>NC_000011.10:25060000-26310000 GCF_000001405.40 Homo sapiens
CTTTATATGTTTTTTAAAAATGTAATCAACTCTTCCAGCATCTGATTGATGTGGGTATTATTTTGTCTAGCTTACAGATAAAGAATCAGAGCCTCAGTAAGTTGAGGTAACCTTCCAAGTTCATACAATGAATGAAGGTAAAAAGAATTTGTCTTCATTCATTAGAGTTGCTATAACAAAACACCATAGACTGGGTGGTTTATAAATAATAGAAAATTTATTTTTCACAGTTCTAGAGGCTAGGGAATCCTCATTCAAGGCACTGACAGATTTGGTGTTCAGTGAGGCCCACTTGCTTAGTGAAAGCCATCTTCTCACTGTAATTTCACATGGCAGAAGAGGTAAGATGATGTCTCTGAAGCCTCTTTTATAAGGGCACTAGTACCATTCATGAGGCTCTACCCTCATGACATAATCACCTCCCAAGGGCTCCAACGCCTTATCCCATTACCTTGTGAGTTAGGATTTCAACATATAAATTTTGCGGGGACATAAATATTCAGATAGCAGCAAAATTCTAACCTAAGATGGACTATCTCTTTATTCACATTGCTGTGATTACCTTTATTATCTCATTTCACTGTGATATAAACATTTTGAAGGTAAATATCATTATCATCATTTAACAAATGAGATAAAATGAGGTTAAATTGGTATTTCCCACTTTGCCATAGGCAAATACTGTTCTGTGATTAAGTTTTCAACAGTATAAATAAAAAGAAAAGTGATATAGAATAAAAAGCCATATAACAACATATTAGTGGATTTTCCATTAATCTTTTATCTTCTGTCTTATCCTCATCCTCCTCTTTTTCCCATTCCTCTTCTTGTTTCTTCCTCTTCTTTTTTCTATTTCTCCCTCCGTCTCAGGATAATTTATGTTGTCATTGAATCCTTTGTCTATTTTTCAAATTAAAATTTTTATCTGAAATATTGCTGAAATATAGTAATCTATTTTTTGTTGATTTATATTCTCCAATGTCAAAATTTAACATTGGCAATTTCATTGTTAGTGGTGTCTAATTTTATTTTCCAATAAGATATCAAAGTCCAGGAGCTTCAATGTTCATGAACTTACCCACATTATCACAAATAGTAGGAAATAGAGTTGGGACTCAAATTCATTTGTACATGACTCCAAAGCTTATTCTTCCTGCCTTACTGTGGGACTCCCAGTAATGACTAGAGACATCACAGGATTAGAGTCTTCTGCACTACGCTGTGATTGTGTGTTCTTTTGCACACACAGAGATTATGTAATTACCAAGGTTTGTCTTAGCTACATACTTTTGTTGTTACCGTGATTGCTTTTGTGATCATATAATAATATTGTGTCAGTTGGCAGTTTATTGCCAGAAATCACAGAAACAAACAGGTTATTCTAGAGGTGTTGGTGAATATGTGTATCTGAGAGGCAGTGTTTAATCATTTTAATAGATGTATTTGTGGCTTATCCCACTTTATAATTTACAGACCCAGCTGTGTTTCTCCTTAGATCTCCTGTATAATTGAATGGGTGAACCGCATAGTGAAGCAGTTGAATTTGTGCATGCTTTCCTGATTAATTTGCATATTTTATTACTTGAATTTGCAGATCTTGGGTACTTTACTAATTAGGTTGAGTTTTACTTAATTGAGATGATGAAGGTATTTGGAAGACTTGTACTACTCTTTGTATTGTTTTAAATAATTCTCCAGACTAATATTTGATATTTTTTCTTTTTTTAGACATAAAATGATTCTTTTGAATAATTAATCCATCATTCACTACAATTTATTACATCTCTATCCATTCTTTCCCAAGTAAAATTATATTCTTTAATTATACATGCATAAAGAGAAATGATATCTGAACTTTTGCTTTAGTTCAAGAAAAAGAATTTGAGTTTGAAATTGATATGGAATGAAGACCTTAAGTTTTTAGGCACTTTTCAAATTTAAATGTTATATTTTTATGAACCTGTGTATTGCCCGACATGCCAGCTATACACAGATAAGCAGTTATTATACAGATGGAAATATATCATTGGAAAGTGACATATCAGTCATACCCCTCAAGAAAAGGGAAAAAGAAGAAAGGAAAAACAAAAAACGAAAAACAGAGGGAAGGGAGAAGAAGAAAAAGGAGGGAGACAGGAGAAAGGAAGGGAAAAAGGGAAGGGAAAGAAGGAGAGGAGGAGGAAGGGAGAGAGAGAGAGGTAGAAATAATGGATATAGAAATGATAAAGACAGAAATAGATAGTTACAACAATGGCCAAACAGATAGGTAGGCTTTATTTGTTATTTTGAAACTAACCTCCAGGGCCAAGCATGGTGGCTTGTAACTGTAATCCCAGCACTCTGGGAGGCCGAGGTAGGCAGATCACTTGAGTTCAGGAGTTTGAGACCAGCCTGGGAAACATGTTGAAACTCTGCCTCTATAAAGAATAAAAAAATATATATATCTGCATGTGGTGGCATTTGCCTGTACTCCCAAATACTTGAAGGGCTGAGGTGGGAGGATCACTGGAGCCAGGGTGGTTGAGGCTACAGTGAGCTATCATCACGCCAGTGCACTCCAGCCTATGTGACAGAGCAAGACCCTGTCAAAAAAAAAAAAAAAAAAAAAAAAAAGAAAGGAAAGGAAACCAGCAAAATGTCAAAGCACACCAATAAAGTTGTGTGTCTTTCCGTCTCCAACTTTATCATTGTGCTATGACATTTGACAATACCGAGTTTAATATATTTTATTTTTGTCAGTTTTATATACATTTCTTGCTTTGTATTAGTGCAATATTATCTATATAATTTCATATTATATGCTACCAGATTAAGCATTTTTATATAAATAAACATTGTAAAAACGTTGTCTTAATGACCACAAAATATTTTATCATTATTTAGTTAATCCGCATATTTTTGTTTGACCAATATCTTGTTTTATTTCTGTTATACAAATCACCATAATGAATACTTCTTAGTGCCCAGTTTCTTTTCTTTTTTTGTTTGTTCATTTAGTTTTGTTTTAAATTTTGTATTTTTTTTCAGAGAAAAAAATACCCCAAATTAAAATAAAATTGGCCTTCTCTATCCCTGGGTTTTACATCTGTGGATTTAACCAACCACGGATCAAAAATATTTGGGAAAACATACAACAGAAAATAAAACAAATAAAATATAGTGTAACAACTATTTACATCACATTCCTATTATATTAGGTGCCATAATTAATCTAGAGATGATTTAAAGTATATGGGAGAGCATGTGTAGATTATATATAAATATAACATCATTTTATTTAAGGGACTTGAGCATCCATGGATTTTGGTATCTGTGTGGGATGATGGAAGAAATCTCCAGCTGATATTGAGGGATGTCTGTACACTGAATTGTGAAAATATTTAAAGCCATTTATCCATCTTAATACAATATTTTCCAAAATATCTGTGTGAATATATCTTCACACCAGCATTGTAAAAGACAGAAAGGGAAAGAGAAGAGAGAGGAGTCTGCTTCAGCATGTTATAGCCAACAGTAAATGTATAGTTTTTGTTTATTGATATGTTTTATAAGAAAAATAGTTTATCATTTTAATTCTTATTTATATTTTGTGTAATTTGATCATACCATTTTATTCAGTGTCATGTGGATGGCATTGCATTAATGCAAATGCATCTGAGTAAGTTAATGTAGAACCACATTTCTTCCAAAACTGAATGGACCACATTAATCATTAACCACCATTTGTTAAATACATAATTTCAGAGAGTGGTCCACAATGATAAAAATACATATGATTTATTGAACATGTAATGTGTATCAGGAGCTTTATTCCAGGTTCTTTGTCTTTATTTAACCCCACAAAAATTCCATGAATACAATTCCATTTCCCTATTAAATAAATGGTAAACATGAAGAATAGGACAGTCAGACAAAGAACAGGTGAAAAAACCAGACTCAATATTAAACTTTCTGAATGCAGATCCTGCACTTCTCACTGCCTAGGGACTCAATTTATCTTCAGATATCTTGTAAGATAAACATTATTACTTCAACTTTATACATTTTGAACATGAAGGAAATGTAGCCTGAATATATTCCCATGTCTGCTTGTTTACAAAGCACATATTCTTTCCACTAGGTTGTACATTTTCAATTCACATACCATATAGTTTATTTTATTGTTTCTTATCATTCCACCTGTACTGATTTCCTTGGTGAAAAAGAAACATATTATACAATTATTATTTTCTGATAATATCTATATTGGCATTCATATTTAAAACACCATTAATATTATGCAGTCTACAGAATTATGTTGACATTTAAATAGATGGTGTATATTAAATTATGTATCTACTGCTTTATAATTGCTTGTTAAATATAAATTTCCTGTGTGATTAATTTCATTATCTCTTTCTTTATGTGTTAATGATGACTCTTAAAAAACATGAGCAGCATGTAAACTTCTTTTTTTAACTATTCAAATTTTCAGCAACTTCTCATGTAGACTTAAAAAAATAAAGCATTATTGTCAAGCATTAGAAGATATACTTAACTTGTGAAACTTGAAAACTAAATTAGCATACCTACTCTATTTCATAAAATCTCATGGAATTTCAAATTTGGTGTAGGTCTCAGAGGTGACCGAACCCATCCATTTCATGAAAATAGCCTAAGATTGTGGCTGTTTTGGCTTAATATCAACATTTCCAGTTCATTTGATTTTGGACTGTCTCTCAATTTAAGACATGTTCTTTCCATTTTCCCAATCTGCTCTCTCTCTTATCCTAGGCACGTCACTCAAGGAACAGAATATGCCTAGCCCTTCTCCCAGCATGATGGCCCTTGAAACATTTGATAGTATGTCTTAATTCTCCATTTGTTGACATTTGTGACTTCGCGAATTTCTAATGTTCATCTGAAAGATAAAAATCTCAAAATCTCTAGATATTGAGGTTTAATATGTTAGCATTTAAAACCATAATCATAACCAACTACTCAGACCAATCTCTAAATCAGTGCTTTGTTTGGAGATAACATTGACAGGCATAGTAAAAAAGAGAAACATGTTCTGACTTCCTACAAAACACAATTCACTTAGTGAATTCTTTCTTAAATATTTGATACCAAAATATGCATCTTAAACTATGGGAAAGCTGCTTGAAAGAGCCAAATGTTCTTGTAGTCAATGATGATTTTGGTCATGCATTGTCTCTGGGTTGTTCTCTACCATGTACCTAGGTCCCACAAAGCACCTGGCACACAGTCATCACCTGGTACATCTTTATTAAGGGCCAAGTGAATGAACCTTATTAACATTGCCTGCTGCTGTCATAATTGCCTATAACATTAATCCTTATGTTCATCATTATCATTGCTGCTACAATATATAATACAGAACACAGTGGGATGAGTGTCACTCAGATAAGTGCATTAAATATATGTCCTTATTTATTCCTTACAAATATTGATGAAAAAACTTGTTCCTCATTTTAAAAATACGAAAATTGAGATTGAGGAAAATTGAGTAATCCAAGGCCACAAAGCTAGTAGATTTAAGAATTTAAACATTGACTAAACATAGATTCCGTCACCCACGGGGTTTAACCTTATTCTTCTTTGTCATGAAATCTCTTATGTGAACAGCACTTTTTATCTGTTTCCAAGAGTCACAGTTCCATTTCAGGTTTTGCCAGGAAGAATTAAAAGAATGAAATTTCAATAATTACTCCAGGTAGAGGAATGAGGCAAAGAATATATCAGTGTGACAAAACTTTTTGTGTTTGTGTATGTATTTAACAGTCATAGTCAAAAGATAATCTATGAGTCAGAGAAGGTGACAGCAAAGATTCATTATTTTCATGCTCACTCATACACCTTCACTATGATTCATCAAAGTTAATCTGATGACTACGTTCTATGACACATCTTATTTGTTTAACAAAACAGTCTCCAACCTTCTAATTTCATCCATCTTCTCTGTCTGCCTCTGCACTTATCATGCTTAGCACACAAATAGTAAGAGGAACAACAATGAAAATTTGGCAGAATCTGCTTTTTTATACTAACCATAAAAACCTTCCAGATTTCCAAATGAGCATTTGTTGGAAGGAGGATTTCTAGGGAAGCTAGTTCAGAGTGTTATACAACATTTTGTCTTCTCGGGGGATTTTATTTCTTCTATTTTGTGACTGAAAAAATCTCCCAACTCTTCCTATTAGTTATGCATTACCAAAAGGCTATTTGAAGATGAGGCAAATTTTCATTCACTGTGGCATTGTCCAGTGATGGTCTCAGTGGAAAGGGGAGGCATGAGAGTTGGTAGTATAAAATGATTGCATAGAGCTTTTCAACACAAGATTTATGATCTTTGGAGATTTATAACTTGAACTGCTTATTAAATGATACGTGGGAGTTTACAAAATAATGTTTTGTGATCATTTGGGGGATAAACAAGCCTGAGCAAAGATTTAAATTTGTCCATTTGCTTATCAAGTTTGAAGAATAAGTAAAAACCTGTGGCAATGACATTCGCTAAGGGGCTCTAAGTGTAGCCATATAATGAATGATCTTAAGTGTTATTTAGCTAAATTCATGCTTTATTCTATAGGCAATGGGAAATCACATATTTGTGTGGGGGAGATATTTTTTCTTGTTTTGTTTAGATTGATTTTTATGCAGTGAGTTAGCATGATAAAATCCATTTTAGGAAGACATTTCTGGAGGCTGATCTGTTTGGGTTGGAGAAAGGTGACGTTAGAGAGAGTTAAAAGTTTAATTCAACAATCCAGAGATGAAATAAAGGGGTAAATGCCATTATCTCTGAAAGAGAAAGGAAGACTATAACGTGCTGAATTGTTTTCATGAAAAATTGTTTACAGCTTACCCACAAAAGGTTGTCTGTTTCTATCATCTGCAAGTTTCATTTTCAAAGCTGACATAGCATAATCCTCAAAATCCTCTGAGTTGAGACATTGAACCTACATATGGCAATTAAAACTACAAAAGGTATTGTCCTTGTTGTTGTCTGTGGTGAGTACATGTAAAGGGAAAACTCTGAAGGTTTATTATCCCTTGGGTTGAGATTCATTATCATTAAAGTAATAAAATTATATTTTTGGGATGGGAAGTTAATTATACTCTGATTACATGTAGTGTAGGTTTTAGGCACAGAGAGACTGAGTCATTTTAAAAAGGAACTTTAGAGAAGTGTTTGTTCATATCCTTTGGCCACTTTTTGATGAAGTTGTTTTTTTCTGTAACTTTGTTTAAGTTCTTTTTAGATTCTGGATATTAGCCCTTTGTCAGATGAATAGATTGCAAAAATTTTCTCCCATTCTATAGGTTGCCTGCTCACTCTAATAATAGTTTATTTTGCTGTGCAGAAGCTCTTTATTTTAATTAGGTCCCATTTGTCAATTTTGGCTTTTGTTGTCATTGTTTTTGGTGTTTTAGTCATGAAGTCTTTGGCCATGCCTAAGTCCTGAATGGTATGGCCTTGGTTTTCTTCTAGGGTTTTTATGGTTTTAGGTATTACATTTAAGTTTTTCATCCAAGAAGACATTTATGTGGCCAAGAAACATGTGAAAAATGCTCATCATCATTGGTCATTAGAGAAATGCAAATCAAAGCCACAGTGAGATACCACCTCATGCCAGTTAGAATGGCAATCATTAAAAAGTCAGGAAACAACAGAGGCTGGAGACGATATGGAGAAATAGGAAAAGTTTTACACTGTTGGTGGGAGTGTAAATTCAATCATTGTGAAAGACAGTGTGGAGATTCCTCAAGGATTTGAACTAGAAATATCATTTGACCCAGCAGTCCCATTACTATGTACCCGAAGGATTATAAATCATTCTACTATAAAGACACATGCACACATATGTTTATTGCAGCACTGTTCACAAGAGCAAAGTCTTGGAACCAATCCAAATGCCCATCAATGATAGACTGGATAAAGAAAATGTGGCACATATGCACCATGGAATACTATGCAGCCATAAAAAAGGATGAGTTCATGTCCTTTGCAGGAACATAGATGAAGCTGGAAACCATCATTCTCAGCAAACTATCACAAGGACAGAAAGTCAAACACCACATGTTCTCACTCATAAGTGGAAGTTGAACAATGAGAACACATGGATACAGGGAGGGGAACATCACACACTGGGGGCCTGTTGGGGGCTGGGGTCTAGGGAAGGGATAGCATTAGGAGAAATACTTAATGTAGATGACGACTTTATGGGTGCAGCAAACCACAATGGCACGTGTATACCTATGTAACAAACCTGGACATTCTGTACATGTATCCCAGAAGTTAAAGTATGGTTAAAAAATAAAATAAAAAGGTACTTTTATGTATTTTTCTTTCAGTTTTATAATTTAATTTAGTAATAGAGTCATGAAATAATATTTGGAACTCTAACTCCAAATATTTGAGTATTAAAACCTAACTTCTAACAAATGTTGCCAAGTTTCAACTTCTTGTCAGCCATATGAGAGAAGAAAAATGGTGCTGCCTTGACAAGCTCTGGAAGTGAGAGAGGGATGCTTATAAAAATCATATAGATTACAATTCTTTCGCTGGAGGAAGAGTCATACTGATGACATGTTTGAACAAGTATTGTATGTAATGATCGCTGTAGAGTGCTGTTCATAAATCTCTTTAGATTCCAACACAGAGAACGCATTGACTTCTTAGAAACATAGACATGTTACTGCAGGATATTTACAATGTAATTGTTGCTTAATAACTGCCAGATTCAGTATAAACATCACTGCTTGAGCTACCTCAGAGTTCTTGAACCGTACCTACTCTAATCATCTCAGTATTTCCCATCTCAGCTTACCTCACAACTGCTACCTTTGATGCATCCCCCTCACTTACAGAATGTTTACTTCTGCTTTTTTGTCCTCATGACTCTATCTCAAAAAACTTTATTCATCGCTCAAGCCTCAGTTCATCCTTCATGAAGAAATCGATAGCCCTAATTAGCCATGAGTGATATTTTTCTTCTTTTCTGGATAATACAGCTCACTGATTCATCAGGCCCAAATGTGTACCAACCATTTACTTAGGGATCTTGGTAGAATATTGCAAAAGCATTGATATTATGAGAAACGTTTTTTGGTTTTGTCACAAACTGTGTTGTTACCTGAGACTGCAACATGTGAGGTGCTATCAAAATCTAAAATATTATATAGTTAAATAATAAAATGGAAGAAAGAAAATATAAATCTTTGAACGATCCCAAATTTGCAGCAAGAGACTTTGCCTCAGTTGCAACAGCAATAACTTTATGACCTTGAGGATGTTATGCAGATCTGTTGATCTTGTTGTCCTCATTTATAAAAAAGATAAAAATATCTTGAGTATTGATATGAGAATTAAATCACATGAAATATACATCAAATCAATTTCAGCATCTGGTACATAACAGATACCTGGTAAGTTATGGTGTACTAATTCATAAATTAACATTTCTTTATTTTCAATTTTCAAACCCCAGCTACACGTACAACATCTGGAAATAATAACAGTTTTGATCACTTGAGCATGTTTTCCCAGTGAGTAATACACTGTATGTGTGTGGGTGTATAAACTAATATATACATAAAATAGCAGAAAATATATATTCTGAAAAAAGTTAACAAAAGGAAAATAAAAAGTGACAGGGTATACATGTCTATATTTCAATATTCAGTAGTTTCAATTCATTTTATCAACTTATTCACTTATATCATATAGCTGGCAAACAATTATACTTGGAATGAAATAAAACGTTAGTTCTTTATTTGATTATACTATAAATTTTTTCTTCAATTTATAATTTTTTGCAGGAATTTCTTATTTTTTTTTAATTTGTTGTTAGGAACTCTTATGTGAAACATCAAGGATGTTTCTTGACATGTGGCCATCTGAGTGAGTTTAGTGGTGTCAAATCTTGTGTTAATTGCTTACTTCTTATTTATTTAAATAAATACATGAGCATTAACAGTTCTATTGTTTTCTTTCTGTCATCCCCGTAATATGTGTTTGCATACCTATGCAAACATCCAAATGGGAGTCTACTCATTTAGGGATTGAGCTGAGTGAGGACTAAAGAGATTAGAAAATAAAACCTTAAGGTAAGAGCACTAAGAAACACAGAATTTTAAGAAATGAAAGAGCCAGCAGTATACATAGCAAAAAGAAGTTAAGCAGAAAGACAAATGGAGAAAAGATTCACTTATCCTTTCACCTAAATTTATCTATATATTATGTTCACAAAATTATTTAAATATTAACCATCCCCCAGAAGTGTATTTATTTACAAATTTTCTAGGGTCCACCTTCAAAAAATGTGGAGCCAGTAAATAGACTACATTTTAATAATCAAAGCAAAGGCAAAGCAAAGATAAGATATTTATTATCTTGTCAGGTTCAACTGACAAACCAGGCCCATCTAGATAATCTCCATTTCTATTAACTCAAAGCCAACCAACTACCTGATCATAGGAGTTATATTTCATCACATTCATAGGGTCTGCCTGTGAGAACCTATCAAGAGGAGGTTGTTATATAAGGTTTGCACACCAGTGGGTGAGAAACATGGGGAGCATCTTAGAATCCTGCCTGTTAAAATATCCCAGTTAAGTCCCTAACTAGCATTTGAAATTTTTAGAATATGTGTTGTAAAATAATTGTTTTTCCATAGATTAAAACATTTAAAGATCATATGTTTCAGATACATGATAAGTTCATATATAAGTTTCATAAAATGGCATTGTGAATGACTGTGTATGGTGTGTGTGTGTGTGTGTGTGTGTGTGTGTGTGTGTGTGTGTGTGTTACTGAAGGCTAAAATTATAAACTGCCTGACAAAATAAGAAAAAACTTTCCTATTGCCCTTCAAACTTTCCTATTGCCCTTCAGTTCACATCTTGAAAAGGTTCCCTTCTTTGAATCACCTTTAGCCGTGACCTTGAAGTTTTTTCTTGTGGCAGGGTCCAAAAATTCCACAGATGAAAAACAGAGCCCTATTCATGTAAACTGACACGAAACCATTCGTGTAAAGCATATGTGTATGTCTTACACTTTCAGCACAATTAACAATGACCATGTCATGCAATTTTGTAAATCATAAATCTACTGAGGTATGATAATGTGTTTTATGAAACATACCTATTTGTATCTTGATATCACTTAACACAGTTCTAATCTATAGTAAATATATAAACAGCAATTAAGTTGAAACAGAATTACCATCTGTAATTTATTTCACATATATTTATATGTCTATTTTACATGTTAAATCACACATGATGCTAAATGACGAGTTAACGGGTGCAGCACACCAACATGGCACATGTATACATATGTAACAAACCTGTACATTGTGCACATGTACCCTAAAACTTAAAGTATAATAATAATAAAATTAAAAAATAAAAATAAATGTAGGTGCTTTGTTGATCGAGTTTAAATATAAAGTTTATATTTAAATGTAGTTTACATTTAAATGTAAGTGCTTCATTGATCATAAACTTATCAATGAAGCACCTACATTTGAAAAGTCTTTCTACAAATTGCTTTCTATTTGAAGTAATCTAGTTTTTCTCTTTGGGGTGGAAATCTGCTTTTCAGGAAGGCAAATTATTAAACTTACACAGGGTGGGGAACATCACACACCGGGGCCTGTCATGGGGTTGGGGGAGAGGGGAGAGATAGTATTAGGAGATATACCTAATGTAAATGACGAGTTAACGGGTGCAGCACACCAACATGGCACATGTATACATATGTAACAAACCTGCATGTTGTGCACATGTGCCCTAAAACTTAAAGTATAGTAAAAAAGAAATAAAAAATTTAAAAAAAGATAAAAAAAAATAAATAAATCACACATGATGAAAAAGCATATAAAGTTAAAGCAATGGAAAGAAAAAAATGTAACTGGTTTTAGGCACCTGAAATAATTAAACAAATGATTCTTGTGCATCTAAACTATGTCACGCACATACACTAAGCATATTGATTTTATGTTTTAAAATGTATAGAAATTGTCTGTGATGGATATTAATATCCTTATTTTCAGTTGATTAAATTAAAGCCCAAGGATATTGCAGAACTTCCCCTGATAGATAATTAGTAGGTGAAAGAACTGGGACTTGAACATAGATATGCCTGATCTCAAAGCCTGTGCTATCATCTTACAGAGGTTGCCACTGGATGTGACCTGCAGGCACTTTCCATCATTACACTTAAATCTCTCTGATACTCTTTTTAATATGTTCTTGTTTATGTATGTATTTATGCTTTCTCCACTAGAGTATAACCTCCACTGACATCAAAGTCCTTGACTTTTTTTATTGTTCTATTTTCAGTCAGTGCCTGGCTCATAATAGAAATTCAGTAAATGTTTGTGGAATGAATGATTAAAGTATAGAACTATTTTTGAAGCTCAATTTGGCTCTTAGTGTTGAGGCAATTTAAGGATAACAAAGGTAATTTATTAGATTGTCTATATTTCATTTGTGTGGCCAAAAAGGGAAAAATAAAAATACATTTGTGGAAGCAAAAGTTACTGCAATAGTTTTCGATAAAATTATATTTACTCTTTAGATAACATTGGTTACTCTCCTTAGATCTTAGCTATAGTTGCAGTTTTCTCTCAGTGACCCCACCTCTTACCCTGTAATGTAGTGTAGCTTTTTTAAATTAAGAGGTTTTATTTAAGAATTAAATTATGTTGTTTCCAAGGGAGCTTCCCTAGAAGTAAGCCCATTGGTTTAATTCTATATTCAGTGATTACCATTATAACCCCAAACCCAAGTTTTATTGGATAAATCTTTAAATATATAAACACAATTTGGTGTCATCTTGAAGCCTATATTTTCTCAAGTATCTTTTCTTTCCAAAGCAAAACATGAATATAGACAATTTGTTGCAGAATCAGGAGGACCAGAGAGACCTTGGGGTATGGCAGGATCTTTATTGAGTGCACTCACACCCAGCAGACTTAACATACAAACACTGGGCTCAGAACAAAGACAGCACTTGACTTTTATACACACTTTAAAAAGGGGGTGGGCTAGCTTGAAGCAAGCTTACAGTTACAGTGGCTCAAAAGCAAGGATACAGAGGCAGAACAATTAATTAAATTGTGACAGGTTCATAACTAAGGATTACACATGACCATTGCCAAGCAATCCAGATGTCTGTTATCTAGATTTTGCTTTAAAGAGCCTTGCACTGGTTTATCTTCTAACCTTCACTATGGTGCCTAGACAGCTGTAGTTCAGGCCCACTCAGGCTTCTTATGACCTTCATTGTACTTTTTAGATAAAACAGAATACTTGAAGTTACTAGTTACAGAGAACAAGAATCTATAAACTCATATTATAAAACAAAGGAAACTTTGGTTTTCTTCTCCCTGTGTGGAGGAAGTGCTGGGAGAATCTCCGGAACACATTCCTTTGTGTCCTGGCTTCTTAGATAGTATTATCAAGACATTCCCTGGGTCTGGGCTGTGCCCATTGCTGCCTCTGGGACAAGTTAGCCTAATACAGGAAAGCTTATTTCTCTTTTTAATTTTATTTTTTTCTTTCTTTAATTTCCCACCTAAAATTTTTGTTATATTTTAGCTTTATTGTTAAAAAAGGAGCATTCGTAAGAAACGTTTTTGCAGCCCCTCTACTCAGCACCTTCTTCATTTCCTTTCCTTCTCTTCTCTCTACCTTTCCTCTTATTTTTCTATGTTTGGTAATTGCATCACTGTTGATTCTGTGACATAAAATAATGTCAGTGTCAACTGATCATAAATATTGTTTTGTAACCATTAATGTTAGTAATGACAATAATCAAAGGAGGAGAAAGAAAAAAAGGAACGATCACTATTTGTTAATCCATGCTGAATACCTGTTTATGTTTTCTAATTTTACCCTTAAATTAATTCCATAAAGAAGCAGACCCATTTTACAGCCAAAGAACCCGAAGCCCAGCGAAAAATAACTTGATCAAGGTCATCAATGGATAAGTATCAGAGCTAAAACATAAAGCAAAGTCTATTTCACTCCAAAGCACTTTTAACCAATAGTCAAAACTACTTTTATACTACAACATTGGAAATGGGTCAAATTTGTCTTGCCTTCCTTCACAACAGTTCTCTGGAATTTTTGATAGTCTGTGTCCTGTTTGCAACAGAGTGAGGGAACTCTATTAGAAACCCACCCTTTGTGCCTCATCATATTGAGCTCTATTTCAGCAAAGGCTATAAGTTTAGTAAAAGGCTTTATTAAAGCAGAAAACCTATTCAGTATAGTAATGTGGCCTTATCTCTGGTGCCTCTCTGAGACTCACTAACAATTTTATGAACCATCTTACAAAATTTCCACAATGCCTGTGACGCACAGAAAGAGTAAATTTAAAGTTGCTATTCATTGTAAGATAAAAGTATCAGAAAAAGCTACAGCTGCCTTCTAGACATAAAACATTTTCTTTAATGTTGAAATGTAGTAAGTTTTCATTATTCAGATGATCAAAGGCTTATCTCGAATAGTTGGTTGTGCTAGCATTAATGAAATATATTGCATAGCAGATCTCGTAGTGTTTTCCTCATGACAATGACCTCAAGTGAAGCTTTACACATAAAGAATTTTAGGTCAAAGATATTCAAGAAATACGTACATTATATCTCCTTCTTAGAGATTTATAACATATTGTGCATTATGAAGTGAATATCAAATTTCATAGGTACATTTGAATTGCTAGCATGCCGATTAAAAATGCAAACCCCATATTTATAGGACAGAATTATCACCCTGGTGTGTTTTTTTAGCAGTCACCTCCTGTGATTATGTGATCAGATCATTCAAGATCAAAACTTTAAGATATTGTATAAGATTTCTGAGAAGAACTACAATAAATACAACTGTTTAATGTTGAAATCAATTTTTCCCTAAACTTAAATGACAGGAACTCCACTCTTACCAAGTGCATTTTGGGAAATCCTACACTATGCAAATTACTTTCTGTATGAACAACATTTTTTGAGCTTGATTTCTTACAATTAGTTAATTTTTCGAAGGGTAAATGCAAGAATAATAAAAACAGCAGCCAATTGGTTTATTAGAGCAAAACAGAGTGATTATAATATTTCCAGAGAAATGTGAGGTTTGAATTATAAATCATACAACAAGAAATTTTTCCTTAGGCGGTGTAGAAGATTCCTCTATGTATATAAAGGAATACATAGTATTAATATTCAGAATACTTAAAAAGTATTTAGAATTAGGTGGTTAAGAATTCAGCTATTGATTTTTAGTCTTATAGTGACAATCTCTCTTTTTCTGTATACTGTAGGCTTATTTAGAAGAACCAATTGTGTATAAAATGTGCCTAAATGTGGCCATACAAAGAAAGCAGGCATTTATGAAAATTCTAAAGTATTGAACTATTTCATGGCCAATATTTTAAAATTATTTATTACTTATTTAGAGATTATATATCGACCACTTTTTGGTAGGCATCTAGCTGCGATCTAGTGGAGATAAATGTTGCCCCTGTCTTAAAGTTATTCACAATATATTGGGGAGGCAGGCATGATTACACATATAAAAACAATGGTAAGTGTTACAGTTGTTATAAGCATTACCTTTAGAGCATGGAAGGATGACTGAGTCTGTCTAGTAGTAGAAAAGATAAATTATGGCAGAAATGAGTAGCTGGTTTTCAGGGGCCTGCAGTGAAAGAAGTGGGGTAGCACACACATGGGCAGAGAAACGTACAGATACATGGTTTGTGTTCATTTAAGAGCAATATAGTGTGAGAATAGAGGGAGCATAAAAAATAACCTTTAAAATCTGAATTAGAGTAGATTTAATCTACTATAAACCTTTTTATTTATCTTCCACTCAGAATTTTTAGAGTTTAAAGTCAACTTAGCTCTCTATCCCCTGATTCATCGCTTGGAAATAAACTTATTTTTTTGATGTCAGTGGGTCAGTGGTCATGAATTTTATATATAATTATATACAAATATAATAATTATATATATTCTTTTTTGAGACAGGATCTCACTCTGTAGCCTAGGTTGGAGTGCAGTGGCATGATCACAGCTCATTGCAGCCTCAACCTCCCGGGCACTTCAGAAGGTGATCTTCCCACTTCAGCCTCCCAGGTAGCTGGGACCACAGGCATGTGCCACCACACCCAGCTGCTTTTGTTTTTGTTCTTGTTTTCGTTTTTGTTTTTGTTTTTGTAAAGAGAATGTTTCACCATGTTGCCCAGGCTGGTCTCAAACTCCTGGGCTTAAGCAATCCACCCACCTCAGCCTTGCAAAGTGCTGCAATTACAAGTGTGAGCCATTTCACCTGGCCTAATGTTCACAAATGATTAAACTCTTAGGCTCTGCCTTGCACGTGGAAAAGATTATGAGAAATATAACAAACGCACACACAAATGCAGATTCTTACACTACATATGTTGCTGTTAATTTAAAACTATGTATATGATAAAGAAGAAAGGAAGAGAGGAAGGAGGAAAAGTATCAGTAAGTAAAAAAAGAAAGGGAGGAAGGAAGAGAGGAGGGAAGGAGGGAAGGAGGAAGGGAGGGAGGAAGGGAAAGAAGAGGGAACTAAGGAAGGAATGAAGGAAGGAAGGGAGGAAGGGAAAAAGAGGGAAGGAAGGGAGGGAGGGAAGGAGGGAGGGAGGGAGGATTGAATATTTTAACCCTGGTTAAAATAGAAGTGAAGCCCAAGTGGAATCCTTTTTTTTTTTTTTTAATTTATTTTTTTTTTTCCATTGCTAACACTTCATCTTCCTTTAAACTGGTGAAGCTAATAAGTAAGATCAGATATTCTGGCCAGTAAAATGACTGGGATCTTAGTTCCAGAAATATTATCTTTTAAAAAAGATACTGAGGATTTTATGCAAGACAGATTGGTGGTCACATTACTTACATTGCTTCCTAGCTTGCAATATTGATGTTCCTGCAGGCACTCTGATAATTGACATATATAAATCACAGAGTCTGGATGCATTGTAGACATAGTAGTTTTATAATCTTTTACTTCTTTTTAAATGTTTTACAGGAAAATAATTTTCCATTGGAATTGTACTTCTTTGTAGTAGCTGACTGCCATAAGCACCACTGTGATCCCCAAACCAGTCAGGAATGCTTGCTCTCTCCTTGAAATCCCACTGCTGTGGTGATTATTTTTGTCCCTAGCTTTTGCCCTTTCAGTATGGATCAAAGTGATAGAATCTTCTCAACAGGAAGAATTCAAGAGAGTGTTTTTGACTCCCCCCTCCACTTTCTTTCTTTAACTTCATTGATGTATTTTTAATTGCTACTTTTGTAGGAGGGCAGACCGTGTTCCATGAAGCACAAAGAAAGTCCCCCAAGTAATGCCACTGCAGAAACCGAGCCTATCCCACAGGTATGTGTTTGTTTTATTTCGTTTGTGTCAAAAAGCATTTATTGGATCCATTGTATTTATTTATTTATTTTTATTTATATTATTTTTTATTTTTTATTTATTTATTTTTTTGAGACAGAGTCTTGCTCTATCTCCCAGGCTGGAGTGCAGTGGCGCAATCTCGGCTCACTGCAAACTCCACCTCCAGGGCTCACACCATTCTCCTGCCTCAGCCTCCCGAGTAGCTGGGACTACAGGCGCCCACCACCACGCCCAAATTTTTTGTATTTTTAGTAGAGACGGGGTTTCACTGTGTTAGCCAGGATGGTCTCGATTTCCTGACCCTGTGATCCTCCTGCCTCAGCCTCCCAAAGTGCTGGGATTACAGGCGTGAGCCACCGCGCCCGACCAGATCCATGGTATTTAACACTCTTCTCTCTTGCTCTTGCTGGGGCAGGATATTGTACTTGCTAGTACTATATGTAAAGCCATGGTGCCCCTGGGCTTTTCCAAGGCTGCTCTGCTTTCTACTAAGCTTTTGGCTTGACTATATGAGGCTCTCAGAAGGTCAAGGGTGAGGGGAGTTCTTCCTCACTTCCACCCTCCCTCTCACAGACCAGGAAACAAAACAAAAATAAACAGGGATGATCACACAGGCATATATTTCTTTTTGTACAAAGGAGACTAAAGAGGATTTGAGGAAGCAGAGGAGGTGAAAAGAAGTACATATTACTTACAAGAACAAACAAAATAAACACAAGTCAAGAGCTTAATTCTGAATTTTTATTTGTACTGTATTATACTTGACCAAAAATATTGTATCATTGACATTCTTAATATTTATTTCACTTAATACTAAAACGTGGAGTTAGATTTAACTTATTTTCAAACTTTGAATTAGATTAAACAGAATTGAATGGCTTGGGCAAAGTTTTTTCAAAATAGTTTTTGAAATGTTTTGCTGTTTTTAGGCAAAATATTGTTATGTACTTTTATGAAATATAATTAACATCTTCACATTTGTTTCATTTCTGTCCTGTGTTCATTTTCTCTAAGATATTTGTTGAGATCTTTGAATTTCCATTCTTATTCTTTTAGACTTTTCAATTTTTACCTTAAAATGTGTTATTTTGATTCTTCGAATTGTCTTTTCTGTATTGTTTAACAGAAATTGCAAATGCCTCCTTGCTCTGAATGTGAGGTGAAAAAAGCCCCAGAAAAACCATTGACCAGCTTTGAAGGGATGGCAGCTAGAGAAGAAAAAATACTGTAAATACTAAGAAACTGTGTTAAAAACGTCCATTTGCTATTGTCTTCATATTCTTTTTAGACCACAAGCTTGATGGAAATACTGTTTCTAAAGCATGCAACTTTTTCACAATTTTATGTAACTTTATAAAGTAGCCTACACATTTTCAAAGATTCCAGACCAATTATGATCCTTAAGCAATAACCTCATTGAATTGAATACCCACAGTCAGAAATATTTTGTTGTCAACAGTAAATTGTCCCATATAAATTGGTCTGGTTTAACTCAAATGCTATCTAACATGTAATTCTCCCGGTTCATTTGGATATCTAGTACTTCTATGATATAGTTGTCAAAATCAACTGGAGGATAATAAAATATTGTGGGTTCTCAGCATTCTTAGAATCCAAATTACAACCATATCAGTAAGGGTTTGGTCCACATGAGCCAACTGAAGTCATTTTCCTCAAGGTTGGAATTTGTGCCAACCTAAATACGTTGTTTCTTTGATGGTGTTTATTGCTATTGGTATTATTTTGAACTAATAACAATTATTTTGTCTAAATAATGCTAAGACAATTCTGTTAAGAATTTTGTCAGCTAACATAATTCATTAAGTATGTTTGGCATCATATGGACAAAATATTTGGATGAATGACTAAATTTCTGACACAATTAAATATTTTGGCATTCTATAGACACATCTCCTATGTATGTCTACTGTAATTAATCCAAGTTAATAACCAAGTTTTCTGAAATACTTGGCAGGATTTTTGGTATGAAGTTGGGTAGTGGAATAGGGAATGAAGAGTGAGTTCTAAAATACAAATATGAAAGCAGGTAATATATATCACAAAACAGGGGTCTGATGAAAGTACAATAGCCATGTTGATTCAATAAACCCAGATGCATATTTTTTGAAAACCAATGTGTTATTGAAACAAATCAATGGCAGTGTTAATCCATAAGAGTTCTGATTTTCTATAGGAATATCACTAATCAAAAAAATGCACTCATGAATAATTGGAAGATAGCTCACAAGCAAGAGGAATTGACCCTTGAATAATTATCTGATTAATAGGTTTCATAGGGCATTCAAAGTTGCAGACTCAGTTAATGACTACAGTTAAGTTGTCTGGACTGAAAAGTCATTTCTTTTGTTTAGAACCTTTTTGCAACCGTAGAAAGCATATTAAACCATTGGTTTTGCAGGATGGATCTGTCAAACCACAATATATACATTTGGATCAGTGTATCCTAGGAGACAGTTAATAAAAATGTATTAAAGGAAATCTTTAATCAATAAATGAACTTAGATTCTGAGATTTAATGGCATACCTCTGATCAAAATGGCATATTTAAAGAAATTTAAAGATTTGGAGAATTGGAAAATATCGTTAGCTGTAAAAGTAATATTATGACATATTTATGTAGCACTTCTATTTTCAGAATAGTTCAGTGTCATTCATTAGCACAGGCAGGTCCCAACCACAATGGTTCAACTTAACGGTTTTTTCATGATTCTGTGAAAGCTTCATAATTTCTACATGCTTTGAATTTTGAATTTTGTTATTTTTTGGAGGGCTAGTGATACATGGTCCATGAAATATTCAACACTTTATTATAAAATAGGGTTTGTGTTAGACAATTTGCCCAACTGTAGGATGAGGTATATGTTCTGAGCACGTTTAAGCAGGTTTAAGTTAGGGTGGGCTATGATTTTCCATTTAGGTATCTGAAATGCATTTCAGACTTACAATGTTTTCAACCTTTGACTTCTTTATCTGTATGTAATCCTATTGTTAAATCAAGGAGCATTCATATTTTTCATAAAACCGGCTACCCAAGGAAAAAAATAATTAGCTTTATGGATGATCCATAGAGCTTTCAGATGAAGTGACTAGGATAAAATAAAAGATGAAGGTCTGAGGTTTCTTCTGACTCCTTCATATTTCTAAAAATAATCATACAAACTAGAATACTGCTAGTCTCCCAAGTCCTGTTCCTTGTAATTCTCCCACTGTTCTCAGTGGCCCTAACCATCTCTATAGGTTCCTGACAGGGAAGCAGATCATTTAGTTTTAATTTATGTTCAGTCTCCCACCTCCACCCTGGGGCCCAACTTCCCTTGCAGGCCTTGTGGGTCCTATAGAAAGTTATTCACCATGTAATCTAGCACAGCATGTTTTGAAGCATCTTTGGAATGAAAAAAAAGAAGAATCAGGCTGTTATTTCCTGAAATTGTTATGAGAGATAACATGTTGAAAGGTAAGAACTCAGGTTGATATTAATCATGTTTTTATCAATCTTCATTTTAAAGTTGTTTTTGTTCTGTATATTCTAAATTCCTTTTATTAATTCCTGGCTTGATCAAGTGGGCTTTGGATCCATATGATTTTTTTTTTTTTTTTTTTTTGAGATGAAATCTCGCTCTTGTTGCCCAGGCTGGAGTGCAATGGAGCGATCTTGGCTCACTGCAACTCTGCTTCCCAGGTTCAAGTGATTCTCCCTGCCTCCGCCTCCCAAGTAGCTGGGATTACAGGTACCTGCCACCATGCCCGGCTAATTTTTATATTTTTAATAGAGACGGGGTTTCACCATGTTGGCCAGGCTGGTCTCGAACTCCTGACCTCAGGCGATCCACCTGCCTCAGTCTCCTCCCAAAATGCTGGGATTACAGGTGTGAGCCACCGTGCCTGGCCAGTGTGTTTTTTTCCTTTAAATATATATGGCATTATACATCCAGCAAAGTTTACTGTGTTATACTCATTGCATCATTTGTTTAAAAAAAAAAAAGAAACTTGTAGCAGGAGACATTTAAAAATATATTTAGGAGTTCCTTTTAATAACTAAGTTAGAGACTCTCTTTCAGTAAGTTCTATGACTGTACCTTAATGAATGCATTTTATTTATCTCAATTTTTATTTGCTTCAAAATAGAATCGGATAAGTTTAAAATGTTCCTCTTACATTTGTGAATGTGTCTATGAGAGAGGGGCCATTTCTCACATATTTTAATTAACAACTAAATAAACAGACGTTGTTTTAAAGGAATTAACACTTAAATCCCAACCATCCTCATATAGAATAAAATATCAACCTAAATCTTTACTATAGATAGTATAATTCTATTATGTACCTGTAATGATAAGCATTGAAAGATTATTTACATTTTGAAAAACATGGAATTGATTCTTATTAAGAAAAAAGATATTTTCCAATGGAGTAACTTGTTTTAATAGAGGTACAACCAGAACCAACAATTGTATTTCTCTATAGTTATTTTAAAATAGTAATCAATGCTATGTATTTGATGTATATGTTTCTAAATTAGAAATTTCTTTTGGCTTTGTGTTTTTTTAATGTGCGTTAAATATGTAAACTGAACCTGTTCCTAAAATGCATTAAACTTGAATGCTGTGTCTATCCAATGCCAAAATGCTCAGAAGAAAAGTGAATAATTCAGTCATTCATCTGGATGTAGTTTTCTGTGTAATCTCAAATATCTGAATATTGAAAAAACTAGGTTGCTAACTTTTTTCATTCCTTATGCAAATGTTTAGCATCATAGTGCTGTTTCAGATACAGATCTGTTTCATCAAATATCCTCAATTACAAGTCTAAGACAGTTATATGTAAAGAAAATGTATTATTTTAGATGAACAATGTGGATAACTGAACTAAAACGATATTTGTGAACTTTGCTATAATGAAATCTTTTATTTTTATAGCTCAGGTATTGTAATTAGCACTAATTGCAGCAGAGACTGAAATAATTATTGACACCGTAGAGTACCATAGAGTAGGTTGAACTGGCCAGACCTAGACAATGAAGAAAACACATACTGTTTACTTAGGAGACATTTTCTTAGTCGTGTGTATAGTCCTAAATTTCCCCAAACTATGTGTTCATTTGGATTGTGTTATATAATAACAGTCGAATGATGAAGAATAAAAGATGCTGAAAGATGGCCTATTTTTGTTCAATAAAGATTGTTACAAGAATACAATGTATATTATCTTACATAAACTAATTGAAAAAGCAGATATGAACATTAAAAATGGTACTTGCTTCTGTGTATCAGGATGTAAGAACTTTTCTTAAATAGCATCTTGAAATTTTTTTTAATCTTTCTTTGCCAATGACCCCAAAATCTTTTATTTTGCAGGTGCTTTCTTTAAAAAAAAAAATAGAGTTCCATGGTCACAGGGATTTTGTCTTTTTTTTAATTTGAATTTTTATTTTTAATTTATGAATTATTGTGATGTGTAATAGGTACAATGTGATGTATCTCTATATATGAACACACATGTAGCGGAATGATTATATCAAGCTAATTAACATATCCATCACCTCACAAATTAATCTCAAGTGCTTGGAGCTAGCTGCCTCATACAAGATGCTCAAACATTTGTTGAATAAATTAATTTAGAGGCTGAAGCAGCAAGGGAACAAGCAGGGGAGCAGCAAGGGAGCATGTATTGGCATGAGAACAGAGAACCATAAGAACCAAAAATAAGCATTTTGTTTCGTTTGTTGCTTTGTTCTTAGACTATCTTTTTTTTTTTTACTTTTTCTTTTTCTTTTTCTAAAAGCTTTAATAATAGGCCTGTGGCTGGGATTTTCTAAGCAGAGTAGATAAGGCACTCCTGGGTAAATTTTGAAATGTAGGTCAATGCAATAGAAATATTTCACGTGGACTTTATGAGTCTTTAATTGACACCCACTTCTGACACATACTTGGACATGCACAGGTCACTTCTTTTAGCATTCGTTTCCTAATCTATTGGGTCTTAAGCAGTTGGCTTAAAACAGAGATTTTCTTCTACATTCTGAAGAGACCTAGCCCTTTAGTAAAAATAACTCTAGGGCTACCGAGAGGTAAATGAATATCAAGAGGATAGGCTCTAGATTCTGTTTGTTTGTTTGTTTGTTTGTTTGTTTTTTGAGACGGAGTCTCGCTCTGTCGCCCAGGCTGGAGTGCAGTGGCGCGATCTGCGTTCACTGCAAGCTCCGCCTCCCGGGTTCACGCCATTCTCCTGCCTCAGCCAACCGAGTAGCTGGGACTACAGGGCCCACCACCAAGCCCGGCTAATTTTTTTGTATTTTTAATAGAGACGGGGTTTCATTGTGTTAACCAGGATGGTCTCGATCTCCTGAACTCATGATCCGCCCGTCTCGGCCTCCCAAAATGCTGGGATTACAGGCGTGAGCCAACACGCCCGGCCCAGGACTCTGGATTCTGTAATCCCTTCAACTAAGATATTTATTATTTTACATAATTTATTTGTTGGGCTTATATAATCTGCATATACTTTTATTGGAGAAAGGGAGTCCAAGTCTAAAGTGATTTGAAAGTCACAGATCAAGAGGATCTCTATGATCCCTCCTTCCCATTTGTTCATTCAGTCAGCCATTCAATCACTCACTAAATATTCTTTGAGATTCTGATATGTGCCTGGCATTCTACTTGTTAGAGGATCCAAATGTAAGCAAAAGTAATAGTTATGAATACCAATATGTTTCAGTTACACTATTCATTCTTTTAGGTGATTTTTAAAAAATTATTAAATATTCTCAGGATTCGTTGAAATAGATATTACAGTTATCATTATTTCACGGTTTAGGAAATTGACATAGAGAAGTAGTAATTACCCCCAAATCATACAGCTAGTAAGAGGAAGAGGTGAGATATGGATCTGGAAATGAGTTACTGGAATCCATGCACTTACCAACTTCAACATGCAGCCTCTCCTGCAAAGCCCGGGGCCCTGCCCTGATGGAACTTAAAGTTTAAAAAAAAAATGGTTTCAAAATATACATATATATGTATAAAATAAAAAATAAAAAAAATAGGACTCAGAAAAACACTGAAAAAAAAGAGAGAAGATGATTAATGAAGGAAGCATACAGATAAATGCATTACTGCGACAAATACAAATGTGGGTTCTCTTTATAGCATACCATAGGGTAAAGGCAGGAGTATCTGAATGTCTTAGCTGTGCAAAGGCTTGATGGAGAAAATGATATTAAGCTAAGATTAATAAAAATATGATATTTGTATGGATGTTCAAACCTTCAAAAAGGAAATTTTCTGGTATTAGATACTAGCTAACAATATTTGAAAGTGCAAACTTGAATTCGCACAATTAGATATTTGTTAACTGCTGAATGAGCATGCTTTCCTGGGCCACATCTCTATCAAGGATGAGAACAAGAGAAGGCACGCTGTGGTGGGTCATGAGTAAAATGTGATGCTGACACTCTGCACATAAAAGCCACTAAGAATGACAAGTCTGGGTGATTCTGAGAAAGTGTAGGATAAGTAGTAACAGTATGGGTAAGGGGTTGCGGAGAGGAATAAATAATGAAGAGGAAATTTTAAATTCCTCGTTTTAATCCCTGAAACAGATCTTGCTGAAGTAGACGGGTCATAAATAAAAATGAATTATTTACTAGATGTGTTTCCAGTCATTACTCATTGACCATGGAGGTACTTTAATGAATATTAGCCCAATTAATAACTACAAGTTTGAAAAGTGTGAGATAGATGATAAATGTTCTTCAGATCATCAGAACTTGAGATCAGCTAGGTGTGTCCAAAAAGTAAATTAGATTATCAAGTTGACATAATTAACTCTAGTACCCTTGAAAGAGAATATGCCTTCTCACGTTTTATTCTCCTTGGAGGAAAAGCAGGCTGTTTGTAAGTATTCAACTTAATAAGAGTAAGGGAATAAGAGGGTGGTTGAGGTTTGGGGCAGTATAAAACCTGAGATACCCTCATTTTTTCTACGATGAATACATAGACTGGTTTTTGAATGAGGAATTAGGAGAGATCTTTCTCTATAAACGTTAAAAAACAGTCTGTCATTTCCTCTTTTATTATGACTTCATTTGGGGAGTTTGCCCCTAAAGGCTTTTTGGTTTTTGAGTCTCCAAATAAGTTTTAGATACTCCTATGATGCATTTGTTTTACCCATTGACATGGCATCTGTTAACTGAAACCTAATAATTTTTCATGTATGTTCCTATGGACACATATGTGCATTGTATGTGCTTGTGCATATTCTTGTTTGCATATGCCTATTGTAGGCATTATTATAGGGATTCCATACACATTTGTGCTCTCTGGCATCTGTGCACATTCTAATTTGTGGATGGGTAAATTTAGCATATGAATAACTTCATATGTTCACATCTCTCCACATGGATGTACATGCCTTCATGATGTTCATCAATATTAATTCATCAAAACATACTTACGTTATACATACATGACACATATATCAGTTGAATACCTTTTTATACCCTGATTCCATTTACATGTTTCATAGTATTTTAACATAGGAATTCTAAGAGCATAGTAGATAACTGCGTATTTATAGTTAAGTGAGAGTCCAATACCGTTGCAGTGAACACACTGCTAATTCATGCTGTGCAATGAACACACCAAATTAGCATACCACTTCAGTTATTTGATAGGGTAGCCATCCTCAGTTGTCAAGTACGCAGGCTTGGCTCATGTACCTCTTTATGTTTTCTCATCCATTTACACTTAGACCTAGACCAGACAGTGATATTTGGAACTACTTGCTGGATGCACTAAGGCAGGGGATTCCTGTTGGCATGGTTCTGCATGAATGGAACCTCAAATGGATTTTGTAGATTATCCTCATTGTTACCAAAACATTTTTTATTTGAGGAAAATGTTGCAAGTATTTATACTAGATAATATCCACTGTGACTGTACTGGAACAAAGGTATTCTGATAGAGAAAAAAGAATGTAATCATAAGGTCCAGGAAAGAGAGGTATTTCATTTATCTTAACTGATGAGAATGTTCTAATGACAGGTATTTGCTGTAGAAGTTTCTAGGCCTAGCTTACCCTGAAATCAATACACTTTTGAAAGTCAGTGTCTGTTTGTGAGGAAATACATTGCTAAGGTTTTCTCTTATTTTCTTTATAAAAAATAAAATTATGTTACTTTGTTCTCTGTGTTTTATTTGAAATTTGGGTTAATTACTTAATACAATCCATGTTTATAGTGTACGGAATAAAATACTAATTAATCCATGGTAGAATTACTAAGGTTAATGGGCTTTTAATTAAGATATGATGTGATTTTTGTAATTTTATTTTCCAGATAAACTGAAGTTAGATATGTCTGTTTGATTCAAATTATCCAGTTTCTATCAACTCCAACTTTACCAGGTGACCTGGTACCTAATTATTGTTTTCCAACACATCATAGGATTTAATATCTCCTACTATTCCATGAAATATGAGTAAACAATGCAAACTCACAAGTCATTTTTTCTAAAGGTTGATGCATGTACTTTACTTGGGCCAAAGGCTAGAGTGGGCATTGTCATGGTAGACTTTTAAATGAAACACTCAGAAGACTTCCTGACTTGGCTCCCAGTTTTGGGTCTTGAAATACACTATTTTAGGCCAGATTTTCTAAAGGTTACTTCACTTCATACATATGTCTGAACCTTGAGGAGTGTACACATAACTGCCCATAGAAGTGGTAAAATATGTTTATAAGCAGATGCTTTGGAGGTAGACTGTTAGCATTACATTTTTTAATCAGTTTTTTATGTTTGTGTCCTCAATTAGCTAATCTCTGTGTGTTTCAGTGCTTCCATCAGTAGATTGGGAATAATAAGATAGCACACGTCAAGATAATAATAACCATTTCATTTAAATATTAAATGAGATTATATGAATAAGACACACAGTAAACATTTAATAAATGATAGTTATTTCTGTTTTAAGGGTATTTACACATATAGAAATGCATTTGCAAATGCCTAATAAGAAAATTATCATGCATTTGGGATTGGATATGTGTTCAATCTGTGTGTGTGTGTGTGTGTGTGTGTGTGTGGGTGGGGAGGTGTGTGTTCCAGGGTGTCTATATGTAGTGAGCAGGAGATATGATGTGTCTTATTTCTAAATAAACTATATTGTTTATTATCTAAAGAAAAAGACTGGAGTTATCTAGTTACCCTTATGTTGAACTCATATTTCTTAAGATTAATGAGCTAAGATATGATGATCATCCTTGTAAAAGCCCTGAGTAGTAGCATGAAGTGACTCTCCATTTATGTGCTCAATATTGTCGCACTTTTTCTTCTAAAAACATCTAATTTTTGTCTCCTGTTGTGAGTCACAAATAATAACTAGGAGAGCAGAATTCTGTTCATTTCTTTCCCAAGATTTTATAAGAATGCTTTCATTTCCTTTACCTTCTGGCATAAATTATTTTCTAGATTTTGTTTTCTTATCTAATCTTAAGTGATAATAAATAACATCTGCGGAAAAATGACAAATTGATTCATTCTTATTTGCAACGATATAATTTTAGTAAGATGTGGTATAGGCTATAATCTAAAGTGATTTGCAACAGTTCATTCTAGAAATTGAGTAGATATAGAAATAAAAAGTTACAAGATTCAATGATATTTTTATTGAATAGAAAAAAATTTATTCTAGTTTTTTTTTTTTTGCTTTCCAAGTTTTAAGCATGTATTGGTCTAGTACTAGTTTTACAGGGACCTTTAAAACACCAATAAAACGTTAATGAAAACCAAGCCTCATTTCAGATTTTATGGTGGAAATAATTTTACACACATTCATTACTTTTTGAAATTAGATTTTGATTCTCAATAGGGAAATAGAAGCATCAATTTCCCCTTTCAATCTTACTTCATCCTTACTTCAAAGCTTCGTGGACCTCTTTATGCCTTTCCTCTTTCCCATTTTTTCTTTTATTAAAGACAAGTGTGTGAAAAAAGACTCCTTCCTGATACGCCCTGAAATTCTTTTTTGAGAGTGTAAATGAGATAAAGTCTTTGTGGAACTGAAAGCTCCTAGAAAGTTTGAGATTTATATAGCCAATATACTTTTTTAAATACAAGGTTTTTACACTTTTGAACTACCCTAATAGTCTGCTCAATTGTCATTCTGTGACACCTTTGCCCCCGCAGTCTATTCACCACATAATGTCCATACTGATTCTTAAAAAAAAACAAAAAAAGTTACATCATGACAATCCACTGTTTAAAATTATCAAATTGTTTCTAATCTCACTGAGAACTGTACTTAAAAGAATGAAATCCTCATCATGGCCTACCAGGCCCTACTGTGCTTGGCCTCCCTCTCTTGGCCTCATTTCCCGCCACTCTCCCAATGGTTTATTTTCCTCTAATTACACTGGCCTCCTTGCTGTACCTTATATTTGCTGAAAAGCTCTTATATCAGGGTCTTAGTACTTGATCTCTGACTGGGATGCTGTTTCTTTAACTATTTATGCAGCTTACCCTTCTCTGTTCTCTACTGAAATGTCACTGCATAAGAAGGATTATTCTTGATTACTCTACTTAAAATGGTACCATATCCCCACCACTCTCCCGTTACTTTGTTTAAAATTACTTCGTGGCATTATATCATATATAATGATATGGCAACTTTTAGCAAAATAAATTTGTTTTTACAGTAGATTGGTTTACCAGATTAAGAATGCAATCACCCCAATACTTTAGGTGACTTATCCAAGGTACATGATACCAGAACTGAGATACAAATTTGGAAGACAGTGTAGCCTTACTCATCTAGTTTTTAATGTATACCCTGAACCTTATCTTAGCAGGGTTAGGATAACCAAAAGAGAGTTCCTGGGCCATGCCCTAGAATCACTAAAACAGTTTTTCTCATATTGTATCGAAGGAGTCTACTTTTTGTAAGAATTAAGATGAACCTACACAAACTAGGTTTAAAAGCACTGAAGTATGCCTGACTTACTGCTTATATAACTACTATTAACATCTATAGCTGTCCAATTTTTCTCTTATATAAAATCTACCTTGTGAGGCAAATTTTTCCTGTTCCAATGTTTTTCATTATAGTACACATAAGATATTATGACAGATTTTTCTACCATCTCCCAAATACTGAAGCTTTTCAGCCTGTTGTGAAGCAAAGTTGCTTTTTTCCCCATTTCTGGCTACTTCTTATACAGCAATCAGCATGCCAGACCAGAATTTCTCACCAAATTGGCAAGGTAATGGTTTTGTTTTCCCTCTCCACTGGATGTATTAATATAATGAGCATGGTAATTGATGGCTGATAGTACTAATAATTATTCTAACAAGAATTATGTAATTGACTGTCATGCAGACTGATGGTAATAGGATCTCCATAATTTTAATTTCCATTAAAAGTAGTGGCAAAAAACACAATTACTTTTGTACCAAACCTAATAGCCTCTTTTGGAAGCTATTGGTTTCATTATTTTTATGACATTGTTCCATTTCTTTTGAACTGTAATCTTATCTCCCTGCCTATCAGGATAAGAGGCTTTCGAGTTTGGTGATAGATTTTCGATGTGACTGGAACCTTCATACATCTTTTAGTAGAGAAACAAATCTATGGCTATAATCAGGAAAAGAGGGATAAAGGAGCTAGAAACTATTGGAGCTAGAACTTTGCCTCCACCATCGTCCAATAAATGATGTGAAGTAACAAATTTGTTATTATCAATGATTTTAAAAGAGGTTATAAAGTAACAATTTTCAATGAGTTTGCTCCTGAGTAGGTCATTAAGGAACCTGAACTTACCCATGTCTCGATTATATTATAGTGTTAGCCTCAGGCCTTTACATGCTTTCAAAGATCAAAGAGTAAAGTTGGCCTGATTCAGTGAAGCTGCTATTTTGCATCCCTCAACAAGCAGCAAGAATTCAAGCATTTACTTTTATTTATTTTTTCTGAGTAGTCTCTAAGTCAGGCTAATAGCTTAAATTTGTAATAAGGAGATAGGAACTAAGGGAATGAAATGCAAATCAGAATATTTCACTCTTTATTCTCCACTTTTCCATCACTTAGTCTCCAAACTTCTCACCAAGGTTCACAATGCCATACCCGATCTGGCTTCTGGCTCAATAGCTGCATATCAGGTACAAATATTTAAAAGTAAATAACATCAGTTCTGCACAATTTCAGAAAAGGAGCAGAACCATTTTCCATGTCATTTTATGAGGCTATTACAACACTAATTCAAAAACAAGATGAAAACAATACAAAAAAGACAACTACAAACAAATGTCCCAAATTATTATAACCAAAACCCCCTAAAATATGTAAACGAATAAAATGTAACAATATATACAGACAAGAATATACCATGTTCAAATGGAGTTTACCGCAGATATACAGTGATGATTGACTATAAGAAAAGCAGCCAATTTAACCTTGTATACTAAAGTCAAAAAGAAAAAAAAAAGGCCAGGCACGGTGGCTCACGCCTGTAATCCCAGCACTTTGGGAGGCCGAGGCAGGTGGATCACGAGGTCAGGAGATCGAGACCATCTGGCTAACACGGTGAAACCCCGTCTCTACTAAAAATACAAAAAAAATTAGCCGGGCATGGTAGAGGGGGCCTGTAGTCCCAGCTACTCGGGAGGCTGAGGCAGGAGAATGGCATGAACCTGGGAGGCGGAGCTTGCAGTGAGCCGAGATCGCGCCACTGCACTCCAGCCTGGGCGACAGAGCGAGACTCTGTCTCAAAAAAAAAAAAAAAAAAAAAAAAAGTATATCAATTGATACATAAGACTATTTCACAAAATACAATATCTCTTTATGATAAAACTCTCAGCAACTAGGAATACAAGGAAATTATTATTTTATAGATAAATGTCATCTACAAAATGCTACAACGAACATCACACTTAATCATTAGGAAATGAATTGTTTATTCTAAATTTGGTAGCAAGAGAAGAATGTCCACATTTTCCACTCTCATTTAACATTATACTGGAAATCTTCACCAGTCAAATAAAACAAAACAAACACCACAACAACAAAGTTAAGCAGATTAGAAAGAAAAAAATAATAGTGTCTCTATTTACAGATATTATGAGTGTCTATGTAGGCAATTCCAAGCAAATGAAACAACGACAAAAAAATCTCCTAATAATAAGTGAAAATTATAGAATACAATGTAAACACAGAAAAGTTAATTTTATTTTTGTATATGTAAATGGAAATAGAATGTTTAAAAAAAATTTCCAATGAAACCAAAATAAATTGGGCAAAAATCTAAGAAAGTTTGTATAGGATTTCTATGCTGAAATATGTAATGTCAGTGAAAGAAAGTAAACAGCACTGAAGTACACAGAGAAACATACTCTGTTCAATGGTAAATCTCAATATAATAAAAATATCAATTTTCTCCAGATTCATTTATAAATCCATAGTTGTGGCTACCACAGTATCCATGAGCAAATAAATTAGCTTCTCTCCCTGTTCAAAAGCAGCAGCTAGATATCCTATTTCCTTCCAAAACACAGAGGGATACAAACCTAACCTGACTGCATGGCAATGTCATGCCAGAACTCACTAGTACTTACAGAAATGCTATAACCTGGTAAAATTAGCCTTCTCTTAGACAAATGTAGATTTATTACACCCTCTAACATTCTGATAGTCAACTCAAACTTCCTTTGAATTCCAAAGTGTTTTTGTTTCAACTTCCTTTCAGCTCTCTACATATCCAATATATCTGTCCTATCTTCTATATTGTCTTTATAACACACAATTCCCTTTCTTATATTTATTCCCAAGAGTAGCTTAAGAATTTTAAGAATATGTAAGAATATGTGACATTTTATTAGCTGCTTATAGAAATAATTCATTTTTAAGCATATTTTTATAAATTCACCCAGTGAAGGCAAGGGAACTGTTTGGCATGTAATAGTCATTCATTAATTATATGTTGGATGAAAGAGTGAATGAATATATATTATATGACTACTGACACCATGGAAAGGAAATTTATTATGCAGCAACTCTTATGGGTCAAGCATCATTGATACTATTCACATTATCATTATGTTTTATTATTTATATTATTTGTACATATTATATTCTAACATGAATATCCTTAAAAATATTTGAAATGCATAGAGAGTAACTAACTTGTCCAATGTCACAATACCTGTAAATGACAGGACAGTAACTTGAACGCAGAACATCTTATTCCAATTTTCAGTTTAGTTTTAATGCAACTCAAAGTTTAACCGTCTATGTATTATTGACTGCTCTTCTTCCAATTCATGTGTATAATAAAATTTTATATCTTAAGAAAAACTTTAAATAAATACTTAAATTCTACTTGGAAAGTGACTTGATGATTTAGTATGGAATCATGGGGCTGATACATGTTCTATGTTGTGATTAAGGGTTATGTTAGAATGAGGGTCTTTAATCATGATAATTCCCCAAAGAGTAGCCTGAATTTCCTGAAACTGAAGGTCTAATAAGTGGGAGATGCAATAAATGTCATTTCACATGTGAGCCAATAAAAAGGCAGGTAATGATTAAACACTGTATTTTTAAACCTATGCCTAAGCTAATTTGTTGAAAATTATAGTCACTTTTTCTGAGAATTATTTTTAAGGAACTCATTCTTTGGAAAATTGCAGCTAAGAAAATGGTACGTGTGTGACATTACATTATCCATTTTTAAACTGAAGTTTTAAAGATGAATATTATTTGGGAAGAAAGTCATTAAAAGAAAATTGTTCTTCAGAGTAATTTCAGCCTGAATTTCATAGGCATTTATAAAGAAAATGTTACTTCTGGATTGGACAACCATAGACAAATAGGGTGCAGGCAAACAGAATCATAATGATTTATACTTATAAAGTGAGCCTCATTTACTTATTAATGTATTTCCTTGACTCTACATAGTCAGGATTGCTCATAACATACACACTTCAAATTCACAGAGCAGATCACCTAGGGAAATAAATGTGGATAAATTTCTAGGCCACAGATCAATAAAATGAAGTTCTGGGTAGATACTCCCTTATACTCAGTAGCTTTGGGTACTCAGAGAACTATAGATTTTTGGCAACTGTCTAGTGCCTCATATTTGGTCGGTCAGCATCAACCAGGCAACTGCATGTCACAGAAGCTCTGTGAGTGAATCTATCAGAAAGACACTACTCAGCCCACACAGGCAAAATAAGCGAAGAGTTTATGTCTTGCCCTATCATCAAACAGAAGGAAAAAGAGGTGCTAGCTCAGCAGCTAATTTCCTAAAGTAATGACATCAAAATAGCCCCAATGATAATAATGAATAAGTAATATAAAATACTATCTGTGTACTTGGCACAGTGCAATCATAACATCTCCACGACAGGGGTGCACTATTTTCCAAATTTTACATATAATGGAAATAAGGGCACTGTGTACCTGACAATATTGAACATTACCTGAACCCTATTCTTCTGAAAAATGATAGTTATGAAATCCCCCACCATTGTGTGTTTCAGGAAATAGCTCTCCAGATGATTTGTATAATAGGTGGACACACTTTCTCATGACTCTCATAAGATTCACAAATGACTCCACCTGTGACAAGGCAAAATATAGACCTCTCTCCTTTTGCCTGATCTGACAAATAGAGCCAGCTGAACCAGCTGAACACAGCAATAAATGTTTTCTCTTTAGTGACTGACTGAAATTTCCCCTGCAAATCACTCTTCCTTTGACTTGTACACTCATTTCTATAAAAGGATAAGGCAAAACCACCCCCAGGAACACTCTGTTTTGGACATTGGAACCTCACCCTGTTGCAATAGCCATAGTAAAGTCAATTCCCTTAGGTTTTGTTTGTTTTTGTCTTTGACATACTATATTAATCTGTTCTCATGCTGCTGTAAAGAACTCCCTCAAAACCCAGGGCCCAGCCCCAGCTGGGCCCCTGCCAAGACCCCGGCCTCTGTGCTGGGATGGAGACTCCGGATTGAGGCTGGTAAAAGCTGAACTCAATAGCAGCAATGAGAGTGCTCACGCCACTCTGTGTGTGCAGTCAGCAGTGTGGCCACAGATGGGGGCCACTCTCTCAACCTCAGGTGTCCCCAGGGCCCGGACCGCTACTGGGCACAGCCAGGCTGGCTACCAACTGGTTACCTGCCCTGTGGCTGGGGGACAGAGCAGCAGGTATCAGCTGGGCTAGGGTCAGGGTCAGGGGGCCACTGGTGCACAGCCTGGCACAGACTGGCAGACTTGAGGCCCAGGGTGCTGAGGGTGGTCACACATCCATCAGCCACCTCCAGCTCTTCCAGGGCATTCTAGATGGGGTCCCGGGAGGGGGCAGGTTTTGGTGCCAATTTGAGTGTATAAAGTTTTAGGTAAATACAAAAAAAAAAAAAAAAAAAAAAAGAGCTACCTGACACTGGGTAATTTATAAAAATAAGAGGTTTAATTGACTCACAGTTCCACTGGCTTAACAGAAATCATGACTGGAAGGCCTACAGGAAACTTACAATCATGATGGAATGTGAAGGGGAAGCAAGAAGCTTTTTTACGGGCAACAGGAGAGAGAGTGAGCAGGGAAGTGCCATACACTTTTAAACTATCAGATGTCCTGAGAACAGCAAGGGAGCATCCCACCCCCATGATCCAATCACCTCCCACCAGGTCCCTCCTCCAATTCAACATGATATTTTCACGGGACACAAATCCAAATCATATCACATACCTAATGTTATTTTTTCACTTTGATATGAATTATAATTCTATCTGCAGTTCTGTAGTATATCTCATTTAAGCCTTAAGTTATTCATTCTAAAGTCACAGAAACTGGGTGATCTGATTTGGCCACGTCCCCACCAAAATCTCAATCTTGAATTGTACTGCCCATAATCCCCAGGTGTTGTGGGAGGGACCTGGTGGGAGATAATTGAATCAGGAGTTAGATTACCCTAATGGTTTTCTGCTGATAGGAGTGAGTTCTCATGAGATCTGATGGTTTTATAAGGGCCTTCCTCCCTCAATCAGCTCTCATTCTTCTCTCTTCTGTCACCATGTGAAGATGGATGTGTTTGCTTCCTTTTCCACTATGATTGTAAGTTTCCTGAGGCTTTCCCAGCCCTGCAGAAGTGTGAGTCATTTAATCCTCTTTCCTTTATAAATTACCCAGTTTCAGTTATTTCTTCATAGCAGCATGAGAACAGAATAATACACTGGGTTCAAAGAAGTTCTGTAATTGTGGAAAAGTATTTCTCATTTCCAATAACTGTACAGAAGTTTTTTTTCTGAAATATGTCTGAGGAGGTTTCCAAGCCTCATCCCATCTGTAGATTGGTTCATTTCTCTAAAAACAGGCTATTAACTTCAAATCTAATTTATGCATGAAAAAGAACAAAATCTCTTAATCTTCAGATTTTGAATGATTGGTTAGTTGTCACAGAAACAGTAGATTTGAGTGCTGTGAAGGATTTTATTAGTGGTTCAATTGTTCATCAAAATCTATCATTATTACTTATAGGATGTGGTTTAAGAATAATTATAGCCTTTAAGTTTGGCCAACTGGCTTGAGTAAACTTATATGTTGTGCTTAGCAATACAAATAATGGTATCTGTTTTGTTCTGCATTAATAATTCAGTATAAAATAAGAAGTTCATCTTGGCTTGTGACCTAGGATAGGCTACATCCTGCATGTCATGGAGGAGGGAGAGGACCATGCTCTGTGTGATTTACACTTTAATTATTGTGAACTAGGTAAAAGAAATATCAATAAATTACAATTTAGTCTCTGGAAGACAGCAGACACTTTTCACAAGGGTTTCTCTTTAACTGGTACAGAACCAGAACTTAGAACATCTTATAAGTAGTTGTTTTGGCACCTAATGAAATCCTAATGTAACATCTTGTTTCTAGGACCCATAGAAATCAAGCTACAGAATCAGGTGAGTACCTTAATTATAAAACACCAGGAATGTGTAGAAGAAATCACAATTTTAATGGCAATGTCTTTAAAAAGTGTATTATTACACAACACGGAGTACCAGCACATTCTTACCATATTTTACTACCATGATAACTTTTAAGATACTAATTATTAATTCTATTTAAAAATATTTTTCCTAATGTTAAATGTAGGCTTCACCAAGGATCACTGGTCAAAGACCGTTTTTAAATTAAACAGGCAGCTGATTCCTATCTCATAAAGATGCGTATGTATCAGAGGTCTAAAGTGGTTAGAATAGTACAAAATGATATGTTATTATTACTTGCCCTTATAAATTGTTATTTATTTAAAAATTTTAAATTCCGAGTTAACCTAATTCATTTTTTTCCATTAACTTATTTCAAATAGCAATATGTAATATAGCCAAAATAAGTGCATTATTCAGCATACTGAAGCGTAACAGAAATACTTTAAAATGTTAATTTATTCACATACCTTCCATTGATTCATTCAACATATACCTAACACTTGATAGATGCAAGTGATACAAAACACTTCTGTCTATACACTTATGGAAATAACAGTCACAATCTTTTGATCTCAGTGGTTTCATGGAGTTTACAATCTTTGGTGAATGTTAAGAATTAGGGAGGAACGCACAGTCAACAAGACATAAGAAAAATAGCAGCTCAAAGAGTGGTAAGCAGTATGTGGAAACTGAAGTTGGAAATGCAGATAGGAAGTATGAGGGTGGAATCTGATACAGTAGAATGAGTGAGTTGGAGAGCCCTAAAGATAAGAGTCCAAGGTTATGATGAGTGCAATAATGCATGGCCAGATAGGCTGTTTATCATGACTTTTGTTCTTTTATTCTGAGTGAAATAGAAAACTGTAGATGTTTTTGAGCAAAGAGTTGCATATATAACTACATTTAAAATCATTACTTTCATTGCCTTTTGATTCTGTTATTTTCTTCAATGTGCAGAAACTTTAAAGTTGGATCTGGTCCTACTTATCTATTTGGTCTTTTGAGAAGGCTATTGTAATAAACTAAGTAGTAGATTATAGTGAAACTTAATCCAGGCAGTAGTAAAAACTGTCAACACCTTTCATTCTTTATTTTAAAAATGTATATATATATATATATATTATAATGTATACACGTATATGTTCTTTATATAAAATCAATAATAAAACTTTTTGAGAAGTGTACTGGTTCATGTTGAATATTTTTAAACAATAGAAGTCATCCAGATACAACTATATTAAGATAAATGATTAAGCTGAATAAAATATAAAATAGGGAAATATGAATTACTATGAGTTAATGAATACAGTGCCCATATACACACATATGTACATATATATATATATTTTTTTTTTTTCTGAAACAGGGTCTCACTGTTGTCATCCATGCTGGAGTGCAATAGTGTGATCATAGCTCACTGTAACCTCAAATTCCGGAGCTCTTCCTACCTCAGCCTCCAAAGTAGCTAGGACTATAGGCGTACATCACCACACTTAGCTAATATTCTAATATTTTATATTTGTTGCTGAGATGGAGTTTCCCTGTGTTGACCACTCTGGTCTTGAACTCCTGGCCTCAAGAGATCCTCCTTCCTCAGCCTCCCAAAGTACTGATATTACAAGTATGAGCCACCATTCCTGGCCAGTGCCCATATCTCTTAGAGGCCAATTTGGAAAATAATTTTAAAAGATTGAAAAAATTGATTTGTGAATATAATTTTGCTACATTTGCTTAAAATGTGAAATATATCTTTATAATCATAGTTGTTGATCTTAAAATTAATTCTGATCACAATAATATACTTTCTACTGTAAGTACATCTCAGTTATGGCTATGGACTGAATGTTTATGTCCCTCCAAAATTCATATGTTGAAATCTAATCCCCAACTTCATGGTGTTTAGAGGTAGGATCTTTGAAAGGCAGTTTCTCTCCCTGTCTTTATATATATATAGAGAGAGTGTGTGTGTGTGTGTGTGTGTGTGTGTGTGTATAATATAACACATAACAAATATATAATACATATTTCTTTATGATACACATACAAATACATATTCTGTACTAGAAAATGGAAACATTTGCCAAGATTAGAGGACAACATACACTTTTTATGACAACAAATACAACTAAAAACATTTACCACCCAATTTCTTAACAGATTTAAATGAATGCAGAGGCATATTTCTCAGCAGTACCACTGAAAACACATCTTAGTTTCCTCACCTCTTGCACAGATCCACTTCTAATTCTGTTCCACTACTCTAGTGCATTTTTAAAAATGTCGCTTCCACAAGACATTCAAAAGAAGGGAGCAGAGTAATTTTGGGGGGATATTTCTTTAAAGGACTCAAATTAGTTTGTGTGCATGTGTGTGGTATGTTTGGATTTTTCCCTTTAAAGTATATAGTAGAAAACAAATATGAGCACCTACTTTTAATCCTGTCTGTCAAAGTAGACACTTAGAACTTGTTACAGTTTTTCTTGGCTCTATCCATTTTTATGTAAATAAGAAAACACTTTTTCCTATAGTTTTTCATAATACGAACTTGCTACAATGAAATGGATGAGTTAGGGATTCAATTGGTAATATCTCTGCCAATATTAGCCAATATTAATTAAATCACAATCTGAGTGATAAGTTAAAGCTTTCAGAGGTAGATAATATATATCAGGAACAAAACAATTCTACTCTTTGTGTAGCTTTATGCTTTCTTTGCTTTGACAATGAGTGATAAAATATTAAGAATGTTTAACCTATGCCAACAAAAATCTAATTGTGATAGGAAAGTGACATTAATTATTCTTATACAAAAGCTGGATGCAACCGAAATCTGTATAATGCAAGGTGTGGTTAATTTTTATAATGTCCATTAAAAACATTTTTATTATGAAGTACTTGGATCATTGTGAGTTCCATAATCTCTTTATAGGAGGGATGTTCTCAGGGACATGGATCTATTTAGGAGAATTATTTTGTCTATCTTTTACAGAATAAATTTACTACATTTGATTAAATCATTTTAATTAGGATAAACTGGCAAGAAACCTGATGGAGGTGGAAAAGTAAAAGCCTCCTGAGGTCGTGCTTTGCTGCAGCCTGTGATATGTGGAAAAAATAATATAGTTATTGTAATACTCAAAAGTTTTACAGGCTTCAACAACTCACATGACTTCAGCTGCTAAAGTGATAGAATACATGTGTAAATTTGTGAGGGTTAAATTCAACAGGAAATAGTGAATATTTCAGATAACTGAATATTATGCACTCTAAGAAGTGCAAATTAGTGGGTAAGATAAATTTTTGTTAACAAATGAGCATTCAATAAAAACTATGTTAAATATTATATATATTTTTACAAAATATTGTAAGAAAAAATAAGTAAAATATGTTTATTAGATTTGCCAGGTAGAATTTAGTCAATCATGCATTCTTTCTAATCTGCAATCTCTAAATAAGTTGTTTCGACAACATAGTGTTTGTGTGTGCCGGTAAGAGTGAGCCTGTGTGCGTGTGTAATTATATGTGTAATTATAGTTTGAAACCCAATGATTGTGTGATAAATTTTATACATTCATACAGAGGTATATTTTAAAAATGTATTTATGCTTTAGGTCTGATATTTGTTTTAAAAATATTTGAAATTATCCAGGTTAGTACTTATTTTTCTTTAGTGATTGATGAATATGCCATTGTAAAGTTTACCTGTTATGAACTTTATATCAAGCTTGTCCAACCCACAGCCCAGGACTGCTTTGAATGCAGCCCAACACAAATTTGTAAACTTCCTTAAAACATTGAGATTTTTGTGATTTTTTTTCTTTATAGCTCATCAGCTATCATTAGCATTAGTGTATTTTGTGTATAGCCCAAGACAATTCTTCTTCCAATATAGCCCAGGGAAGACAAAAGATTGGACACTCCTGCTTTAGATTGCTTCTAGTTTCCTTTTTTTGGTCTAAAATTGAAATGCTAATACACTTTACGATACACATATCTTGCCTACTCATTTGTTTTGTACAGATTTCTAGAAATGAGATTTCAAATGATAGCATACATATTTTCAAAATTTTGAAAGATTTTACCAAATTATCTACTAATAAGTTTGCACTGATTTATATTTCCCATATATTATTATGTATTTTCTGTCCTGTTATCCCAACAGGATGTGAGTCAGTAAAACTACTGATAATTTCATGAAAAATATTAGATTGTTTGAATTTATATATGTAAATTATAATAGTTAAGAATAATTTTATTGGACTTCTTGCTTGTATACTTCCTCCTATATGAATAATATAATTCAGTGATTTTTTTCATTTTTTGCCATGAAGAGTTTGAAAATATATTCCTTCTTTGATTTAAAGACTTTCTTGTTGAACGTTGAGTATATAATTTGCCATTTAGTTTGATTCTTGTAATCTTTAAATATGCTCATCCATGTAAAGTATAGAAACAACTTATGTAAAGTAATAATAAAACTTAAGAAAACTAATTATAAGAATTAGGATACTCAACTACATTTCACACATAGTTTTAATTGGAATGTACTGATGTATGTAAAACATAGGTGGGGTATGGTGACTCATGCCTGTAATCTCAGCTCTCTGGGAGTCCCAGGAAGGAGGATTTCTTAAGGTCAGGAGTTCTAGACCAGCCTGGCCAACATAGTGATACATCATCTCTACCAAAAAAAAAAAAATTATTGGGCATATTGGAGCTTGCCTGTAGTCCTAGCTACTGGGGAAGCTGAGACAGAACGATCACTTGAGCCCGGGTGCTACAGTGAGCTATGTACTCCAGCCTGGGCAACAGAGTGAGAACCTCTCTCTAAAATAATAAATTAATTTTAAAAATAAAAATAAACAGGCCAGGCACAGTGGCTTACACCTGTAATCCCAGTGCTTTTGGAGGCCAAGGCAGGAGGATCTCTTGAGAGCAGGAGTTCCAGACCAGCCTTGGCAAATGGCAAAGCTCCATCTCAAAAAATAAAGAAAATAAATAATAAACTCTAAAGTATTCCCATTCTGTAATAAGAATATAACTGACATATTTCTATATAGATCTTTCAAATTTTATCAACTGTATTCATAGACGTTTTATAATTTTGTTTTTTTGAATTGAGGCATTCTCCTTTTATGTTTTGGATATAGTTATTTGAGATATTTGCTTTGCATTCATAATTTCATAGTTTTGCAATTGTTTTTCTTGACTAGTTAGGGCAAACATACATTCTATACCTCAATATCTCATTTCCAATAGTTATATAAATTTTTTATTCTATTTTTTGTTGCATTATTTAAAACCTTTAAAATACTGGTGAGAAGGGTTGATATAAAAGTCATTTTTCTGTTATTTTTGTTTGTTGGTACTTTCTTTACTAGATATAGTTTTAATGTGCTTACTCTCTTTTCTAGTTATAATCTATCATATTTTATTCAATGTATAAATGATACCTTGCTTTCAATATTATAATTGATATAAGGTTGATATTAAATATCTTTATAAAAATTAATAATCTACTATTAATAGATAGCAGATAATATGTATGGTTGAACTATAATTCATTTTACTCTCACGATTTAATAGGAAAAGTATTGTTGTGCTTCTTATTGTTCAGTTGTATATGTTTGCATTTCTGAAGTAATTTCTAATGTCAAATTTTGTGTTTTTAACAGATTCACCAAGATATAATTCACATAACATGCAATTCACCATTTAAACTGTGTAATTGAATGGTTTTTGGTATATTCCTAGATAAATGTAGCAGTAACATCATCATCAATTTTAAAACATTTAATCTCCTTAAAAAACAAAACAAAGAACTTTATTTCCTTTAACTATTAGCATTTCCCCTTCACCCCCATCTCGTACTTCAGCTCCAAGCAAACACCTATTTTCTGTCCCCTTAGATTTTCCTATTGAAGATATTTTATATAAAGGTAATCATACAGTATGTAATCTTTTATGATTGGTTTTCTTTGACTTAACATTTTCAAGGATTGTCCATGTTGTAGAATGCATCCATACTTCATTCCTTTTTATGGCCAAATAATATTCTATTTTATGGGCCCATACTACATTTTATTTATCCATTAATCAGCTGATGGACATGTCATTTGTTTCTTTCTTTGGTTCTTATGTATCATGCAGTTTTAACATTTATATATAAGTGATAGTGAAAGAATGTTTTCTTTTCCCTTGGCTATGTATATAGGAGTAGAATTGCTGGGTCATATGATAGCTCTATCATGCTTGAGGACCTGAGAGACTCTTCTCCAACCTGTCTAGCATTTTGAATTCCCACCAGCAGTGATCAACGGCTCTAATAGCCCACATCATTATCAATCTGTTTAGTTTTGTTTTACTATCACTCACTCACTCTAGTGAGTGTGAAGTGGTATCTCATTGAGGTGTGAGCTGTATTTCTATCCATACTAATGATGTTAAGCAACTTTTCTCATGTGTGCCTGTGTGTTGTTGGTTTTTTTTTTTTTCATTTTATATCTTCTTTGAAAAATGTATGTTTAGATTCTTGGCCCATTGTTTAAAAATTGGGTTGTCTTTTCAGTATTCAGTTGCAAATATTCTTTATATATTCTGAACAAAAGTGCTCTATCATACATTTTACAATATTTTCTCCCATTCTGTAGGTTATCTTTTCATTTTCTTGATACTGCCTTTGAGCATAAATTTTAATTTTAATTTTGATATTTATATAGACACTAAAACTTTCTCATGAGAATTATTTGTATAATACATATAGTTTTTCTTTTTACTCTTAACTTACCTTTGAATTTATATTCAAGTGCCTCTCTTTTAGACAACATATAGTTGTGTTACATTTTTATTCAGTTTGTTGTTACAGGTTGCTAAGGTTTTTAGTGTGTCCTTTCCAAAATTCAGGTGTTGACAATATGGTAGTATTAAGAAGTGAGGCCTTTAAGAAGTGATCAAGCCATAAGGACTCCGTCGTGAATGGGATTAGGTGTGCTTTGAAAAACACTTAACTGAAGAAGATAATCTCTTTTGCTCTACCGCCTTCTTCAATGTGAGGAAACAGTGCTCCTCCTCTCAGAGGATGCAACATCAAGGCACCATGTAGGAAGCAGATTGCTGCCCTCACTAGACAACTGGATCTGCTGGCACCTTGACTTTGTACTTCTCAGGCATCAGAACTGCGAGAAATACATTTCTGTTATTTTTAAATTGTCCAGTCTTAGGTATTCTGTTATAGCAGCACAGAAACATATGTTTAGAAAATTTAGAGGTACTATAAATATTGATAAGATTTTGCTTCAGTCTTAGTCCTTTTATTTGTTTTTTAAATTCATCTCATTTGTTCTTTTTTCCCCATTTTTCTAATTTTGAATTAATTGCATCAATTGAGAATTTTTATCTTTCTTCTACCTTCGCTATTAGCTTATTAGCTATAAATTTTATGCTATTTTCCAGCTATTGCTCTAGGATTTAAATAAAACATCCACCTTTATCTTACCACAGTCTACTTTTAAACTACATTACACCATTTAATATATGATGTAAGAACCTAATAATGTAGTTAATTTATTTTATCTTTTCATCCACTGAGTAAGATTTATCAAACTTCTAAATTCGGTATGACATAAATTCTTGAATATTTTTATATTAATTTGAAATGGTTGCATTATATTTTGAATACTTTTTTAATGAAAGAAAATATATATTTATATTGTTACTTTTTTTATTTGCAGTATTAAATTTCTTAATTCCTTTACGTACATCAATGCTTCCAACTGATTTATATTTTTCAGTCTGAGATTCTTTCTTTAATATCTGTTAATGTGCAAATCTAATAGCAACATTCCCTCAGAAGTGTTTGAATTAGTATTTTTTCAATTTTATTCGTGAATGATATTTTTAATTGGAGAAAAATTCCATACTGACATTTTTTTCTTTAAGCAATCTAAAGAAATTTTGTTTCATTTCCCCTTGCATTGCTTTGCATATGTGAGCAATAATTCTTACATTTGTCCCCTTGAACATAATTTATATTTTTGATCTTATGGTGTTCTTTTTATGATTGGATTCTATCAAATTGCATATGAATTGCCTTCGTATGGTTCTTTGTGCTTACCATATGTATTAGTCTGTTCTTGCATTGCTGTAAATAACTACCTGAGACTGGCTAATTTATAAAGAAAATTGGTTTAATTGACTTACAGTTCCACAGGCTGCATAGGAATCATGGCTAGGGAAGCCTCAGGGAACTTATAATCATGGTAGAAGGCAAAGGGGAAGCAGGTACATCTTTACCTTGCACAGCAGGAGACAGACTGTGAAGGGGGAAGTGCTACACACTTTTAAACAACCAGACATTGTGAGAAACCACTCACTATCATAAGAACAGCAAGGGAGAAGTTTACTCCCATGATCCAATCACCACCCACCAGGTCCCTACTCCAACATTTGGGATTACAATATGACATGTAATTTGTGGGAGGACACAGAGACAAACCATGTTATTCTGTCCCTGGCCCCTCCCAAATCCCACGTCCTTTTCACATTTTGAAACACAATTATGCCTTCCCAACAGTCCCCCAAAGTCTTAACTCATTCCAGCATTAACTCAAAAGTCCAAAGATCAGTCTCATCTGAGACAAGGCAAGTTCCTCCTACCTGTGAGCCTATAAAGTCAAAAACAACTTAGTTACTTCCAAGATACCATGGGGGTACAGGAATTGGGTAAATACACCAATTTTACAAGGCAAAACTCAGCAAAAACGGAAGGGCTACAGACACCACACAAGTATAAAACCCAGCAGGGCAGTCATTAAATCTTAAAATTCCAAAATAATCTCCTTTGACTCCATGTTTCACATTCGGGCCACACTGATTCAAAGGGTGGGCCCTCAAGGCCTTGAGCACCTCTGCCCCCATGGCTCTGTAGGGTATAGCTCCGTTGTCTGCTTACACCGACTGACATTAAGTGCTTGCGGCTTTTCCAGGTACATAGTGCAAGCTATTGATGGACATATGATTCTGGGGTCTGGAGAATGGTGGCACTCTCCTCAAAGCTCCACTATGAAGTGCCCCAGTGGGAACTCTGTGTGGAGGCTCCAACCCCACATTGGCTGTCCACACTGCCCTAGCAGAGATTTTCCATGAGGGCTCCATCCCTGCAGAAGACTGCTGCCTGGACATCTAGGCATTTCCTTACATCCTCTAAAAGCTAGGTGGAGTCTTCCAAGCCTCAATTCTTGCCCTCTACACACCCACAGGCTTAACCCCACATGAAAGCTGCCCAGACTTCTGGCTTCTACCTTCTCAGGCAGCAGCCTGATAGGAATTTAGGGCCCTTTTAGTCATGGCTGGAGCTGGAACAGCAGGGACACAGGGAGCTGTGTCCTGAGGTTTCACAAGACAGCAGGACCCTGCGTCTGGCAAAAAAAAAAAAAAAAAAAAAAAAAAATTTCCTCTTAGGCCATTGGGCCTGTTTTGAGAGGGGCTGCCTTGAAGGTCTCTGAAATGGCTTTGAGGCATTTTCCCCACTGTCTTGGCTATTAACATTTGCCTTCTCTGCACTTTTGCACATTTTTACAGCTGGCATGAATTACTCCTCTGAAAATGAGTTTTTCTTTTCTTCCATGACCAGGCTGCAAATTTTCCACCCTTTTATGCCCTGCTTCTCTTTTAATTTAAGTTCCAGTTTCAGAGCATATCTTTGCTCATGCATATGACCACATGCTGTTAGAAGCATCCAGGTAACCTCTTGACTGCTTTGCTGCATAGAAATTTCTTCCATCAGATACTCTAAATTATCACTCTCAAGTTCAAAGTTCCACAGATCCTACAGGACAGGCACTATGCCACCAGTCTCTTTGCTAGAGCATAGCAAGAGTGACCTTTACTCCAGTTCCCAATAAGTTCCTCTTCTCCATCTGAGACCACCTCAGCCTGGGCTTCATTGTCCTTATCACTATCAACATTTTGATTACAACAATTTAACAAGTCTCTAGGAAGTCTCAAACTTTCCTTCATCTTGCTGTCTTCTTCTGAACCCTCCAAACTGTTCCTACCTCTGCCCATTACCCAGTTCCAAAGGTGCTTCCATATTTTTAGGTATGTTTATACCAATACTCCTGTCCCGGTACTATTTTCTGTATTGCTCGCATTGCTATAAATAACTACCTGAGACTGGATAATTTATAAAGAAAAAAACAGTTTAATTGACTCAGTTATGCAGGCTGTACAGGAATCATGCCTGGTAAAGCCTCAGGAAACTTAAAATCATGGTGGAAGGTGAAGGGGAAACTGGCACATCTTCATATAGTGGAACAGGTAAGGGGAAAGTGCTACACACTTTTAAAAAAACAGATCTCACGATAACTGACTCAGTATCATGAGAACAGAAAGGGGGAAATCCACTGCTCTGATTCAATCACCTCCCACCAGACCCCTCCTCCAACAAGGGGGTTTACAATTTAATATGCAATTTGGATGGGGACACAGAGTCAATATCACCCTGCTTCAATTTTATTGAATATTTTTAGATTTGTGATTTTACGGTTTTTATCAAATTTAAAAAAAAGTAAATGAATGTTATTTTTTCAGTTTTTTTGTTATTCTTGCTCTCAGTCATATCCTACTGTGACTCCAGTTACATATGTTTTATAGGGCCTAATATTACCTGACAAAGGCTTTTTTTATTTTTCAATCTTTGAATTCACTAATCCTTTGTTCTGCAGAGTTCTATTCATTGGTAAGAACATCCAGTGAATAAAAACATGCATTTTTAAAGTAATTCCTTTTTATATTTGTTTCCTTTTTGCATATTACACTTCTCTTCTTTGTATGTTCATGTATTTAGTTGCATTCTTGAGCATATTTACGGTATGCTTTAAAGGATGTGAACTAGTTGAGCCCTATAATCAGGATGTGACCATTCTGGGGTTTGGACCACCACTTCAGCTCCATGAAATGTGAACATCTTCTAGCCTTGTATATTCTAAAAATTGCTCATTTTAGAGGAATCCAGTAGTTGATATTTGATTGGCCTTGTGTAATCTTAATCTGTAAGTGTATAATGTGTAATTCAGCTAAAACTCAAAAGATATCATGAAAATATTTGGAGTTATTTCTCCCTGAAGCTTCCTCCTCTCTAGTATTTTTCTCTACAAATTCTAGTGCCCTTGAATGTTAATTTTTGTCACCTTACTTCAGCAAGACTGCCTAACTAATGTACCTCCCATTGAATAATAAAATGCCTACATTCAGAAAGACAATAATAATAAATATCACATAATTTAATTTCATTCAATACTTTCTGTTGTCTAATGCCTAAACAATGGACATTTTCTCTATTTTGCCTGTTTATTTCAATTGTTTAAGATGGGAGTATATGTTCTGCATTTGATATTTCTTCATAATTGATGTTTTGAAATTGTGCACAGGACCTTGTTTATTTATATTGGAGAAACTCTAGATTTTTCGTTTCTTCTGAAGAGGGTTAGTTTTGTGATGATATGCAGTTCAATTACTGCCTGGTCACCTTGAGCTTGTGTATACTTGGTTTTAAGTTTTGTTAAGATGCATTACAAGGAGCCTAGATTGTTATCCAAGGCCCTCTATCTTGGGAAGATTCACCATGCAAATTATAGTTCTCCTTGGACCTTTTAAGGGCTTGGTATTATTGTCCAATTTATTAAAATCTTTGTCTCATTTCTCATATTTTATACAGTTTTCTGGGCACTTATAATGGGAGGGCTACTTCAGTATCAACTGTTGCAGGCTGAGCACCGTAACTCATGCCTGTAATCCTAGCATTTTGGGAAGCCAAGGCAGGAGGATCTCTTGAACCCAAGAGTTCAAGACCAGGCTATTAACATTTGCCTTCAGGCAACAAGGTGAGACCCTGCCTCTATTAAAAGTGAAAATAATACTAAAATACAATTTTTAAAAGTCTAATATCAATTGTTCCATCATAGACAGAAATATAAATTAAGGCACAGGGTTTTGTGGTGGTTTGTTACACAGTATTATTTTAGCAAGAGTGAACTAATTTCAGTTCCCATCCTATGTACTATCACAGTACAATATATTTTGTGTACCAGAGTATAAATTAAATTACATTGTAACCAATTATTTTGTTATTTTATGATCCCTACTAGACTTTACACTCTAAGCGGGCAGACACTCTGTTTAAATTGCTCTCTATTACACCTCTACCAATTAGCACATTTTTGGCACAAAAATAAATCCTTAAAAATATGTGTTTTAATATTGAGAAATTAAAATGTTTTTGTCAGTTTAGGCAAAGAGTAGCAACCAAAACCTTACAATTGTATCTCCCATAATAGCACAGAATGCTTTAAATATTAGATTATTGAAAAAGAGGTCAGTGCTGACAGTTAACCTCACTGTTCTCCTTTATGAACAAAAGGAATTTGTCTCTCTCAGCCTTAGACCATTTCAAATTTGCATAATCAAAAACAGCATATTTAACACTTGCTGTTTCTAAAATGAAATCTCCACTTTTATATCAGTTATTCTGAAGATGTAAAATGACTTCTAAACCAAGCTGGACAGAGAGAGTATCTATTGACTTATGAAATTTGGACAAGGAAAAGACACAATGAAAATCTTTGAAAAGCATTATTATAATAGAAATATTATTTTGCATGATATGACAAGCCAACATTTCTAATGTCCAGCTAGGTATGTTAGTAAACCTTTCTGAGTGTGTTTCTTTTCTGTAAATTCAAAGTGGTTGAGTTGACATACAAGGTTCCTTTCACCTCTAAAATGCTGTGACTATTAAGACAGTTTAATTTATTGCTAGTAGCAAGTAGCTAACCCTTTGGCTAAATAATTCATTCTTATTAGAACATATCTTGAGGTTAGAATTTTTGCACTTAGCCTACAAATTTTTCCTTATAAAGATCATATTCAGTCTCCCTTTGGAGTAGAATTATTTTCTAATTCAATGTTTATACTAGTTTTTTTTTTTATTTTAACTTTTATTTTAGATACAGGAGGTAACATGAGCAGATTTGTTACATAGGAGTATTGCATGATACTAAGGTTTGGAATATGGATCCCATCACCAAGTTAGTAAGCATAGTACCTGATAGGTAGATTTTTAGCCCACCTTCCTCTCCCTTCACCCTCTAATAGTCCACAGTGTCTACTGTTTCCACAGAACATGATTTCATTATTTTTATGCCTGCATAATATTTCATGGTATATATATGCTACATTTTCTTTAACCAATCTACCACTGATGGACACCTGGGGTTGATTCCATGTCTTTGCTATTGTGAATAGTGCTGTGATGAACATGCAAGTGTGTATGTCTTTTTGGTAGAATGATTTATTTCCTTTGGGGTATATATCCAGTAATGGGATGGTTGTATCAAATGGTAGCTCTATTTTTAAGTCCTTTGCAGAATCTCCAGACTGCTTTATATAGTGGCTGCACTAATTTACATTTCTACCAACAGTGTATAGGCATTCCCTTTTCTCCACAGCCTCACCAGCATCTGCTGTTTTCTGACGTTTTAGTAATCGTCATTCTGAGAGGTGTGAGATGATATCTCATTGCGGTTTTGATTTGCATTTCTCTGATGATGAGTAACGCTGAATATTTTTTCATGTTTGTTGAACACTTGCATATCTTCTCTTGAAAAGTGTCTGTTCATGTCCTTTTCCCATTTTTTTTAAATGGGATTATCTGTTTTTCACATTTTGATGTGTTTAACCTGTCTGCAGATTCTGGAAATTAGGCCTTTGACAGATGCATAGTTTGAATATCTTCTCCCATTTTATATTTCTCCCAAAATACTGGTATAAACATTAAAGAAGAAAATACTTTTTACTCAGTTGATAGTTTCTTTGGTTGGGAAGAAGCTCTTTAGTTTAAATAGGTCCCACTTGTCTATTTTTTGTTGCTTTTGGAGACTTAGCCAAACATTCTTTTCCAAGGCTGATGTCGAGAAGAATATTTCCTAGGTTGTCTTCCAGGACTTTTGAAGTTTGAGGTCTTACATTTAATCTCTAATCCATTTTGAGTTAATTTTTGTATATGGTGAAAAATAGTGGTCCAACTTCAATCTTTTGAATATGGCTAGCCAGTAATCCCAGCATAATTTATTGAACTGGGAGTCCCTTCCCCATTGTTTCTTTGAGTTGGCCTTGTCAAAGATCAGAGGTTTGTAGGTGTGGCTTTATTTCCAAATCTTCTATTCTATTCCATTAGTCTATGTATTTGCTGTTGGACCAGTACCAAGCTGTATTGATTGCTGTGGCTTTATAGTATAGTTTGAGCTGCCTCCAGCTTTGCTCTTTTTGCTTAGGATTGCTTTGGTTGGTTTGGCTCTTTTTTTGGTTCCATATGAATTTTATAATCAATTTTTTCTAATTCTATGATAAATGCTATTAGTAGTTTGATAAAAATAATATGGAATCTGTAAATTGCTTGGGCAATATGGCCATTTTTATAATGCCGATTCTTTTGATACAGGAGCATTGAATGTTTTTCAATTTATTTGTGTCATATCTGATTTCTATCAGCAGTGTTTCATAGATTTTGTTGTAGAGATCTTTCTCCTACTTGGTTAGCTGTATTCCTAGCTACTTCATTTTTTGGGGGGCTACTGTAAGTGTAATCATGTTCTTGATTTTACTCTCTGCCTGGACATTGTTGGTATATAGAAGTGCTACTAATTTTTGTACATTGATTTTCTACCCTGAAACTTTACTAAAGTTGTTTTTCAATTCTAGGAGCCTTTTGGCAGAGTCTCCAGGATGTTTTAGGTAAAGAATCATATCGTCAGCAAAGAGAGATAGTTTGACTTTTGTTTTTTTTTTTCCTATTTGGAGGCCTTTTATTTTTTTCTCTTCCCTGATTGCTCTAGCTATGAATTCCCGTACTATGTTGAATAGGAGTGGTGAGAGTGGGCACGCTTGTATTGTCCTAGTTCTCAAGGGGAATGGTTTGAGCTTTTTGCCCATTCAATAAAATGTTGGTTTTGGGTTTGTCACATATGGCTCTTACTTATTTTGAGGTGTGTTCCTTTGACAAATAGTTTGTTGAGAGTTTTTAATCATGAGGGGATGTTGGGTATACTAGTATTTTTAAATTAATTTTATTATTCCTTAGGAAACCATTGTGGGTGTCAAGTAATTCATCCTAAATAAAATTTACAACACATCAATTGTTCTAGAAGAATATGAAAATCTTATCAAGGAAAATCTGTTTGCCCAGTGCTCTTATAGTTCTCGAATATAACACAACATTAAAAATTATATCACTAGCACAATACTTGTATTTTGCAAATCTAAAGTTGAGCAGAGATTTTGATTGCTTGCAAAATAGCATTTTTTCTAATCAAAAGTTTGAGAAAATGGCTCCTTTTGTTATCTAAATTAATCAATATATGTCTGATAAATATATTAGTGGTAGAATTCTTGAAATAAGCAATATATTTCCAGTTTGACTTTCTTGATCCTTAGTATACTTTATTCTAACTTTGTAACTAATATAAAAAATGACATTATCCCTGGAAACTGCCTTAAATAGGAAGAAATAATTTGATGTAAATCTATATAACTACTTTTAAGGTTACATTTTGAGGTGATCTTAGCTAAAAAGAGATAGAGATGACAACAAAAGTTTGCACTACTGTGATATATATGCTAATGATTTTTTAGACAGACAAATAATAATTTAATATACAAAATGCATTATAAATTCAAACCCTTTCTGTAAATATACTTTGTTTTTCTATTTTATCTAAATATTGTGCATCGGTACTACTTTGCCTTTATCTTTCTTTACCTGTAAATATACTCACATGCATGTATCTATCAAATTAACGTTTGAATTCGTAACTTATCACTGTGTATTATGATTTTGTTTCTATAAGGTTAACTATTGTTTGCATCTACAAACTGCAAAGACCACAAAATGACATTTTTTTATTTTAAAATAATTCAAACTTACAAAAAGGTGCAAAAAATAGTTTAAATATTACATCTTACATAAGCGCAGAATAATTATCAAAAGGAGATAACTGATGTTGACACAATACTATTAACACATCTACAGGCCTCTTTCAAATTTTACTAATTGTCCCGCTAATGTCATTTTTCTGGTCCAGGATTTTATTCAGGGTCCCACACCTTAAGTATAATTATTTGTCTCTTTAGCTTCCTCCTATCTAGGAAAGTTTGTAATTTTTTAAAATCTATCATAACCTTGAAACTTTTGAAAAATGCTGGTCTAACATGTCTTAGAATGCCTCTCAGTTTGAGTTTTTCTGGTAGTTATTCATGTTGAAATGTGTATTTGGCAAAAATGTCACAAAATATATTGTGAGGCCTTCTTAGTGCATCTTATCTGGAGATACACAGTGCTGATATATCTCATTACAGAGGAAACCACCTTCAATTACTTGGTTGAGTTGATGGCCTCTAGGATTTTGAATTGTAAACTTCAAAATTTTCTATTTATGATCAAAAAGTATTTTACGAGAATATACTTGAAGATATGTGGTTATCCTGTATATTACAATTTTTTTTCTATCTTTTAAAGAGGTATTTTTTAAATTGTGAATTTCTGTATTGATCATTTCACCTACTTTTATTAGTTAGAATTCTATGAAAAACTAACTTTTCTCTCCCATTTATTTATTATTCATTTATTTATTTATATCATTCTGGACTTATAGATATTTATTTTTTATATTTCATAATTTGTTCTTATGGTTAACGTGAATTTTATTTCTCAGTTTATTCCAGATAGGCATTTGGATCTCTTCCCCATTGGCTAACATGCTCCTTTGATATCTTTTTTTTTTTTTTTTTTAAAGCATGTTTTTACATTTCTAGTTCTAGGAGAGCTTCTAGGATAATCTTTTAATTTTCCTTCTCAGGTCTTGCAGTCAACAATTTTCTTTAAGGAAATCATCTGTTTAAAAAGTATTTTTTTTTCGTGACTGACATTTAGAAAACAGTATCTATGGCCGGACGCGGTGGCTCACGCCTGTAATCCCAGCACTTTGGGAGGCCGAGGCGGGTGGATCATGAGGTCAGGAGATCGAGACCATCCTGGCTAACAAGGTGAAACCCCGTCTCTACCAAAAATACAAAAAATTAGCCGGGCGCGGTGGCGGGCGCCTGTAGTCCCAGCTACTCGGGAGGCTGAGGCAGGAGAATGGCGTGAACCCGGGAAGCGGAGCTTGCAGTGAGCCGAGATTGCGCCACTGCAGTCCGCAGTCCGGCCTGGGCGACAGAGCGAGACTCCGTCTCAAAAAAAAAAAAAAAAAAAAAAAAAGAGAAAACAGTATCTATGTCTTAACTGTGCTTGCTCATTGATACCGGTGTTTGTCTTTACTTTGAATCTCTCGCAGAAGAGAGGAGGAGAGAACATATGTGTGATAGACAGACACAAATATATATATTTTTCTATATCAGCATGTGTATGTGTATTTTAAACCATGTGTTCATACTGATACCTCCAATTTAAATTCAACACTATACAGTTTACTAACCTTCTGCTTTTCCTATCTGTAGCTCTTCTCCAATAGTGAGAAATATAGCTTTTATTATTGATGATATTTAATTTGCTCAATCCTAGAATAAACATATATTAGTTTTAGAATTGAAGATCAATATCTCTGTGATAAACAAATTTCCAACTAAAGTACAATATTTGTATAGTTTTTTTCTTGTACCTTAGAATTTATAGCCAAAATACTCTTCTGCATGATGAAAGAAAGCTTATCTTGTAAAAAAAAAAATTAAGCTGAAACCTGTAAGTTAAATAGTTAATATATGAAAAGAGAAGAAGACAGTGTTCCAGGCAAGAGGAAAATGTGAGGTGGAGAGAAACTTTGTGAGTTTCAGAAACAAACGGTCAGTATAGACTTTGTGAATCTTTTTGCAGTTCAATAAATTATATGCCCTGTAGAGACAGGATCTCCTAGTAATACAGGTAGAAGTGTGACAGTGACATTAAGATCACATACATTGTTTTATTTGAGGAGTTACAAATCATTTTAGCTTCTTTCTCTTGTAGACATTCCTAAAGTAGAAATAATATGAACAGTGGAAGAACATTGCCAGTCTGTAACTGGGAAAAGCCAGTGGAGCAGTCTCAAAATAAAAAAAACAAATCTACCTACAAAACAGATCTTGTATTTGTCCACATTTCCTCCATACTCATTACGATCACCTTAATATCAATTTTTCAAGTGATCTTCCTGTTACTTATGATGTTATTCTGCTACCCTCAGACCTAGATAATTAGCAGAGTAGAAGTTAACTCCCTGATGCTTTTCCTTGTCATAAGCATGTCTTTTTAGCAAACAATGTTTTAAATTATGGTATTTATTTACTTATGAGACATGTGAGGCTAAACATTATTTGAGGCATCTAGAATAATAAGTTGAAATGCTTGAGAAAAATCCAAGTATAATTCTATTGAAGGGCAGGAAGAGAAAATAATCAACTTTTAGATGATAACTAACAATTAATTAAAATAAACAAACACATTAATAAACTTGAATTCCTCTTGTTAAAAAAACTGTGAGCAATCAAGTAAAGTTCTACTTTTTACTAAGCTTTTAACATAAAAGTAAGTGATGTGCGGCTTTTGTATTCCTTTGTGCCTACTCCTATACCATCTCAATCCCTGAGTTAAATTCACAATCACAACTTTGTTGTAAACTATAATGGGTTGAGTCCAGATCTCCTGTAATTGCTTCATCTTTCATGCTAAATTCTGGTTCTCCTCTCATTGACAGGTAGGCATGTTGGTTCTAATTTTAAGAAGTAATATTGAGGCCGGGCGCGGTGGCTCACGCCTGTAATCCCAACACTTTGGGAGGCCGAGGCGGGCGGATCACGAGGTCCGGAGATTGAGACCATCCTGGCTAACACGGTGAAACCCCGTCTCTACTAAAAATACAAAAAATTAGCCGGGCGAGGTGGCGGGTGCCTGTAGTCCCAGCTACGCGGGAGGCTGAGGCAGGAGAATGGCGTGAACCCTGGGGGGCGGAGCCTGCAGTGAGCCGAGATCGCGCCACTACACTCCAGCCTGGGTGAAAGAGCGAGACTCTGTCTCAAAAAAAAAACAAAAAACAAAAAACAAAAAAACAAAAAAAGAAGTAATATTGAAGAAAAGGTTTTGAATTCAAGGATTCAGAGTAAATTATGCAAAACATTTTTTATAAATTCTGAGTCAAACAGGAGTGGGAACGAACATTAGAATGAATGATGACTAGTAATATTATTTTATGAAACACTTTTTTCTTAGCACTATGTAGGGAACGCCTCTCAACACGAAATAACACAGATTCCTTAGAGTCAAGCATCGTTGACAGTTTCTGGTTATAGGGGTGTTTGAATCGCCTGTGCTTGTTTTTCTTTCCTTGCCTAATTTCTTACTTAAACAGAGTAATTACTGGTACTAGCTATGGCCATTTTAGTTTGCTGTCTTAATTATGCTTTGCAGAGGTAAAAATATAATTAACTGGAAAAAGTGTTAATGTATTCATATTTTCCATGCCAGAATTTTGAGGTGCAAGGACAAAGCCAATGTAAATGTCCAACTACTGCATAAACTGAGTATAGTCCAAGGACCTCAAAATAAAGCGTGTTTTTTATTGACCCTGCAGATAGATCTTTGTATAGTGAAGGTAAACACGCTCTTCTTAAAAGCATTCTGCTGGAAATGAAGCTGTGTGTGTGTGTGTGTGTGTGTGTGCGCGTGAGCGTGCGTGTGTGTGTGAGTTGTGATTTGTGAGTTTTCTTGGGAGGGTGTAAAGGAAGATAATATGCGGGCATATATTTGGTAAAAGGAGGTTTTCCCTTTTATCTGTAAAGAAGGGGATCTCTCCTCAATAGTCTTTCTTTTGTTGAAACCCGTAGGGGCTACCTTGACTAAGAAAAATGGGGCTGAATGACATCTTAAATTGTTCCCCGAAGGCCTTGAGATGGCTTGTTCAAGCATCTTTGGGTCCCTCCAGACTCTTGTTACAAATTCAAATAGCACAAAATCCTTCAGATAATTTGCTGGTTGCTCCATAATTCCTGTTTTTCCCCCATAAAATTGCTGGTGATTATATTGGTTTAAAGAATTTGCTTAGAGAAAAATAATAATAACTGAATAAAAATGAAATTCCGTGGATTTTGATTTTAATGAAGGGCACATAGAGATTATTTATTCTTTAAAAAAATGTTAATAGACACTTCAGATAATATATGGAAAATATATATTTTGTAAGTGAATCTGCAATTACACAGTTAGTAAAACACATTGTAATGTAGTCCTTAACACATCAGATACCGTTTTTGTATCTCTTTATATTTTTCAATAGTCCATCTAATGAATTCTAAATGTATTATTGCTTTCATCAAGTTGAAAATGATTTTGAATAAGCATTTCTGTGCCCAAATAAATCGTAGGTCCTTGAACCTCCAAATGGTGATTGAAATAAAATAAAACTAGGCATTTAAGATTTTGGTTTCAATTTTCTGACTCAATCATGAAAGAAATATAACTTACATTTACATTTTTTAGATAGTGTTTAAATTTACAATTTGCAATCCAACATAGAGGTAGTGTCATACAGAGAAAAGAATACTGAATTTGGAATCAGAGTTGATTTACGAACCATCTCTACCATTTACTGCCTTTGGATAAGTTACTTACTTAAATTCTTTGGGTGACAGAGTCTCCTTTTGTAAAATGGCAATACTCCCTATTGCACAGGGTTATTGTGGCAATCAATGACAGTGCACCTGAAAACATATTAGAAAACTTTTTAATGCTGTCAGAAAGTGGTAAAAGGACTTTATTTTTTCAGCATATGCATCTTTAGGAAAGCTGTAACATAGATACATTCTAAGATTTTTAAGCACGGTAGGTAAAAATGAATGAGCAGGCCTGGAATTTCTGCTTTATTTATTAGGGGATTTTAAAGTAAGAAATAATATGGTCAACTCTACTTGTAAGTGCTAATGGCAAATGTCGTGGCAGTCACAAATGGTCTATGCTACCAAAAGGGTTCACATCTATGAAATATTTTAATCAGGCGGTATCTGGTTCATCTAAGATAACTGAATGCTAGAAAAACAATCAAATGAATAAAAATATATTTAAAATCTGAGGCATTCACACTATTTAAATTTCAAAGTAAAAATGGTTCTATTTCACTATTTCATCCCCCAATCATTTTCTGAGAATTTGGCTTATGTTCTAAGGGTAGCTCCATTATTATCATTGTTGTTGCTATTAATCAGGATAGAGGATTGCTCACATAAGAAATATATTTATGGATAAAAATTACCTTAATTAAGCTGTGGCACCATGAAACAAATGAATCCCTATAGGGATTATGTAGGTAATTCCACACTTGAAATACTCCTATATTACGAAGAAGCTTGGTTTTTGTTTTGTTCTTGCTTTATGTTTTTAGAGTATTTTGTGTTAGTTCTCCACGTTTTAAATTATAGCTTTTACTTCATCTTTATATGCTCTGAGCATTTAGGGGAAAAATCATATCACATACATTCTGGAATTGTCATTCAAATCCTGCCTCTGTTACTGACTAGCTGTGAGACACCGGTCAATTCTTTCAAGCTTGCTGGGATTCAATGTCCTCATCTGTGTGAATAGAGGATTTGAGTCAATAATCTTCCCAGGACTGCCAGAGTCAAAGTGATTATTACCTCTGTTTCACTGCAGTTGAAACTGAGGCTCAAGAACAAAGTTCTTCATCCACTAGCCCATTTACTTCCCAACAGTGGAATTTAGAGAGATTTGTAACAGCTTTTTGTATTTTCCTTTTGATGTCTCTATCAGCATCTTTTTTGAATGTTAACAAAAATATGAGCTCATATGGAGACTCTTTTTATTAGCTTTGTTTATGTAATTGTCTCAATGAAAACATTCTTGCAAAATAGAAAATGAATTATCATTAATTCCAAGAATCAAATTTATGAAACATTTCATATATATTGTAATTAACCAAGGTAGGTGGTTTTGTTCTCAGCTTGAAAATGAAAGAAAATAATTTTCAAGAGTTGTTAGGTTGTGTTTATTTTACTAGAATGTGAAAATTATTAGTTGTCCCTGATATCAAAGCATTGGAAGATATATAAGACTTCAACCCAGATCTGTATGGAGGTTATGTATATATTGTATCATAAAATTTCTCCTAAGAAATTGGGTCAATAATATGTTCTATAAACTATGACTGTAATTTGTAGTTGGATTTTAGGAGAACTCCCATCCCATCCATCTCCCTCATTTGCCCCTAAGTTTTCTACTTTACATCATTTATTACTTTTTCCATCTTCCAGGGACCTTATGTCAGCCATATAATGCCTAGTAGAAGCAAAAAAGAATTACTCGACATACCTAGTAACCACTAAAATGTAGCGAAACATGAAATTTCAGAGTGGTTAAGTGCAATGAAGCTGGTATTTTTGCATTTGAATCTAGGTTCCAAGGCTTATTAGGTTTGTGGTCTTTATAAGTTAGATGAACTCTCTAAGCCTTAATAACTTTGTTTGTACAGTGTTGATAATACGAATAGCATCAGACTTCATGTTTTGATGGTTTGATGAAATTAGTTAACTTTTCATGAGAAAATATTAGATACAAAGAGGTAGGTAATAATCTCAGGCATTCTGATATCACTGGAAGCATAAATTTTAAAATCTTCCACCTAATTTGAGCTTTCCATATTTATCTGAATGACAATTTATGCATTTGGTGATTCATATGATTTCTAAATTCTTCCCCTTCCTTTAGTTTCTTGACTTTGACCTTCTCTGATACCATAGCCATACTTTAAACACTGATCTCAAAATCTCTAATCCCAAATTGTAATCACACCTATACCTGCATTGATTCACTTTATAGCATGAGTTTGGAGTTCTCAGTGTTTGGACTATATCCAATATCTTACTGACCTAGCCATGATTTCCATGAAAGAAATGCTTGAGCCATTTCCTTTATACCATTTACTTTTATCATATTGATTCCATCTATAACTGCACAGAACTCTAGAAAACTGGGCCTGTGAGTTTACATTTGGATGAGAGAGATTGGAAGTAAAATCCAGGACAAAGGCTACTTCTCAGTCGATATCCTGAACCGTTGTTCAAAACATGGGGAATGAAAGTACAATCTGCTGAGTTAACAGAAATTTCATCTACAAGATGGTGCACAGTGCTTATTTTTGTGGGTTTGCCATCTTGAACAAAAATATTAGGTGTTATATTTTCACTGAATGAATATAACAATAGCTTTGTTAAACGACTTATTTAATGTCATGTGTTGTAATCTGTCATATTTTGTATTTCAAACTTGATTATGTTTTGGACATTTAGTGTCATGTGCATGTGTGTGTGCACTCAGTTCCACAGTATAAGGATCTAACCCATATTACAAAAGAAAATATAGACCTGCAAAATTCGAGGGGAGGATGAGTGACATATATACTACAAGAAAAAAAGACTACTGTATTTCTGTATTTTGCCACAAGTGGAACAACAAGGATATATATTTACTATTGTGAAACAATCATTCAGTGTAAAGGAATAGGGGTTAATTTGTATATTCTTCATATGCTTAATTTATAATTAAGTCTGTTGAATAAACAGGGTGTGTACCTTGTGCTTCCTTCATAATGCTCTCACAAGGTTTCTGTAAGTTCTCTTCACAGTTATCATTTAGATATGATTGACAACCTAGATTAGACCAGCAGTAGCTACAGTTGAAAACAGATTAGAGACATAGGTGTTATAGGCATCAAGTGCAAAGAGGATATATGATACAGCAGGAATGGCAACCATAGAAATGCAGCCAGTGGCTAATGTATGTTGGACCTGATCAAGCATGATCTCATTTATAACACTTTCATCAGATCAGCTATTGCTGGGTGTTGTGCAACCTAACATCTTGATAGATCAGATGTCACCTGATTAGACATCTGAAGTCACATGATACCTTAATAGACCATGGAAAGCTTTCCATTTTTGTCTAAGTCCAAATAAGCCAGAAACTGCTGCTCCATAGAATAGTTAGCTGTAAAGAATGATGTAGAGTTTCTCCAAAATCCTGTGCTGTTATTACTCAATATAGCCCTGGAAAAGGCTCCACACAACACCCCTATTAATCATAGACCCTTCAAAAGCCATTATTGCCTCCTGGGTCAATAGGGTTCATGTACTGGAATAACTTACCCAGAAGCCAAGACCTATTACTAAGAATTTTCTTGCTTTGAGCCCTGCTTAAGTGTGACAATCTTTTGGGTTTCTTGGTAAATGGGCTTGAATAGCATGTCCATAAAGGGTATACAGTCCTTCAGATCCAAACAGGTTCACTAAGCATGGTGCTATTTTTCACCTTAGATGATATAGCTATAAAATATATGTATAATATTTATATTACATATATATATACAGACATTTTTTAAGAAATTTTATCAATGTGGAAAACCATTAATTTTCTCTGTATTTATTTTCCACCCTTCGGTACACATGTGTCTTATCAATATATCTAGGCTAGTTATTACTTCTGTTTATCAGCTCCAATATATATGAAACGATCAATCTAATGAATACATATAATATGAGGAATGGAAAAGGGATCAATTTCCCTGTGGGATAGATTATGATGTAGTTGATACAGCTCTGTGGTAAGAAAATGAAGCTGTATTACTGGATGTGCCAGCTACATGCAAACTGTTTCTGGTGTCCTTACTAAAATGCAGAAAATAAACAACACATTCCCAGATCAATACCTGAATATCAGGTGCCAGGGTATGTGCTCATTTGCTCCATCAAAGAAATTACATCTGGAGCAGCAGTTGAAATTGAAGTTACCACAGGATTAAGTTTACAATAACCCACTTTCTCTAAGATCCATTTATCTTTGGCACAAGAAAATAAGCAAGTGGAATTGGGGTGTGATTGAAATCACTAACCCTACATAATTCAAGTTTGTGATTGTGGAACTAATCTCATAGTCTTTCTAGGAAAACAACATGTCCTTTTTTGACATACAGTTTTATATTTTGCTGTCAGATAACCAGTGTGGGGTTTCTGCCAGTTGCTGAGTTTGTCTCTTTCAACTATGCATGTAAGAATTGAGAAAATAATTATACCAAGGGTTTGGAGTTTCACTGTTCCCACTGTGAGATGGACCTGAGGCAACTCCATTAATTACTTGACTCTCATTACACCCTGCACTGAGGTTGCACCACAGTGGCAATTTTATTTTCAGGAATTAGTGTTAGTTCAGGTCAATTTGTAAAAGAATCTCTGAAAGTCTGGTTATTTGCCCTTTACCAACTCAAAATAACTCTACTATATAATGAAGATTCACTGGAGAAAAACTAGAAGGAAGATTTATAAAATATATTTTTGACAGGATTTCCCTGTACTTTTTTCAAAGGGACTCATCCTCCCTTTTTTAGTAAGGGTACGACTATGTAAACTGATTCAAGCCTGGAAAATAATCAAGGGGCCAGAAGTCTCTACTCTGGCCATTAAGATAAGATTTGTGTTCACTAGACCATGAGTTTCCAAGTTAAAAATAATTAACAGACTGACCACTGATTTCAGTCCCAAGGACACCATAATAAATTAGCCAGAATAAAAAAACTCTGTAGTTCTATGCTGCCAGTTACAGTAACCATTACAAAATTTGCATTTGGCAGTTAAATGCAAGCTACCTTCCTCCTTCAACTCCAGGAATTCATTTGATGACAAGCATTTCTACTGTCACTCCTGGCCTGTAAAGAACAGCTATTGCGGAGTTCTTTAAGAATGCTAGTGCTCCACTTACCACTGTATGCTTTAAAGCTTCAGTGAAAAGATTGTCCGCCTCCAAGACACAGAGTTAGGGGTTGAGTAAGCAGATGTTTCCTAATATATTCATGTATTAATCCATTCTCATGCTGCTATAAAGAAATACCCAAGACTGGGTAATTTATAAAAGAAAGAGGTTTAATTGACTCACAGTTCCGCATTGCTGGGGAGGCTTCAGGAAACTTAGCGATCATGGTGGAAGGCAAAGGAGAAGCAGGGCAGCAAAATGGAGAGGGCAAGCAGGGGAAATGCCACACGCTTATGAAACCATTAGATCTCCTGAGACTCACTCATTTTCACAGGAACAGCATGGGGGAAACCACCCCATGATTCAATTACCTCCAACTTGTCCCTTCTTTGACACGTGAGGTTACGGGAATTACAATTCAAGGTGAGATTTGGCGGGGGACACAAAGCCAAACCATATCAGTCCACCTCAGGATCTCAATCTCAATATGCCTGTGGATACTTTCTTATAAAATAGGACTGTCCAAAAACTTCTTGCAATGAAGGAGTTATTTTATATCTATGTTATTTAGTGTGGTGACCACTACTTAGAAAAGACTTGTAAGTCCTTATAATATGGCTAATACAATAAACAAATGAATTTAACTTAATTCATATTAATTAAAATAACCACATGTATCCAATACCATCACATTGAAAAGCACAGATATACAGATTAGTAAGAAAGTTCTGGCATCACAACTTCGTTTGTCATCAATTATAATTTTTTCTGTGTTTGAGCAGCCAACCAAGCGAACCGCTATAGGTCACCCAGCTACTTGAGCAAAGACACTGAAATCAGACACTTGTTAGTGCAATTATATCAACAACATTAGTTTGAGCTAAGATTTTATTAATCCTGATCCGGCATGCTTAGAATCCATTATGTCTTTGAATCTAGTTAAATCAAGACGCCAATTCCAGATTCCAATAATTAAAGTTCTATTTTCTGGGGACCACTTCTTTTGCTATAATAATAACTGTTTTAGTCATGCTCCAGTCAGGGAACCAGGATCACAGGGTCACTGTGAATGTTACATAATGACACATTTATTTATAAGAATTAGTTTTTACAGAATTGTTTAAAGAGCTCTGGGAGGAGAAGTTGGAGATTCAGAAAAAGAGTAACTAACCTGATCTCCTTAAGCACAGGCTTGGATTGACAGAACTTCCCAGCAAATCTAATGAGCTAAGCTCATTCAGCTACTGAAATGGGACTGGGTAGGGCAGACTTTGAAGAGGTGTATGAGAAGCTGTTGACTTTGGCTAACTCCATCTCTGTGGATCTGCATGCAAATGTCTGATTGTGGAATTGGGGCCATTGTTCATCAGCAAGGCCAAAAAATGGGTAGATGAGCTGGACACGAGCACAGAAGTGAAAGGATAGGCTAGGACCTGGTGAGAGCCCTTTGCATCTGACTGTCATGACATCTGGTAGTGAACACCTGAGATTAATGACCACTGCTTTATCCATATCGTCCACATCTCATGGTAGCTTCTATTTTGGTCAACTCCAAAATGGGAACATACAGGGAAGTTATTCTGGAACATACAATTCCAAACTTAACCAAGTTGACATTGGTAAAATACAGCACACTTCCCAATTTTATTACATACTTCTCAGATTAGCAACAATGTATCAGAAACAATATCTGTCCCAGAGTTTGGATGAGTAATTAATGGTAGTGATAGAATTTGAAGAAGGATCATGAGAGTGCAGTGTTAAAAACAGCAGGTCAGGTTTTTCTTTAAGATCATTGATATGCCACAGCTCTCTGCTCCCTGCTATGATGAGGGAGACAATACACAGTCTCTGTGATGAAGAATTATGCCACCCTAATGGCACCTGCTAATAAACTAATACCACTAGTCTGAAAATACTTTACAAACTCATGATTATTGAAATCACCTCCTATAGCCATATTTTTCCTTAAACTCTCTTTTACTATAGCTTATTGGATTAGATATGTATCCTTAGTCAAGTTAGGCCAATGGCAGTCTCTCTTCTGGGTGATTGCAATTAGGCCCAAGAGAGGATGTGTCATTTTCCCTGTGAATTGAAAACTCCAGAGCTGATTTGTCCTGTGGGCCAGAATAGCAAAGTAAATCAATCTAGCCTGAGTATGAGAAAAACAGGTCTAAAACTGATTTGCTGTGAGATGCAATGTCCAGAGAAAAAGAAATATTTTTCATCACTAATTCTCTAACTTCACTTTTTTGAGGTTTATTTCTGCTATGACTTCATGCAAAACTCCCTTTTTGTTGTTTTTATTTGTTTGTTTGTTTCTCAAATAACTCCCCTGATATGCTTAAGCCTAGTTTGAATTTATTTACATTAAAAATGTCCTAATATTGGACCCATATTTGAATTGCTCCAGATAGCAATACAACCTAGGAAGTAACCAGGAAATAATTCATCAATTTATTTCTTTTCTAGTGGGTTGGACAACAATATCTATTTCCCAGGATTGCCTGTGTATTATGGCTTCATGAAGATGGGTGATAAATGTTAAATACCAAAAAAAAAAAACCAGGATTAAAATATTCCATGTCAGTAAGTCAAGGTAACGTAGCTAAAACAGCCCATTCTAGAGACAGATGTGTTTGGTCCACATCCTAATTCCTCCTTATGACATATGAAACCTTAGACAACTACTCTTTGGTTCTTATTTCTCTTACATGTAAAATGAGGATGATAATAGCACTGATAAGATAGGGTGGTTGCTTTAATTGCTTGAGTTAATATATGTAACATATAAAATATATATTTTAACATTTAATATATGTTAAATAGTATTATTACTATCAATTATAGAAATCTGTACCCCCAATATAAGAGTATTTTTCATATTTGGTGGAATAAATTTATTAATTTTGATATAGTACCATTATTAGAAAACTGTATATGCATGCAGTTTCAGGCTCAGTATTTCACAAGAGATGATGGCATTTCTTGAGTTGGACAAAAGCTACTTTTTTATATTTCTTATGCTGGTTGTCAGTAATTTTTCTGCAAAGATAAAATCATAAATCCCTTCCTGGATCATAAGTCCCAATTATGCTGATATAAAAGTATTTGAAGATAGGAGAATATAAACAATCATTTTCCAGTTTGTTTACTGGACTGACCATGTTCCTTTGTTATCAATATTATATTGATATAATGCTTGAAATCTTTGATATTATCAAGTAAATTGTAGCAGATGGAAAAGCAGAAGGATTAGCAGGTAACCCTAAAAAGGACAAAATAGAGAGAGGGCAGTTTATTTCCAAGACGTGTCATAGTAGGTGTCAAAGGAGAATTATATAGAAGCAGTTTATGATCTTTGGGTAGTTACATATAAGTCACATGTATGCAGAATAAACAGAAGCAATGAAATATTCACTCAAGACAACATAGTTAGATATTTACATTGCTTGAAAAATAATATCTCTACTATATCTGAAGTGATTTGACAGTTTGTTTTTTATTCTCTGTAGTCTAGAAACCAGTGATGCTTCTAAATTTAATGATACACAATCATTTTTCCGTAACTCTGTTTTCCTATAAGCTAGTAATGTAGGTATGTCATATGTCTGTAAATACTTCTAAGTTAGACTGACTTACTCAACAAAAGGCTTTTGTTATTTGTTGTAGTTCTACATTTCTATGTGCTTCTACAAACCCTATATTTTTACTGTGTCTTTGTCAATAACTCCATTTAAGTACTTAGCCCTCTTCTCTCTAGAAATGATAAAGTCTGAGAGACGTTACGAAAGGAAAGAACAGGTTAGCTCAGAATTATATATTTCAATTGTTTTCTAGAAACTCTAAAAGCAATGATGCACTTTTCATTTCCACAATACACTTTTGCGAGACTCCTCTCCCATATGGGTCCTAGAGTCAATTTCCAGAAGTAGAAGGAGCTTTGGAGATTACATTAGAATTAAAAAACTGAGGCTGGAGTTTGGACCTGATTTAACACAAATCAGAAAGCTGTGACTAACCCCAGGCTTCTAGTTCCCATTCTGTGCCCTATTGTCACTGTTTTTTATTTTATTGCCTTCTCAATAATTAACCAAATTTGTTCACTTGTGATGGTATATTTAGAAAGATAAAGAAAAAATATTCATTGATGTTATGCTGCTGATAAGTTTTCATTTAAATTGATGAGCTCATGGCTGCTTAATGCTGAAGGCTAGAAGTTCAGGATAAAACTGTTAACAATGTTTATTTCAATCAGAGACCTCTCCTTCATTTATAGATTGGCCATCCTTTTCTTTTTCTTTTCTTTTCTTTCTTTTTTTTTTTTTTGTCATCAGATGCTCCAGATGCTCTTTCCTCCATATTTATCTGTGTTCTAATCTCCTTTTCTTATAAGGACAATAGCTGTCTTAGGACCCACTTTAGCAACTTCATTTAAACTTTACCTCCTAAAAATCTATGTTCAAATATGGTTACATTCTGAGGTACTAGGGGTTAGAACTTCAATGTATACATATTGAAGAACACAATCTGATATGACCTTCCCTTTAAGGAAATTTCTTCATTGTTGCACATAGTAGTGATACTTACATTCTATTGATTAGAATTTAGTCATATGACTATACATATGTAGCCATATGACTAACTATACAGATTTCTATTTCAAAGAAAGAGTAAACCGTTGTTAAAGTATAAACAAAAATTTCAATCATACTTATTTTGAAAAAAATCACAATTAGAACTAAGAGCATGGTCACCAGTCTACAAAGAGCTTGCATACCTTATATGCCTATGAGAACCTTGGTTGCAAGAAAAACGTCTCTAATTTATTTAGAAAATAAAGGGTTGTGATCATATAGTGGTCAAGTACATTGCACTGTGAAAAATAAAGGGATTTTCTTGTGAGTATATGAGGGAAATCCAAAAAGCAAAGGAAAAATGAAAGATTCTGGCCTCAGAGAATTATATCTGAGAAGGTTTAGGAATGTAGATAGACATAACTGAGAACAAGTTCTCATTAGTTCAATATGCCACAAGTTGGATTGATCTGACCCAAGGTTTTCAATATATTCAAAATTCAAATTTCTAGGTTAAAAATTCTGAGTGTATAGAACATGAAAGACATCTATGTCTAAGTGAAGGGATGGCTGGAGACATTCAGAAAAGCGACACAAATGAATGCAATAATGGGTTACATAAGAAAACAAGGATTATTAATACAAAATCAATATACTAAATATTCTGTCACCGGGGGCCTGGGATAGAGGAAATGGATGCTGGATGGGAACAAATATAAACTTACAAAATCACCACCCAAATCTAGAGATTCCAAAGTATGTATCTCTATAAACATGAGATAACCAAATACTAAATCAAAATGTAAATGACGATTAGAATGAAACACGGCACATATATACCATTGAATACTATGCAGCCATTAAAAAGGATGAGTTCATGTCCTTTGCAGGGTCATGGATGCAGCTGGAAACCATCATTCTCAGCAAACTAACACAGGAACACAAAACCAAACACCACATGTTCTCACTCATAAGTGGGAGTTGAACAATGAGAACACATGGACACAGGGAGGGGAACATCACACACTGGGGGCCTGTCGGGGGGTGGGGGGGGCTAGGGGAGGGATAGCATTAGGAGAAATACCTAATGTAGATAACGGGTTAATGGGTGCAGCAAACCACCATGGCACGTGTATGCCTATGTAACAAACCTGCACGTTCTGCACATGTATCCCAGAACTTAAAGTATAATTTAAAAAAATGAAAAATGAAGCTGATGAGAAAAGGAATTTAAACTTTGATCTGAGACTAATGAATGGGAACTAGATGCAAGAAAATAAAAATTATATTAAATGAATTTATAATTAAGTGCTATTATTTAAATCAAAACATGCAAACATAAAGTACATTAATCAAATATATCAATTAAAATATTTTGAAAATTATAATATAATTAAATGTGTAGTGTTGAGTCAAAGAGATTATTTCTAAGACACATAAAACCTATAAAATAAAAATAAATGGATTTACAGGGTAAAAAAAGAAAAGTCTATACAGTGATCAAACTGTATACTCTGACCTCGTTAAAATTGTATCTGACAAATCTAAAGTTTTTTTCCCCAGAGATCAAGTTTTATTTTATTCCTTTTTAAAATTTTATAATTTTTTTGATATTTTTCAACATTTTTATTTTCCGTTTTCTTTTTTTTTTTTTTTTTTTTTTTTTTTTTACTATTTTATATCACTCGAAGTCCATGATTTCATTAGTATTCAGTTTTGGTGTCATGTATTCTACGGATTTGGACAAATGCATCATATGTGTCCACAATTACAGTATCACACACAGTATTTTCATTTCCCTAAAATCTACCGCACTCTGCCTGTTCATCCCTCACTACCCCCTAATCTGTGGCAACCACGGATCTTTTTACTGTCTCCATAGTTTTACTTTTCCCTGAGTGTCAATAATTGGAATAATAGAGTACGTAGCTATTTCAAATTGTCTTCTTTCACTTAATAATATCTATTTAAGTTGTCTCCATGTCTTTTTATGTCTTCATAGCCCATTTCTTTTTAGCACTGAAGAATATGATGATGTAGATACACTATCATTTATCCAGTCATCAACTGAAGAACATGTTGGTTGATTCCAAGTTATGGCAATTATGCATAAAGCTGCTATAAGCATCCATGTGCTAATTTTTTTGTGGACATACATTTTCAACTCCTTTGATTAAATAGCAAGGAGTTTAACTGCTGGTTTATATGTAAAAGTATGTTTACTTTTGTAAGAAACTATCAAGTTAACTACCAAAGTGGCCGGACTATTTTGCATTCTGACCAGTAATAAATAAGAATTCCTGCTACTCCACATCCTTAGCAGCATTTGGCATTTTCACTGGTCTGAATTTTGGCCTTTCTAAATGGTGCATAGTGGTCTCTCATTGTTTTAATCTTCATTTTTCTGATGACATATGTCAAGGAACATCTTTTCATATGCTTATTTGTCATCTGTATACCTTCTCTGGTGAGGTGTTTTAAGGACTTCAGCCCATTTTTTAATCAGATTATCTTGTTGAATTTTAGGAGAGTTTTTTTTTCATATTTTGGATAACAGTTGTTTATATATCTTTTGTAAATATTTTCTTAGTTCGTGACTTGTCTTTGATTTGTTTGACATTGTCTTTTGAAGAGAAGAAAATTTCGATTTAAATGAAATCCAGCTTATAAATATTTCTTCCATGGATTCTGTCTTTGTTGTCATCTCCAAAAAGTCATCACCAAACCCAAGGTCATCTAGATTTTCTCCTATGTTATTTTCTAGGTATTTTATAGGTTTACACTTTAAATTTAGGTCTGCCGTTCATTTTGTGTGTGTGTGTGTGTGTGTGTGTGTGTGTGTGTGTGTGTGTTTTAAGTATATGAAGTCCGTGTTTAGACTCTTTCTTTTTTTTTGCATGTGAATATCTAGTTGTTCCAATGCCATTTTTTTGAAAAGACTATCTTTTCTCTGTTCTTTCGCCTTTGCTTTTTTGTCAAAAATTATTTGGCGATTTTATGTTTGTTTATTTTTGGACCCTTTATTCTTTTCTATTCATCTATATGTCTATACTTTCACCAATATCACACTGTCTTGACTACTGTTGTTTTATAGAAATTCTTAAAGTTGAGTAATGTTGGTACTCCAACTTTGTTTCCTTTTTAATATTGTGTTAGCTATTCTAAATATTTTTCCTATCTATACATTAAATTCCCAATACCTGCACTAATACTTTGTTGTACATTTCACTATGTCATGGCATATAATTCTTTTTATGCATTGTTGGATTTAATTTGCTAATATTTTGCTGAGAGGTTTTGCATCTGTGTTCATGAGTGATATTGGTCTGTAGTTTTCTTTATACATACTGTCTTTGTCTGATTTTGATATAAAGGCAATGCCAGACTCACAGAATGAGTCTGAAAGTATTGTCTCAGATTCTATCTTCTGAAAAAGTTTGTAAAGAATTTGTATAATTTCTTTCTTACAACTACTTGGTAAATTCACCAGTGGACCCAACTAGGCCTGCTGTTTTCCATTTCGGAAGGTTAATCATTTAATAGACATAGGTCTATTCAGATTGTCTATTTCTTCTTATGTTAGTTTGGCAGATCATGTCTTTCAAGGAATTAGTCAATTTTATCTAGGTAACACATTTGTAGGCATAGCATTGTTTAGAGTGTTCTTTTATTGTCATTTTAATATCCATAGATTCTGCAGTGATGCTCCCTCTTTTATTTCTAATATTAGTAATTGTGTCTGCACTGTTTTTTCTTAGTTGGCATGCCTAGAGTTTTATCAATTTATTTATCTTCTTGAAGAACCAGCTTTTGGTTCTATTGATTTTCTTTATTAATTTCCTGTTTTCAATTTTATTGATTTCTGCTTTAATTTTTATTCTTCGAATTACTTTGGATTTAATTTGCTTTTCTTTTTGTCACTTTCCAGTGTGAAAGCTGTTTCCTGATCATAGATATTTATTTTTAATAGGTGTATTTGATGCTATAAATTTCTTGTAAATATTGCCTTCACTGCATTGAACAAATTTTAATAAGTTGTGTTTTCATTTTCATTTTGTTTAAAACATATTTTACATTTCTCTTCATATTTCTTATTTGATCTCCATATGTTGTTTAGAAATATATTGTTTACTCTCCACATATTTTGGACTTTTTATTTTTAGTGCATATAAATACTCATAATTTTATTTTATTTTTAATTTAATTTTAAGTTCTGGGATACATGTGCAGGATGTGCAGGTTTGTTACATAGGTAAACGTGTGCCATGGTGGTTTGCTGCACCTATCAACCCATCACCTATGTATTAAGCTCCGAATGCATTATCTATTTATCCTGAAGCTCTCCCTCCCCACCACCACACTCCCAACCATGTGTGTGGTTCGCCTCCCTGTGTCCATGTGTTCTCACTGTTCAGCTCCCACTTATAAGTGAGAACATGTGGTGTTTGGTTTTCTGTTCTGTGTTAGCTTGCTGAGGATAATGCCTTCCATTGGATTTTTCAATTACCTTTTTGTTATTGTTACCTAGTTTAATTCCACTGAGATCTGAGGGCACATATCATATAATTTCTATTGTTTAAAATGTGTTAAGGTGTATTTTATAGCACAGAGTAAGGTCACCATTTTTCTCTCACCCAGAGCCTGGTAGCTACCATATGACTTTTTGTCTGTAGGATTTTGACAACTCTAATTACCTCATAAAAGTGCAATCATAACGTTAATTGTCCTTTTTGGCTAGCTTATTTCACTTAATGTAACGTCCTCGAGTTTCATTCATTTTGTAGCATATGTCAAAATTTTTTTCATTTTCAAAGATGAATAATATTTAATTGTACATACACATCACAATTTGCTTATCCATTTATCTGTTGATGGACACTTGAGTTCCTATAACGTTTTTGCTATTGTGAATAATGCAGCTATAAACATAGGTGAATGGAAATCTCTTCAAGACCCAGTTTTCAATTCATAGAGGTATATATTTAGAACTGGAATTGCTGCATCACATAGAAATTATATTTTTAATATTTTAAGGAACATTTTCATGTTTTTCTGGCAGTTACACTATTTTACATTTTCACCAACAATGCATAAGTTCCAATTTCTCTACATCCTTAAAAATTCTTGTTATTTTTTGGTTGTTCTTATATTAGCAATCCTAGTGAGTGAGAGGTTATAGATCATTGTAATTTTGATTTGCATTTCTCAACTGATTGGTAATATTGAGCATCTTTTCACATGTTTATTGGTCTTTTGTGTATATTCTTTGAAGAAATGTCTACTCAAGTCTTTTACCCAATGTTTTATATGGCTGTTTGTTTTATTGCTGTTGAGTTTCAATTCTCCATATATTCTGGATATCAATCCTTTACTAGATATATTATTTGAAAATATTTTCACCCATTCTTTGTGTTCCCTTTTTACTTTGTTGGTATCTTTAGATGCAAGTTTTATAAAAATTTTCAAGAAGTCCAATCTGTCTATTCTTTCTTTCATTGCTTGTACCTGTGGTGTCATATCTAAGAAATCACTGCCAAATCCAAAGTCCTGTCGCTTTTGCCATATATTGTCTTCTAAGAATTTTATAGTTTTATATTTTATATTTAGGTCTTTGATGCACTTTAATTTTTATATATGATGTTAGGGCAGGATTCAACGTTGTTCTTTTACATATGGATATGCCATTTTCCCAGCACGATTTGTTGAAAAGGTTATACTTTTTCTTCTCTACTGAATGCTATTTTCAGTCTTGTCAAAATCATTTGATCATATATGTAAGGTTTTACTTTTGAGATTTCTATTCTATTTCATTGATCTCTATGTCTGTCTTTATGCAGTTACCACATTTTTTGGATTACTCTAGCTTTCAGTAAGTTTTGAATTCAGGAAGTGTTAGTCTTTCAGCTTTACTTTTTTTCAAGATAGTTTTGGCCCTTTGAGATTCCACATAAATTTTAGAAATGCCTTTTCCATTTCTGCAGAATATGTTTTTGGGAATTTTATAAATATTTCATTGAAACTGTAGATCTCTTTGAGTAGTATTGTCATCTTATTATTGTCACTCAATCCATGAACATGGGATGTGTTTCCAATTATTTATGCCTTCATTAATTTCTTTCAGCAATGTTTTATAGTTTTTATTGTGCATGTCTTCAGTTCATTGGTTAAGATAATTTACAAATAATTTATTTTTTGGATGCTATTGTAAATGGAAGTGTTATCATAAATTCCTTTTCAACATTATTGGTTGTTACTGTATAAAATGCAACTGAATCCTGCTACTTTGCTGAATACACTTATTAGTTATAATAATTTTTGCATGTGTGTATGTATACTCAATAGTTTTTTTACATACTATATCAGAAATAATTTTATTCCATTCTTTTCAATTTTGTTGCCTTTTATTTCTTTTTCTTGCCAATTTGCTCAGCTAATACTTCCAATACTATGTTAAATAGAAGTAGCAAAATAAGCATTATTGCCTTATCTCTGATCTTAGAGAAAAAACTTTGAATCATTCACCAGTATGTATGATGTTCACTATGCGATTTTTATGTATTATTTTTATTTTGTTCAGGTAGTTTCCTTCTATTCCTAATTTGATGAGAGTTTTGATTATGAAGGAATGTCAGTTTTTTCCAAGTAACTTTTCTGCATTAATTAAGCTTCCTGAAATATTGTTAATATTGTGTATTACATTAATTTATTTTTATAACTTGAACCATTCTTGCATCCTAAGAACAAATCTCACAATGTCATGCTGTATATTCCTGTTAATATGATGTTGAATTTGGTTTGCTCGTATTTTTTAATTTGTTTTTTATTTTATTTATTTATTTTAATTGGCAAATAATTATTGTGTATATTTCCAGGGTACAATGTGATGCTTTTATCTATACGTACATTGTAGAAAGCACGAGGTGCTAGTTTTTTTGATAATTTTGGATTTATATTAACCAGGGGCATTGGACTATGTTTTTATTTTCTTGTAGTGCTTTTATTTGGCTTTGGTATCAAGATAACGCTAACCTTATAAATAAATTTGAAAAAATTCTCTTTTTCTTCAATTTTTTGGAAGGCTTTGAGAAAGATTGATGTGTATTTTTTAAATGTTTGGGAGAATTCAACAGTGAAGTAATCAGATTCAGGGCTTTTCTTTATTGTGAGATCTTTTGTTATTGAATCAGTCTCCTTCCAGTTACAGGTCTATACTTATATTTTATGTCATCATAATTTAGTCTAAGTAGGTTTCTTTTTTATTTTTATTTTTTTTTCTTCGAGACAGAGTCTCGCTCCTGTCACCCAGGCTGGAGTGCAATGGCATGATCTTGGCTCACTGCAACCTCCGCCTCCCAAGTTCAAGCGATTCTCCTGCCTCAGCCTACCAAGTAGCTGGGATTACAGGCGTACGCCACCACACTCAGCTAATTTTTGTATTTTTAGTAGAGACTAGGTTTCGCCATGTTGGCCAGGCTGGTCTCCAACTCCTGCCCTGAGGTGATTCCCTTGCTTCGGCCTCCCAAAGTGCTGGGATTACATGCGTGAGCCACCGCATCTAAGTAGGTTTCTTGCTTCTGGAAATTTGTCTGTTTATGTAGGTTAACCAGGTTTTTGGCAAACAATCTTCTATAGTACTTCAGTATATTCCTTTTTATCCCTGTAGAATTGGGATTAGTCACTACTTTCATTTTTGATTTCAGAAATTTGAAACTTTTCTTTTTTGTTGGTTTATCTAGCTAAAAATTTACCAATTTTGTTTATATTTTTAAATAATCAACTTTTGTTTTCATTAATATTCATTAATCTCTGCTCTGGTTTTTGTTAATTTCTTCTTCTAGCTTTGTGTGTAGTTTGTTATTCTTTTTCTAGTTCTTTAAGTTGTAAATTTAAATTGTTAATTTGGGATCTTTCTTGTTTTCTAAGGTGTTTATGGTTATAAATTTCTGCTAAGCACTGATTTGCTACATCTCATAACTTTTAGGTTGTATTTTTGTTTTCAGCCATCTCTAAGTACTTTTACATTTTTCTTTGATTTCTATTTTAATTCATTGATTGTTTAAGAGTGTATGGGTTAATTTTCACATATCATTGATTTTTGCAGTTTTACTTCTGTTGTTGTTTTCTGACCTTATTCATTGTGGTTGAACAAGATACTTTTCCTAATATATATCTTCTTACATTTATTGAGACTTAGTTTATAATGTAACATATGGTCCATCCTGGAAAATGTTCCTTGTACACTTGAAAATAATAAGTATAGTGTTATGTGGGATATAGTGCTTTTATGTACCTCTGTCCAGTTGCTAATAAGCTCATCAAATATATATATTTTTAATTTCTGTTACAGTATTTTTTGGTTTTGTTTTTGTTTTTTATTTCTAGTATTTCTTTTCATTGTATTCTAGTATTTCCACCTCTCTTCTTACATTGTACATCTATTTTTTTCATACTCTTTATTTATTAGGGAACTTAGTATATTAATCATACTTGTTTTCAATCATTTGTCTGATATTTCCAATATCCTTGGCTTATTTGGTTTGGCTGTGTCCCCACTGAAGTCTTACCTTGAATTGTAGATCCCATAATCCTCACATGTCAGGAGAAAGACCTGGTGGTAGTTAATTGAATAATGGGGAAGGTTACCTCCATGCTGTTCTTGTGATAGTCAGTGAGTTCTCTTGAGATCTGATGGTTTTATAAAGAGCATTTCCCCTGCACGTGTTCTTTTGCCTGCCACCATGTAAGACATGCCTTTGCTCCTCCTTTGCCTTTCACCGTGATTGTGAGGCCTCCCCAGCCTTATGATTCTGTGAGTCCATTAAACCTTTTTCTTTATAAATTACCCAATCTCGGGTATGTTCTTATAGCAGCATGAGAATGAACTAATACAGTAAACTGGTACTTGGAGTGGAGTGCTGCTGTAAAGGTACCCAAAAATGTGGAAGTGACTTTGGAACTAGGTAACAGGGAGTGGTTGGAACAGTTTGGAGGGCTCTGAAGAAGAAAGAAAAATAGGTGAAAATTTGGAACTTCCTAGAGACTGGTTGAATAGCTTTGACAAAAATGCTGATAATGATATGGACAATGAAGTACAGACTGAGGTGGTCTCAGATGGGTATGAGAAAGTTGTTGGAAACTGGAATTCTGGCATGTATCAAAATGATTCTTTCCTCCTACCATTTGTTAGAAGGAGATGGGAATTTTTATCCCATATTTACTGTGAGAACTTGGTCAAGCTCTTGAATATGATTCTGTCCTCCTACAGTTTTTAACTCTCAAACTTGTCCAACCTTTCCTCCAGTAATTTGACAATTACAGTTAAAGCTTTTCTACCCTGGCGGTGATTCTCCTGGAGGTTTCTACTCTGGTATGTGGTAATTCTCTGTTATCTACCTGGTGAGCATCTTGAATTTTTGTGCTTCCAGTTTGCCCTGTGACATCACTTCTCTTACGGATTTTTATAAAACATACTGATTTATTTACTTTGTTCATCTTTTTACTTTTTATAAGGATAAAGAGGCAAAATTCAAGCTGTTTCCATGAGGAAGTAAAAATAGGAACTCAGTTCTATAATTTTTAAGAGTAAATAACTAGCAGAAAAAAAAGCCACAAAATTTATATCATCTTATATTTTATCCTATGTAAAATTACAAACTCCATATTTCTCAAGCTATTTAATATAGATATTCAACTTGTATTTGGTACCAGCTATATAACAACCAATATATAGTTGTTCCCCAGCGCCAGGTCAGAGGAGGCTTTGCTATTTGCATTGAGCATTAGGTATAGTTCAAAATAAGCCATTCTGCCTTCTCAGTGTCACCAATTTAACAGCGGTCTCTACCTTTTAGTTAGTCCTAAGCAATAAAAGCAGAGATCAGGCATGCTGTGCAATGGATGTTATGTTGAGTAAAATGAATTAATTACATGCTAATGCTGAATTTAAAACATTTTTGAGATAACAGGCTTTTTAAATATAAAGTGGAGACATAACAATAAATTGATGTTTAAATATGTCATTATTGTCTTTGATCCAAACACAAGTAACACAGGATTTTGATAAAAAATATAAGTTGTGTTGCCCCTGAATAATTTAATATTTTGAGTGGCATCTAGTACCAACACTTGCCCAATCTCTGCATTCTGCTTTTTGACTTTTTAATTAAAAATACAAGTTAATAATTCCTACTATCTATTCACAAACACATTTGTGTGCATGTATGTGTGTGTGTGTGTCTTTTTAACAGCAGTATCTACCTTTTAGTTCATCTTAAACAATAAAAGCAGACATCAGGCATGCTGTGCGATGGGTGTTATCCACTGTAAACATTTGAAACAAATGTTTTAATTTCAGGTGTATGTGTGTGTTTGTGTGTGTGTATACATGTAGGTATACATGTATATATGGATGAATGTATGTGTCTGTGTTCATGTTTATATATATATATATAAACACATGCATACACAGTCATGCATCACTTAATGAAGGGGATGTATTGTGAGAAATGTATTGTGAGATATTTTTGCCATTTTGTGAACATTATAGAGTGTACTTACACAACCCTTGATGCTATAGCCTACTACACATCTAGGCTATCCTTGAGTAGCATGTTACTGTACTGACTACGGTAAGCAACTATAACACAATGGTAAGTATTTTTGCCTAAACATATCTATCATAGAAAAAGATATAGTAGAAATAGGAGATTATAATACTATGGGACCACTGTTGAATATGTGGTCCATTGTTGGCCAAAATGTCATTATATGGCACATTACCATATGTATATATGGAAATATAGTCTTATTCATTTTTCAGAATATCTGTGTTTTTCACTTGTTTCTTTGAAAATTATTTTCCCAAGCTTTATATTAAGTCTTAAACCTCTTCTGCTTCAGATTCTGTTTTTGAGAGACTATTGTGTGCTTCTGATTCACAGGCCCGGTCCCTGATTGGTGACCTAAAGTGGTTTTGTGGCAGTATCCTTCTAAAGCACGCAAATAAATAGATGAGATTATGCAACACTATTTATTTACTAAGATTCTATTTTCACTGATTGACATCTGAACCTATAGGAAATATGGTTTTATCTTCTCCCAACAGGGTGAGTCAAGTCTGTCACTTACATTCTCCCAAGTCAAATATCCTTTTTATCATATCAAAAGTAGGAAAATGATTTTCATTAATCAGAGCAGAGAGCCTAAAGCTTAATTCCTTGCTTCAATTTATCATGATTTGTATGTAGTTGAAAGGAAGCCAATTAATGTACTTTCTCTTTTTGCTCTTATTAATTAGTAGACATGCTGAAAACTTCTGTCAGAATTAAAATCTTTCTTAGATTATTTTTCTCCTTTTAACTTTCTGGAAATAATGGTAGAGATTTTTTCTTTGAAGTTAACTGGAATTGTCAACTTTTATACTAGCACCAACAGTCAAAAATTACACTATAGAAATAAAATCTTTTCCATTAAGTATTATTAAACTTAATGGCTTCAAATAAGTATTATTTGAAGCCTTAGTACTGAGAAAGAAAAAATAATTTGTTGTTATGTCTACTCTCTGTCAGGTTTAGAAAACTATTTTAAGTGTTTGTTTTTTATTCCTTGATGTTCCTTCTATAAAGGTAAAATAAACAACTAAAATCAGTCATATCGAGGAAAGAACAAACATTAATTTTCTTGAGGGAACTCAAATATGTAATTATGATCAAACTAAATAATGTTTAAAATTTTCCATGTTTAAAGGGAGATATTATGCCCAGAATGTTTTTCCTGAAGATTTATGCAAGTCAGCTGCCATCTATAGCCAAGCGTTTGAAGCTTTAATTGGTCCTTATTATAGTTGGTTCATAAAAGTAAAAAATAAAAATCTCAGTGAAAGACATTGGGTGTTAAAAAAATTTTAACCTTTCAGCTGTCACATGCAATTTTCTGTAATCCATATGAAAATTCAGCATGTCTCTGATGCAAATATGTTGGTGAATGGTTTCACTTCCAACAATATTAAGGAATTCAATAGGGAATAATGGAAAATAAAAGAATACTGCTACATGACTAGGAAGAGGTTTATATTAACCTTTTTTGGGAGTCATAAACCTCAATATAAAAGGCATAAATTATGTAGGATGTGTGCTAATACATACTGAGATGGAGATTTCCTCCTCTTTAAACAAGATAATTCATTTTCACTGGCTGACTCATTAAAAGCTACTCTTTTTCTATTTTCATTTTAAAATCAGGGTGAGAAGGAAGAGAGATAATCCTTAATCATACAGGACCTTTATTTATAGCATGCTCAGATGCTATTAGACAATATTAGACCTACATTAGACAATACAGTATCAGGGCTGAAAGAAAAGTTATATTTCTTAATTCAAGATACAAATAAGTATATTGAATAGCTCTACAAACTTGCTATTCTAACTTTGGACAATGAACCAGCAGCATGGACATCATCTAGGAGCTTGTTAAAAGTGTAAAATTGGCCGAGCATGGTGGCACACACCTGTAATCCTAGCACTTTGGGAGGCCGAGATGGGTAAATCACTTGAGGTGAGGAGTTCAAAACCAGCCTGGCTAACATGGTGAAACCCCGTCTCTACTAAAAATAGAAATAAATAAATAAATAAATAAATAAATAAATAAATAAATAACCAGACTTGGTGGCATGCACCTGTAATCCCAGCTGCTCAGGAGGCTGAGGCAGGAGAATCGCTTGAACCCAGCAGCCAGAGGTTGCAGTGAGGCGAGATCATGCCACTGCACTCCAGCCTGTGCAACAGAGCAAGATCCATCTCAAAAAAAAAAAAAAAAGTAAAATGATACAACCTACTCTCACATAAGTTTTCAGAATCTTCATTTAAATCTTCATTTAAACAAGATCTTCAGGTTATGCATGTACACATTGGAGTCTGAAATTTCTGTCCTAACAACATCTCCCCTAAATGCTAATCCAGGTCCAACATCTACAGTTTCCGGGTAATTAATAAGGGTAACCTACCTTATATTGGATAACTTCAATGTTTATGATCTTCCTCATAAGAAGCAAAAAATCTGCTTCTTGCATCCAGTTAGACCAAATTCTTGTCCTAGGGCCAATCAAAGTGAGTTTTATTCCTTTTTCAGAATAGTCTATTACATACTTCAAAACTTGTTCTACATTCTTACTCTTCTCTTCCTCCAATTCCTTTAGTCAGTCCTCAATTTATAAAGTAATTATTCTCCTATGTTGGATGTTCTATCTGAACTCCATCCTGATGATTGGGAATCAGGTGTAATTTCTCAGTTTCTCAATTTGAAATGCAGTATTGCAGTAATGAAAGCAGAATTGAGTGGCATTGTTGTCTCTCACATTCTGCACACATTTTCTCTATTAATTCTGCCTAAACATTGCATTTACCATACCTGAGAGAGTGGGGACAAATTTTCTGGAATATACTACTGACTTGTATTAATGTAATCTGAATTTTCAGATATAAATACCAGTCAATGGTTGGTTGTTACAACTTAAAAGCAATCAGGTTGGGAAGACCTTCAAAATATTGGTCATTAAATCATAAATAAAATTTTTCTTAGAATTGGACCGTGGTAAGTGGAGTACCTTAACTTTTCTTAGTTCAAACTCTGCAAATTGACTCTAACGTTCATAATCATGCCCTTTTATGTGCTTTAAGTGGAGATACTGTTGGTCTATACTTTGTAAGAGAGCAGGTAACTCTAGCACAGAAGAAACTATATAACATGGAACTGGGTGGGAATTCAGTGGCACTATTCCATTTTTATCAATTCAGACTGTTGCTTTCAGTCCTGCTTTCAATCTGCAGGTTGTACTCCGAGAGGATTGCAGCAGTAATACAACATGGATGGTTCTGGCTTCTCCTCTCTCTCTGCTTTCCACCTACAACAGTGTCAAAATAGGACTGACAGCCACAAGCCTCAGTCTTCTCCCTCTGGGTCTGTCTGTCCCCATTCATTAATAGAAGTAGGTGGACCTCCTTTCAAAGTTCAGTGAACATGGCTTTGACATCTTCTGCTAGTGTAATGTGCTGTTATTGTGTAGATTTCCAAAGGAAGTAGCATTTTTCAGCCAATTTTCTACTGGCTGCACCACCTTTTGTTTCCTGGATTGCTTTTTACCAATGTGAAGTCCTTAGATCAGTAATGCGTGTATTGTAAGGATGAACCACTCCTTGCTGAGTTTAACTTGAACTTTCTCACAGATGATGTTAGCCTCTTCCTTTTAACAGTATTTTGATTGTAGGAGCCTTATCATCTTCCGCATGCCTCTCTGGCTCGCCCAGGTGGTATCGATGGGCGTGTTGTCCATGTCAGAGTAAAGGGCCTGCATGCGACTCAGCCGCCAACACCATATGCAGCAGGCTGGTGACCCCTGAATTTACTTAAAACAAACAAACGAACAAACAACTTTGCATTCCAATCACCTCACTTATTTAATTGAGATATAAAGCATTATAAAGGCCTAAAACACTACATGAGGGGACCTCATTAACTTTTTTTTAAAAATCATTTAGAAATGTAAAACAAATTCTTTTTTTTATTTTTTTATTTTTTTATTATTTTTTATTATTATACTTTAAGTTTTAGGGTACATGTGCACATTGTGCAGGTTAGTTACATATGTATACATGTGCCATGCTGGTGCGCTGCACCCACTAACTCGTCATCTAGCATTAGGTATATCTCCCAATGCTATCCCTCCCCCCTCCCCCCACCCCACAACAGTCCCCAGAGTGTGATGTTTCCCTTCCTGTGTCCATGTGTTCTCATTGTTCAATTCCCACCTATGAGTGAGAATATGCGGTGTTTGGTTTTTTGTTCTTGCGATAGTTTACTGAGAATGATTTCCAATTTCATCCATGTCCCCACAAAGGACATGAACTCATCATTTTTTATGGCTGCATAGTATTCCATGGTGTATATGTGCCACATTTTCTTAATCCAGTCTATCATTGTTGGACATTTGCGTTGGTTCCAAGTCTTTGCTATTGTGAATAATGCTGCAATAAACATACGTGTTCATGTGTCTTTATAGCAGCATGATTTATAGTCCTTTGGGTATACACCCAGTAATGGGATGGCTGAGTCAAATGGTATTTCCAGTTCTAGATCCCTGAGGAATCGCCACACTGATTTCCACAATGGTTGAACTAGTTTACAGTCCCACCAACAGTGTAAAAGTGTTCCTATTTCTCCACATCCTCCCCAGCACCTGTTGTTTCCTGATTTTTAATGATTGCCATTCTAACTGGTGTGAGATGGTATCTCATTGTGGTTTTGATTTGCATTTCTCTGATGGCCAGTGATGATGAGCATTTTTTCATGTGTTTTTTGGCTACATAAATGTCTTCTTTTGAGAAGTGTCTGTTCATGTCCTTCACCCACTTTTTGATGGGGTTGTTGGTTTTTTTCTTGTAAATTTGTTTGAGTTCATTGTAGATTCTGGATATTAGCTCTTTGTCAGTTGAGTAGGTTGCAAAAATTTTCTCCCATTTTGTAGGTTGCCTGTTCACCCTGATGGTAGTTTCTTCTGCTGTGCAGAAGCTCTTTAGTTTAATTAGATCCCATTTCTCAATTTTGGCTTTTGTTGCCATTGCTTTTGGTGTTGTAGACATGAAGTCCTTGCCCATGCCTATGTCCTGAATGGTAATGCCTAGGTTTTCTTCTAGGGTTTTTATGGTTTTAGGTCTAACATTTAAGTCTTTAATCCATCTTGAATTAATTTTTGTATAAGGTGTAAGGAAGGGATCCAGTTTCAGCTTTCTACATATGGCAAGCCAGTTTCCCAGCACCATTTATTAAATAGGGAATCTGTTCCCCATTGCTTGTTTTTCTCAGGTTTGTCAAAGATGAGATAGTTGTAGATATGCGGCGTTATTTCTGAGGGCTCTGTTCTGTTCCATTGATCTATATCTCTGTTTTGGTACCAGTACCATGCTGTTTTGGTTACTGTAGCCTTGTAGTATAGTTTGAAGTCAGGTAGTGTGATGCTTCCAGCTTCGTCCTTTTGGCTTAGGATTGACTTGGCGATGTGGGCTCTTTTTTGGTTCCATATGAACTTGAAAGTAGTTTTTTCCAATTCTGTGAAGAAAGTCATTGGTAGCTTGATGGGGATGGCATTGAATCTGTAAATTACCTTGGGCAATATGGCCATTTTCACGATATTGATTCTTCCTACCCATGAGCATGGAATGTTCTTCCATTTGTTTGTATCCTCTTTTATTTCCTTGAGCAGTGGTTTGTAGTTCTCCTTGAAGAGGTCCTTCACATCCCTTGTAAGTTGGATTCCTAGGTATTTTATTCTCTTTGAAGCAATTGTGAATGGGAGTTCACTCATGATTTGGCTCTCTGTTTGTCTGTTGTTGGTGTACAGGAATGCTTGTGATTTTTGTACATTGATTTTGTATCCTGAGACTTTGCTGAAGTTGCTTATCAGCTTAAGGAGATTTTGGGCTGAGACAATGGGGTTTTCTAGATATACAATCATGTCGTCTGCAAACAGGGACAATTTGACTTCCTCTTTTCCTAATTGAATACCCTTTATTTCCTTCTCCTGCCTAATTGCCCTGGCCAGAACTTCCAACACTATGTTGAATAGGAGTGGTGAGAGAGGGCATCCCTGTCTTGTGCCAGTTTTCAAAGGGAATGCTTCCAGTTTTTGCCCATTCAGTATGATATTGGCTGTGGGTTTGTCATAGATAGCTCTTATTATTTTGAGATATGTCCCATCAATATCTAATTTATTGAGAGTTTTTAGCATGAAGGGTTGTTGAATTTTGTCAAAGGCTTTTTCTGCATCTATTGAGATAATCATGTGGTTTTTGTCTTTGGTTCTGTTTATATGCTGGATTACATTTATTGATTTGCATATATTGAACCAGCCTTGCATCCCAGGGATGAAGCCCACTTGATCATGGTGGATAAGCTTTTTGATGTGCTGCTGGATTCGTGTTTGCCAGTATTTTATTGAGGATTTTTGCATCAATGTTCATCAAGGATATTGGTCTAAAATTCTCTTTTTTTGTTGTGTCTCTGCCTGGCTTTGGTATCAGAATGATGCTGGCCTCATAACATGAGTTAGGGAGGATTCCCTCTTTTTCTATTGATTGGAATAGTTTCAGAAGGAATGGTACCAGTTCCTCCTTGTACCTCTGGTAGAATTCAGCTGTGAATCCATCTGGTCCTGTACTCTTTTTTGTTGGTAAGCTATTGATTATTGCCACAATTTCAGCTCCTGTTATTGGTCTATTCAGAGATTCAACTTCTTCCTGGTTTAGTCTTGGGAGAGTGTATGTGTCGAGGAATTTATCCATTTCTTCTAGATTTTCTAGTTTATTTGCATAGAGGTGTTTGTAGTATTCTCTGATGGTAGTTTGTATTTCTGTGGGATTGGTGGTGATATCCCCTTTATCATTTTTTATTGCATCTATTTGATTCTTCTCTCTTTTTTTCTTTATTAGTCTTGCTAGCGGTCTATCAATTTTGTTGATCCTTTCAAAAAACCAGGTCCTGGATTCATTAATTTTTTGAAGGGTTTTTTGTGTCTCTATTTCCTTCAGTTCTGCTCTGATTTTAGTTATGTCTTGCCTTCTGCTAGCTTTTGAATGTGTTTGCTCTTGCTTTTCTAGTTCTTTTAATTGTGATGTCAGGGTGTCATTTTTGGATCTTTCCTGCTTTCTCTTGTGGGCATTTAGTGCTATAAATTTCCCTCTACACACTGCTTTGAATGTGTCCCAGAGATTCTGGTATGTTGTGTTTTTGTTCTCATTGGTTTCAAAGAACATCTTTATTTCTGCCTTCCTTTCGTTATGTACCCAGTAGTCATTCAGGAGCAGGTTGTTCAGTTTCCATGTAGTTGAGCGGTTTTGAGTGAGATTCTTAATCCTGAGTTCTAGTTTGATTGCACTGTGGTCTGAGAGATAGTTTGTTATAGTTTCTGTTGTTTTACATTTGCTGAGGAGAGCTTTACTTCCAACTATGTCGTCAATTTTGGAATAGGTGTGGAGTGGTCCTGAAAAAAATGTATATTCTGTTGATTTGGGGTGGAGAGTTCTGTAGATGTCTATTAGGTCCGCTTGGTGCAGAGCTGAGTTCAATTCCTGGGTATCCTTGTTGACTTTCTGTCTCGTTGATCTGTCTAATGTTGACAGTGGGGTGTTAAAGTCTCCCATTATTAATATGTGGGAGTCTAAGTCTCTTTATAGGTCATTCAGGACTTGCTTTATGAATCTTGGTGCTCCTGTATTGGGTGCATATATATTTAGGATAGTTAGCTCTTCTTGTTGAATTGATCCCTTTACCATTATGTAATGGTCTTCTTTGTCTCTTTTGATCTTTGTTGGTTTAAAGTCTGTTTTACCAGAGACTAAGATTGCAACCCCTGCCTTTTTTTGTTTTCCATTTGCTTGGTAGATCTTCCTCCATCCTTTTATTTTGAGCCTATGTGTGTCTCTGCACGTGAGATGGGTTTCCTGAATACAGCACACTGATGGGTCTTGACTCTTTATCCAATTGGCCAGTCTGTGTCTTTTAATTGGAGCATTTAGTCCATTTACATTTAAAGTTAATATTGTTATGTGTGAATTTGATCCTGTCATTATGATGTTAGCTGGGTATTTTGCTCGTTAGTTGATGCAGTTTCTTCCTAGTCTCGATGGTCTCTACATTTTGGCATGATTTTGCAGTGGCTGGTACCGGTTGTTTCTTTCCATGTTTAGCACTTCCTTCAGGGGCTCCTTTAGGGCAGGCCTGGCGGTGACAAAATCTCTCAGCATTTGCTTATCTGTAAAGTATTTTATTTCTCCTTCACTTATGAAGCTTAGTTTGGCTGGATATGAAATTCTGGGTTGAAAATTCTTTTCTTTAAGAATGTTGAATATTGGCCCCCACTCTCTTCTGGCTTATAGGGTTTCTGCCGAGAGATCCACTGTTAGTCTGATGGGCTTCCCTTTGAGGGTAACCCAACCTTTCTCTCTGGCTGCCCTTAACATTTTTTCCTTCATTTCGACTTTGGTGAATCTGACAGTTATGTGTCTTGGAGTTGGTCTTCTCGAGGAGTATCTTTGTGGCGTTCTCTGTATTTCCTGAATCTGAACGTTGGCCTGCCTTGCTAGATTGGGGAAGTTCTCCTGGATAATATCCTGCAGAGTGTTTTCCAACTTGGTTCCATTCTCCCCATCACTTTCAGGTACACCAATCAGACGTAGATTTTGTCTTTTCACATAGTCCCATATTTCTTGGAGGCTTTGCTCATTTCTTTTTATTCTTTTTTCTCTAAACTTCTCTTCTTACTTCATTTCATTCATTTCATCTTCCATCGCTGATACCTTTTCTTCCAGTTGATCGCGTCAGCTCCTGAGGCTTCTGCATTCTGCACGTAGTTCTCGAGCCTTGGTTTTCAGCTCCATCAGCTCCTTTAAGCACTTCTCTGTATTGGTTATTCTAGTTATACATTCTTCTAAATTTTTTTCAAAGTTTTCAACTTCTTTGCCTTTGGTTTGAATGTCCTCCCGTAGCTCAGAGTAATTTGATCGTCTGAAGCCTTCTTCTCCCAGCTCGTCAAAGTCATTCTCCATCCAGCTTTGTTCCGTTGCTGGTGAGGAACTGCGTTCCTTTGGAGGAGGAGAGGCGCTCTGCTTTTTAGAGTTTCCAGTTTTTCTGTTCTGTTTTTTCCCCATCTTTGTGGTTTTATCTTCTTTTGGTCTTTGATGATGGTGATGTACTGATGGGTTTTTGGTGTGGATGTCCTTTCTGTTTGTTAGTTTTCCTTCTAACAGACAGGACCGTCAGCTGCAGGTCTGTTGGAATACCCTACCATGTGAGGTGTCAGTGTGCCCTTGCTGGGGGGTGCCTCCCAGTTAGGCTGCTCAGGGGTCAGGGGTCAGGGACCCACTTGAGGAGGCAGTCTGCCGGTTCTCAGATCTCCAGCTGCATGCTGGGAGAACCACTGCTCTCTTCAAAGCTGTCAGACAGGGACATTTCGACCTCATTGCCTTTTAACTTTATCTTCTATTTTTCTAACTTTCCCACAAATCCTCCTTACTCAAAAGGTGTCTTGTAAATAACGGCTGCCCTGACCATCCAGATGCCTACCAACTCAATTTTCTTATTATTTATTTATTTATTCAAATCTCTTAACTTCATCTAAATACTAAACTTTATTAAACTTTATTTATTTTCTTCATTTATTTCATGCCCCCCCACCACCACCCCCTACCGTCAAATGCATGCTAGTGTGTTTTTTTCACATATTATTCCCATAATTTAGACTGCTGCATGGCACTGTACAGGGAGTCAAAAATGTTTGCCGGCTGAATGAATGTGTAACCTGTTTTGTCTTTAAACCCATCTGACCTCGTTTATAGACTGAGAAAAACAGCACTTACTGTTTTTGTTTGCTCATTTATAGATTGAGAAAAACAACACTTACTTTATAGGATGTTTGTATGTGTGAAGTTCCCAATTCCAGGTAAACCCTGACTATAGCTGCTGATATGACTTAGAACATATTTTTCTTCAGTCCACAATTCCCAATGGAACAAATTTTTGAAGATTATTAAACAAAGCTCGTAATCTCTTTTTTCTTATTTCTTTTTAATAGTACCATTGCCAGTAGTTATAACAATTGTTAGAGTTTTTCTAACTTATATAAATAATTTGTTAGATTTTGTCTTCTTTCTCTGTTTACTAGAAGTCATATTTGAATTGATTGTTTTTGTTCATATGTTAATGATTAGAATGTGATGAGAAATAGTGCTAGCTCTTACCTGGAGGACTAATGAGCCTTGGAAAAATCTGCAGACATGAATGTAACAGCTTTTGAGAGGACTTCTGCTCACTAGCTTTCCCTATATAGTCAATGGTATTTATCTGAACAGATTGCCTGTCATGTGCTAAAACAAACCAAAAGAAGAAAAAAGTGGGGGCAGATAGTTAATTTATACAGGAATGTAGATCTAGAAACTACATTAGAAAGAAGGAAAAAAAACTTTTCTCGGGTGTCTTGCATTTAAACAATCCCCTGTGTATCATGCAAAATTGATGGCTGTGTGCATTTTTTCTCTAACTCCAGACTAAAATGACAGCCAATGAAAGTGAACCCCTCCCTTAGAAATAGCTAGAGGTTATACCCATCTAGAATGTTCAATACTTATTTTTTTAGTAATACTGCCAGTGTTCATCTCCAGGACACCAATATTATCTTAGAAAATTTAGTAAAAAGTGAACACGTATAAGAAAAAATTTTGGTACAATAATCCATCCAAAAAGTAGATAGATATTAATAACAGGTTTATAAATAAGTATAGGTATATTTATTTATAAACCTGTTATTAACAGGAATAAAGGAATGAAGCAAGGAAGGAAAGAAAGAAAAAGGGAGGGAGGAAGAAGTTGGGAGGGAAGGAAGGAGGGAGGGAAGGAAGAAAGGAGGGAAGGAAGAAAGAAAAAAAGGAAAAGAAGGAAGGAAGGAGGGGGAGGGAGAGAGGTGAGGGAGGGAAGGAAGAAAGGAGGGAAAAAGAAAGCAGGAAAAGAAGGAAGGAAGGAGGGAAGGAGGGAGAGGGATAGAGGGGAGGGAGGGAAGGAGGGAAGGGCATGACGAGAAGGGAAAGGAGGGAGGGAGGAGACTGTTAAAGCAAAACATATAACCATTATATTCATTACTTACAATGGGGATGTCTGAAAATTCATTTGTGTGAATGTATTTATATTTATAAAGGTGTTTTGTGTATTTGGGAGCTTCCAAGCACAAGAAACGAGAGTTAACCACTGCAGTGTCAAACTTCTCTTTACATAGTAAGCCAAAATTGTTGATAACATTTTCTTTGTTTCTGATCAAAATACAGTACATTTTTGTATTGTGTTAGAGATTTTCATATTTTCTCATCTATGCCAGATATTCAGAATATTTATCTTTCCCATCAGTGAATTATCAAAAGAAGAAAAAAATATTATTAGTATCATGGCTAATGAGGATAAGTGTGGTAGTGGGAGAGAAGATCGAAAGGAGGTAACTCAAAGGTGATGAAAATTTGTAAATTTAAAGGTCATTGTCAGGTACTAGTTTTACTTGAGCAAATATTCCTGCCAATTATTGCATTTTCATCCTTATTGAGAAAAAGCTTTCTGTCTTTTCTTGACAGAAATTCTGTTTTTTTTTCTATTTTCTTTTTTCATTTTTAAACAAAAGGACAGTTTATTTGCAGATTCTTCTTTGTTAGATGGTATAGTAAAACAAAATTGATAGACCTGGTCATTTTGTTTCTGTCCCATATTTCTTTTAGCGAGGTCTATTTTTCATCCTTGTGATACATATACAAAATTTAAACCTGGCACCAATCTGTTGTGTATTGACAGGGAGTGAATAACTCAGGGACAGGCAGCATCAGCATCAAGAAATTTGCTAGAAAGTCAAGTTACCAGCATCCCTTCAGATGTACAGAATCACACTCTTTGTGAATGAGGTCATCCAATATCTTCCAGACAATCATTAGGCATAGTGATATTTGAAAACCACTCCTCTAAACAGAGAATCTCAGACTTCTATATCCATGGAAAACACCTAGGGTTCTAAGAAGAAATCAACAGTTGTGGGCATAAATCCTAAAGCACTGAATTTACTAATAGTGCCCAGCAATCTGCATTACTTCTTTGTTACTCTAAAGTCTGAAAACTAAGCTGAAGTTGCTCAAGATTAATCTTTAGTTATAGCAGCTATTGGCACTGGAGCTTCTCTAAAGTCCTGCATCTTTATTTCCATAAGTTGATCCTTATCAGACTAAAACACAAGCAAACTAACAAGCAAACAATGCTATTACCTTACAGAAGAATGTTTAACACTTTCACAGTGGCATGCTCCTCCTATCACAGTCTGTTCCCAGCTTACCTAACTAACCTCATCTTCAGCCACTTCTTGTACCCTGTGTGTATTCTCACCACTGTGTTATGAGCTTTCTTCACCTTCATATATTTATGTTTCTTTTGCACAGAATGGCCTTCTTCCCTAATCTTCCTGTTAAATATCTGTGTACTACTCAAATGTCACCTTTCTTTTTCAAAGAATTCCGTGAATATTTCTTTTATGGAAGAAATGATTATTTATTCTGAGATCACTTTATATATATTTCAGAAACTATATGGATAAATATTTCATATTGTGTTGTAAGTAATTTTGCATATCACATGTGTTTGGAAACACTAAGAAAACTCCATTAGACTATGTTGGTAGGAACTTTTTGAGGACCGTGCACAGATCTCACTTATCATTCTGACTACCTCTTATAACCCCTGTTACACATTAGGGTCACAATAAATACTTTTCCAAATGTTTTGTTCAACTTTGTTTCAACAGAAAAAGTGAAATCACGTATATAGAAAACATTTGAAAAGTTGAAGATTCTGAGTTGAGGTTCAACCTCAATTTGTCAACTAAGGGACTTTGAATGAGTTCTAAGCCTCTCTGGACTTTATATCACTCATCTGTTAAAAAAAAAAAAGACCAGAATACAGTAAGTTTCCATCATTCAAAAATATAAAAATAAGTTTTCTTCTTTAAAGGTAATCTTACGTGAACCTTACTTGAAATTCTATCAGATAATATAATAAAAGCTAAACTCTTCCAGTTGAAGAGGGAGCTTGAGGAGGACAAAACCTTCCAGGAAAAATGAAAGGATATGTACCCGAAACTAATATATGTATGATTATTTCTGTACGTATTATGAGAGGCAAAACTCTAGTATGTGTTACAAAATCAGGATTAAGCATCGTATTTCTACCATGTATATCTTATATTAACATAACATTTTTATTTTATAATATGTCACTAACATTTTAATATTTAGAAAGTTGGGAGGAGACTGATTTGCAGGAAAACTCAATCTCCCACGTGGAATGGCCTTGCAGCAATTAAATTCTTTCTTTACTGCAAGACCATGGTCTCAGTGAATTGGCTTTGCCTGTGCAATGGGAAAGAAGAACCCATTGTGTAATTACAAATTTGAAGTCTCATCTGGAATTTGCCCTTTCAGGTGCCTACCCACAGTTTGTCAGCCTCCCACTGGTAGAACAGACCTGGAGGTTAACTCTGATGGCCACTTATTATTTTTGGGGGCCTCCTTCTGGCACCATCCCTGTTGGTGAGGTGCTGTTGACCCATAGTGCCTGGGCCTAATTGCAATGGAGAAATCTTTTTTTAAAATAATGTTCATCTTAACAGATGCAAGGTGATATTTCATTGCAGTTTTGATTTGCATTTTGCTAATGATTAGTGTTTCAAGAATATTTTATATACATGTTGGCAATTTGTATGTCTTATTTTAGAGAAATATTTCTTCAAGTTCTTTTTTAAATCAGGCAGGTCTTTCATTAAAGTCTTTAATTCATTTTGAGTTTATTTTTGTACATAGTATAAGATATAGGTCTAATTATATTCCTTTGCATGTGAATATCTAGTTATCCCAACATTATTTGTTGAAGAAACTATCTATTACCTATTGTGTAACCTTGGTACCCATGTTGAATATTATTTGACCAACCCTTTCCTTTCCCAGGAAGAAGTTAGGAGTTGGGGGTTATCTCCTACTTGTTTCATGCTGAGCCAGGGAGAAGGACTATGGAAAGTGAGTGTTCCACACTGTGGCCTTTGTTCTCAGTGGCCATCAGCCTGGTACCCTTACTGTTAATGCTTAGATTCAGGCAAGACAAAAATCATTTTATTGGGAAATGCTTCAAAAAGTCTTAATGTTGGAAATATATGTTAGTCTTCTCTTTTCCTTCCTGGGAAAAAGGCATGGGCTAGGAATTTTCCTCTAATTGCGATACACTTAGTTGGAGGGAGGGACTATGATAAGTGATTATCACAAATTTTTTACAGGCTTTGATGTTGCTAATTTTTTTGTTTGTTTGCTTGTTTTTTGAGACAGGGTCTCACTTTGTCATTCAGCCTGGAATGCAGTGGTGTGATCTCGGCTGCCTGTAGCCTGGACATCCCCAAGCTCAGGTGATCCTCCCACCTCAGCCTCCCAAGTAGCTGGGACTACAGGCACATACCATCATGCTCAGCTATTTTTTTTTTTTTTTGCTTTTATTTTTTCTTTGTAGAGATGGGTTTTTGCCATGTTGCCCAGGCTGATCTTGAACTCCTGGGCTCAAGCAATCTGCCTGCCTTGGTCTCCCAAAGTGCTAGACTTACAGGCATGAGCCACCACGCCCAGCCTGATGTTGCTGATTTTACATTCACCTGAGGTACATAAGCTTCTTAACTGGTTTCTGGATTTTGTATAAAGAAAATTGGTCCTTGTATTAATGTTGAGTTTGTGTCTCTATTGGGAGTGGAGGGTATCAGGCATCTTGTTCTGTCATCTTACTGGTGTCATTTTTATAATAGAAACACTTATTCAACTTCACTCCACATTAGTATTCATTTAAATATTAATTATTTTAGTTAATTAGTTTTTATATATGTAAAGCTAGTTACCTAGTGATTATGGTCACTGAGCCACTAAAGCTAGCGGGCTACTCTATCCCTGCACTTTTGCACCAATGGACTAGGTTGGTTGTTTTCAAAAATGCGTATGCTACTTGTGTTTTTTATTGTAATTATGTAATTAATTTAAATATAATATTTTTGTGAAAATTTTATTGTGAAAAGAAAATTCTACTATAATACGAAAAAATAAGATGCTAAAATGATTTTGTTCAGTTGTAAAAAAGACAATTTTATAATTTTAAAATCATGAAAGTATACTTTTTTCTGTAGAAATATGACTATTTTATTATTTGACTTATTATTTTACTTGATTTTGTATAGATTCTGTGTGGATTTTTGTACAAATCCATAATATGTATACATATTTATAGCATATATGTAATATTTTGATACAATTATACACTGTGCAATTATCAAATTGGGGTATTTACAATATTCATCATCTTAAATATTTACTGTTTGTGTTTGGATCATTTTAAATCTTCTAGCTATTTTGAAATATAAAATAAATCACTGTGAACTATATTCACCATAATCGGTTATCAAATACTAGAACTTATTTCTTCCTTCTAACTGTATGTTTGTACCCATTAACCAGCTTCTCTCCATGCCTATCCCGTCCCAAATCCTTTAAACCCTCAAACAACCACCATTCTGCTTTCTACCCCCATAATGTCAACATTTTTGTCTGACACATATGAGTGAGAACATGCAACATTTTTCTATCTGTGCCTGGCTTATTTCGCTTACCATGACTTCCAGTTTCATTCATGTTTCTACAAATGATAGAATTATATTATTTTGGTCTAAATAGTATTTTATCATGTATATAGACCACAGTTTAAAAAATCCGTATATTCATTGATGAACATTTAGTTTGATTCCATATCTTGGCTATTGAGACTAGTGCTATAATAAAGATGGGGGAGCAGATATCCCTCTGATAAACTGGTTTTCTCTCCTTTAGATAAATGCCTAGTAGTAGGATTGCTGGATCATATAGTAGTTCTATCTTTAGTTCTCTGAGAAACCTTCATACTATTTTTCATAATGGCTGTACTAATTTACATTCTCACTGACAGTGTATAAGAGTTTCCTTTTTGCCACATCCTTACCAACATTTATTATTGTTTGTCTTTGCGATAATAGCCATTCTAACTGGGATAAGAGATAACTCACTGTAGTTTTGAGTTGCATTTCCCTGATGATTAGTAATGTTGTGCTTTTCTGTTGTACAGGCAGATTTTTTCTTAATATGTTAAATTATTCATTCATTTAAGAACTCAAAGGTATATTTATTGTGATATAAAATATCAATTAGTACACTTACTTGAAATATCTTTTGTCTAAATCAAACCAAATAAGTGTAAAATAAATGCACCTGTGTGTATTAAAAGTTAAAATGTTACATATCTATAGATACATATATCTTCTGTAGATCACTAAAATATATCCCTATGTATCTATATATAAAATAGATAACTGTGTCTATGTTTATTTATCTATGTTTTGAAATGGTTCTCTACGATAAATGACTTTTCCTATTAACTGCCCTACTACTTGTCCTGGTGACATTTAATAAAATCCTCTGTGGTATATTAAATGAGGGGCATCTTTAAACCACTAAGTGTTAATCATCAAACCAAAGAAATGTAACTCACTGTCATCCATTATACAACAAAATCAGGGGAGAAAAAAATAGATATCACTTGATTTAGATAATAATAACTCATTTTTAAGGAACTCATATAAATTAGATAAATTGGTATACATAGCCACATGTAATGTTAGTAAAATTTAAAATGTTATATCCAGAGTGATATCAATTTGGCTAACAGTCTAGTAGAATGTTTTGCATTTTTTAGAGGATGTCTGGGTTTGCAAAATGTTTTATGAATGATTCACTGTAGATGCAAAGAGAGCAATGTCTATTCAAGAAATAAAGATAGCAATTAATTTTATCAGTTTTCTGAAGAACAGAAAAATAATATATAAGCAGTTCTTCTTCTCTTATTTTTTAAATTTTAAATTTTTGTGGGTTCATAGTAGGTATATAGATTTGTGGGATACCTGAGATATTTTGAAATAAGCATGGAATGTCAAATAATCACATCACGAAGAACTGGGTATCCTTTCCCTCAAGTATTTATTCTTTCTGTTACAAACAGTCCAATTAAACTCTTTTAGTTATCACTTTTTATTCTTCAAATTTTATTTTAAGTTCCAGGGTACATGTGCAGGATGTGCAGGTTTGTTACATAGGTAAACGTGTGCTATGGTGGTTTGCTGCACAGATCAACCCATCACCTCAGTATGAAGCCCAGCATGCATTAGCTGTTGTACCTGATGCTCTCTCTACCCCAACCCTCCCCAGCAGGACCCAATGTGTGTTGTTACCCACAGCTGTGGCCATATCTTCTCACTGCTCAGTTTGCACTTACATGTGACTGAATGCATTGTTTGGTGTTCTGCTCCTGAATTAGTTTGCTGAGGATATTGGCGTCCAGCTCCATTCACGTCACTGGAAAAAAAAACCACGATCTTATTGCTTTTCACGACTGCATAGTATTTCATGAGTATATATGTCACATTTTCTTTATCATTGATGGGCATTCTATCATTGATGAGAATTTGCATTGATTCCACGTCTTTGCTATTGTGAATGGTGCTACAATGAGCATATGTGTGCATGTATTTTTATAATAGAATGATTTATAATCCTTTGAGTATATACCAAGTAGCGAGATTCCTGGGCCAAATGGTATTTCTGCTTCTAGATATTTGAAGAATTGCCACACTATCTTCCACAATGGTTGAACTGATTTACATTCCCACCAACAGTTACATTCACAACCTCCCCAGCATCAGTTGTTTCCTGACTTTTTAATAATTGCCATTCTGACTGGCATGATATGATATCTCACTGTAGTTTTTATTTGCATTTCTGTAATGATCAGTGCGTTGAACTTGTTTTCATATATTTATTGGCTGCATGAGTGTCTTCTTTTGAGAAGTTTCTGTTCATGTTTTTAGCCCACTATTTATTGGGGTTGTTTTTTTCTTGTAAATTTGTTTAAGTTCCTTGTACACTCTAAATATTAGACCTTTGTCAGATGGATAGATTGCAAAAATTTTCTCCCATTGTAGGTTGTCTGTTGGCTCTGATGATAGTTTCTTTTGCTGTGCAAAAGCTCTTTAGTTTAATTGGATCCCATTTGTCAGTTTTTGCTTTTGTTGCAATTGCTTTCGGTGAGTTCATTATAAAATCTTTGCCTGTGCCTATGTCCTGAATGATGTTGTACAGCACAATTTTAGTTATTTTAAAGTGTACAATTAAGTTATTATTGACTGTAGTCACTGTTGTGCAATCAAGTAGTATGTCTTAGTCATTCTATTTTTTTGTATCCATTAACCATTCTCACCTCCCCCGAATCCCCCTACTACACTTCCCAGCCTCTGATAACCATTCTTCTACTCTCTATTCCCATGAGTTCAATTATTTTGATATTTAGATCCCACAAATAAGTAAGAGCATGTGATGTTTGTCTTTCTGTGTCTGGCTTATTTCACTTAACATAATGATCTCCAGTTCCATGAATGTTGTTTCAAATAACAGCATCTCATTGTTTTTTTTTTTTAATCTGAATAGTATTCCCTTGTGTATATGTACCACAATTTTTTTATTCATTCATCTGTTTATGGACACTTACATTGCTTCCAAATCTCAGCTATTGTAAACAGTGCTGCAAAAAGTAGGAGAGTACAGATTTTTTTTCACTATACTGATTTTCTTTCTTTTGTGTATATACCCTGCTGTGGAATTGCTGGATCATATGGTAGCTATATTTTTAGTTTTTAGAGGGACTACCAAACTGTTCTCCATAGTGTTTGTACTAATTAACCTTCCCCCCAACAGGGCATGAGGGTTCTATTTTGCTTGTCTTTTGGATATAAGCCATTTTAACTGGGATGTGTTGGTATCTCATTATAGTTTTGATTTGCCTGATTTATGTGATGATCAGTGATGTTGGGTACCTTTTGATATGCCTTTTTGCCATTTGTATGTCTTCTTTTGAGAAATGTCTACTCAAATCTTTAGTCCATTTTAATCGGATTATTAATTTTTTTCTTATACAGTGGTTTAAGATCCTTATATATTCTGGTTATTAATCCCTTGTCACATGTTTAGCTTGCACATATTTCCTCCCATCGTGTGGGTTGCCTCTTCACTTCATTGATTGTTTTCTTTGGCTGTGCAGAAGCTTTTTAACTTGATGTAATCCCATTTGCCCATTTTTTCTTTGGTTGCCTGTGCTTGTAGAGTATTGCTCAAGAAACTTTTGCCCAGACCAATGTCCTGGAGATTTTTCCCAATGTTTTCTTGTAGTGGTTTCACAGCCTGAGGTCTTAGATTAAAGTCTCTAATAAATTTTGATTTGATTTTTGTATATGGTGAGAGATAGGGGCCTAGTTTCATCATTCTTCTGCATATGAATATCCCATTTTCCCAGAACAATTTATTGAAGAGACTTATTTTCCCAGCATATGTTTCTGGCACCTTTGTTGAAAATGAGTTTAGTATAGGTATGTAGATTTGTTTCCAGGTTCTCTATTCTGTTGCATTGTATCTGTTTTTATGCCAGTACCATATTGTTTTGGTTACTGTAGCTCTGAAGTATAATTTGAAGTCAGGTAATGTGATTCCTCTAGTTCTGTTCTTCTTGCTTAGGATGTCTTTCACTATTCTGTGTTTTCTGTGGTTCCATATAAATTTTAGGATTTTGTTTACTATTTTTGTAAAGAATGTCATTGGAATTTTTTTAGGGATTAAATTGTATCTGTAGATTGCTTTGGGTTATATGAACATTTTAACAATATTGATTCTTCCTATCCACGCCCATAGAGTATTTTTACATTATTTGGTGTCCTCTTCAATTTTTTCATCAATGTTTTATAATTTTATTATAGAGATCTTCCACTTCTTTGGTTAATTTCTATTTATTTAATTTTATGTGTGGCTATTGCAAATGGAATTATTTTAATTTTTCCTGATTTTTAACATTTTGTATTTAAAATTGTTATACTTTCTTGCTAAACTGACCCCTTTATCATTATATAGTGACCTTCTTTGTCTCATCTTATAGTCTTTGTCTTTTGTCTAAGTATAGTGACTCTTGCTTTTTTTTGTTTGTTTTTTTCCAGTGGCATGAAGTATCTTTTTCCATCCCTTTATTTTTAGTCTCTGTGTGTTTTAGAAGTGAAAGGTGTTTCTTGCAGGTGACAGATCAATTGGTCTTCTTTTGTTTATTTGTTTAGCCACTCTGTCTTTTGATTGGAGAGTTTAGTCCACTTACATTCAATGTTGTTATTAATAAGTAAGGACTTACTCCTGCCATTTTGTTACTTGTTTTCTTGTTGTTTTGTGGTGTTCTCCTCTTTATTTTTTTTCCTATCTTCCCATAGTGAAGGTAATTTTACCCTGTGATATAATTTAGTTACTTGCTTTTTAAATTTTTGTTTATCTAGTGTATGTTTTTTGGTTTGAAGTTACCATGAGGCTTGCAAATACTATTATTTGAAAAATAACCCATTATTTTCACCCAATAAAAACTTAACACTGCATAAACAAATAAACAAAAACAAAACTAAGAAAATTGTACACCTTAACTTCACCCTCTCACTTTTTTACTTCTTGTTGTTTCTATTTATGTATTATTGTATTGTGTATATCTTGTAAAGTTGTTGTAGTTACTATTTTTGATGGTCCATTGATTACTCTTTTTACTTAGGATAAGAGTAGTTTACACACCACAGTTATAGTATTATAATATTCTGTGTTTTTCTGTGTACTTACTATTACCAGTGAGTTTTGTACCTTTGGTGTGATTACTTATTGCTCATTAACATCTTTTCTTTCTCACTGAAGTACTCTCTTTTAGCATATCTTGTAGGACAGGTCTGGTGTTTATGAAATCCCTCAGCTTTTGTTTGTCTGGTAAAGTCTTTTTTTCTCCATGTTTGAAGGATATTTTGTCCATATATGCTATTCTAGGGTAAAAGTTTTTTCCTTTGGCATCTTAAGTATGTCATGCCACTGTCTCCTGGCCTGTAAGGTTTCCACTGAAAAGTCTGCTGCCAAATGTATTGAAGCTCCATTGTATGTTATTTGTTTCTTTTCTCTTGCCGCCTTTAGAATCTTTTCTTTATTCTTGACCTTTGAGAGTTTTATTATTAAATGCCTTGAAGTAGTCTTCTCCGGGTTAACTCTGCTTGGTGTTCTGTAACCTTCTTGTACTTGGTTATTGATAGCTTTCACTAAGTTTAGAAAGTTATCCATTATTATCTTTTCGAGTAAAATTTCTACCTCAACTTTTTCTCTACCTCCTCTTTAAGGCCAACAACTCAGATTTGTCTTTTGGAGGCTATTTTCTAGACCCTACCGGTGTGCTTCATTGTTTTCTATTATTTTATGTTTTGTCTCCTTTAGCTGTATATTTTCTAATAGCCTGTGTCCAAGTCCACTAATTCTTTCTTCTGCTTTATTAATTCTGTTAAAGGACTCTGATGCATTCTTCAATTTGCCAATTGCATTTTTTCAGCTCCAGTGTGCCTGTTTGATACTTTTCATTTCAATTTCTTTGTCAAATTTATCTGATATAATTGTGAATTTCTTCTCTGTGTTATCTTAATTTTCTGTGTGTGTTTCCTCAACACAGCTATTTTGAGTTCTCTGTCTGGAAGGATACATAACTGTTTCTGCAGGATTTATCCCTTGTTTCTTATTTAGTTCATTTGGTGAGGTCATGTTTTCCTGGATGGTGCTGATGCTACTTGATGTTCTTTGGTGTCTGGGCATTGAATATTTTAGTATTTACAGTAGTCTTTATTTTCTGAGCTTGTTTGTACCTGTTCTTCTTGGGAAGGCTTTCCAGATATTTGAAAGGATTTGGGGGTTGTTATCTAAGCTGTATCTGCTTTAGAAAGCTCAGTAATGCTGCAGTTCTTGCAGACTCTTAGAGGTATCTCCTTGATGGTCTTGGACAAAATCGAGCTGAATTCTCTGGATTACCGAGTAGAGACTCTTACTCTCTTGTCTTACTTTATCCCCTCAAAACAGTCTCTCTCTCTGTTATGAGTCACCTAAATCTGGGGGTGGAGTGACACAAGCACTCCTGTGACCACCACCACTATGACAGCATTGGGTCAGGCCTGAAGCCAGCACAGCCCTGGATCTTGCCCAAGGCCTGCTGTAACCACTCCCTGGCTACTGCCTATGTTCACTCAAGCTCCCTGGGCTCTAGAATCAGCAGCTGGCAAATCTAGCCAGGCTGTTTCCTTCACTTCAGGGTGATGAGATCCCTCACCCCTGCATGGGTCCTGAAGTGCCATCCAGGAACTAGAGACTAGAGTAAAAATCCTTAAAATTACCCCTGATGTTTTGTTGTACTGCAGCTGAACTAGCATTTAAATCACAAGATGGAGTCCTTCTCCATCTTTCCTCCGTTTCCCAAAGGCAGAGGAGCCTCACTCCATAACCACCACCACCACAGGCCCACAGGGAATTCTGACAGACTACCACTGATCTTCTTTCATGGCCCAAAGTCTGTTAAGTCAGCTTGTGATGAATGCTGCCTAGCCTAAATCTCACCCTTCAATGTGGTAGGCAAGTCTAGAGTTTCTATGCAAGACTGAAGTCCCAAAACCAATGACTCCAAGGGCCCGCTTGGTGCTCTACCCCACCCTGTGGACAACCTAAAGTACCCAAAGTGAAGACAAGACAATGTCCCCTTTACTTTTCCCTCTGCTTTTCTCAAGCAGAAGGAATTTTACCCCATAGCCACCACACTGTTAATGTGCGGAGTCACACTTGAGCCAACAAGTTACATAGGCTTACACAAGGCCCTCAACATAGTACTCAGGTATCAGTGTTGGTTATTCAGGTCTCAAACGTTCTTCAGGTAGTAGGTAATGAAAGCTGCTAGGAGAGTGGGTCTTTTCTTTGAAGGCATTGAAGGCAGTGGGTTCCCTTCTGTCCCAGGGTATGTCTAGGAATGTTGCCTGGGAGCTACAGTCTGGAATAAGGCCTCACAACTCTGACCAGTACCCTATCCTCCTGTGGCTGAGCTCATATCCAAGATGCAACACAAAGTCCTCCATACTCTTCCCTTTCCTCTCTTCAAGTAGAAAGAAGGTGTCTCTTTTGGAGCCACAATCTGTGCCACCTGGGGTTAGGAGAGGGGTGATGCCAGCACTTTCTTAGCTTCCCCAGCTGATGTCTCAGTGAGTCACATGCACCCCACTCCCCAGCTCCTTCCAGTATATTTTTTCTTGGCCCCATTCAACCATGGACTCCACTAAGATTTTCAGTCCTTATGGCCTAGATTGTCTTTCAAGTTTGCTTAGAGACCCAGACCCAAAGCAGATTGGCCCTTGGTAGGGAGGTTTGCAGGAACTCAAGTTCATACTTCTGGTTTCAGCAATTCGCCTTTGGCTGTAGCTGTTTTAAATGCTCCCTCTTTGGGTGAGCCTCACGTGAGTTTGTTCTGTTTGTTTTTTGTTTGTTTGTTTGTTTGTTTTTATTTTTTTCCTGCTAACAGGACAGCATTGAGTTCAATGTCTCAAAATTGCTATGTTCTCCTTCCCCCAGCACACAGATGCTCTTCACACCATGATGGGGGTGACTGGGGGATGGCATTGGCAATTAAACACTATTTTTTTAAAAGTGAAAGCAAGTTTATTAAGAAAGTAAAGGAATAAAAGAATGGGTACTGCATGGGCTTAGTAGCCAATTAAAGACTAGTGTTTTTAATCTTTTCATTTCCTCTTTCAGTGACACTGTTAAAACCAGATACTATGAGGGTTCACCTGATTTTTGTTTCTCATGGAGGTGTTTCTTCTTTGTAGATTGTTGTTAAATTTGTGGGTTTTTATGAGTGGTGAAGAGATGATCAGTGGGGCCTTCTATTTTTGCCATCTTGCTCCACCTCTATAAGCAGTTTTTTTTTTGTTTTTTTTTTGTTTGTTTGTTTGTTTTTTGAGACAGAGTCTTGCTCTGTTGCCCAGGCTGGAGTGCAGTGGCACGATTTCGGCTCACTGTAACCTCTGCCTCCTGGGTTCAAGCGATTCCCCTGCCTCAGCCTCCCAAATAGCTGGGACTATAGGCACATGCCACCACCCCTGGCTAATTTTTTGTATTTTTAGTAGAGACGGGTTTCATCATGTTAGCCTGGATGGTCTTGATCTCCTGACCTCGTAATCTCCCTGCCTCGGCCTCCCAAAGTGCTGGGATTCCAGGTGTGAGCCACCGCACCTGGCCAAGCAGTTCTTTAAATAAGGATTTAAACATGTCATTTGTGTTTTAAAAATATTTTTCAAATAAGAGAACTGATAAAATAGGAAAGTAGTTTGAAAAAATATGTTCATATTATGAAATCTATTTAATTTAAAGAAAATGCTAAAAATAATTATATGCAATCTAAAACAAGTCTTCAAAAATTTTGATATTTATATACCTAATGATTTTTTTTTCTGGCCACTGTTAGAAATGTGGTCCCTCTAGGAAATTATTATTTAGTTAAGATCTAAAAACAGTTGACAGACATTTCAGATTAAAATATGCTTTTTCCAATGTGGTATGTTAAATTATGGTTTATATCCACCAGAAATTCAAATAATATCATGCTAAAGGAAAGAGTCTGATTTTGAGTCTCTCTCCACAGAACTTATTGTATTTCTATATATGAAAAATGAAGTAAAAGATTTTAAGTACCACAAATGTTGCCTAGTATTTGGTAGATTTCAGTCCCTTATAAGTATTTCTCTTCATACACAATGCTCTTAACATTCAAATGTTTAGGCTTGAATAACTCTTTACTTTCTGTGGCCGTGATAAAAATATAATGTATGTATTTGTGTGTGTGCGTTTGATTTTAATAATAATTGATGAAGCATAAATGTATGTCAATGTCTGCCACATTTTTTTTTTGTTGCCCGGCCGGTAATAGCCAGTCTCTTAGAAAGATTTGAATGCCAGGTTCTTAATTTTTAAATCATATCAGAATTGTTTAAGTGGTTTTTACATTTAGCAAAAAAATCATTAACATTTTGTGAAAGAAAAATTACTGCAGTAAGCTTTTTTGTTTTTGCTTTGACTTCCCTTTTCACTAAAGTGGCATCTCCTCTGCTATTCATTAATGATAATTTAGGTTTTATATCTTGTTGAATTAATAAAGGAAATTATTCTTAAGTGATCTTCAAACTGTCCTTTCAGAGAGGTAGTCTGCATGCATGGTCCCTCTTGCTTGGAAACGAGTGCACTGAGACCCAGAGTCAACACAGAGTTTCCTACAAGTTCTTTATTGTCTGAGGTTGAAACCCAAATAAAGCAAGTATTTCTTTATTTCTTATGGCTCAGCAACTCTCAAAATAAGAGAGGTTTTCTGAAAACTCTTTGGTACATAAAATATAAATAAAGACAAAAAATGTAACCATTCTATCTAGTTACGCAAATTTTCAGTAAAGCTTGACAGTAATTTCTTTTTCTTAAAAAATGGGAATTGCTGGAAGATAATATAACACTAGCATTTTCTCTCACTTATTTTTGTTTAAGTCCGAAGCAATAGTTTTGCATACTAAAATATACTTACTGTCTTAGAAAAATACTCCTTGAGAATTAGGATACTTTACATGTGTTTCCAGGCCTTGGTCAAGTGCAGTTGACTCTGAAAGCCAGAACCAATCCTATTCATTCATTGATTCATTCATTCAAAGACAGGCTCTCACTCTGTCGCCAGGCTGGAGTGCAGTGGCATAATTATCGCTCACTGCAGTGTCAAACTTCTGGGCTCAAGTGATTCTCCCACCTCAGCCTCTTGAGTAGCTAGGATTACAGGTACAACACCACCCATGGCTAATTTTACTTGTTTCAACTTTTTGTAGGGACAGGGTTTTGCTATGTTGTCCAGGCTGGTCTTAAACTCCTGGCCTCAAGTGATCCTCCCATCTCAGCATCTCAAAGATCTGGGATTACAGGCATGAGCAATTCTGCCTCGACCAAAATACTCTTAAAGTGATAGAAAGATTTTATTTCTAAATTTGAAGGACTATGAGACAAACTATAGATTGCAGTAAAATCACAGCAATGTTATTAGAACAATTTTCCTCTCCATCCAAGTTTTGCTTTGACTTTGAATCAGTGTGAACCACATTGTTGTTATTGGCTTGCATTATCTTCATGAAGACTCTAATACAGCTGTGCACATAGCAATTGCTTGGAAATTTTGGTTTTGTTATCTTTGGAACTGCTTTTTTTAAGTATCTCTTCATAGCTTTCCTCATATGAAAAATATGTGAATGTGTGAATATCAATGATATTGCATACTGTATTAGTATGGCTTGCAGAAATTCCTGTCCTTCTCCCTTAGACTGAAAGACAGACTGGAGAGACTTAAGTTTTATAAGACTTAGATTTAAATATTTGCTCTATGATAAGCCAGTAATACACCTTTCAAAAGTCACTTTCCTGAGCCTTTTTCCCTTCATCTGTGTAATGCCAACAATATTATATTCCTCATTTCATATACTTACTGTGAAGATTAAATAATGTAGAAATTATATCAACTGTGAAGTGTTTAGGGAGCACATTTAAATCTCACAATACCTCTATGGGATGAGTATTACTTGCTTTTTATTTGTACAAATTTATTGGGTACGAGAAAATTTTTCTAACATGTATATAGCACATACTAAGTAAGGAGATTTAGGATGTCCATCATGAGGTACAATATATTTTTGTTAAGTATAGTTATCCTACACTGCTATTGTGTTAGTCAGGGTTCTCTAGAGGGACAGAAATAATAGTATATCTATGTTAAGTTTATGAAGAAGTATTAACTCACACGATCACAAGGTCCCAAAAGCTGAGGAGCAAGGAAGCCAGTCCAAGTGTCAAAGCTGAAGGACATGGAGTCAAATGTTTGAGCACAGGAAGCATCCCGCATGGGAGAAAGATGTAGGCTGGGAGGCTAAACCATTCTAATCTTTTCACATTCTTCTGCCTGCTTTTTATTCTGCCTGCACTGGCAGCTGATTCGATTGTGCCCACCCAGATTAAGGGTGGGTCTGCTTTTCCAGTCCACTGACCCAAATGTTAATCTCCTTTGACAACACCCTTACAGACACACCCAGGATCAATACTTTGCACCCTTCAATCCAATCAAGTTGATACTCAGTACCAACCATCACAGCTATCAAACATTAAACTCATTTTTTTCTATCTTTCTGTGTGTTTGTGCCCTTTAACCCACTTATCTTTATCCTGCCCTCTCCCCAAGACTCATCCTTCCAAGTCACTGTTATCTGTTTCCACCCTCTACCTCCACATGTTCAAAATATTTGGCTCCCACATACAAGTGAGAACATTCAATATTTATTTTTTTATGCCTGAATTATTTCACTTAAGATAGTGGCCTTCAGTTCCATCCATGTTGCCTCAAGTGAAATTATTCCACTATTTTATGGCAGACTAGTATTCCACTGTATATATATACTACATTTTTTAATCTATTTATTCATTGATGAACACTTAGGCTGATTTCATATCTTTGCCCTTGTGAATAGTGCTGCAATAAACATGCAAGTGAAGGTATCCCTGTGTTATGTTGATTTCTTTTCCTTGGGGAAGATACCTAGTGTTGGGCTCCTGGATCTATTAGTAATTCTGTGTTTTGTTTTTTGAGAAATCTCCATATTGTTTTCCATAGTGGCTGTAATACCCTACTTTCCCAACAACACTGTGTGTAAGTTCCCTTTCTCTGCATTATAATCAACATCTGTTACTTTTGGTCTCTTTAACTAAAGTCATTCTGATGGAGGAAAATGATATCTCTGTGGTTTTCATTTGCATGTCTCTTATGATTGCTGATGTTGAACATTTGTTATATACCTGATGGCTGTTGTATGTCATCTTTTGAGAAATGTCTATTCATGTCCCTTGGCCACTTTTTAATGGGATCTTTATTTTTTTAATCCTGTTGAGTTGTTTGAGCTCCTTATATATTCTGGATATTAGTCCCCTGTTGCATATATAGTTTGCAGTTATGTTCTCCCATTCAACAGGTTTTCTGTTTACTGTTGATTCTTTCTTTGGTCCACAGTAGCTTTTCAGTTTCAGTCCCATTTGTCTGTTTTTGTTTTTGTTACCTGTCTTTTGAGGTTTTAGTCATAAGTTAATTGCCCATATCAATATCCAAGAGAGTCTTCCCTAGGTTTTCTTCCAGTATTTTAAATTTTAAGTCCTACATTTAAGTATTTAATCCATTTGGGGTTGATTTTTATATATGGTGAGTGACAGAGTTTCAGTCAAGTGACAGGGTTTCAGTCTCATTCTGCTGCATATGGCTATCCAATTTTCCTGGCACCATTTATTAAAGAAGGAGTTCGTTTTCTAAAGTAAGTTCTTGTCAGCTTTGTAGAAGATCATTTGGCTGTGGCTTAATTTTTTGGTTCTGTATTCTGTTCTATCAGTCTATGTGTCTACTTTTGCACCCATGCCATTCTGTTGTGGTAACGATAGTCTTGCATTGTGTTTTGAAGTCAGGTAATGTGATGCCTCCAGCTTTGTTCTTTTTTATGTGTGTGTAATTTATTTTTATTTTCTTACTTCTATTTTTATTATAATTTTTATTTGAAGTTCAGGGATACATGTGCAGGGCTGTTATATAGGTAAACTGCATATCCTGTAGGTTTGGTGTACATATTATTTTGTCACTCAGGTAATAAGCACATAAGCACAATACCTAATAGGTATTTTTTAAAAATCTCTGCTCCTTCCACCCTCCACCCTCAAGTATGCCCTGATGTCTCTTGTTCTCCTCTTTGTGTGCATATGTTGTCATTGTTTAGCTACCATTCATAAGTGAGAACATGTAACATTTGGCTTTCTGTTCTTGTGTTTGCTTGTAATGGCCTCCATTGTGTTCTTGTGTTCTTGTGTTTGCTTGCGTTTGTCCTTGTGTTCTTGTGTTTGCTTGTAATGGCCTCCAGCTCCATTCATGTTGCTGCAAAGGACATGATCTAGCTCTTTTTTATGGCTGTGTAGTACTCCATGGTGTAGAGGTACCATTTTTTAAAATCCAGTCTATCATTGATGGGCATATAGGATGATTTCATGTCTTGTTATTGTGAATAGTGCTACAATGAATATTCATGTGCATGTATCTTTATGGTAATTTATATTCTTCTGGGTATATAGCCAGTGATGGGATTGCTGAGTTGTAATGCTTATAGCTATTTGAGGAACTGTCATACTGCTTTCCATAATGGTTGAACTAATTTGTACTCACACCAACAGTGTATAAGCATTCCCTTTTCTGTGTAACCTCACCAGCATCTGTTATTTTTGACTTTTTAATAATAATAGCCATTCTGACCAGTGTGAAATTGTATCTAATTGTGGTTTTGATTTGCATTTCTCTAATGATTAGTGATGTAAAACATTTTTCATATACTTTTTGGCCACATATATGTGTTTTTTTAAAGTGTTTGTTCATGGGTTTTGCCCATTTTTTAAATAAGATTGTTCTTCGCTTGTAAATTTGTTTAAGCTCCTTGTAGATTCTGGATATTAGATCTCTGTCAGATGCATAGTTTGCAAACATTTTCTTCTATTCTGCAGGATATATGATTCCTCTGTTTTTGGTTTTTATTATACTTTAAGTTTTAGGGTACATGTGCACAACGTGCAGGTTAGTTACATATGTACACATGTGCCATGTTGGTGTGCTGCACCCAGTAACTCATCATTTAACATTAGGTGTATCTCCAAATGCTATCCCTTCCACTCCCACCAGCCCAAAACAGGCCCCAGTGTGTGATGTTCCCCTTCCTGTGTACATGTGTTCTCATTGTTCAATTCCCACCTGTGAGTGAGAACATGCGGTGTTTGATTTTTTGTCCTTGTAATAGTTTGCTGAGAGTGATGGTTTCCAGCTTCATCCATGTCCCTACAAAGGACATGAACTCATCATTTTTTATGGCTGCATAGTATTCCATGGTGTATATGTGCCACATTTTCTTAATCCAGTCTATCATTGTTGGACATTTGGCTTGGTTCCAAGTCTTTGCTATTGTGAGTAGTGTCGCAATAAACACACGTGTGCATGTGTCTTTATAGCAGCATGATTTATAATCCTTTCGGTGTATACCCAGTAATGAGTGGCTGGGTCAAATGGTATTTCTAGTTCTAGATCCCTGAGGAATCGCCACACTGACTTCCACAATGGTTGAACTAGTTCACAGTCCCACCAACAGTGTAAAAGTGTTCCTATTTCTCCACATCCTCTCCAGCACCTGTTGTTTCCTGACTTTTTAATGATCACCATTCTTACTGGTGTGAGGTGGTATCTCATTGTGGTTTTGATTTGCATTTCTCTGATGGCCAGTGATGATGAGCATTTTTTCATGTGTCTTTTGGCTGCATAAATGTCTTCTTTTGAGAAGTGTCTTTTCGTATCCTTTGCCCACTTGTTGATGGGTTTATTTTTTTCTTGTAAATTTGTTTGAGTTCATTGTAGATTCTGGATATTAGCCCTTTGTCAGATAAGCAGATTGTGAAAATTTTCTCCCATTCTATAGGTTGCCTGTTCACTCTGATGGTAGTTTCTTTTGCTGTGCAGAAGCTCTTTAGTTTAATTAGATCCCATTTGTCAATTTTGGCTTTTGTTGCCATTGCTTTTGGTGTTTTAGACATGAAGTCCTTGCCCATGCCTGTGTCCTGAATGGTACTACCTAGGTTTACTTCTAGGGTTTTTAATGGTTTTAGGTCTAACATTTAAGTCTTTAATCCATCTTGAATTAATTTTTGTATAAGGTGTAAGGAAGGGATCCAGTTTCAGCTTTCTACATATGGCTAGCCAGTTTTCCCCGCACCATTTACTAAATAGGGAATCGTTTCCCCATTTCTTGTTTTTGTCAGGTTTGTCGAAGATCAGATGGTTGTAGACATGTGGCATTATTTCTGAGGGCTCTGTTCTGTTCCATTGGTCTATGTCTCCGTTTTTGTACCAGTGCCATGCTGTTTTGGTTACTGTAGCCTTGTAGTATAGTTTGAAGTCAGGTAGCATGATGCTACCAGCTTTGTTCTTTTGGCTTAGGATTGACTTGGCAATGCAGGCTCTTTTTTGGTTCCATATGAACTTTAAAGTAGTTTTTTCCAATTCTGTGAAGAAAGTCATTGGTAGCTTGATGAGGATGGCATTGAATCTATAAATTACCTTGGGCAGTATGGCCATTTTCATGATGTTGATTCTTCCTACCCATGAGCATGGAATGTTCTTCCATTTGTTTGTGTCCTCTGTTGATAGTTTTTTTTTTTGTTGTTGTTGTTTTGTTCTTTTTTTTTTTTTGCAGTGCAGAAGCTCTTTAGTTTAAATGAATTTTACTTCTTAATTTTTGTTTTTGTTACACTTATTTTTGGCGTCTTTGTCATAAAACCTTTACCAACTCCTATGTCCAGAATGGTATTTCCTAGGTTTTCTTGCAGCATTTTTTATAGTTTTATTACTTACATTTAAGTCATTAGTACATCTTGAGTTGACTTTTTTATATGTTGCAAGGAAGGAGTCCAGCTTCAATCTTCTGCATATAGCCAGCCAGTTATCCCAGATTTCTGGGCTCTCTATTCTGTTCCATAGATCTATGTGTCTGTTTGTGTACCATTAACATGCTGTTTTGGTTACTGTATCCTTGTAATATAATTTGCAATCAGGTAATGTGATGCCTCCAGCTTTGTTTTAACAATATTAATTCTTCCTATCCATGAGTGTGGTATACCTTTCCATCCATTTTTGTCATCTCTGATTTCCTTGAGCAGTGTTTTTAATTCTCCTTGTAGAGATATTTTACCTCATTGGTTAGCTATATTCCTAGATACTTTTTTACTTTTTGTGGAAATTGTGAATGGCATTGTGTTCCTGATTTGGCTTTGAGCTTAGACATTGTTGGTGTATAGGAATGCTGCTGATTTTTATACTTTTATTTTGTTTAATGAAACTTTTCTCTAGCTGTTTGTCAGATCAAGGAGATTTTAGGCAGACTATGGGGTGTTCTAAATATAGGAAAATGTCATATGCAAACAAGGAGAGTTTGACTTTCTCTCCTCCAATTTGGATGCCTTTTATTTCCTTCTCTTGTCTGATTGCTCTGGCCAGGACTTCTAGTACTGTGTTCAATAGGAGTGGTGATAGAAGGCATCCTCATCTTGTTCCATTTTTCAAGAGGAATGCTTCCAGCTTTTGCCCATTCTGTATGATGTTAGTTGTGAGTTTTTCATAGATGTATCTTATTATTTTGAAGTATGTTCCTTCAATGCCCTTAAAAAAACTCATCCACCATAATCAAGTTGGCTTTATCCCTGGAATGCAAGGTTGTTTCTACTGATACAAATCAATAAATGTGATTATTATATAAACAGAATTAAAAACAACACATACTTATCTTGATAGATGCAGAAAAGCCTTTTGATAAATTTCAACATCTGTTGATATTAAAAACCCTCAAACAACTAAGCAGCTTTGTTCTTTTGCTCAGGATTTATTTGGCCATTCAAGATCTTTTTTGGTTCCCTACGAATTTTAGAATAGGTTTATCTAATTCTGTGAAAAATGGCATTGGTATTTTGATAAAGATTAAATTGAATCCTTAGATTGTTTTGAACAACATTGTCCTTTTTATTATGTCAATCTTTCTATTTCATGAGCCTGAATTGTATCAAATGGTTTTTCTGCATCTATTGAGATAATAATATTTTTTCTTTATTCTGTTTATGTGATATATCATATTATTGATTGTATATGTTGAACTCTTCTTGAGTCCATGGTACAAATCCTACCTGATCATTACGTATTATCTTCTGATGTGCCATTTGATTTGCTTTGCTAATAGTTTGTTTAGGATTTTTATGTTTCTGTTGATCAGGGATATTGGCCTGTAGTTTTCATTTTTGTTATGTCCTTACCTGGGTTTGGTATCTAGGATAATGCTGACTTTGTCAAATAAGTTTGGGAGAATTCCCTTCTCTTTTATTTTTGAAAATAGTTTCAGGAGGCTTGTTATTAATTCTTAGTTGTATTTTTGGTATAATTTGTGAATTCATCTGGTCCTGGGCTTTTCTTTGTTGTGAGACTTTTTATTGTTCTTTCAACTCACTAGTCATTACTGGTTTTTTTCATATTTTCTATTTATTCTTCATCTAATCTTGGTAAATTGTATGTTTCCAGGAATGGATCCATGTCTTCTAGATTTTCCAGTTGTATAATTGTTAATAATAGTCTCTCATAATCTTTTGCATTTCTGAGGTATCAGTTGTAATGTCTCATTTTTCATTTTGGATTTTATTCGGATCTCCTTTGCTTGCCAAGTCTAGTGAATGCTTTATCAGTTTGTTTAATCTTTTTGAAAAACCAGCTTTTAATTTTATTAATCTTTTGTCTTGAATTTACTTTATATTTTATATAGTTATGCTCAGATCTTTACTATTTCTTTTGTTAATTTTGCAGTAAGTTTGCTCTTGCTTTTCTAGTCTCTTGAGACATTTTGTTGGATTGTTAATTTCTAAACTTTCCCCTTTTTGTGTAAGCATTTATTGCTATAAATGTCCCTCTTAGCACTGTTTTTGCTTTATCCTACATGTTTCTGTATGTTGTGTTTTCATTGTCATTTGTTTCAAATAATTTTTTTATTTTCATCTCAGTTTTTTCATTGACACAATGGTCATTCAGGAGCATGTTGTATAATATATATATATATATATATAAACATATATATAATTATATATATATAAACCATATATATATGGTTTCCAAAGTTTTTACTAGTATTAATTTTTAGTTTTCTTTTATTATAGACTGAGAAGATACTTGATTAAATTTTAATTTTAAAAAATCCTCTTAGAGTTTTTTGGTGGCCAAACATATGGGCTATGCTGGAGAATGTTTCATGTTCATATACATTCTTTAAATCAGAACATGAAACATTCTCCAGGATAGCCCATGTATTAGGCATATGGGCTATAATATGGACTAGCATAAGTATGAATGCATGTGGTTTTTAGATAGAATGTTTCATAATGTTTCTTAGATCCATTTAATCTAAAGTCCAGTTTATATCCAATTTTTTTATTAATTTACAGACTGTAGGATCTGTCTAAGGCTGAAAATGGGATGGTGAAATACTCCACTAGTTGATTTCAATATCATTACATAATGACTACTTTTTTGCTATTCTTAAGTTAAAATCTGTATATCTAACACAAGCATAGCTACTCCTGCTCACTTTTGGTTTCCATTTTCATGCAATATCTTTTTCCATCCCTTTCTTTCACTCTATATGTATCTTCACTGGTAAAGTGAGGGTTTTTTGTTTTGTTTTGTTTTGTTTGTAAGTAGCATATAGTTGGAGCATTTTTTAAATCCATTTTGCCATTCCATATCTTTTAAGTCCATAATTTAACTTGTTTACATTCAAGATTATTATTGATATGTAAGACTTTGTTTCTGTTATATTATTAATTGTTTTGTTTGTTTTGTATATTCTTTATTCCCATCCTTTTTTTCTAATGTTTCATGATTGTGATTTGGTGTATTCCTGTAGTGGTATCATTTGAGTAGCTTCTATTCCTCATTTGTGCGATTGCTTTCATAGTTTGTACACTTGTTTTCATGATGATAAATGTCATCTTTTTGCTGCTAAGTTTGGGACTCTCTTGAACATTTCTTTTAGGGCCAGTCTAATGGTAATGAATTCCCTCAACATTTCATCATCTGGGAATTATTTTATTTTTTCTTCGTTTATGAGAAAAATTTCGTTGGATATAGTATACATTGGGGATAGTTCCTTTATTTTAGGACTTTGAATATATTATCCCATTCTCTTATGGACTGTGAGGTTTCTGCTGAGAAATTTGCTGTTAGACTGATAAGATTTCTTTTATAGGTAATTAGGCACCTTTCTTTTGTTGATTTTAGGATTCGCTCTTTATCTTTGACTTTACACAGTCTTATTATAATGTGCTCTGCAGAAGACATTTTTGCATTGTATCTATCTGGGGGTCGTTGAGCCTTCTGTGTGTGAATGTCTAAATCTCTTGCTAGACTTGGGAAGTTCTCATCTATTATTTTACTGAATAGGTTTTCTAATCATTTCTTTGTTTCCACTTCCTTGAGGATACCAATAATTGATAAATTTGGTCACTTTATGTTATCTCAAATGTCATAAATGTTTTGCTTATTCTTTTTTATTTCTTTCTTTCTTTCTTTCTTTCTTTTTTTAAGAAGGAGTTTCACTCTTGTTGCCCAGGCTGGTGTGCCAGGGTGCAACCTTGGCTTACTGAAACCTCCACCTCCCAGATTTCCTGCCTCAGCTTCCTGAGTAGCTAGCAGTACAGGCACCTGCCACCATAACTGGCTAATTTTTGTATTTTTAGTAGAGATGAGGTTTCACCACGTTGGCCAGGCTGGTCTCGAACTCCTGAGCTCAGGTGATCTGCCCGCCTCAGCCTCCCAAAGTGCTGGGATTGCAGACGTGAGCCATCGCGCCAGGCCTCTTTATTTTTATCTGACTGAATTATTTCAGGATATCTGTCTTCAAGTTCTGAGATTTGTTTTTCTATCTAATCCAGCCTATTGTTGAAGATTTTAAGCCTTTTCCCATTTAGAAAAAAAAAGTACAACTCACTGCCAGTACTCATTAAATTTTACATAAACATACTTTTTGAGGCTGACGCAAATCCAACTGATTTTCAATGTGAAAATAAAATATAAAAACTGTTCTTGGAGTTATTTCATCAGAATCTCTTTTCTTTTTTTTTTTTTCTTTTGACAGTCTTGCTCTGTCGCGCAGGCTGGAGTGCAGAGGCACCATCTCAGCTCACTACACCCTCTACCTCACAGGTTCAAGAGATTCTCATGTCTCAACTCCCCGATTAGCTGAGATTACAGGTGTGCACCATCACACCCAGCTAATTTTTATATTTTTAGTAGAGAGGGTTTTCACCATGTAGGCCAGGCTGTTCTCGAACTCATGAGCTCAAGTGATCTGCCTGCCTTCATCTCCCAAAGTGCTGGGATTACAGGTGTGAGCCACCACACCCTGTCCTGTGGTTGTTTTTTAAACTACCTGTCTTTTTATTAGATTTCTCAGTCATATCCTAAGTTAGTTTTCTATTTTTCTGTATTTTTCCTCATAATTATCTTGTATCTCACCGAGTTTTTAAAAATAAATATTTTGAATTCTTTATCCTGAATTTTGAAAATGTGTTTTTGTTTAAGATCTATTGCTGGAGAATTATTTTATTTCTTCAAAAGTGTCATAATTTTCTGCTTCTTAATGTTTTCTCTTCCTTTACATTGATATCTTCACATCTGATGTAATAGTCATTTCTTTTTATTTTTGAATTTTCCCTCATAGGGAAAGACTTTTTCTTTTTCATTCTTTTTTTCTCTCTCTCTTTTTTTTTTTTAAGAATGTACAGGTTTGTTACATAGGTAAACATGATGTGCCATGGTGGTTTGCTTCACCTATCAACCAGTTACCGAAGTATCAAGCCCCACACGCATTAGCTATTTGTACTGATGCTCTCCCTCCCCTTACTGCCCGACAGGCTCCAGTGTGTGTTGTTTCCCTCCCTATGTTTATGTGTTCTCATTGTTCACCTCCCACTTATGCGTGAGAACACGCAGTGTTTGGTCTAATATCCAGAATTTACAAGGAACTTAAACAAATTTATAAGAAAAAAACAAAAACAACCTCATCAAAAAGTGGGCAAAGAACATGATCAGATACTTCTCAAAAGAAGACATTTCTTTGAAGATTTATCTGTGCTGATGGTTAGGTGGGGTACTTGACTTTGATTCTGTGTGTGTGCAATAGTGTAATCTCTGTATCATTTTGTTGGCTGTAAATAGCATTAGTGGTCTCTATGAATTTCTCAGTGTGCTAGGGTCTGGTTAAGAGTGGAGGCTGTTTTAAAGTTGTGCTGGGGATGGGGATGTCAGGTAGGCTAGTCTTCAGGCCTCAGCTGTGGCAGAGGTGAGCTGTGTATGCCTGTCTTTGTACCACAGGACAATATACACTGGCACTGGTATTGGCTGTTAGTAGTCGGCTGATTCTTTGGCCTCCTGGTGGCTTTCTTGGATGCTTGTAGTGAAAGTGGTAGATCTACTGGGCCAGTGGGTTCTCATGCCCTTCTGCACCCAGTGTGGCATGGGTGATGGCAGTAGCAGTGGTGGGATGATTCTATAGGTTTCAAATGTTGTATATTGATATTTGCAATGACTGCTATGAGCTGGGTGGGAATGTGTTTAGGCCTGCAGTTGCTACTTACAAGTAGTTGCCAGCTGAGGTGCAGCAGCCAAGTGTTTAGGTTTAACCTCAGGCCCCTCAGAGGAGTGCTTATGTGCCTATGATTATGGATTTGGTTGGGCAATTCCCAGGACCCCAGGCTATGTGCTCTGTTTTGGAGGGAATGGCGAAGCCACTCTGGGTGGACTAGGCCTCAGGCACCCTAATAATAAGAGTAGGTTCCAGCCCCAGTGGACAGGAGATGGGTGATTCTCAGGCCCCAGCAGAGGGCTCAGGTGAGGGCAGTAGCAGCCATGAAGAAGCCCTATTACTGGAGAAGGTGGGACCATTCACCTTTGCCACAGCCTGAGATATGGGTGGGGAACATATTTTTTCTTTATATTTCAGCCTCTGGTCTGGTGATCGTAGCCTGCACTTAACTTCTACACCCAATCAGGCTGCAGGAGCCTCCGCCCAACTCAAAACCAAGTCCCAGCAGCAATTCACATCCTCATCTCAAATCCCAGCAGCACTTGCTTCCTGGCACTGGCCAGTGTTGCCCCTGCCTCTCTTGCTTCCTAGCCCTGGCTGCAGAATGCTCCTAGCTCATTCCAAACTTGTTCTTCTATCTCAACAATTGACAGCACAACTTTTCGTATTGCCCCTATCCCAGTGCCACTGGATCCCAGGACAGCATGTAGTTTGCTAATGGTTAGGTTTGAAAATGATGTTTTGCTTTACCTGCTTTGGTCTGGTCTCAGAATGGATGTACGGCCCCTTACAAGCTCCCTCCCTGGGGAAGTTCTGTCCCACCATCTCCTGGCAGCTTTCTATTTCAGTTTCAGAGGTTGGGAGGGCCAAGCAGTTTTCCTGCAGCCAAGATCGCATGATTCCATGGTGGTAAGCCTCTTACTTTGGGTAAGCATTACTCTTATCTCCAGTTTATAGTAAGGAAATTGAGAGAATATTTAAAATGCCCAGGATCACACAGTGGCTAATTCAGAGATTTAGGCTTTGAAGACGGGATGTCTGGTTTTATATTCTGTGCTCTTAACCCCTATGCTATACAAATTGCCTAGCACAGAGTTCATGACCATTAAATACTTAAAACTCTCTCTTCCACTGACTTGGTTCATATACTAGACAACAAATTAATTTTAGGATGCATATTTAAAAATTCTTGTCACCAAATTTTAATAATCTGTGATCCCTTCTTGCTAATTAAAATCCAAAGCTGCTTAGCTTTCTGGCTATGGTATAAATCACCTCCTTTAATATTTTTCATCACATTTTTATCTCTTCTTCTGCAGAAGCCATCCCTGGATGATTGAAGTCTTTTTTCCACATCTTGTTGGAATGCTTTAAATATTTATAATTTTACTTTTTATTTAAAATTTAAAGTAACTTTTTTTCCTCTTTGATCTCATGATAATACACATTCTCCCAGTTTTATTTGTATCTCTATTATCAAGTTTTATTTTTTTTCCTGACCCCTACTGCACTGGCCTTCTAAATGTTGAAGTTTTTCCACCTGGACTAGATCTGTACATGTCTACATATTCATTTACATTACATCAGGAAAGCCAATATTTATCCGATAAAAATGCATATAACCAGAATTGGCACCACTGTTATTTCAGGGCACAGAGTAGATTTAAGGACTCACTGCTGAAGCCATCACCCCCTTATATTGCATGCCTTCTCTTTCACTGTATGTTTTATTCTCAATGATGTTTACACATTCGCCTTCCTGTGGTTACCAGCTCTCTCTATATATACACCTTTTTATAGTCTCTTAGCTTCGTTTTGTACTACTCCCACTGCTAAAGGATTCATTTTTTTGAGTTATCTAGCTCAGATTTTTAAGACAGTAGACATTTATGTTATGTGACACTTTCTGTGATCTGGCAGCTGCCTCCATCTATAGCCTCATTTTGAGTTATGTACTCCCAGGGTCACTGTATTCTATCATATTGCTCACTTTCTGGTACTAAAATGCCTCCAGACTTATCCCACCTCAGTTCCTCTGTTCCTGTTTTTTTTTTTTTTTTTCCTTCTGGAATAGCTTCTGCTCTAATTTTGCATGGCTAACACTTTCTCATCTAAAATAACACATTTCTTGACCATTTGATCTACTAAACCCTTTCAAAGACATTTCAAATTCCTCTAGTTTGTATACAGCATTTATAATTATCAAAATGTATGTTAACTGTTCGTTTATTTGATTTCCTTTTTAGTACATATTTCCTCCCATCAATACCAGAGCTCAAAGATCATGGCAAGAAAGACAGATTTTTTCTTTCATAATTATATCTGCAACACATTCTGCTCAATGTTTGACCAAGTTATTTTATTTTTAACATAAGTTAGCACTATTTAATAAGATATTAAACTAGACACATCTCCAAATTTTTTAATCATTTTAGTTAAAGTAAATATGTATTTTTCGTTTTTAAAATGCTTCCACTTAAACAAACTTCTATGAGCTGGGAAGATACAGAAATGTCCTGCTCATATCTGCCTGCAGGGAAGATTAGCTATCAGTATTTTGAAAACTGTTCTCATTTGTAGAGGGCCACTCTAGCCAAGGCAATGCTCTTCTCAAGGCAGCCCACATTTGGTAATCAAGATGTGATGTTAAAGATGCCTGGCCATTTTTTGATTTTATCTTCATTTCATTCTCAAGTATTGGTCCCTAATAGATAACTTACACTACTCCTCCTTTCTAAACCTAAAAGAGTTGATACAGGAAGTAGTTCAAGATGAAATTTGAGAGTAGAATCATTCACCACTAGCATGGCATTAAGGAACATACCCCTGGTAGTAGGTAGTTCAAAGTTGAAGTCAAATTGTTAAAATAATGTGGTGATGAATTGAAATTATCCCAGTAGGAGGAAATGCACAAGTAAATGTAATACTTCAGGCATTGAAGAGTTATATAAACAAAAATAGCAATAAATTAACTGATTAAGTGGCTACTGCCAAGCACCAATGATGCTCTACAGAAGATATGAAACATATGAGGGCAATAAACAGGCAATTGAAAGCCAGGTGTTAAAAAAAAAGCATCATTTAGCTGCATATGAAGAAACCTAATCTCCTGCAGAGAAAAAGTAGAGAAGGCCAAAAATCAAATACAGGAATTTGTATTCTGAAAAAATAAACATGAAATAAAATTAAATGCCCAACAAAGACAGCTTTAATATTCCAAGCTTATGTCCCTCTTGGGGAAATGCTAGGCTATTGAATATGACATAGAGATATAGAGAATAGCCCTGAAAATTCTGACTCCTTGAATTTTTAGCCTACAAAAGTCTTCATTCTTCTCTAGCGAAAGCCAGCACGTTTTCCTTGTTAGTTAACAATACAGAAGCTTTTCTTCCCCAAATAAATAACTGAACCCATACCCTCTCCATTCCTGGTCACAAGTCAGGTCAATAAATAATGTTATGTAGCATTAGGCCCTGGCATGGAGTGGGCTGGTTCTGATAGGAAAGTTAAAATTTGTACCTCAAAAAAGCCAGTGTAATACACATGATAATATATTCTCAAAATGCTTGATCAAGGGAGTTGGAACATAACATTAGATAGGAAGATTATTGATTTGGTTGCACTGTCCCAAGATTCCCTAGACTCTGGCAAGAAACCTAGAAAATGGTATGAATCTATTATTAGGATCACTTCTAGAATGGAACAAGTGACTTATACTGAGAAAAGATGAAATTTTGGAATATCCATTAGTGGAGCAGAAAGCTAATGGAGGTACTTATATTAGAATAAATATACTATGCATGTTCTGGAAGAACTAATAGATGTTGTATTCCATGAGGAGTCATAGGTTATACATTATTTACCAAAACCATTTAATATGTTGGTGAGAAGGCACAAGCATCACTCGGAATTCAGTGATGTTTCTCTTCTGTAGGTCAAGACTAACGGGTGGACTAATTTTTAGCCTACAAAAGTCTTAGATAATCTGGCTCACTGAGAGCAATGGAGGTAATAGAATCAAGCTTCCTCTCAACAGGGGGCAGGGGGCATCACTTAATCACACACTTCAGGTGAATACAATTATTACAATTCCCAGGAAGGTGAGAGTGTGAGTCAAGAGGTCGTGGACCACAGAGAATTACAGAGAAATATAATGGACACGGCATCCTGAGGGAAAAATAGATTGGTAGCATTAAGTGTATTCCTCTTATTGTGCCAGTAAAAAAATAATCAAGTATTAATAACCAATAGCTTGATAGTAGTTAACTCAATAAGAATGATCTTAATGTAGTCATTGGATCTTGGGTCTAAAGAACCAGCTCAATCCTGAGTAAGTATTGGACCCAAGGTCAATGATGGAAATATGTCTATGTCCCCAGGAGATAGAAACTTGTTAGACTAAGTATACATTATAATGAATTCCTCAGTTATTTCTCCAAGGAATTTAGGATCATTTATCTGCTAATTGCACAAAGGGGAAGAGGGAATAGTTAGACATTGTAAGTAATCTTGGACGTGAGGACTGAGTTGAATTTGAAACTCAGAAACTCAAAGTGTCAACATGATATCTCTCTGAAAGTGGAGTCATGTGAGATTCAGGTAATAAATGGAATCCTAGACAAGGTATGCTTTGTAAAGGGTTTACTTGGTTTGTAAACCCACCTATTGGCCATTTTCCTCTTCCATAAATGTACAATTGGTTTTGACATATTTGGTCATCCATAAATATACAATTGGTTTTGCAATATTTGGTAGGTGGTGCAACTCAAACATTGCTCTCTTTTTCTTTTGGAAAAGACCTATCATAGCAGGGAAGGGCAAATAAAAGGCTCTGAAACTACTTCCTCTAATCAAGCAATATTTTATCTCTCAGAGCATGATAGAGTTGGTATTACTCTTAAAGATATAACTATGGCGGTCTCCACTTAATTCCTGAGTCTGCTTCTATAGAAAACAGAGTACTACTAAAAGATGAATGCAGATCACTTCAAGTTCACCCAAATAGTAGCTTTGATTGCAGCAGCCTTATAATAACATGGCTAGGACAGATTACTATGACTTCAAGTATATATCATGTGGCCATTAATATGGCAAACTCATCATTTTCTACCCTAATCAATAATGAGGAACAGAATGAGTGTGCGCTTTCATAGAAAAGACAACAATATTTTTCCTCTTGGCCATGATAACTCTCCTACCTTCCTTTGCAGTATACTTTGAAAAAGTCTGAACAGTGTGGGTATTCTGAAAAATAACACATATACTTATTGCATTGATAATATTATGTTAATCTGGCCTGATGAGCAAGATATAGCTAACAAGCTGAAGGTCTTGTTATGACTCAAATACTGAAGTGTGTAGGAGAGAACCATACTGATATATTTAAGAGCCCCAAAAGGTCAGAGGCATGTCAGAACATCCCATATAAATGACAGACATTTTTGTGTTATTTGTATAACACATTTTTGTGTTATTTGTATAACACATTTTTGTGTTATTTGTATTTTAGTATTTTACACCTTCTACTACAAAGAAGAAAGCACAATGCTTGTTAGAGTTTTTTAGGTTTTGTGGAAAATACATTCAACATATTTGGATATTACTCTGGCCCATATACTGGGTGAAATAAAAGGCTTCCAACTTTGGGTGTGGCCTGGAAAAATAAAATAATATTCAGTAGTTCCAGACTGTGATGCAAGTAGTCCTAAATGTTATGCCATACAAGCTGGCATATGACATATGATTCAATATATTCCATGTGGAGTTTGTGGTAAGTGCCCATGAGAAAATTATAATGCTGACCCATGCGGTTCTAGACAAAGCCATGCCATCTGGAGTGAGAAGAATAATACTTTTTTTTTTTTTTTTTGGCAAAACAGTTCCTGTTATGCTATAAAGTGCTGGCAGACTTAACTCCTGAAACACCAAATGGCTATTTGGCCAGAACCACTCATAAACTTTTGTGGCTGAGCTACTAACTATTGTAAAAAGGAGGCATTATACCTGAGATTGTGTGCACACACATGACCAGGGGTTTCAGCAAACTATATGAGCAGGTAACCCGGACCCCCATGGGACTTACCACTCCTACCAATGTTCATTCTTCAATCTATACTTACAACTTATAGGTAATCTCAAGTATCCCCCTGGTGGAAATAAGCCTGAACTAATTTTATAGATAAGTCAATTCCATACATGAGTGCAAACTGAAAAACACATATCCACACTAAAGGTGACCTTGAAAGACAGTGGAAAGGAAAATGCTTTCCATTGGGCAGAAGTTCAAACATTGCATGTGTCTTTCAACCTTGTGTGAAAAGAGAAGCTTACCCAAATTTAGAACATATGCTCACTCATATTCATGGAAAATGACTTCTTGGCTAGTCAGAGGGCTAAACAAAAATATTTGAAGATTATAAATAAGTAGGTTCAGGAAATAGGCATATGGATAGATATATGGGCTTGGGCACAAAGTATAAAAATCTTTGTATCCTATATGAATGCCCATAATAGAGCATCTACTGTGATAGAGGCACTAAATACCCAAATAGATAGAATGATCTGTCCTGGTGGTATCAGCCACAGTGCCCATGGCCACTCCAGTAATAGCATAATAGGAAACTGGACCAACTGACCAAAATGGTGGAGATTGAAGAGATACATGAGCCTAAAAGCATGAATTCCCATTATCAAGTCTAATTTAGTTACTGTTGCTTCCACATGTCTAAAAACTGCTGGCTAGTAGACACCAGTGCTGAGCCTCTGATATAGAACTTCTCTTTGATATGACTAATCAGCCACTTGGTGTCAAGTTGATTATATGGGTCTCTTAATAGTTCCTGAGGTTTTTTTTCCTCAGGAATAGACACATATTCCATATATGACTATAATTTTCTTTCTCATGGGCTTCTAGGTAGCACCACTATCTGAAGATTTATTTAGTCTTTGATCCACTAGCGTGAGATCTGATATAATATTGCTCCAGACCAAGGAGGCATTTTACAGCCAAGGGGGTCTGTGAGACAGCCCATGATCATGATCATGAGATCTGTTGGTCATATCACATGTCAACCAAAACCAGGTGACCCGATAAAACATTGTAACAACCTGCTAAAGTCAAAGCTCAACCACCATATCAGAGGCAGTACTTTTTAAGGATGGATTGACACTGCATAGGATGCATATACACATTAAAGGAAAGATATAGGGTGCTGTCTCCCCAGTGCAGAAAATATATGGATTCTGGAACCACCAGGTGTTTGTAGTAATGCCCCACACTCCATAATTTCCTGTGAACCACTTGGGATAATTGTACTCCCATCCCTGCAACTCTGGTTGTGTAATACTAGAAATGCCATTCCCTAATGAAAGAAAGATTTTGCTAGAGGCTATGTGTTAATCTGGATTATAATCTATGGCTCCTGCTTGGACATTTTGCATCAATGGATTAGCAAGCAAGACAAGAAACTACTGCTTAGTAAAGGTAATAGATTTTAATAATCAGAAGGAAGCAGGGCTGCAATTTCATAGTAGGGGCAAAAAGGAATGCGTGTATGAGACTCAAATGATTCCCATTGCTGTCTCTTTATACCTTTATATTCATTCATGACTGTAAATGAAGAGGTACAATCATGCCAGCTTGGGAAGTGTATGGTAGACAGGGCTTTAAATACCTTGGGGATAAAGAACTTCAAAAGGTGTTTGCTGACAAAGGGGGATCTGAAATGGAGAATACAAGAGGGAAATCTGTGTGTCAATTGAAGCACTGAGAAAAACTCTAGTCACCTTTTTATCACCTTTCATTTTCATGTTTTCTCTCAGGAAGAGGACCAAAAACCCTAGAGGGTCAGACACTCAAATATATAGAGAAAAGTGGATTTGAGTAGACTTTCTTATGCTGACCATATCCATGTTCAAGAAAGTAGTTGCTGTCCAAGGGTGGAGAGAGAAGTATGCAGACAATATATAGGTGTGTGCTCCCCAGGGTCATTCTATTCAGGAGATGATCATTTCCCTCAATGCCATGTACTTCTCAGGGGAGCTTGCAGACAGTGATTTAGAGAGGCAGAGGTGTAAAGCCCTGCCATTTCAGCCTGTCTCAGGACAACTCTAACATGCTATATTCACTCCAGAAATCCCTTCGTGGTTTTTGAAGGCTTAGTTTAGTCTGTTTCAAAACTCAACTTCTTCTTGTTTGATCCTGTTTTCACACTGTTTGTGGATTCAATGTCTAATAGCATCCTATAGCCAATCTCCATCTCATGGTTACATTCTGGAAAAAACAACATAGAATAGTATGCTACCTCTTTTGGATACATTGGATGACTAGCCTTCTGCTAAAAGAAACAAATAGATGTCTCTTTATATAAAAGGTTATTAAATTTGAGATCATGGTTGGATCTTAGAAGGCCAGGGAATTCTAACCTATTTCAGGTAAGTGGTGTATAGATTTATGTAGTGGTGATTTACCTGTGTTTATTGCATGTTAATTTTTTCCAAGAATAGGAAGCACATATATTTACAAGAAGGAATACATAATTTTTACTCAATTTCCAAACTGTGTGTGATTAAAATAAGTTTGATTTACTGCCGTATATGCAGAAAGTATATTTTTTGATGATCTTAAATATCTAACTGCTTCAGAGATGACAGATAATAATTTAAACAGTTGAACATTTGTTCTATATATGTTCCAATAAATTAATAACATTTTTATTAACACTATGTGCAGATATAGAATTGAGGATAAAATGTTCATGAGCTGAGGGAAGTGTAAGAAAAACGGTGAATAAACCTCCTTCAGAAACTTCCACTAGAGATGTTTACCATATGGTTTTGTTTATATTATTTTATCTGTGAGGATACACAATATTTTTTTCACAAATAAGAAAAAGATGTTTTTTGATGTAGCCAGGAAGCATTTTGAAAGCATTTTCTGGCTTATGCTGCCAAAATTGAATTTGCTTCATATATTTGAGAATACCAGAGGCTAATTTCTTGGTAATTTTATTAATAAGTTACAGAATGTAAATTATATTCATTATGTTATTGAAGCTATTTCAAGATGTCTGAGGGTTTGGCAGTTACTTTCATACCCTGTAGCTTCCTGGACTTAGTAATTAATCAGCTTTGACTGCTCCAGATGTAACTGACTTTGAAGAATAATCTCACAAAAGATCACAATCACACAGATGCATTAGTTGTTTAGCATTCTTGTTTTTAAGATTTAAATAATCTTAGAGTCTTCATTTAAATTATTAAAATAAGTATAAATGTATTTTTATGCAAAGATTAGAATTTGCATAAGGATTAGAATTTCTTTGTTCAGTCCACTATTTTCCAATAGAAAGTAATAGTCACCGTATACTAATATGAATAACATTTTTAATTAACGTGCAAAGAATGCTAGAATTAATTTCAGTGATGCAGCACTGTAATGACATTCAATAAAAGAAACAAGGAAACTACTGAAGGTTATAGATACATATTTTCCAATTATTCTGACCATCTTCTATTCTTTCAAAAGAGGTGTGCTTCACTGATATTTGAATGTAAAAAGCTATGTTTAAATTGAAGAAGTTTCTGGAAATCTTGTCAGTAACATTGTCCTCAGAAAATACTTAAATATAACCCAAACATACATAACATTGAGTGAAATAAATCCAGACTTTCAAAAATAGTAAAAATTATCTAGTGATAGGGGTCCTGACAGGTGGCTATCTTCTCCCTTTATTATAGAGGAACAAATAAAATCAACTCAAAAAAGTCTATTTTAGTAGTAAAAAAAATAATCTGTCAGTAGAACGTTATTCTAGCTCCAGAGGAAAAACAGTTAATTTTCAAAGAGCCGATTATGGAATTTCCACAATATGGTGGAAATATAAGGCCAGCCTCACATACAGGCCAGCCTGGGGAATCATGGGCTGACATCACAGAAAATAATGTATTCTCCTAAGGAAAAACAAAACATATCTTTGTATTCTGGGATGGCCTCACTTTATCTTTATAACATCTTCAGTTGCAGATAGCAGGAAAGAGGCATTAATAAAAGGTAATGATTCACACATTTTAGCACTACTTTACAGTTGGGAAGCCTGAGACTTCTTGAGCACATGTGCTGACCCAGTGCAGCATTGTATTCCAACCAGGCAAGTCAATGGCAAAGGCAAGACAACAGCCCAGCTTCCAGCATTCTGTCCTAACCAGAGTCCTAACAAATTCTTTCCTCCTCCAGTATCTACCATCAAAAATACCACTTATGTCTCTAGTTGTTAAAATCTATTTTATACTGTGAAATGTTTATTTTTATTCTGTATTGTGTGTACTGTTAGATGCTTTCACATGTTGTGTTTAATCACTGTGAGATCCTGAATAGATTATGCTTATTGTCCCTATTACTCAGACAAGAAACAAATAGACAAAAGTTAGATGCACAGCCAGAAAAACATTATTTGTAGGAGTATAGGGATGGCATACAGATCTGACTCAGCGTCCTTTTCTCCTGAATATAAAAATCTGCCACTTTACATCCATTTATATATACAAATTTAGGGATACTCATTTTGAATTGCTATCTTTTCCTGGGAAATTAAACATTATAAACATTGTAAAATAATCTATTTCTAGTAATGATTTTTATACAAAGGTCTATTTTATCATCTATTAAATTGTGTGTGTGTGTGTGTGTGTGCGCATATTTGCATGCTATATAATTATTATTATTATTCTTAGAGACAGTCGGTCACCTAGGTTGGAGTGCAGTGACATGATCTTGGCTCACTGCAACCTCTGCCTCCCAGGTTCAAGCAATTCTCCTGCCTCAGCTTTCCAGGTAGCTGGGATGATAGGCACACACCACCATGCCCAGTTAATTTTTGTATTTTTAGAAGAAACGGAGTTTCAGCATGTTGGCAAAGCTGGTGCGGTCCATCTGGTTCAGCCTACCAAAATGCTGGGATTACAGGTATTTGCCACTGTGCCTACCTGCTATATTATTTTTTTATTTCCATTTCGGCATTTCTCCATCCTTATATTTCAACCAGCTGTGTCCCTTTTAATCTATATAGCAATTTTTTTATGCATTTAACATTCTTTATTTGTAATTGGAACATTTAGGTGCCTTAACTAAATTTAATCACTGATATACCTTTTTCCATCTTTTTTGATGGACCACTTAAAAGACATATTACATTTTCACTGTATTTCTTTCATAGTTACGTACTTATTTACTATTTTGTCTGGTGGTTACACAAAGGTTCAAACTTGTATCTTTATCTTATGAAACTCTAATGTTGAGTGATATTATTCTCTTCTTCCTGCAAAAGAAAAATATTTTTACCTACTTTCTAACATCTATGCTATTTTTCATGTAATTTATGTCTATAGTATTTAAACCCTAGTAGATATTACTATTTATATTATATATAGTCAATAGTCATTTAGATTATCCCATATATTTAGCCTTTCATTGATGTTATATTATTTTCTGTATCTCTGAAATTTCCTTTGAAATTACAACCCTCTGCAGGAGAAATATCCTTTAGTAGTTTCCTTGGTGCAGGTTTGCTGGTTGCAAAACCTCTATTTTTGTTTTAACATTCCTAAAACTGTATTTTGTTCTTGGTGTACATTTTCATTAAATGTTAAATTCTAGGCTAGCAGTTTTGTTTTTTAAGCACTTTAAAGGTATCATGGCATTATCTATTGGACTCAACCGATTACGTTGTAAAGTCATCTGCAACTCTACTCATTGCTCTTATAAATGTATTATCCACTTATTTTATCACTACTTTTGACATTTTTTTCTTTGTCCTTATGCTCACTAATACATCATAGTGTTGTGTTTTAATGTGGATTTATTTTTGTTTACAATTTGCATTAGGTTTCTTTATTTTGTGGATTCCTGTCTTATATCAGATTCTGAAAGTTTTTGACAAATATTTCTTGCAATGTTTTTCATCTTCATAATCACTTTCCCCTCTTTCCAGGACTCAAATTGCTTATGTTGGTCATATTCATTGTGTATAACTTTCTAACCATTACTCATCTAATTACGACACGGTAGCAGTCAGTGAGAAAAAAACTGTACCACGATTTTCATACTACTTGAAAATTGATGTCATTAGACATTAAATTTTCTTACCACAAACAAATGATAAGTATATGAGGTGACTGATATATTACTTTCATTTAATTATTTTGCCATGTATCAAAATATCATCAAATGTATCAAAATATCATGCTGTACACCATAAATACGTACAATTGTAATTGTATAGCATACCTTAGTGAAGCTTGGAGAGAAAAAGTGTTGCTAAAACTGTTGGACCTCTTTGAGGAACAATAAAAGTAACAGCCTCCTAGAAGTTTCCTTCTTAGTCTTTAACTTTTTCGTTTTCTTTATTTTTGATAGATCAAATATCATGGGACTAAATGATGTTAAAAACAGGTTGATTAAACTCTTCAATTATCTGATGAGAAAAAATTCTAGCAAGATCAAATGGGATGGGAAATGCTTTCTAAGCATTTCATGAAGAAGCTGGAGTTTGAGGTTCAATCTCTACAGTGATAAGCTCTAATCCAGTAATTATCTAAAATCCCATGTGCTTTCCTAAATACTTATTCTGAAGTGATAGACCTGAAGATCACCTTGGTAAGACAAGATTTTGAGCCTCTTTGGATTCAGTTTCTGCCTTTTTATTTGCGGTCAGTTAACTAGTTAGCATTTATTAATTGTCTTTTGTTTGTACCAGAGGTTCTAGGTTTATAATGTTTATTGGTGATTATCTAAGCTTAGAGTAGAAAAAATAAATAGGGTGTGTTCTCTGGACATGAATAAAGTAGTATCACCAAATATGTTTGTCAGAATTCCCAGAAATGGAAAAGTTTACATGTAAAAGTGTCGAAAGCCTTTGAAATATTGTCTGGGTGTTCATAATCCAAAGCATGGAAAAATAGTCACTTAATCCTCCAGTAGTAGGGTTTTGTTTCTCAGATTTTAGTTAGACATTTTCACATTTAAATTTTACTAATACATTTAATAATTTTTATTGAGTGCCTACTCTCTGCCAGACAACCAATGAAGAAATATGTATGTGCTTATTGTTAACATATTAATAGAGTTTACAGATCAAAAATGAAAAGGCCTTTTCTAACCATTTTTACTAATTTTCTGATGAGAAATAAAGGTCTCTGTAGGCATTGATGCAATGGATAAGGCTTTCAGAATTCTTGAAAGGGCTCTATTATGTATGGTTATGTTGTAACTTGACCTATTTTTCCAGTTCTGTCTCTTCACAAAGCCTTTTATTTTCTGCATTTGATTGCAGGAAGGTTGTAACTTTGATAATATCCTTTACCTTGATTTATTCTTTGTTAGAAATACTAAAGAGGTTGTAGCTCTTAGTTACCTGCTGATATCCAAAAAGATGTCAAGTTCCTTGTAATTAATTACTTACCCTCTGTGGCACATTAAAAAAAATGTTTTTTTTTAAATGATCAGAGAAAGTGCATAGAAATAACCCATTAAAAAAAAAGAAAAAAGCTTAAGAAGTCAGGTGGGCTCTTTATTAGGCCATAAAGAAGCTAAAGACTTTGTTTAGATACATCAAGAAAAATATAAAGCAGATGTAAAGTTGGGGAATATAGTTCAGCAAATTGATCATTTCCTTAAGGATGTCAAGGACAAATGTTGCCAGATTTTTTGACATGCTTGACCAACTCTTTTGGCTTATTAAATTTATGTTTGTTTATTTATTAAGAGATAACCAGAACACTAGTAATTTGAAGAGTTAATTGAGGCCAGAATAACCACAGTGCTAAGGCTTAGAAAACTTACAGTCTAATTATGAAGTTTACAATGAATGTTAATGATTGATATATAGTTGAGGTCATACAAGTTAGAAGACTGAAAAAAAAAAAGAAAAGAAAACAGAAAAGGCTTATGTGTAAAAGCTACAATTGCCAAAATATTGGTTACATTTTTATTGTCCAAAATAATGAGAGGTATCCGATATGAATATACAAATTAAATGTAGCTCCTACCTTCAATATAATATAATAGATTAAGTTGATAAGCAGCCATAACTGATATCATGGCACTAATAATCAAATAACACTGGGTTTTTGACAGATAATGACACACATTCTCATGTAATTGTTACAGTTACTCTGTAGAATAAGTATCATTATGGCCTACACTGTTGGGATCCTGCACAAAATACATTTCCCTTTCTTGTGGCCTCCCTATGTAATGGAAAAGGATTGTTAAATCCAATCTCAACAACTATGTTTCTTGATTTAGGGTTGGCCATGTGACTAAGTTCTGAACAATGATATCTAACTGGAAATCTGTTAGTAAGAGTGGGTTGCAGTCTTGAAAAGTTTTGTTTTCCTGATAAAAGGGAAGATCCATCGCTGGTACCTGTAACCCTCATGTGAAAATCTGGAGATTCAGCAGCCATCTTGTGACTATTAAAGGATAAAAGGAAGACAAATGCCAGTTCACTAAGGATGGTGGGGAAAAAATAAAGTTGCAGGTTGTATTTCTTCTGACACCAAACGACATTCGAATAAAAAATGGCAAATATTCCTAATGAGAAAAATCCATCTACATTTGTTTAAGCAGCTGTTACTTAGATATTTTGTTTCTTGTAGCTAAATACATTTCTGACAAACAATAATTTGTCTGACTTTTGATGTTATATTGTTCACTATGGCCTTAAGTGGAGGCTGTAATAATTTAGCCTCCAAGGTTGTTCCCATCTTTATTTTGTTTAGATCTACTTTTTCGTTAGTTTAAATGGAAACCTCATCTTGTTGGAGCGAATGTGTAACGAGTTTGGGGATCATACTCTTGTCTCCTTCCATTAAGACCCTTTTTTTCATTTGTTTACATTTATTTCTGGGTTTCTACATGGTAGTCTAAGATTCTTAGAATTTTTAAAAATAATCAAAAAATTTAATATCAGGCTTATGGCTAACTATATTTTTAGTGTATATGTGTGTATTTTGCATACTTTTATTTCATATCCTAAAGAATTTGAGACTTTTTTTTTTTTTTAGATGGAGTTTTGCTCTTGTTGCCCAGGCTCGAGTGCAATGGTAGGATCTCTGCTCACCATAACCTCTGCCTCCTGGGCTCAAAGGATTCTCTTGCCTCAGCCTCCCGAGAAGCTTGGATTACAGGCATGTGCCACCACGCCTGGCTAATTTTGTATTTTTGGTAGAGAATGGGTTTCTCCATGTTGGTCAGGCTGGTCTTGAACTCCCAACCTCAGGTGATCCTCCCTCCGTCTCCCAAAGTGCTGGGATTACAGGCATGAGCCACCGCACCCGGCCTGAGACTATTTAAAAGAAATATATTCAGTAAAAGGACAAATACACACGTAAAGTACAAAATTAGGAGCCTAGAGAGTTACAGGTGGATTGTGGAGAATAAACTGCAAATATGCAAGTCACATGTTTACAAAAAGTTCTTAACATTGAGCTCTAAATATGGTTTTCATAGATAGTATTTATTGAATGCCTATTATGTACCAGATATTTGCACTATAGAATGTAGCCCAGCCTACTTTCTTCCAAAACACACATGAGCAGTCCAGTTTCCAAGAGACAGTTCATTCTTAGATTCAGCCAGTGCTAGGAAACTGACTATATCACAGTTAATTTTCCACTTAAAATTAGAAGTTTGTTTCAATTTAACCATAATTTAGGTCATGTGTGATCTTTTGGGAAGTATTCAAGTGGATTAAAAGTTATGGGTAGTGGTGTATATTCTATACATCAATATGTGTGTGTGTGTGTGTGTAAAATCTATTCAGTAGGTCTCTAAATCTCCATTTTACAGTGTTATCAAGAAAAAGATTCTGGTTTTGTCTGGCCTGGATTCCTCTTTCACATAATGCTGAAGTCCTCTTTGGCTGCTGAGAATTCAGTCTCTATACCACAGGTGCAAAAATTCTTAAAATTCTTATATCAGAAATGCTATCACTATTTGCTTTATCAAAAATTTTGCAAACAGGTAATGTAAACCCTACAATGTCTCCTTTCCTAAAGATTGTTTTAGGTCTTTAGAACTTCAGCATAAATTTTATAATTGACTGAGAAATTACTAAAACATAATCTGCAGGGACTTGAACTATGAATAAATTTGAGAAAATTGACATATTAACAACATTTAGTCACCTGATATAAGAACATATTATTTAGTTTTAAAAAATGTTTTCTGGGAATGTTCTATAGATTACCATTTACAGAAAACATACACTTATTGTCACATATATTTCAAAGTATTTCACATTTGGAAGAACTATACTTAGACGTTATTAAAATTAAGATTTCTGGATGTTTCATTACTGTTATAAAAATGCAATAAAAATTTACTGTTATACAAATGCCATAAAATTTTCAATTAAAATATTTCTTTTTTGTTACTACAAAAATAATACATTTATTGATGAGAAACCATAAAGCACAAAATACTTTTTAAAGTGCTTATAACTCTTCTCACCCAGAAGTCATTGTGATGTATAACATTCTATAGATAGGCAACTTCAGCAAAGTCTCAGGATACAAAATCAATGTGCAAAAATCACAAGCATTCTTATACACCAACAACAGACAGAGAGCCAAATCCTGAGTGAACTCCCATGCACAATTGCTTCAAAGAGAATAAAATACCTAGGAATCCAACTTACAAGGGACGTGAAGGACCTCTTCAAGGAGAACTACAAACCACTGCTCAATGAAATAAAAGAGGATACAAACAAATGGAAGAACATTCCATGCTCATGGGTAGGAGGAATCGATATCGTGAAAATGGCCATACTGCCCAAGGTAATTTATAGATTCAACGCCATCCCCATCAAGCTACTGATGACTTTCTTCACAGAATTGGAAAAAATTACTTTAAAGTTCATATGGAACCAAAAAACAGCCTGCATTGACAAGTCAATCATAAGCAAAAAGAACAAAGCTGGAGGCATCACACTACCTGACTTCAAACTATACTACAAGGCTTCAGTAACCAAAACAGCATGGTACTGGTACCAAAACAGAGATATAGACCAATGGAACAGAACAGAGCCCTAAGAAATAATACCACACATCTACAACCATCCAATCTTTGACAAACCTGACAAAAACAAGCAATGGGGAAAGGATTCCCTATTTAATAAATGGTGCTGGGAAAACTGGCTAGCCATATGTAGAAAGCTGAAACTGGATCCCTTCCTTACACCTTATACAACAATTAATTCAATATGGATTAAAGACTTAAATGTTTGACCTAAAACCATAAAAACCCTAGAAGAAAACCTGGGCAATACCATTCAGGACATAGGCATGGGCGAGGACTTCATGTCTAAAGCACCAAAAGCAATGGCAACAAAAGCCAAAATTGACAAATGGGATCTAATTAAACTAAAGAGCTTCTGCACAGCAAAAGAAACTACCATCAGAGTGAACAGGCAACCTACAGAATGGGAGAAAATTTTTACAACCTACTCATCTGACAAAGGGCTAATATCCAGAATCTATAATGAACTCAAACAAATTTACAAGAAAAAAACAGACAACCCCATCAACAAGTGGGCAAAGGATATGAACAGACATTTCTCAAAAGAAGACATTTATGCAGCCAAAAGACACATGACAAAATGCTCATCATCACTGGCCATCAGAGAAATGCAAACCCAAATCACAATGAGATACCACCTCACACCAGTTAGAATGGTGATCATTAAAAAGTCAGGAAATAACAGGTACTGGAGAGGATGTGGAGAAATAGGATCACTTTTACACTGTTGGTGGGACTGTAAACTTGTTCAACCACGTGGAAGTCGGTGTGGCTTTTCATCAGGGATCTGGAACTAGAAATACCATTTGACCCAGCCATCCCATTGCTGGGTATATACCCAAAGGATTATAAAACATACTGCTATAAAGACGCATTCACACGTATGTTTATTGTGACACCATTCACAATAGCAAAGACTTGGAACCAACCCAAATGTCCATCAATGATAGACTGGATTAAGAAAATGTGGCACATATACACCATGGAATACTATGCAGCCATAAAAAATGATGAGTTCATGTCCTTTGTAGGGTCATGGATGATGCTGGAAACCATCATTCTCAGCAAACTATAGCAAGGACAAAAAACCAAACACCGCATGTTCTCACTCATAGGTGGGAATTGAACAATGAGAACACATGGACACAGGAAGGGGAACATCACACACTGGGGCCTGTTGTGGGGTGAGGGGAGTGGGGAGGGATAGCATTAGGAGATATACCTAATGCTAAGTGATGAGTTACTGGGTGCAGCACACCAACATAGCACATGTATACATATGTAACAAACCTGCACAATGTGCATATGTTCCCTAAAACTTAAAGTATAATAAAAAATAATAATTATAAAAATAAATTTAAAAAAAATTCTATACATATAAGATCTAAATGTGCTTTTCCAAGAAAATTCTCATACTACGCATGCTAATTTTTAGTCTCCTTTTTACAACTTGTAGTTCTGTTATGTTGAATGTTATATGTTATATATTTGTTTAATTGTTATATACTTGCAATTAACATTTATATATTTGCCTTGTATAAGTCAAACTTGGTAAACTCATGATATTTTGAGTTTTGTAGAATTTATCACATTTCTTACAAAGATGACCAAAACCTCATGAATAAAGCATGTTACCTCTTTATTTCCAATTTGTAGAACTTTTATTTCTTGTATTTGCCTTATAATAATAACTAGAAAATGCATTACAATGTGAAAATAAGTTGCCAGGTTATGGCAGACATTTTTACCTTCTAATCTTAAGGGAAAAAGCATTTAGTTTTTCACTATTTAGTTTGATGTAAGTTGTAGAGTTTTTAACTATATGCCCTGTAAAAGCCTCATGATATTCTCATCTATTCCTAATTTTCTGGTAATTTTTATGAACAACAGATGTTAAATTTGTCAAATTCCTTTTCTGTATATACTGAGGCAATCATGCAGGTTTTTAAAAATTTTTTGTTAGTTAATGAAATAAATTATTTTGGTTATGTTTTTGTGTTAAAACAATCTTTCCATCCAGGGATAGACCTAATTTGGTCATTATATATGTCTACTAAGGAATTTATCTAATTGTTGGATACAGTTGTTGGACACAATTTATCTATTTATCCAACGATTGAATAAATTAGCATACATAAGTAATTTACTTAGTATATATACATCTCCTCACAAGATGGAGAGAGAGGACTCACTGTAGATCCTTCTAGTCCTCTCTCTCCATCTTGATATTGGAATTTTTTCTTTTCTAACTTTTTTTTCTCTGATGAGTCTGGTGGCTAGAGAATAATACATTTTATTAATTTTTCAAAGAAAAAGGTTTTGCTGTCATAAAGTGTCTTCTATTATTGTCTTCTATTTTATTGCTTTCTTACCTCATCTTTATCAGTTATTTTATTCCAGTAGCTTTGGATTTCAACTGCTATTCTTCTGGTTTCTTAATAAAGAAGCTTAGGTTATTAAGTCGATAAATTTCTTCTTTTATAATACAGGTAATAGTTATTGAATGCCATAAATTTTTCCATTTTCATTATTTTGCTGAATCAAACAAATTTTATATGTATTTTTTAAAATTTCCATTTATCGTAAAATAATTCCAAATATTCTCCTATTAATCCATGGTTTATTAGAAGTGTATTGCTTAGTTACAATGTGTTGGTATTTTTCAAATACATTATTACTTTTTTTTATTTAATTTTATCATGGTCACAAAATACACTTTGCATTAGTCAAATCGGTTTAAATTTATTTTACTTATTTTGTGGTCCAGAATATTGTCTATCTTATTAAAAGTTGTATGTTAACTTGATAAAAATGAGTATTCTGCCATTTTGAGGGTGGTGTTCTATAAATGTCAATTATATCACATTGTTGACAGATTTTTCAATACTTCATATCCATTTTGATTCGCTGTCTACCTTTTTATCAATTTGTAGAAGCACTGAAATCTCTCAAAATTATTAACAGAATACTTACAAGTATTCTATTGTCTATTCTTAAAATTATCTATTTGTTTTTCATTCTGCAGGTTTTTCAGCTCTGTCAGTTTTTTACTTAAGTTTTTTAAGTTCAGTACTTCTTGAAAGTGTTGAAAGACAGAAAATTCTATTGTCTAGTCTTATAATTGTCTATTCTTTGATTTAGTTCCATAAGTTTTTCACTTCTTTAAGTTTTTTATTCATGTTTTGTAAAGCTCTGTTATGTAGAAATGCTGTGTCCTTGAACTATCAAAGTCTTTAGTAATGTGTAACAACTGTCTTTGACCTTGGTATAATTCCTTCCTCTGCCATCTACTTCTTCTGATATTGATATAATTACTCCAGCTTTTTTGCTTAGTGTTAGCATGGTATGCTATTTCCCATCATTTTATTTTTAAATCCTTTACTTTCTCTTTTAATCAGGTTTCTTATCTGCAACATATCATTAGATTTTGTTTTTTAAATAAGCTCTCAATTTATGATTTTTAGTTGGGGATATAGAATAGTTACATTTAATTCAATTATGTATAAAGCCTGGTTTAAATGTATTTTCTTGTTTTCTATTTGTCCCATTTCTGGTTTGTTCAATTTTTTTGCTTTATTTTGATTATTTGAGCATTCTTATATTTTATCTTCTTTATTAGCCTACTAGCTATATTCCTTTGTTTTGCTAATGTTTACCTTAGCATTTCTAATGAAAATCTTCATCATAGTTTTTATTCTATAATATTAAACCATTTCACATAGAGTACAAGGATAGTCATTTTCTTCTCCTAGTTTTTATTATCTTGTTATATTTTCGAAATCTGTATGTCTTAATAAACCTCACACTATATTATTATTATTTTTGCCTCTAATAATTGTCTGTTAAAGAGACTTAAATAGTACAACAATTACATTTACTGAAATAACAATTTTCAGTACTCTTCATTTATTTACATAGATCCAAGTTTCTATCTTGTATAAATTCCCTTCTGCCTAAAAGACTATGTTATTTTTTAAAGTCTAGTTCTGGTGATGATTTTTTTTAATCTTTTGCATGTCTGAAAAACCCATTAATTGAATCATTGGGTTTGAAATAAAATTTCCTTTGGTATGAAAGTCTAAGTTGACTCTTTGAGCAATTTAATGATATTAATCCATTCCTTTTTGGCATGTATTTCCTTCAATAAATCTGTCATTATTATCTTTGTTTCTCTGCACATAATAAATCATTCATTGTAGCTGTTTTAAAGATATTTTTAAAGCATGACTGGTTTCAATTTATTTAACTAAGTTGTTCTTAGATATAGTTTTTATCATTTTTATGAACATGGTAGGTTATTTTAGCTTATATAATCTGTGAATTTACAGTTTTATCAAGTTTGAAAATTTTTCAACCAATACTTTTTAAATGTTTTTTTCTATCTCCTATCTCTCTTCCCTATTTTGAAGATTCAAATTTCATGTTTATTAGGTTGCTTAAAATTATCCTACAACTTAAGACAATATTGTTTGTTAGTTTTTTTAATCTTATGGCTCTTTATATCACTTGTTGCTGTTTCATCAAGGTCATTAAAGATATTTTATTCTACGTTATATCTAATCTGTTGTCATTTTGAGTATTCCACAAATTTAACACATGCATTCTATTTTTTGTCTATAATACTTCAATTGGAGTTTTTTGTTTTGTTTTGTTTTTCACTTTCTGTCTTAGTTCATTTGGGCTTCTATAACAAAATACCACAAACTGAGTGGTTTATAAACAACAAAAATTTATTTCTCATGGTTCTGGAAGTTGGAAAGTCCAAGGTTAGGAAGCTGACAAATGTAGTGTCTGGTGAAGATTTATTTTCTTATTTATAATTGGCTCCTTCTAGCTGTGCTCTCCCATTGTAGAAGAGAGGGGCTTGGGCCTCTTTTAAAAGGGTCTTAATTCCATTCATGAGGGCTCTGCCTCCATGACCCAATCACGTCTGAAAGATCCCACCTCCTAACTTGGTCACATTTGGAATTAAGACTTCAACTTATGAATTTTGGGGAAACAAACATTCAGAGCATAGCATTCAAAAATATGGCAAATTCTATATTTCTCTTTGTCACACTTACGCTTTTTTCTACCTTCTTGAATATATTGATTATAATTCTATCACTTGTTCCAGTATTATTTTCTATTAAATCTATCATTTATCATGTCCTTGGTTCTATTGAGTTATTTTTTTCTCATTATGCCTCATGTTTTTCTGATTCTTTTACGTCTTATAATTTTTTACTGTATGTCAAGTCTTACGATTTTTACCTTTTTAGGTACTAGATAACATTTTTTCACCTTTAAATTTTGCAATCTTTTTTGTGAGATGGTGTTAAATAATTTATTCATAGTAAAATTAACATTAATACAGTAATGTAAGCATGTATTATCAAAGGCAAGGTAAGAATAAAAGAGATTGTTGATTAGATGACTATATTCTATAAGTCAATCAATAAAAGTTAAGACTCACAAACATAGCTAGAAAAATGGGAAACAGAGAAAGAGAAAAATAAAAAAAAAATTGTTAGGAGTAAGAATATCTGCAGGAATAGCAGAATATAAAATGTTGTTTTTATATTATTTGTATCTGTAATACTACATATGACTTATTAATTACAAAATTATACCTATCACAGCAGTATCTAAATTCCTCAATAAAATACGAAAACCACACTTTCTTTGACGTGATGGCATTTGTGGTTATTATTATAGGAAAGTATACATTCTGGTTGATATCAGTCAGTGACAACAGTAAATACATAGGTATCAAATAGAATAATTTCCAAAATGTAAAAGTAACAGAATTGAACATAGATTTGACTATTCTTTTGAACAGAGTCATTTGAAAAGAGTCATTTGGTGCTCTCGTGACTTCTTTTCCCAAGAGCTTCTTATTACATGTCATATGGTAGCATTTTTATTTCCTTGGCTAGGAACAACTTGAAATGAGGTGACAGCAACTCTTAAGAGAATTGCCTGTGTGTTTTGCTGAAATTTAAATGTAATGCTACTTAACTTTTCAGGTATCCTGGGAATATTCCTAACTGTTTCTCCATATTTCTACTTGCTTCAATCAGTATTCTATTAGGTATAATGGTTTTGTGGAGCTCAGTCATAAAATTTGATTTCTAGGTTTTTCCATCATGCTGCGTCATTAAAAGACAAAGAGCCGCTTTACACAACTTACTAGAAAACATTAGGCAAAAATTTCTTTTTATGATAGGGAATGAAGTCAATCTTGCAAATCTTGCTAGATATTGTCTAATATTAACTTTAATGAAAAGCAATTCTCATCACCACTAGTAGATCATCAAGGATCTCTTATGGGTTTAGTTGAGCTTGCTCAAAGAGAAGCTCTTGACAGTATTGCATGAATTTTGATATGCCTAAGCTGCGAAGATCATATTTAGAAAGCAAGTTGAAGTATGATTAAAAGCAGCTAAGTAATATTCAGTAAATTGGTCTTGGCTCTACGCAGAGTAATTCATCAGAATTTATGTGGTTTAGAGAGATATGGAGGCAGCTAGTGTTTTGATTTCAGACTAATACTTCAAACTCACTGGAAGTTACAAATGATCTAAGGTATAATAATGTCATATGAAATGCATTCTTACTAAAAATTTAAACTGAATCTTCCCAATAAGAGTTTGAGGAAATTTATAAAAGGACATACTCAGTAAGATGGATAAACTAGAAAAAAATTCAGTGTACAGAGGATAAAGGGGTTGTTATCTCCAAAAACTAGACCCATGTGATGACTACATCCAGCGTTAATTTTATTCCTGATCCATTTTCAAGTCAAGGTTAAATAAAATGTATATATATATAAAATTTATATGTATAACACCACATCATATTATATATTTATATTTCATTTTATAGATGCATATATTTTTGTACATATATTAATTTTTCTCTATAATTATAAAAGTTGGAATGTATTAGTTTAATATTTTAATATTTACTAAACATAGGTCATTATGTTCTCATTGAATTCTCAGAACAAACTTGTGTGTTAGGTATTCTGATATTCTCTGTTTTATAGTAAAACAAATAGAGCTTTCAAGAGGTTAAAGAAAATTGCCCAAAGTCATACAGTTGTGTATGCTAGAAACAGGTCACAAATTTAGATGTGTCTAACTCCGTAATTTGAGTATAATTTTGTCATAAGATAAGAGCCAGCAGCCCCTAGGGCTTAATGATATGATGGCTCTATAAAAGGTCATTAAATTACATAATGGGCTATGGTTACAACAATTTTTATTGCTATTATTGTATTTTGGGGCAAGATGGTTTTAGACAACTAGTGGTATAAATTTCAAATGTTTAAGTCTTGTGTTTACTAACATTGCAATTACGCATATAACACAAATTTCTGTACATGAAAGTGAAACAAAATACATAGATTACTGTAAGCCTCAGTGTCCACATATTTAAAACTGTAATAATAATAACTAATTCCATGTGTTTTGGAATGTTTACAAATGAAAATATGTGTAAATCTTCTAACATAGTTACTCATATACTCTGACGTTCAATATATAACTAGATCTCTTTCCAGTTTCCTCCACTATTTATGAATAAAGAAATTCCTTGCGTGAAAAGCATTTCCAGAGTTACTCCACAACATAGGCCAGAAATGATTAACCACAACTGATTGATTTTTTTTCTGACTTTATTGATAGTATTGAATTATCCATCATAAATTTCTAATAAACAAATGTCTCAGTGGTTTTATATATCTTCGTATGCTAAAACTACATTTTCTAGGATCACTTTTCCTGTATATTTGCAGATTAGAAGTGGGAAAAAGAAGAACTGGGACTAGATTAGAAAAACCCAAGAAAAACAGCAGTCATTGCTATTGGAAGCTAATCACAATCAGAGACAATTACAATCTCAGTTATTTTCCATGGATTCTAGTTCTCCTCTCACCTCCACCATATATATATATATATATATATATATATATATATATATATATATATATATATATAATGTAAAAAGGATATTTGAGCTGAATGTGGTGGCTCATGCCTGTAATCCCAGCACTGTGGGATGCTAAGGCAGGAGGATCACTTAAGTTCAATAGTTTGAAACCAGCCTGAGCAACACAGTGAGACCCTGTCTCTACAAATAAAAAATAAAAATAGCTGAGCACCTACTCAGAAGGCTGGTGAGGAAGGAGGATTCCTTAATCCCAAAAGTTTGAAACTACAGTGAACTATGATGGCACCACTGCACTCCAGGCTGGGTGACAGAGTGATATTCAGTCTCTTTAAAAAAAAAAAAAAAAAAAAGGATATTTTGGGGAGGAGTTCTTTATTTTTATTTCCCCAAAATATGAGCCGATAGGAATATTTCATTTGGGTATTGAATTGGCTACAAGAAAGAGAGAAAGAAGAGAAAAATAAACATAATTTATATGTATACATTTCCTGCAAGGTGAGCCATTCATCAAATAGATGAATTTACCAGGAATAATTCATATCTTATTAATAAGAACCTATATTTGTGTTTTAAGTTCTTTGTAATGATGGTGAACATTTTAAGAAAACCAATAAAAAATTAATGACTGGGGCAGAAAATTTAAAACTTCTATTTCAAAGAGGAAGAGGAAAATGATTCTGTTTTCTAGAAGGGATTCAGTTTACTTTTTCTTACTTGTACATTATGTTTCATGGTATTTTATATAGATAAATGGCATCACAGCATATCATAATAGAATTGATATATAGGGCTGAGAGTTATAAATGTATGTTCTCTTAAAGTGCAGAATTCCTATTTTCGTGAACCACATGAACTATAATTTATTCATGAAATGTAATCTGAGTGGCTCAGGAAAGCATGGCGAATTTCTGATCTTTGAAAGGTTGGCTTTTAGAAGGACAGGTAATTTATTACGTCTATGTGACTTCATTGATAGCATAAATCACTCTTTCCCATATCTCTTCTCTTAACCCCTACTCTGATTCATATATACCATGAAGTGTCAGGTGAAGTTTTAGATGTGACGAAAGGAAGAAAGAAAGAAAAGGAACGAAGGAAAGAAGGAAGGAAGGAAATAAGGATGGAAGGAAAGAAGGAAGGAAGGAAAGAGAAGGAAGGAAAGAAGGAAGGAAGGAAAGAAGGAAGGAAGGAAAGAAAGAAGGAAGGAAAAAAGGAAGGAAGGAAAGAAGGAAGGAAGGAAGGAAAGAAGGAAGGAAAGAAAGAAGGAAAGAAAGAAGGAAAGAAGAGGGAGGGAGGGAGGGAGGAAGGAAGGAATGAAGGAGGAGGGAGGGAGGGAGGAAGAGACGAAGGAAAGGAGAAAGAGAGGGAGGGAGGAAAGAAGGAAGGAAGGCAGGCAGCCAAGAAAGAAGAAAAGGAAAGGAAAGGGGAAAGGAAAGGAAGGGAGAAAGGAAAGGAAAAGGGAAAGGAAAGGAAAAGGAGAGGAAGAAAGGGAGGGAGGGAAGAAAGAGGAGAAGGAGGGAAGGAGGGAAAAAAGAAAAGGCAGGCAGGAAGGAAGGAAGGGAGGAAGGGAGGAGAAAGAGAGAGAAAATATTTAGTCTTAAAATTAGTTTAAGGGTGCTGTATACCTGATTAGCAAGGAATTCATATTGATGATGTTTGAAACATTTATTTATCCTAAGATATTCAGCTAATTCAAGTAGTTAAGATTGTCTACAAAGGTGAAATGATGCAGTTTTATGATTAGAGGTTTTAAAAGAATCATTCAGCTAGCCTTGGCCTTAGAATATCAAGTTTGACTTATCTCTATTTGCAAATGAATGAAAGGTTTGTGAAACAAATCAGCAGAGACAGGGCTAGGGTGCTTTCTTAGAAGGCCAATACATGAATTTAGCAAAAATAAAATAAAAATTTCTTGAATAAGAAAATCTTATTTTCTCCTATATGCTTGTGGGTGATCAGGAAACATTTTAGGAAATAATAAATCCTTGTGATATAGGTGCTATTTTGTTTTAGACAATCAATGGAACAAAACAGCTACAGCCAAAGTGAAGGACACTGTATAATTTTTTTTCCCCAAAATGTGACTCTTATTATTCAAACTCTACCAGCTCCACTAGCACTCTACTCCGATCCCAGGGGTCCACAAATACAGCATGAGACAAACCCTACCTCTGCTTTAATAGTAATACATGGGAAAAGACTGAGACAAAGATATTTGCAGATGGAGATTGATTACTGTTTAGGAAGGGTTAGGGAATCTGCAATACAGAGGAAGAGGTGGAATTCCAACAAGATTAAAAAAAATAAAAATAGAGGGGCCTATTTATTCTGATTTATCTGGGACTGAATGTTTCTGATATTTGGGATTTTCAATGCTTAAAGGAGAAAATTTTCAGGCCAATTGAGATTATTGGTTACCCTAATGGGGAGAGATGGAGAAAAATTAAAATATGCAAAAGTTTCATTTAAGCCACCTGCTGAAGTCTTAAATAGTTTTGAGTTGGGCTCAAGAGTTTTAGGAATTAAGGCCATCACTCATATTTAGGAGTGAAAATATAGATGAAGAACACAGTCCTTCCCCAACTTCCTTACCAAATTCTCTGTCACCCAGGCTGGAGTGCAGTGGCTTGATCTTGGCTCACTGCAACCTCTGCCTCCCGGGTTCAAATGATTCTCCTGCCTCAGCCTCCCGAGTAGCTGGGACTACAGGCATGTGCCACCACACCCAGCTATTTTTTTTTGTTTGTTTGTATTTTTAGTAGAGACAGGGTTTCACCATGATGCTCAGGCTGGTCTCAAACTCCTGACCTCGGGTGATCTGCCAGCCTTGGCCTCCCAAAGTGCTAGGATTACAGGCGTGAGCCAACATGTCCAGCCTGAACAAAAACTTGTTTATCAATAACTCCTTAAACTTTCTTAGGTTCCCACTAGGTATTTGCTTTGAGAAAACATGTATGTATGAACATATAATAATTATAGAAATATAATCATATTTTATTATTTTATGTAACTGCAAAATCTTCCCTTATCCATACTTCATTTTAATCATAAATATACATTGAATAGCTATGTAAATGTTAATATTAATATAACTCTTCAACATAATTTTGCCTTTCAGTTATATCCAGTCTAATGTGTTTTTTATTTTTAATAATAGATGATTCATTAATTAGTATCTTCTTACAACATAGCATGTTGTGTCTGTTGAGTTAAAATCCACAATAAATTTCTGGGTTTGGATCACAATGTATTTACACATGTATGTCTTTATGACTACAGTACAGTGACTTTTTACTTTACTACTTTCAAAAGTTTATACCAGTTTCAAATGCTAACTTATGAGTCAACTGAATTTATAATTCAATTTTACTGAAACTTTGTTAGTAATGCATACATTGATATTTTTCCTAAAATTTTCCTAGTGCAAAAATAGAACCTCAAGGTTATTTTAATAAACATTTCTTTGATCATTCCCAAGAGTGAACAGTTCTTAACGTGTATCTACATTTTGTTTTTTGTAATTGCTTCTTTGCATTCATTTAAGTTTTAAAATTGCCATACCAAATGTGAAAGATTACATTTAGGCATTGTCTTTTTTTGGTAGTTATGCATTTAATTCAAGGCTAAAAGAGAAAAAAAAATTGTTTGGCATTTCTACTTGTAACACTGTTACAGTCATTAGGATAAATGGCATATCATGTCACAGTGAGTGATATTTGATAAATGATGGGGACAGTTGGAGAACAAAACTATTTAAATTTTGTTTAGAGCTTCAATAATGGCAGATGCTCATTTCCTCAATCTGTCTTATTGACTAAATTTGAAATGACTAGCAGGCAAAATACAATTAAAGAAAAAAAGCATGATAAATGAACATTTAAAAGGCAAAGTCAAGGATATAAACATGCAATGATTCCCTTGAAACATTCCTTTTAAATAGACAGAAAATAATTCTCCTGAACTTCATAATATAAGTAATATAGAATTTGGCTTTAGAGTGTAATTGATCGCACTGTTTACAGGAAAACATGAATTAAGAGAGAAGAAAATAAGGATGAGACATAAAAAAGGAGCAGAATTTTGGAATTATGCTATAAGAACGATAAAGAGAGACATTGAGCTGTTAAGAATATTATAAACCATCCATTTATAATTTCTCCTTGTTTTTCTAGATCGTGAGAGCAAAAATGACTAATACTTATGTGAGAATTAATAAATAACATATCTGGATTAGGAATGCCTAAGAGTTGACTAGTGTGCAGTATAATTTTTATTTGGCTAAAATTAAATGCCCTCTTTCTCTTGAATTAAGTAGAAGACAATATAATAGAAGGCAAATGCAGAATAAATATTCTGAAGGAGTGGGTGAGTTATGTCCCCCTGGTTATGTTTCCTAGTTTGGTTGATTCAACACCCCCTGTAAAGGCCTGCATTGAGGCCAACTCATGGTACTTAATACTTTGGAACTATCTCCACCTATGCAGGAAATTTTTGTCTTCTAGCTAATATGGATGAAGGTGTTTCTTCTGTCACCTGGCCTGGCAAATCGGCACTTTTAATACATTTTTGTATAGTTGGAAAAAATAGTTCTGAGTATTAATAAGTGTGTGTCCTGACACCTTTTGCTTGTGATGATTTTCGAGGATGAGTGGAGATGGATGTTATAAGAACTCAGTTATCCTTCCAGATGATCTAAACTTTCAGTCTATTGTAGTCATGAAGAACCAACTTCAAATCTCAACTTCACCATCTCCCAGTTGGTGTGGATTCTTACAAGTGGCTTAATATTTCTGGGTCTCATTATTCCCCATATATAAAACTTGCATAAAATACTGTGTGCCATCAATAGGAGGATAAAAATGAGTTCTCTGTTAGAAATATTTTAGGGAATAAAGCTTGATTCCTGGGAGAAAAGTAGCTCCTGTAATGTAGTGTTTTGTTTCCTTGAATTTAAGTTGCTTTAAATAGTGGTAGTGGTGGAGGTGGTGTATATTCTGAGGACAGTTGCTCTCTGTGGATATGTACTGTAGTATCAAAAAGTCCTTTCCTTAGTGTGAGGCTCATAGTATTTTAGAAAAGTACGAAAAACAGCAGATGCAACCTCTTACTACACAGATAAAAAGATGGAGGGCCAGGGAGGGAAAAGATTTTCCACAGATACCAAGTAAGTGAGGCCCAAACTCAGTTATTCTGATTTTCCAAGGATACATGGGTACTCTCAAAATTACTTCTTGTCAGTCAATTCTAAAATTGCTAGTTACAGAATGAGGTACTTCAGGTAATCAACATTTAGTGTCCGAAATATTTCATCTGCTCTTATCATTTGTCTGTGTTTTCTGGATGATTGCCTTAATGTTCAATTTACTTTGACTATGCGATTATACCTACATTTGGAAGGTTAGTTAATGATTCTAACAAATTCTGGAAACAATCTTAACAGTAGGCTAGTCCACTGGAGGTCAAACATCGCTAAACACAATGCAAGGAGAGAATGAGATATATGTACATATCTCCTATATATTTTTTTTGAGAGAGAGAGAAAGGCATATATGTTTATATGTATATGCCCCAACATAAATGTACTCAGAATATGAATTCACACACAAACATGTTTAGTATTGCAATTTGATTTTCTTTTGTAATTCTGATTCATAAAATTTTCCAGATTTCTATTTATTTAGTTTTTAAAAAAATTTCTTTTATCGTAAGTTCCAGGATACATGTGCAGGACATGTAGGTTTGTTACTTAAGTAAACATGTGTCATGGTGGTTTGCTGCACATATCAACCCCAGATACTTTGTTCTCGAAAAATACCTGTAATGGTTGTATAATTAAGCATTTTAATGTATCATATTATTAAGAATTTTTTGTTGTCATACATTTTTATTTGTCCGAAATTTCATGATTAAAATTAACATTTGAAGGAAGACGGATTCATATAAATTTCAATAATATTTTTTAAAATTGCGTATGTGTTGCTTTTTAAGGATAAATTTATAGGAGAATTATCCTCTCTATGTATAGAACTTTAAGTTATCACGATAGACACATTGTCAAAGTGGTAAACTACATTTAAATGCAGCATGCAGAGATATATTAATAAAAAGTACATATTTTGAAAGTAATTAGCTTAAATACCATAATGGATTTCTATTACTATCAGAATAAAATGCACAATTCTAAACATAATGTAGACATGTATTACCTGAGTTATCTGGATAAGTTCAATATAATCACAAGGGTTCATATAAGACAGAGGCAGGAGGGTCAGAGTCAGTTGAGATATGATTACAGAAGCAGAGGTCAGAGAGAGACAGAGAGAGAAAAAGTTAACAGTGGTACATTGCTAGTTTTGAAAATGTAAGATGGGGCTATAAGCAGAGTAATGCAGATGCCCTCTAAACCTAGAAATGGCAAGAAAATAGATTTTCCTCAGAAGCCTCCAGAAGCAATGCAGCCCTGCTGACAACTTAATTTGAATTCTGTAAGACTCGTTTTAGATTTCTGATTTCAATAAATTTTCTATAATAAACTTACATTATTTTAAGCCATTACATTTGTGCTACTTTGTCAAAGCACTAATATAAAACTCATAAAAAAATGCTTATTTAAATATTATGTTTTATATATTTAGTATAAATATATATGACATAGTATATACACTCTCCTTGGAATGAATGAATGTACAGATAGGCATAGGTAGATGAATAGATGGATAGAAAAATGTAAATACATATGCACAGATATTCACACATTTATACAGATGTATGTGTTTATATATAAAAGATATATTGATAATTAGAATGTTATTAACAAAACTTCAACTTTCTTTGGCATGGCCACATGCTCACTTACAGAACTACACACTTTCTATTCATCCTTGCCATGTTTCCATGTGATTATATTACAGACTATGTGATACGGTTTGCCTGTGCCCCCATTCAAATCTCATTTGAATTGTGACTCCCACAATTCCCATGTGTCATGGGAGGAACCCAATAGGAGGTGACTGAATTATGGGTGTGGGTCTTTCCTGCACTGTTCTTGTAATACTAAATGAGTCTCACAAGATCTGATGGTTTTAAAAATAGGAGTTTCCCTGCAAAGCTCTTTCTTTGCCTCCTGCCTATAAGATATGCCTTGCTCCTCCTTGCCTTCCACCATGATTATGAGGCCTCTCAGCCATGTGGAACTGTAAGTCCATTAAACCTCTTTCTTTTATAAATTGCTCAGTCTTGGGTATGTCTTTATCAGCAGAGTTAAACTGGACTAATACAGTACATTAGTACCAGGAGTGGGGTGTTGCTGAAAGGATACCAGAAAATGTGGAAGCAACTTTGGAGACGGGTAACAGGCAGAGATTGGAACAGTTTGGAGGGCTCATAAGAAGACAGAAAAATGTAGGAAAGTTTGGAACTTTCTAGACACTTGTTGCATGGCTTTGATGAAAATGCTGATAGTGATATGAACAATAAGGTCCAGGCTGAGGTGGTCTCAGATGGAGATGAGGAATTTGTTGGGAGCAGGAGCAAAAATAACCCTTGTTATGTTTTAGCAAAGAGACTGGTGGCACTTTGTTCCCGCCCTAGATATTTGTGAAACTTTGAACTTTAGAGAATTGATTTAGGGTATCTGGTAGAAGAAGTTTCTAAGCAGCAAAGCATTCAAGATGTGACTTGGGTGCTATTAAAGGCATTCAGTTTTATAAGGGAACACAATAGAGAACACAAAGATAAAACCATATATCTACAGCCAACTGATCTTTGACAAAGGCAACAAAAACACACACTGAGGAAAGACATCTTATTCAATAAATACTGCTGAAATATTGGATAGCCAGATGCAGAATAAAACTGGACCCCTATCTCTTACCACACATGAAAATGAACTCAAGATTGATTAAAGACTTAAATATAGGACCTGAAACTGTAAAAATACTAGAGGAAAACCTAGAAAAAAATGATTCTGAATGCCCTAAGCAAAGAATTTATTAATAAGATCTCAAAAACAAATGAAACAAGAACAAAAATAGACAAATGGGACTTAAACTAAAATTCTTCTTCACAGCCAAAAAAATAAACAACAGAGTGAACACATATATGTAGAATGGGAGAAAATATTTGCAAACTGCATCCAACAAAGGAATAATACCAAGAACTACAAGGATTTCAAACAACTCAACAACAAAAAATAAAAAACCCTATTAAAAAGTGGGCAAAGGACATGAACAGACATTTTACAAAAGAAGACAAATAAATGGCCATTAAACATGTGAAAAGAAATCTCAACATCATTAATCATCAGAGAAATGCAGATTGAAGCCACAGTGTGATAATGAGATACCATCTTATGTCACTCAGAATGGCTAATATTAAAAATTCAATAAAAAACAGATGTGGGCGAGAATGCAGAGAAAACACTTACACACTATTGGTGGGAATATGCATTATTACAACCTCTATGGAAAACAGTATAGAGATTTCTCAAATAACTAAAGTAGAACTACTATTCAATCCAGCAATCCCACTAATAGCACTATTCACAATAGCAAAGATATGGAATCTGTGTCCATTAAAAGATAATTAGATTTAAAAATGTGGTAGATATATACAATAGAACACTATTTAGCCATTAAAAATATGTATTTTGTAGCAACATGGATAATACTGGAGGCCATTATCTTAAGTGTAATAACTCAAAAACAAAAAGTAAAATACTACATGTTTAATTTTATAAGTGGGAACTGAAAAACAGGTACACATGGTCATAGAGAATGGAATAATAGACAGTGGAAACTCAGAAGAGTAGAAGCAGGGGAGAAGGGTGAGGGATGAGGAATTACTTAATGGCTACACTGTGCACTATTCGGATGCTGGCTATACCAAACACCCAGTCTTTAGCACTATGTAATATGTCCATGTAAAAAATGACACTTGGACTCCCTAAATATCTAACAAATAAGATATCAAGGCAGAAGCTGAAAGTTAACATGGCAAAATGCTACCAATGTTTATCTCTTGATTATATAAAAATGTGTTCTTCAAAAAATATTTTTATACATTTTGTACAGTGAGAAATTATATCATCCTGTCCCCAGAGCCAAATCACACTGACCTTTTATCTTTTTATTCAAACATGCCCAACACTCTCTGATCTCAGTGAATTTTTCCCTATTTGCTCTTATCAGTACTGATCTTCTTCTTCTAGGTTTTCACATGGATGACTTCTCTGTGTTCTATATCTTAGCTCAAGACTGTATTTGGGCATGTAGAAGTCTTCCTGGAGCTCTGGTCATCTGATAAAGCGTACATTTTCTCCATCTCCTTTCAGAAACCCTCCATTAATTCACAGTTATATTTGCTTATATTCAGTGACACTTATTACCATTGAAAGTTAGTCTACATGTCTATTACGTTTCTCACTACTAGAATCAAAAATTCATCAGAGTATGTTTATCAGTTTTGTCCATTACTGCATCATCACACCTAGAACAATATATCTGGAACGCAGTAATTACTCATAAAAATGACAATTTAAAGGTAACAATAAACGTATGGAGCAACGTCATCTGCTCAAATAGCTATTACAGCAGGACATGTAGAGCTGAACTTAACAAATATGCATCTCAGAACCATCTAGATAAGGCACTTACGGGAAATGAGGTTTAGTTTCCCTACGTTCATAATTGAATTTCCCATATGGTTGCTATGCTTAACTTGCTCAAAAGGGAATTATTCTATTAAAGAAATACATGTTCTTATATTATAATTTTTGAAAGTCAAGATATCATCTAATCAATACATTTGTGTGATGTACAATTATTCCTTTTTTTCACAAAGCCAGTATTAAACTAGTGGTTCATCAAAAATGCAATGCTGAAAAATATTTGAAGAAATATTGTACACAATGAAATCAACCAGAAGAGTAGCATAAGCTAGCTTCCCCTTATATCCAAAGCCAAAAAAAAAAAATTGTCATGATATTTGGGTTGCGGCTTGAGTAAAAGTCCAATGCTTGACTGAAGACTTTCCAGTATTACCTATTTTATACAGTGGTCCTTTCTGGGGTATCCACATCCACATTATATTTTTCAGAACTAAGGGCTATTTATAACTCTATTTTTACACTTATGTGACTTCTCAAGCATTTGCTTGAAAAGTCACCAATCCGATTGTTATCACATGTTTATTAAGAGTACCTGTTTGTAGTCTAGTTTATGACCAGAAGTGTAAAGATAATTGAAAAACAAATACAAATTACCATAAAAAAACAGTATTATATTTACTTATTTTTTATAATAGTATTCCCTAGAAAAATCGCTTCCTTCTGAAAATACACATGGTCACAACAATAGAACATCAGTTATTAGTTCTGCTATTTCTCCGATTTTTTTGTTTTTCAGAATTACGGCAGTCACATAATTAAAATTTATCTGATTGTATTTCATATATTTTTAATCTGATACAGCTTGCTTTTTTTTAGTTAAAGAGTGTGTGTATGTGTGTTTGTGTGTGTGTATATTTGCATATGTGAATGAATATTTCTTTAAATCTATGTCTATTTGATGTCCGCAATAGGGAAGAAAACCTAGCATATGCGTTCTTTGAAATTCTGACGATAGCATTATTATCTTGTTATTTTTTATATTTTAGAATATTCTTTACTAGTTGATTTATATATCATGTTTTTTCTTATCTACATATTTCATAATAGCCAGAATTAAATTTTCTATCACATTTATATTTAAAGTTTAAAAGGACCAGATACATGAGATATACATAAAATTGTATATTTAAAAATACAGTTTGAATTATTTCTCTTTTCAGCTAATCAAATTTTAACAGCCTCTGACCTAAACTAAAATTATTCTATTTTGGCTTATTTTCTGTTTTTTTAAATTATTATTAGCTATTATATTTTCAAATATTTCTATAATGTATGAGAGTATTATTTTATCTCCATCTCTAACAGTAATCACAATTTAAGGTTCTTTTGATTTTACCAGAATTAATAAAGTATTTTACCTTGTTTTCATTTTAACTGTCATATTCCCATCTACTTTTAATGTGGCTTTTGGATGTTGAACTTTTCTTTGAATAATCTTCCCATATTCTTTTCCCACTTTTCAACTGAGCCATCTGTTTTCTCTTCTTAATATTGGTGTTCTTTTTGTATGATTGCAAATAACCCTTTTTCTATCAACAAGAATATAAATTTTTCCAGGCTTATTATTTATCTATTTACTATATTTATTTTTTGCCAAATGAATATGTAAAATTTTAATAGTTATATCGGCCTGGCTTTTCCTTTATATATTCTAGATTTCTTATTCTAATAAGCAATAAACCTCCAAGTAAGGCATTCTATTTGATTAATGTTCTATTATTTGTTTATTTTGAGTTCAGATATCACAGAAGGAGGAATATTTGACCTACATTTGGAAATATAAGTAGATTTTCAGAGACTCCCCAGGAAATTGAAGCAATTCTTTCAAAAATACTGAAATATTAAAGAATATGGAAACATCCCATACTTCCATGCCTTTGTTCATATCATACACTTAATCTAATAACTTTCAAAGATTCAGACCAGGTGTTGTCAACTAAACCGTGCCTTTTCTATGGCTCTAGGTAGGACTAACACCATTTGTCTACTCTGAGCTGGTAAAATATACAAATATTTATCCAGGCTTTCCACATGTGATATTTTGATATTGTGTGCTTATGTTTCTACCACCATCTTTACTACTCCCTAACAACTCCATTTCCATTAGGTTGTAGTTCATTGAAAGCAGGGGTATTATCTTATTTATTTTTGTCTTTCTATAATTAAACACAGGGGCATATCGTAGGTAGTCAGTAAATGATATTGGAAACAAATTGATGATAGTATATTTATGGAATTTAGACTAACTTAAGTCACAGTGTAAGAGACAGACAGGCTGAATGGAGCTGTTACTAAGGGCCTTGGCTTCCATTCTAAGGAATTGAGGTTTGATCTCCAGACAATCAGATGGTGTGTGGGGCTACAGATCTCCTGAAATTATGTCCTCTGTCTTCAGCTACCAGGGTAGACAGAGAAAGACCATCAGTTGAGGGCAAAGTTAGGTGTGTCTGAGCTCAGACTCACCTTGGGTGGGGCTTGTTGGAGCTGCTGTGTGGTATGGGGTTTTGTTCCCAGGCCAACGGAATTATGTTTCCAGGGAGATTATGGCTGTCTCTTCTGTGTCACACAGATCACCAGGGAAGTGGTGGAAAGCCAGCAGCCACTGCTTTCATGCATTCCATAGCCCAAAAGTCTGGTCTCCCTTCCACCATGACCCCACAATATCACCAAGTTTATTTTCAGGCAGCAGGTGAGCAGGGCTGAGAATGTGCCCCAGGCTACAAGCTTCTGAGCCAAGAAAGCAAGCTGACTCACAGTTCCTTGGCTGTCCCACAAAGGTTGTGGCAATACACCTCCTTCAAAGGGTCTGTGGATTTTCTCAGCTTTCCTGGTATGTTCCTGCAGAATTTTTTGGAGCAAAAGTTCACGATGTGGGTCTCCACGCACTATTCTGTTTGTCCAAGTGGGAGCTGCAGTTAGTCTTACCTCCTACTTGCCATTTTCCCTTACTATCACCTCCATAGAAATTTATTCAAAATCCAGTTCTGCTATGATGTTTGTTATTATTTTTTTTCTTCTGCTAGCTTTGGGGTTAGTTTGTTCTTGTTTTTTTAGTTCCCGTAGTTAATTTAGTTTCCCATTAGTTTGAGATCATTTTAAAGTTTTGAGGTAGGCATTTAGTGCTATAAACTTTTCTCATAAGACTGCTTTTGCTGCCTCTTTTAGATTTTGGTATGTTGTGTTTCTGTTTTCTTTTGTGTCAAAGATTTTTTTATTTCTACCTTAATTTTGTTGTCTACCCCAAAGTCATTCAGGTCAAGTTGTTTAATCTTCATGTATTTGTGTAATTTTGAGATATCTTATTGGTATTAATTCCTATTTATTCCATTATAGTCCAAGAATATGTTTAGTTATGGGTACACCAAAATCTCAGAAATCACTACTAAAGAACACATCTATGTAACCAAAAATCACCTGTACTCCAAAAACTATTGAAATGAAAAAAGAGAATAAATCAGAGAAAAATAAAAGATGTTTATCTCTTCATTTTCTGGATTGCTTTGGAAGTTTCTTTGTGTTGATTTGCAACCTTGTGTTGGATCCTGTGGAGCTTCCTTACAATCCATGCTTTGAATCCCTTATCTGTCATCTCTGAGTTTCCATTTTTGTTAGAGATCTTTGCTGGAGAGCTAGTGTAATCCTTTTGTGGTGCCACTACGTTCAAATTTTTATGAGCAGAATCCTTGTGCTCTTATGTACTGGGGCTTCACTCACTTTTATCAACCAGATACTGTCACAGGGACTGTTTGCTCATGTTTTGCTCCCTGGAATCTGGAATATCCTTCACAATTTTGGTAGACTCCTATTTTCCTTCTTGAATTAAACCCCACAGAGTTGATCTTTGTGCACCATCTTGCTATTTCCAAGTGGCTGAGGTATGCTAAAAGCCTCTTATCTGCCATCTTGGAACAAAACAATAACAACATGCTTTTTCTTTATCAAATTCAGAAAATAGAATGAGAGCAGCTACAGAAAAAGATTAAAAATGTCCTTGTCCCACTGTTGCTACAACGTGCACTTACACATGAGTAAACGTGAGTTTTTTTTTGAGATTATGTCTGATTCATTTTTTATAGTGCCAGTGCCTAAGATAGCATCCAACACATACTGATTTTAAGAAATCATTATGTGATAAATCACTGAAAGACCACTGAATTGAGAGACAGGACATTAGGGTCAAAATTAGGAAGGCAGACGCTTAATGTGTTGGAAGATCTCTGTTCCTGAAATGAAGAAACACCCACTCTAATTGAAGGTTTGCTCTGAGTTTCCTTTGTCTCATTATTTTCACTTCTATTTATTTATTACTCCTTTCATCTGAGCAAATGTCACAAGACAATCTAATAATTGTTTCATTTTGATCATGAAAATACATGTAATTACTACTGAAAAATTATTCTTTTTAAGTACAGCCACTGATATGGTTTGGCTCTGTGTCCCCACCCAAATATCACTTGGGATTGTAATAATCCCCATGTGTCAAGGGTGGGACTGTGTGGAGGTAAATGAATCCTGGGGGTGGTTGCCCCCATGCTGTTCTCCTGAGAGTGAGTTCTCACGAAATTAGATAGTTTTATAAGCATCTCACATTTTCCCTGCTGGCACTCATTCTCTCTCCTGCCGCCCCTTGAAGAAGTGCCTTCTGGCATGATTGTAAATGTCCTAAGGCCCCTCAGCCATGTGGAACTGTGAGTCAAATAACCTATTTTCTTCACAAATTACCCAGTCTTAGGTATTTCTTCGTAGCAGTATGAGGGCAGACTAATTCAGCCACGTAACCCCAGTGTATTAGCCACAGGAGAGACAAGTCGATGAACTACAAGTAGGAGATAACTTTTACCACCTAAAACCTGCATCATTATTGAGTCACCTATGTGTCCTTCTTCTCACCTTTGAGATAGGATGGGTGGAGGAAAATCATTAGGCCTACCACTTAAATTAAGAGATGTCGTCAACAAGGACTTTAAATGCTCAGAGAATGGAATAGATGCATTGTCAATGCCATTTCAGTGGTCGATAAGACTTTATATTGCTGATCACTCCAAAATTTTTCTCTTCTTTTATTGTCCTCCAGTGGTATAATATTCTTTGATTTTCTTTGAACATATGAGGCATGAGCAGCATCCTTCCAGGTGCTTTACTCTGCCTGTAAAGCCTGCTCTTGAATACTCATACAGCAAACTCCCTCATCTCAATCAAGACTTTTACTTCATGAATTTTACTTGGCCGTTACATTCAGAAATTAGCCAAGAACTAGTTTGAAGGTTTGATTCTAAATATCTCTATTTCAGTATTTAGTGTCGTTAATCATAAGGAATGGAATTAGGACAGAATACATTTTAAACAATAGTGGACTGCTCAAGCTAATGCCATTCATATTATCAAAAAAAGCCTCAGGAGAATTTAAAGGATCTAAAGAAAAATTTCCCTTCCCTTCCCTTCCCTTCCCTTCCCTTCCCTTCCCTTCCCTTCCCTTCCCTTCCCTCCCCTCCCCTCCCCTCCCCTCCCCTCCCCTCCCCTCCCCTCCCCTCCCCTTTCTTCCTTTCTTATTCCCTCCCCTTCCATCCCTTCCCCTCCCATCCCCTTCCCTCCTCTTCCCTTTCTTTCTTTCCTTCTCTTTCCCTGTGTCTCACTGTATAAAAGTAAAAAGAAATGTTCACATTAGGCTGTGTGTTATGGCCCAAAATATTGGTCATTCTGTCAAGCCAGTTGCATTTCCATTCCCAGGGTAAAATCATACCCAAAAATGATGGAAATATTGCTAGAGGAATTTAGAAAAATATGTCAGCTTAACAAATGATGCAATGGTTTGTCTGTAAATAGTAATATAATTAATACCAAGAAATGAACTAAGAAAAAGCTTCTGAAAGTGTAGAGGTAACAACAAACATGCCATCCAATACTCCCATAATTTGTTTACACTAATAATAAAATGAAAGCAATTGCCCAGATAAATATCTCAGAAAACCAAAACCCATTAACTTCCAACCCAAGTATGCTCCTTCATTGAGGATGGATCGCCCTGTCTAGTTCAGGAAAAGAAGAAAAAATATTCGGCGGTTGTCTAGCATTAGCCACAGAAGCCTTGTGTTGAAAAAAAAATTCTAATATTGTGGCAGAACTTGCATGAAATCATTCAAAGAAAAATAATAAACTGTCTTCTGACATAAGTAGCTACATAAATCCTAAGACTAAGCATGATCTTAATGTAGAGTGACAACAAAAGGCAACTTTATGTCTTGTAAGTTTTGGCATATTTTTTCTCATTTTCAAGCACAGAAATTGCCTATTTTAAATATATTTAGGTGCTTCATATATATATATGTGAATATATATATAAATATATATGTGAATATATAAAAATATATATGTGAATATATAAAAATATATATGTGAATATATAAAAATATATATGTGAATATATAAAAATATATATGTGAATATATATAAAAATATATATGTGAATATATATAAAAATATATATGTGAATATATATAAATATATATGTGAATATATATATAAATATATATGTGAATATATATATAAATATATATGTGAATATATATAAATATATATGTGAATATATATATAAATATATATGTGAATATATAGAAATATATATGTGAATATATTTATGAATATATATGTGAATATATATGTGAATATATATATGTGAATATATATGTGAATATATATATATGTGAATATATATATGTGAATATATATAAAAATATATATGTGAATATATATATGTGAATATATATAAAAATATATATGTGAATATATATATGTGAATATATATAAAAATATATATGTGAATATATAAAAATATATATGTGAATATATATGAATATATGTGTGAATATATATGTATATATATGAATATATATGTGAATGTATATATGAATATATATGTGAATGTATATATGAATATATATGAATACATATACATGAATATATATATATAAATGAATTGTATTCATTTCCCTCTAAAGAGTATGAATTTATTCATAGAAGGATTGATGACATCTTTGACAGGGCTAGATGTTTCAGCTTCTAGCATAAAAGAAAAAACCTGAGAGAGAAACAGTGACCATTACCTACCCCAGCCAACTACTCGTGTTTTTCAGAGGCACTCTTTAGCTTTGGTATTACCTGGGACAATAGTGTTTTTGAATAATGACTCTGTCTCTTTCATTTTTATGCTCTAAAATCCCATTCTGTGCGTGCACTTAAAACATCTGTGCCCTTTGTTTTCAATGAACAATGAAGAATTCATGTGGGTTCACCACAATGCCTAGCAATTCATTTGGTTTGCCTTTCAAGGTGAGGTGATGTATACACTTTGTACTTACAACAGTATTAAAGGATCCAAACTTAATGAATGAATTTTCAATGGTAGATAAGGATTATTATGATCCAAAGCCCATCTCTTGGGCTGCAGCCTTCATCTACAACTGTCAGGAAATTTTCCAAACCATAGCATACTAATCTTGTGAAAAAACAGAAAACCCTTCTGAAATATTTATCTTTATAATACATTCTGGAATACCTTATGTTCCAGTTATTTTACCTGTCTCTCATATAATTTAGGAATCTTTAGCAAGAATAGTAAGAAAAGATGCACAGAGAACAAAAAGAAAAGTTGAGGTAAATGGAAGCAAATGGTAGAATTTGTAGATAGTTGATTTTGCAGGGTGCTTTGAAAGACATAAGGGAAACTGAGCAAAAAAACTCAGGCGATGAATATGTTCTTATACCTTGAAGAAGAGGGGATTGAGAACTGTTGAAGAGTGGCTGAATGAAGTCATTCATCCATTCATCTATTTGTCCTCACAAAAATGCTTATTGTAATCCTATTATGAGTCAGGCACCTATTAAACACTGAAGATGAGTAGATAAATCTGACTGCTAACCTCATGCTAACTCCATGAGGTTAAATACATGGACATGTATTAAATACATGGACATGTCTAGTTAAAATACATGGACATTACATAAATAATTAAACAAATAGTAATATAAATGCAGTTGTAACTGAGCGATTCAGTCCCAAGCATTTCCAGCATGCGCTGATGCACTCTGAGATAGAGTCATCTTAGATGGGACTGACATAACAGTGCATTTGTAGAGACTAATTGGGATAGCTGCCTTGTGCCCACATGTGATTTCCCTCTTGTGCAACTTTGCTGATAGATTAGTTTGTTAGGTATTTCAACATTGAATATTCACATTTATTCATTTCTCTCTGAACTACATTCATTCATTTCTCTCTGAACTATAGAATGAAAAATTTTAGAGCTACCACAAAAGAGGAAGACTTGAAAACCCTCTACATTATACTGAAGAACAATAACTAATTGTATTTTTAATTCATAGTCTTCATTATGGCTAGTACCAGTCTAGTAATTTTGAGACATTCTTGAAAACCTAGCATTAATATCTTTTTCCACAGATTTACGTTGATTTAAGAAACTGATGCTCCAATATTTAAATGTATTCAATTTGATTTCAAGTATTTTGAGATTAAAAAATTTATCACCAAATTAAATTATGTTATGTATGGGAAACAGAGCAAGATTAGATAAATTTGTAAAGCATAAAATGATAACTATTCTAATTAAAAGTGATCTTCTACTAGTGACAAACCTAAAACAAAGGGGAGCATTTCTAGGTTGTATTGGAATCCCACGTGGAAGGAAGCATTCATTTTTAAATGGAAGTGTGTTTATTATGAAGTTGAGTCCTGTCTATGAAGACTTTTACTTGGAAATTCTCATATGTAAGTGGTAGGATTTCTGGAGTGTTAAGCTAGCATAACATTTTTAATAATGCTCAAAACTATGTAAAGGAGCCTATAACTGCTAGAGTGAGTGAGCTGAGCCAAATTTGAACAGCTCTGGATTTCATTGCCAAACAGTTTTAGAAAGATGACATGCATTCCATTTATAAGTGACTCTTTGCAATGATAGTACTACTTGGCTAGTAGTTATCTATTAGAAAATTATGTTTCAAAATAAGTTTATTTTGTTACATTTGAACAAAATATAAATCCAAAATTTAACTGAAATTAATAATAAATAATTTAAAAAGAAAATGTTTGTCTAATATTAGAAATCACTTTTTAAGTCTCAACTTTATGTGTGCAAAGGGGACAACATCTGTACTGTTTGGTGTCTCATGTTTTCAACTACTGTACACGTCCTCTTACTCCAGACATAATAATGACCATTACTGAGCGCTTACTATGTGTCAGGCCATTTCTATTTTCCATATACTGATACATTAAATACTTATAGAAATCCTCGGGAGTGGATACTATTATTGTGTCCATTTTATAGATGAGAGGACTGCATTATAGAGAGGTAAATAACTGGGGCAAGGTTGTACAACTCCTAAGAAGCCACTGAATACTTATGTACCTGTGCTTTCCAGCTCTAGAAGCTGTATTTTTAACTACCCTTCTAGTCTGAATATCTTCTTGTCGCCATGACTTTACCAATGGATTTATCCCTGAATCTGTCTTTAGGTACTGCATGGGCACATTTCAAGTTTCAATTCAGATGTAATATCTCCCATGAATTTTCTTACATTTGTCCCACTCTTAACTGGGTAAGAAACCACACATATGGGCCACTACAGTCTCAGGGTTAATAGCACTCATCACACTAGATTCTTAATTACCCTTTTCACCTCTTTGTCTTTCCTACTAGCTTGAGATACTTAAGGAAAGACTTCTTATGTTCCCAATAAATGTTTACTGAATGTATAAATGAGTATGAAAGAATTGTAAGTAAAAATTTTGTAAAACTGCTTTTAAAACTGTAAACATCATAGATGATTATTTCATTTCATGATAAGGGTATTCTATGGCAAAATAGCGTCTCAGAGAGGGTTGTTTTTTCAATGTAAATAAAATGGTGAAATAAAAATTAAAACAGAAAGAAAATTATTCAAAAGGGGTAAACACTGATTTATGTTTGCTGCAGGGTATTTTTTAAATTGAAAATGGCATTTATAAAACAAAGGGCAGAAAAAAATTCAATTTTGCTTGAACTAAAGTATAATACTCTTGATTTTTACAACTGAAAGCATTGACAGTGACTTATCATCCTGACTTGACAAGGAATAATTGAAGAAATCTTAAAGAATCATGACTTAACTTTCTTTGATGGTATTAAAATCAAAATTGTTGTGTGGCACTCAATATGAGAACACATGACATAAAATACAAAAAATATAGAAAATAGATCTCAACTGAATAAATTTTTATGGCAAAGAATATTATGTCATATAGGGGAGAAGTTTCAGATTAAAAAATAAAGAGTGGGCAGAACACAGTGGCTCAGGCCTATAAACCTAGCACTTTGGGAGGCAGAAGAAGGCAGATCACGAGGTCAGGAGATGGAGGCCATCCTAGCTAACATGGTGAAACCCCGTCTCTACTAAAAATACAAAAAATTAGCTGGGTGTGGTGGCATGTGCCTGTAATCCCAGCTACTCGGGAGGCTGAGGCAGGAGAATCGCTTGAACTCGGGAGGCAGAGGAGGTTCCAGTGAGCCGAAAGCAAGACTCCATCTCAAAAAAAAAAAAAAAAAAAAAAAAAAAAAAAAAAAAAAAGAAGAGTAATAGAACAGGACAAATCAATTATATTTGTATTTCTGAAGGCAATGAATGGTCAATTCCTTGCTTGGATCTATGTGGTTAGAGAGAAATACCTGTGTTCCTAGAAGTGCACAGAACCATGCAAAGAGAATTGACAAGGCCTCATTCCAAAGACAAATGGATTAATTAGTTGTGATTGCATCTAAATTACTATTAAGAATCAAGAAAGCATGAAAAAAAGCATAGCATACTAAAAACTTTTTTTTTCTCAAATAAGACAGCCTAAATATGGATCCACCTTCTTATTGACACAATACCCTAACACTGGTTATTGAACAGCCCCCTAATTTTTACCACGCAGGTAGTTAACAACCTTCTAATAAAATTATCATGGAAATTGAAGGAAATCATGTATGTAAACTTGCACATTAGACATACATGATAGACATCTTCAGTAGGCTTATTACAACTATTATTAATTGCAAAACAATGAAGATGATCTCAAGTCTTAGAAAGCCAAAGTGTCAATTATTTCATTTTCTAAGTTGGCAAATGTATTTACCATACATACAGATATATTAAAAACGACTGATTATAAGGAATTGGTTCACATGATTGTGGAGGTTGGCAAGTCCCAAAATCTGCAGTGTTAGTCAGCAAGCTGGAGACCAAGCAGAGCTGGTAATTTAGCTCCAGTTTGCATACAAAGACCTAAGAACTATGAGAGCTGTTGGTGCTGTTTCAGTTGAAAGATCTTGGAGGCACAAGACCCAGGAAGAGTCATTGCTTCAGTTTGCATTCGATGGTGGGAAAATGCCAATGTCCCAGCCAAATACCATCAAACAGGAAGAATTTTCTTATTCAGGGTAGGGTCAACCCTTATGTTCTATTCAGACCTTCAACTGATCAGATAAGGCCCATCCACATTAGAGAGGATTATATAGTTTGGATATTTGTCCTCATCCAACTCTCATGTTAAAATGCAATCCCCAATGTTGGAGATGGGGCCTGGTGGGAGTTATTTGGGTCATGAAGGTGGATTCCTCATGGATTGGTGCTGTCCTAATGATAGTGAGTGAGTTCTCATAAGATCAGGTTATTGTAAAGTGTGGCACCTCCCCTATCTCTTGCTCCTGCTCTTGCCATGTGAGATGCCTGCATCCCCTTAATATTTTGCTGTGATTGTAAGCCTCCTGAGGCCCTCAGCAGAAGCCAAGCAGATGATAATGCCATGCTTCCTGTACAGCCTGCAGAACCATGAGCCAATTAAATCTCTTTTCTTTACGAATTACAAATTACTTAATCTTAGGTATTTCGTTATAGCACTGCAAGAACAGCCTAACACAGAGGTCAATCTACTTTGCTCAGTCTACAGATTTCAATATTATTCTCATCAAAAACACCCTCATGAAAACACCCAGAGTAATGTTTGGCCAATTATCTGGGTACAGTTTGGCCCAGTCAACTTGACACACATAATTAACCATCATAGCAAATATCATGATTTTCCTTAGGACCATGTGTAATAGCTTAGGTTTTTACTCACAGGAACAATAAGCCTATCTTAAAGCAATTACTCTGAAGCCAAGCATTTATGACATATACAAAAGGCTATCTTTGTATTTGTCTTTTTTTTCTATGTGTTTGTGTTTTCCTGATAATAAGGTTACCATAAAACATTTCTAGTAAGAAAACTAGAAAGGGAAAATTTCTACTGCCGTTATTTTAAACAATATTTTACATGCAGATTCTGGGAAGATTAATCATCACCAATGTCAAATAATCTAAAAATAACATTTGTCTTTGTAAAAGGCATTATACTTTACTATTTATTGTGTCAAAATTTATGCTCAACTCTCTTGCAATATTATCTCAGATAACCTTCAGTGTCCCTCCTAACCACTATCATGGTTAGAAAATGAGGCTACCAGGATTCAAGCTCTGATTTATAAACTTAAAAGTGTTTCTTGCCATTTTCAAAATATCTAACTCCTTTCTTAACTATAATCAAATATCATTTCAGTTTTCACTGATTACAAATTGCATATATCACAAAATAAGTTTGACTTTACAGCATATTCTAATCAATTCTATTTACTTGGCTATACTAATGCAATCATTATTATTGTTATCTAAGATAAGGTTGTAATTTGTCTCAGCAGGTGATTAAGTATGCAGTTGTTTTAGCCTTGATTCTCATTGCTAATTTTTTTAATCACCAAATACCCAAAACAATAGAATATTAACTGTTCTCTGTGAATCATAAAATGTTATTTCCTAACAAATTTTTTTAATTCAGATTTATAAATTTATAAATTTATAAATTTACAGATTTGAGTTTTACTGGGGAGAACAGAATAACTCTATTTTCAACAATGTTCACTCTCAATTTTAACAGTGATTAAAAATTTTATAACAGTAGCACTTGCCCTAAGGAGCACCAGCACCTAATACCTGGGTACCCATGGTGAAAATCATCCTGCTTACTAAGAGAAGTAAATTGGATAAATAGTCTACATCTTTGAATGTTTAATTAAAAGGCAGCGTATTTATGAGTGGCATTGAGATAGCTGAGAAACATAAAGTGAAACGTTTATTATTCATTCCCTGTCAGTGTATCAACATAGATATCAAAAGAAGACAGTTTTTCTCAATTTCATAGAGAAGAATCTAGGTTCAGAGAAGATTTAATGCTTTGACCAAAGAAATGCATAACTGAGAAAAGTCTTAAAGTGTTCAAATGCCTATCAAGAAAACAATAACACTAATTGCCAGGTTTAGCTGTCGGAGATACAGAAGTCAACATGAAAAATTTCTTGATTTCACAGAGCTTAGATTTTGATGAGGAAGGTAAGAAATAAAAAAGAGAACACATAAATAACTGTAATACTTCAGAGTGATAGATACTATAAAGTAAATAAGTCAGCAATATAGGAGAGAGTATGATGAAGATAGTGCTTGTAATTTAAATAGTTAAGTCATATGTTTCACAAGTGACATTTAAACATTACGTAAATTAGGTTAAAGAGTGAGAATCTTTGCTTTACTTCTAATATTGGAAGACAAGCATTCAGGTTTTCACCGTAGACTATGATGTTAGCTTTGAGATTTTTATATATGGTTCTTCTTTTAAAGTAGTTTCCTTCTATACGTAGCTTGTTAAGAGTTTTTTTATCATGAAATGGTGTTAAATTTTGTCAAATGCTTCTTCTGATCTATTAAGATAATAATACAAGTTTTAACTTTCTTTCTGCTAGTGTAATGCATTCATTGATTGATTTTTAGAAGTTGAACCACCTTTGTGCCCAAGGATTTAATCACACTTGGTAATTGTACATAATCCTTAAAATCTGCTGTTCGATTCAATTTGCTAGTATTTTGCTGAAGATTTTTGCATCTACACTAATGAGGAGTATTGAACCACAGTATTATTTTCTTGGAATATTTTTGCCTGGCTTTAGTATCAAGGAAATGCTGGCCTTATAAAATTACTTTTAAATCATTCTTTATTTTTTAAGAGATTTTATGTCTTCATTTTTGAAGAACAGTTTTGCTATGTATATTATAATTGGTAAGTTGGTTGGCAGTTTTAAAAAAATATGTTTTCAGTATCTTGAATATACTCCCTGTGGCCTGTAAGGTTTCTTTTATAAATTCACTAATAATCTAATAAGACTTTTCTCATATGTGGCAAGTTGTTTTTCTGTTATGGCTTTCAAAATTATCTCTCTTTCTTTGATTTTTGACAATTTGATTATAATGTGTCTCAGTGGGGATTCCTTTAGGCTTATTTTATTTTGTGCCCTTCAGGCTTCTAACATCTGGATTTCCATTTCCTCCACCAGATTTGGAAAATGTTTGTTTATTATTTCCTTGTATATGTTTTCTAGTCCTTTCTCTTATCTCCTACTATAAATTCCATTATGCATAGATTGATCTACTTTATGATGTTCTTTAATTCTTTTAAGCTTTTTTTCACTCTATTTTTGCTCCTCTTATTATTTTTAGTGACATATCTTTGAGTTACCGATTTTTTTTCTACTTGATCTAGTTTGTTGTTGAACATTTCTAGTGAATTTTCAGTTGAATTATTTTGATCTTCAGTTGCATTTCTTTTGGTACTTTTATACTACTTTTTATCTCCTTCATTAAATTCAGACTCTGTTTATATATAGTTTCCCAGACCTTAGTGAGCATCTTCATGATGTTTATTTTGAATCATTTTCAAATAAATAAATTGTATCCATTTCATTAAGTTTCTGAACCTTTATCTTATTCGTTTGTTTGGAGCATATTTGCCTATTTCTTCTTCTTCCTTTACTCTCTGTGCTGATGTTTGAATATTAGCTAAAACATCCTCCTCTCCCAATCTTTGGAGACTGGTTTTCTAAAGGAAAAGATCAATCAGCTTGGCCAGATACTTTATAGGCCTCTCAACCCTTCATCCTAGTCCAATGTACTTTGTCTTTTTGCACCTCACCTAGATATCTAAAGTATGCCAAACCTTTCACTGCACTAGTGAAAGTAATACTGAAGCTAGTTCTGTGGCTGCTACAAAAGTTGGGCCAATGGATGTTCCATTCATCACTTTTACTCTTTAGAGAGAAGCTGGGAGCTAGTTTTTCCTGTTTATTTTTTTTTCCTTAAATCTGCATACTCTGTATTGATCTGGGCAGAGGGTCTGTCAATTGTAAGCTAAAATCTGTGTTCCTGTTCTCATTAGCCTCCAAATGATTAGATTATTCCAAGTGTCATCAGCACTTTGAGACAAGCAGTGCAGCAACTAGTTCTTTGGGTGGTCCTCAGAAAAGCTGAGGGCTTGTAAATGCAGAAACTCTCTTTCTCTTTCAAGGGAGAAGATGGTTGCTGAAATATTTCCTCTGCTGAGTAGTCAGAAGTAGCTATGGTGACTACCAACCCAAGACATTGTCTTTGTTCTCTCCAAGGCAATTTTATTGTGCTGATCAAGTTGTTGTTCTAAGACTGACAAGTCAGAAGCCAGTAGTCTGGGGAGCTCATGCAGAAGAGTTGAGGTTCTGGACACATGGGTCAACTGTTTCCATCCCTTAGGAACCTGGGAGCTTAAAAGTCTCTTCTCAATTATATGGTACTATGTCAATGGCAGGGATTCTGGATAGAAGTTGTCCTGAGTCATTCTACTGGCTTTAATAAGTCTGGTTTTGTGTTTTCCTGGGGTGCAGGTTTTTTCCTTTCAATCCTTTTCTGGATTTCTCACAAAGGGTATTTGTTCATAATTTGTTGTTGCATCAGTGTATTTATGGGAGAAAGTAAGTTTAGGGCTTTCTTCTCCACTGTTTTGCTGATACAGCTCAAAATAAAATATTTCCGTAATCTAGTAATAATATCGATTAATTCATAATTACCTGTATGTCTTCTATTGTTTGCCTAACACTGTTCTCATCCAACTTTTAATGTATAGAAACTCTTATATACGTCACTTAAAGAAAAATTTTAACTGACTTTCAAAATATTTAGGAAAAATATGTGTTGCATTGGCAAACAAAAAGATCCCACACTAACTAATTGTATCATTCTATTTTCACATTACTATGAAGAAATACACGAGACTGGGAATTTTATCAATAAAAAGAGGTTTAATTGACTCACAGTTCCATATGGCTGGGGAGGCTTCACAATCATGGTGGAAGGCAGAGGGGGAGCAAAGGCACATGTTACATGGCAGCAAGCAAGAGCGTGTGCAGGCGAACTGCCCTTTATAAAACTATCAGATCTCGTGAGACTCATTCTCTGTCAAAAGAACAGCATCGGAAAAATTTACCTCATGATTCAATTACCTCCCACCAGGTCCCTCTAATGACACATGGGGATTATGGGAGGTACAATTCAAGATGAGATTTGGGTGGGGACACAGTCAAAATGTATCACTAAACAGCAAGAGACATTTAAAGAGTATATAAAATAGTATACCGTATTTCCGGGAGGTCAAGGTGCAGCCATGAGAAGTTCTCAAATTATACCATGCAAATATTGCTGAAAAGACCCTATTCAACCACTCAAGGTAGAGATGCAGCAGCTCCCAGCAGGCACTGGGCATGAACATCTCTGCCATGCTATATCCCAAAGTGAAATATCTTCTCTACCACCTTCACTAAATAAATGAAGTAAATAAAAACACTACTTTTTACATTGTTACTCCATGAAGATAAGGTAAGAACTACAGAAATAAGATTTTATATTCAAGCCATTTGATTACAAAAATTTCAGTGCTTGAAGTGACAGAAGTATTTAGATGTGTTTAGAGATTGTGTATGTTGAAAAAGTACAGAAGCTACATCTCCTTTTTCCTCGAGGAGTACAAAATAGTTTAAATTCTGAGTATAAATTCCTTCTTTGCATTTATACGTCCTAAAGTAAGAGAATACAGAGACTACGGTCTTGGGGGCAGATTAAAAGCTACAGAAGTCATCTAGCCCAATAGGTGGTGCTTAGCAAAGGAAAACAAGGCTAACACAAACAGTAGTTAGTATTTAAGAAGACATGTAGTGAATCAGCCATGTTTCTCAACTGGAGATCTTATTAAAATGAAGATTCTGATAGAGTAGACCTGCAATGGAACCTAAGACATACATTTCTAACTAGCTTCCAGGTGATGGGTTTGCTGCAGTCTCTCAAAACACACATGGAGTAGTATGATTTATAGTACAGTCATGCACAGCATAATGACATTTTGTTAAATTAAGGGCCACATCTACAATGGTGATCCCATAGGATTATAATGCAGCTACCTTATACAGATATACTGTTTCATATTTTTATACTGTTTTTAACTCTACTATTTCTGTGATTAGACACACAAATACTTACCGATATGTATTGCAAATGCCTACAGTATTTAGTACAGTAACAAGTTGTATAAGTTTGTAACCTAGGAGCAACAGCCTACACATTAGAGCCTAGGTATACAGTAGGCTATATCACCTAGGTTTGTGTAAGCACACTGTATGATGTATACACAATGATGATATTGCCTGAGGACACATTTCTCAGAGCATGTTCCTATTGTTAAGGAAAACATTAATTTATACACTACTAAAAGGTGATAATATTCTAGAAATAAGTGATTCAATGGTTAAGTTGACTTGTAAAATTTTTGTTTAAATTTCATCGAAAAGACTTAATTCTTACAGATTTTTCAGAGCCTTTAATCTTTAATAAGTTAAGACACATAGAGACGTCCCAGAGCATGGAATAAAGGAGGGAAGTTTTTTGTAGTGTATATAAGTTTACCTTTTCAGCTTAACTATATGTATACATGTATGTATGTTTGTGTATATATATTGATGTGTGTGTATGTGTGTGCGTGGAGAGAGAGAAGAAAAAGAAAGAGATACTTATTATAAAAATTGATTTATGCAATTAAGGAAACTGACAAGTCCCAAAATCTGCAAGGTGAGATAATAAGGAGAGCCAATGATATAGTTCCAATTTGAAGGCTGGAAACTCAGGAAGAACCAATATTTCTGTGTGAATCCAAAGGCAGAAAAAATTTGTATGTCCTAGTTTGCAGGCCATGGGTAGAAGAAATTCCCCTTACTTCCTTTTTTTTTATTCTAGGCCTTTGACTACTTGGTAAGGCTCAACTATGTTAGGGAGGGCCATCTGCTTTACCCATTCTACCAGTTTAAACATTAAACTTATACAAAAACACCCTCACAGAAACACTCAGAATATTTAACCAAATATCTGTGCTGCCAAAGACATAGTCAAATTGACACATAACATCAACCATTAAAGTTTTCATACCAATTAGTTGTGCAACTGTGGGCAACCATTGCATACATTTGAGCATAATTTTCTATGTTGTGTAATAACAGACATGGAATAAATGATAATTACAATTTCCCCTCTTAAGTTATGCTTTTCAATGTTGTCAAAATGTTAAGATCATGAGCAATTTGAAGGAAGCTGAGTACAAATCAAGTGATCTATAAGATTATTTTGCCATATTTTCCCACAGCTCTGTTGTTGAAATTAACAGTGTAAAACTTTATTGAAATTTTATATACTGATTTTACATGTTTCCTCTTTTCACTCCTATAGGACAAAATAAATCAGAGTTTCATGGCACAGGTTTTATTTTTCATCTTAGATAGGAGGAAACTGAAGACCCAGTTGTGTAAGGAATCTCTCCAAACTATAAAAGATGTAGTGCAGACTACACTTTCAATTTACAACATCCTGACCTAGTACAGATAGGTTGCCATTTCTGTTCTCAAAAAATTGAATTCTCTCTCAGTGATTCTCTTTCATCTATTACTTAGAAAAAAATAGTTTGCCATTCTTTGTTAGTTCTACTTTTATCTTTTCATTTTCTTTAATGTTTTGTGCAAACCTACATTTTTGTTCTTTATTGTGTTTTATTCCTTTTCAAAGCAATTTTGTTATTCTAGATGATATGAACACCAAGCAAAATGTAATTATAAATGTTTCAAATAACATCTGAAAATTTTTGGCATTAGTAATTCATTCTTCAGCTATTTTTCCCCACTACATAAATTTTTATAAATATGTCAATAATTGTGAAGGATAGCACTTCTTATTAGTTGTAGTAAAATATTTTAAAAAGCCCTAGTGTAACAGTGTGTTAGTGTCAAATAGGACTATTTTTCAGCCCAAATGGAGACCCTACCTCTGAGACAAGACAATTTATTCATATTGCTAAGAGTCAACAATAAGTATATAATACTTAGTCTGATCCACATCACAACTTGCAAAGTCTTCATAAAAATTAAATGCAAATCATCAGCATGCCGAAATTAACAGCACTGATAGATGTAACACATTTTACAAACACTGAAAACTCACTAATTGAAATAAAAATGGAAAGTTTTAACCTTTGCAAAATAAGCCAATGAGTATGTTTTTTCACTTCAGTTTGATCAGTTTCAAACACTCTAATGTTGGCCTAAGTTGATGATTGCTTGCATGGTTATTTATAAGATAATTAGGTTCAGCTTTGAACATGTAAAACAATAAATGCCTCCTGAAGCACAGATCAAAATTTGCTTCTGCAGGTTAGCTGTTTTGAGCTTAGAGTTTTCGACATGAATTTATTTTTTGAACATATATTTTTATAACTTTCTCAGCTCAAGTGCTTATAAGTTTTGAAATTTAAACTTTTTACAGAGGAATAATATGGGAATGACTGTGAAAGGATATGAGGCTGATTTGAAATGCTGTACTTTAGAATTTTGCTCTCATTTTGCCATCTGAGAACATGTCCCACATCAAAATCAACAGTACTCAAGATCAATCCATTTTTTGGATACACTTACCTCATTTCCTGTCATAATTTCTTATCCTCACAGTCCATCCTTCATGTTAAGAAATTTCTTCAAATTACAAAAAATGTAGTGCAGAATACACTTTTGACTTATACTATTCTGACCTAGTCCAAGCAGTCTTAACCAGTTAAAGGAAAGTGTAAAAGACTTTTTTAAGGGTAAAATTCATTTATTCATTTATTTAATCAATACTTATTGAGCACCTTCTTTATGCCGGCCTTCAAAGAAACAGATAAATATATGAATTCTCATGAGGTTTCTTGAGCAGTACTTTTCAAACTTTACTGTGCAAATTAATAAACTAGGGATCTTGTTAAAATGCAGATATTGATTCTGTAGATATGGGTGGTTTTGTGATTCTGATTTTCTTTTTTTTTTAGTATACTTTAACTTCTAGGGTACATGTGCACAAAGTACATGTTTGTTACATATGTATACATGTGCCATGTTGGTGTGCTGCACCCATTAATTGGTCATTTAACATTAGGTATACCTCCTAATGCTATCCCTCTTCCCTCCCTCCACCCCACGACAGGCCCTGGTGTGTCATGTTCCCCACCCTCTGTCCAAGTGTTCTCATTGTTCAATTCCCACCTATGAGTGAGAACATGTGGTGTTAGGTTTTCTGTTCTTGGCGATAGATAGCTCAGAATGATGGTTTCCAGCTTATTCTATGTCCCTACAAAGGACATGAACTCATCTTTTTTTATGGCTGCATAGTATTCCATTGTGTATATGTGCCACATTTTCTTAATCCAGTCTATCATTGTTGGACATTTGGCGTGGTTCCAAGTCTTTGCTATTGTGAATAGTACCACAATAAACATACATGTGCATGTGTCTTTATAGCAGCATGATTTATAATCCTCTGGGTATATGCCCAGTAATAGGATGGCTAGGTCAAACGGTATTTCTAGTTCTAGTTCGTTGAGGAATTGCCACACTGTCTTCCACAATGGTTGAACTAGTTTACAGTCCCACCAACTGTGTAAAAGCATCCCTATTTCTCCACATCTTCTCCAGCACCAGTTGTTTCCTGACTTTTTAATGATTGCCATTCTAACTGGTGTGAGATGGTATCTCATTGTGGTTTTGATTTGCATTTCTCTGATGGCCAGTGATGATGAGCATTTTTTCATGTGTCTGTTGGCTGCATAAATGTCTTCTTTTGAGAAGTGTCTGTTCATATCCTTTGCCCACTTGTTGATGGGTTTGCTTGATTTTTTCTTGTAAATTTGTTTAAGTTCTTTATAGATTCTGGATATTAGCCCTTTGTCAGATGAGTAGATTCCAAAAATGTTCTCCCATTCTCTAGGTTGCCTGTTCACTCTGATGGTAGTTTCCTTTGCTGTGCAGAAGCTCTTTAGTTTAATTAGGTCCCATTTGTCAACTTTGGCTTTCGTTGCCATTGCTTTTGGTGTTTTAGTCATGAAGTCCTTGCCCATGCCTATGTCCTGAATGGTATTGCCTAGGTTTTCTTCTAGGGTGTTTATGGTTTTAGTTCTAACAGTTAAGTCTTTAATCCATCTTGAATTAATTTTTGTATAAGGTGTAAGGAAGGGATCCAGTTTCAGCTTTCTACATATGACTAGCCAATTTTCCCAGCACAATTTATTAAATAGGGAATCCTTTCCCCATTTCTTGTTTTTGTCAGGTTTGTCAAAAATCAGATGGGTGTGATATTATTTCCAAGTGCTGTATTATGTTCTGTTGGTCTATATCTCTGTTTTGGTACAAGTACCTTTCTGTTTTTGTTACTGTAGCCTTGTAGTATAGTTTGAAGTCAGGTAGCGTGATGCCTCCAACTTTGTTCTTTTGGCTTAGGATTGTCTTGGCAATGCGGGCTTTTTTGGTTCCATATGAACTTTGAAGTAGTTTTTTCCAATTCTGTGAATAAAGTCATTGGTAGCTTGATGGGGATGACAGTGAATCTATAAATTACCTTGGGCAGTATGGCCGTTTTCACAATATTGTACTTCCTATCCATGAGCATAGAATGTTCTTCCATTTGTTTGTGTCCTCTTTTATTTTGTTGAGCAGTGGTTTGTAATTCTCCTCAAAGAGGTCCTTCACATCCCTTGTAAGTTAGATTCCTAGGTATTTTATTCTCTTTGAAATTAATCTGAATTGTTTCCTTACTTTAGTCCAACCCCATAAGATTAATCTGCTGAACATAACTATTTTTGAAGACCATGTATTCCTCAAAAAGTACTAGTTTTTCTACACTGTCTTTATTAAAAAGCCCTAACATACTGAAGTAACATTTTGAACATTTTACAAACAACGCAGTCTACTTTTCTAGATGTATCATCTATCAATTCTATTCAAGTACTTAAAGTTTCAGCAACACCAAACCTCTACATTGATACAAACTGTATTTCTAATACCCATAACCCTCCTGTTATTCCCTGCCACAGTGTTACTCTCACTTGTATTTCCACCTCCAAAAACCCATCTTTATCCTTCAAATGCTACATTCTCCACTGAAGCCACCTCATTCTGCCCAAAACAAAACTAATTTACCCCTTCTCTGTTTACCCCCAAATGCTTTGTTTCTCTGTTACTAAATAATTACTGTCTCTTGAGACCAAGCATATTGTAAATCAAAGGAAACTGATATATATTACAGGAAATAGATAAGATCTGGCATATAAAAAGTATTTTTTATTGTTTGTTGATTTTTTTTTTTAATATTCAGCTGAAGTCCCTTGATTCTTCCATTTAAGGATATGCTAAATGCAGGACTAGGGCAGCATATCGTGTGACTTGAAAAATCTCTAAGGTATTCTCAAACTTACATTTTCATCATCCCAACTAGAACTCTTTCTTTTTTTTAATTTTTATCGATACATAACTTTTGCAGATATTTATGGGGGTACGTGTGATATTTTGATACATGCATACAATGTGTAAAGATCAAATCAGGGTAATTTGGATATTTTTTATCTCAAATATTTATCATTTCTTTTTGTTGGGAATATTTCAGATTTTCTCATCTACATTTTTAAAGATATATAATAAATTCTTTGTACTTATAGTTTCCTTACTATGCTATCCAAAATTCAAAATTATTTTTTCCATCCGACTATATTTTTGTACTCACTAACCAACTTCTCTTTGTCCCCATTCAGCCTCTAGTAACCACCATTTTACTTACTACCTCCATGAGATACACTTTTTTTAACTCCCACATGTAAGTGAGAGGATGGCATACTTGTCTTTCTGTGCTTGGCTTATTTTACTTAACATGATGTTCTCCAGTTACATCCATGTTTCAGCAAATGACAGGATTTTATTCTTTTTATGGCTGAATAATATTCTGTATATATATAATATATAGATATATAGATATAGATATATAGAGAGATATCTATATTTATATATAGATAAATATATCTATATCTCTGTATTTCTCTATATAATATATATATCTGTATAGTGTATATATATACTTTTAAAACATTTATTGATCTGCTGATGGACACTTAGGTTGATTCTATACTTTAGCTATTATAAGTAGTGCTGCAATAAACATGGAATTGCAGATACCTCTTCGATATATTATTTTTCTTTTTTTTGAAATACATACCCAGAAGTGAGATTGCTGGATTACATGATAGTTTTACTTTTAGTTTTGTTTTTTTTTTTGGAGAAACTACCATATTGTTTTCCAAGATAGCTGTATTAATTTACATTCCTACCAACAGTGTACTATCATTCACCTTTCTCTGAATTCTTCACAGCTTCTGTTATTTTCTGTCTTTTTGATAATAGCCATTTAACCTGGGATGAGATGATATTTCATTGTAAATTTGACTTGGATTTTCCTGATAATTAGTGATTTTGAGCACTTTCGTATACCTGTCAGCCATTAATACTTCTTCTTTTAAGAAATATCCATTCAGTTCACTTGTAATTTTCAAATCAGATTACTGTGCTGGTTTTTTTTTTTTTTTTGGCTATTGTTGTTTCGATTCCTTATAAATCCTGGTTATTAATCCTTTGTCAGATGAATATTTTTCTCCCATTCAGTAAGTTGTCTCTTTATGTTGTTGATTTCTTCCTTTGCTGTGTAGAAGCGTTTTAGCTTGATATAATTCCATTTGTCTATTTTTGCTTGTGTTGTCTATGTTTTTGAGGTCTTATTCAAAAAACCTTTTTCAGATTAATGTTCTGAAGCATTTTTCCAATGTTTTCTTCTACTAGTTTATAGTTTCAGGTCTTACATGTACGTTATTTCTGGGTGGCATGGGCTATGTGGATTCAAACTGTCTCAAGACTTCATTTTTAGAAGTCATATTGCATTTTTAACAGGGACTAGATTTCTGCTGAAAATTATTATTAGCATCTTTTCAGGGAACTGCAGAGCAACAAGATATCAAAGTGGTCAATTAGAATAATGAATCAAATCAAATGTAGCAATTAAACCTTTATTAGTTTACCGTAACTGTATAAGCAAGATGCAAAAAGAGGCCTCAGCTCTACAGTTTTCCATATTTCTCATGGAATGACATCTGGCAAGGTCAGGTAAAGAGGAACACATGGAGGAAATGATGGACCCAACATAATCTGTATGTCAAGAATGCCCTGGGCTCTTTCCTGGGAGGATCTGGTCCTAGGCAGTATATTTAGCATGGGTCAGGGTCTTGCAGGTGAGACACTTTTTCCTGTTTCAGCGTTTTCTAATGGCAATGGCAATCCACATGTGTAGGCCCAGTCTAAGTTGATGTCTGAATCTCTAGGAGAATTCATCCTGTGAATCTAAGAATTAATTAGTTGCACATATGCTTGATCCGGAATGGAAGACAATTCAGTCTTCACATTTAGCTGACAAGAGTGTTCTGTTCTTCAATTTTGTTCTCCTTCTGGTAAGTATTCACATGCGTAACCAAAAGCTTATCAGAAGCAGAGCCGTTTTTTTATCTAAGTGCCTCATCTCCATCAGGACGGGGAGGACTTGGTTTATAAGCCAGTCCAAGGCTTGCCATTGGAAGAACTAACCACCAGACCATTAGCCATAGTCCGTAAGTCAATGAAAATGTAATATGGCTCACTGCTGGATGGCCTGGGTAGTCATTCATACCATATGAAGCTCTGCCTATTATGTTGAACGTCTTTACTGTGCTCTGTAAGCGATGCATCTATCTGAGGTTGGATTACTTTGAGTAGACAGTAGCGCTAGACACCATTAGTCAGATTGCTTCTTGGCACTCTACATACCCTACCAAAATTACCCTAAATTAAAGCAATTTCCTCAGGACATGGGGGCAAAGGCAAGCAGAACTGCACATATGCAAGGCATCCAATGCAGTCATTTATTCAGTATTAGGGGCCATAACAATGGGGGTTTGTAGGGGCCCAATTGAATCAATTCATATCTGGTCTCAGTAAGAGTCCAGGTTGTGGTAGCTTCAGATGTAACACTGGAGAGTAGTATCTGTTTTCACCTCTTCCTGGTGCCAGGGTATGGGGGGATCACAGTCAACCATGTACTGGCATCCAACAAGCCAAAGAAATGCAATTCTTTCCTATCTCCCCCTTGAACCCTGACCTTGACATAGGGACTTTGGTATTGCCTGCGGACAAAGGAACACTGGCCTAGTCTTATTACTTTTTTTAGCCTTATTAATTTTTAAGAGTTGAAAGGTCCGGGTAAAAGTCGACAGAGTTCTCTGATTCATCTCCAAACTCATTTGGAGTGGTGTAGGGAATAGTACTGAGACAGCCGTAGAGACCATCATCCCAAGGACTCTAGAGTGACTGTCCCTTGGGATATATAAGTTAGAAGTGTGTGTGTGTGTGTGTGTGCACGCGCACACACGCACGTGTATGTAAAGGGCATGATGGGGAACAGAGAGAAAATGAAGGCAGGTGTGTAAATCACCAGAAAAGGATTATAAGAAGCCTGTGGTAGCATGAATAAAGACTGGCTTTCTTACATAGAAGTAGGCATGCACAAAAAAAATAGGCTCAGTATGTATAGCAAAGATACTAAGCTACCATAAGGACATTGTTAAGCTGTGATGCCAACATTACTGTTGTGAGCTTTACATACTAATACATTTAAAGTTTAATAAACATTTGATATGTGAAAACAGGCATAAAATAAATGAAAATGGACACTGAATTTTGGGACATATCACAGAATTAGCCGGAAGCTTTTGAATGCTATGTAGAGATGAGTAGAAGTATCTAAAAGCCTTCTTCCCTGCTTCTGATGAAACTTTCTGTTCTTTTTTTTTTTTTTACAGTTTGCAAATTTATCATAGTCTTTTGAAATATATTGAAACTTTTACAAATTATTCTTTATTATAGAGCTGGACACTTTTATCAATCAAAATCTGTATCCTTGTCTGGAGCCATCCTCTGAGACTTTCTTGAGACAAATAATATACTCACAGTTAAAGTGAGAGAGAGCTCTACCACTCTCCTCCAGTGATTTCTCTTTAAGAAACTTCTCTGAAGACTTAATTTATTCTAGCTCCATGTCCATTGGAGCTTAGTCAACTTTGCTGTGATATTTACTATTTCGGTAATGATGACTCAGTGAATGCACAAATGAATTGGATTTACATTTGATATAGCTATAAAACTTTTCATTTTTATTACTGCCTATATAAGATGTAATCAATCCTTTGTCAAACCATCCATTTGAATTTGAGGTCACTACATTTAGAGGTTAATTTTTCCAGTACGCCTCAGCATCAAAGGGAAGTTAACTTATTGATAATTTTGCCCCTTTTTTTAGTCTTTTGAAGACAACACATGCTCTAATCTGTTCATGTTATTGTTCCCCAAACTGGTTTGCATGTCCAGCTATGAAGGATGATATCCCAGTGATATATGATATTGCAGATATGAGATATGCTTAATGCTAATAAAAATGGAGCTATAAATGCTTTTACTCTATCAGGATATTAAGACTGCCACAAAGCCTTCACTTTTTTCGTTGCTTTTGATAAATGAAGTCCAGGAAAATGTTTTGGAACCATAAACAATGTATATTGACAAGCTGAGTCAAGGATGGAGGCAAATTTCATTATTTGCAAGCATTCATTTTGACCATTAATCATTTATTTTCATTTGCAGTTACCTAAAATATTCAGCATTTACCCCAAATGTTGACAAGATTCTAAACTCTGAGCACAGGGGCAAATGTTTGAAAAGAACATGAAAATAAAACAATACAGGTGATAATATTGTCCTGACCATGCTTTTTTGATCTTGGGAAGACAGTAGCTCTCAATAAATATATGAAATATTGGAGTTGGAAACCAGAGAAAATATCTTATTATTTTGTTTAAATTTGGAGATGAGATCTCTCTATGTTGCTCAGACTAACCTCAAACTCCTGAGCTCAAGGGATTCACCTTCCTGAGCCTCCCATATAGCTGGGATTGCAAGTGCACATCACCATATCCAGATTGACATCTTAAATATTTGAAGACAGTATTTCTCAAAATCTATAGATGGAAAAAAAATCTGAAACACAGTTTCCTAGAATGTAGTTTTATGAGCCCCACTTGAGCACTTTTAAACTAGATTTTCTTGGAAATTGCAGTCAAGGAGGTCTACACATTTTATTGAGATCATCTGGAAAGTTTCTGTAACCTCCAAATTGAGAAACACTGTCCACGTTAAGTTATACTGGGAGAGTCACTCAAGTCAGATACCTTGAGAGGAAAGTTAATAGCTGTGGATCTGCTCTGATTGAGGCGAGTTTGAAAGTCAGAGTGTGATCTGCTCAGCTGCCTCCTCAGTTCATGGTGCCCTCACGTAGCCCTTAAGGATCCTTAGGCCACACTTGGTAAAGCACTACTCACCTCCCTCAACTATTCTATATTTAGGTACAATTACCATAAGTCTGAAACTGCTTTAGGCAAAGGAGGTAGAAAAGTGATCAAGACTAAAATCATCCTTGTGTGGTTTTTTTTGTTTTGTTTTTTGTTTGTTTGTTTTTTAATCTAACTAGTGTGTCAGATGGTGACTCGTTTCAGGGCTAAAAACAAATCAGGAAGAGAAATTGGGAATTTTGGAATTGGAAGAGTGCACTGCAAGTAGGCTAGACTTTGTAGAGTTTATCTTCAAAATGCTTTGATTTTCTCAACTAGTTAGAGAGAAAGGTCATCAGCTGAGAATGATGGATGGGGGTTGTTCCTGGGAGTTTCGGAAAAGAGGAGAAATTAGAAATAGTCATCTAGGAGAATAGGAGAGAAGGCAGAAATGGCACTTACTGCATGGTCACTGGGCAGCATAAAAGCACATTTGAGGTTAGTGATCATAGATTTAAAGTGCAGCTCATCGGTGTTGTTTTCCAGACATGTTCAGCTGCAGTGTTGCAATCTCCAAATATAGAAAAATTTGATTTTATGAGTATTGTCATCTTGCCAGGGGATTGAAAAAAAATAATAATTTAGAATGAAATGTAAGAAACTGATTATAATCAATATTTGTGGGGGTTTTAGCTAGAGATAGTGTATAACAGGGATGTACACTGTACAAGTAAGTACAGGCTTCTCGTTTATCTGAAGTTTATAAGCACAGATGTTCCTGAAATACCTCTTTTACTCATTGTTGTAGGAGAAAAGTAACAGTTTCATTTCTTTAAAGTGTGGAATGTCATATCTGCTTTGTTACCCCCTAATACTCTGCATACATCTCTATCAATACAATCACAGCATCATCTTAGTTAATTATCTCTGTGCCTGCCCCAGTAACCTGCCCAGATCATAAAAGGGAAGGCAATTGTCTTCTTCCTCAGGCACAGAGCCTAGTACATAATAAAGGCTCAATCATAAAATATTTTGATTTTACTTGCTTTGAACAATGTCACCATCTTGTAAACCTTAAAATATTATCATTATATTTTTTGAAATTGCACATTATGCTTAATAATGTGATTACTTTCTGACCTTTACCTATGAACTAGTTGAAATTAATAGATTAAAAACAAGAATTTACCTGGAAATGCTAATTTTGCATATCTCTTCTTTAATATCTGTCCAAATAAGTAATATTTTGGTTATCTTTTCAGGTTGCTTTTTCAAAATTTTGGTGTCAAGGGAAATAAATATTGAAATTTTCATAAATTAAGAAGAGAATATTTACTATAGACAATGATTATATATCATAAGAATTAAGGAACAGAATATAAAATATATTTGACTTTTTTTTTCCAATTGGAAAGCCATCAGAATTCAAGCTAGTTTCTTGACCTTATATGAACAGGGAGTTCTTTCCTTTCTGCTTCTCACTGCTATTATTTTTCATAGTACTTTCTCAGCATATTAAGTGTTTTGGGTTTTGTTTTTACATATTTTTACTGTCTATGGCTCAGATAGGTTGTCCTTTTTATTTTTGGCTTCATTATTCTAAATAACCCAACTCCATCATCCAGATTCCTTTTTATCAACAGGCTCCATGTTTCAATTGACTCCTCATTTGGTGAGTTTTCCAAACCTAAATGAATGAGCTGGGAAGTGAGTCAAGACCTGTGGGTTGATGTTCTCAAAAGAAATTATGACTTCTTTTGAGAAATGATTATTCAGATCTTTTGTCCATTGTTTGATCTGGGGGCTGGGGGGAGGTGAGAATGGTAAATGGGTACAAAAAATATTAAAAAATGAATAAGAGCTACTATTTGATGATGCAATAGGGTAACAATAGTCAATAATAACTTGATTGTGCATTTTGAAATAACTTAAAGAGTATAATGGGATTGTTTGTAACTTGAAGGAGATATGTGAAAACACATTATGTACTCTATAAATATATGCACCTTCCATGTACCCACAAAAATTAAAAATAATAATAAAAAAGAAATTATGATTAGGAGAGGCATTAAGTGACATCTGTTAATCATGCTTTCAAATGATAATGTATCATTGACTGACAAATATCACTCCACAGCTACCTCTGAATTTATTTGTTGCACCTCTGAATTACTGCAACAAATAAAATACAAGATGTTTCTATAAAAAGTTCTAGACACTTGTAATTAAACTTGGAGCATCACAAAGCATTTATCATAAATGCACTATTTCATTTACTAAATCTACTATATATCAGTCACTCTGCTAGATACCTTTCACATATTTTATTTTTATTTACAGTAGGATTTGTTCTATTCACGTCTTTGTTTACAGCATTTAATGGGCTTAGGTGGGGCTAAGAGCAGTGGGCATGAAATAAATAAATAATGGATACAATAGCTGGGCTCAATAAATGTAGTTTTGATAATTCAATCGAATGTTATAGTATTGATTCCTGAAAAGATAAGATGATAGAGCAATAGAAGACAAATACTAAATTCAGTTATACACCCTTTTATTGACCTGTGATTAATATAAGTCTCCACCAATGGAGTTCCTAATGATGGTTATACTTGTGCTGAAGAGGTGAAAGATGTGGAAAGGATGTTCTAGATGGAGAAATTGAGCAGAGACAAAAGCATGGAGGTGGGGATGAATGTTACACAGCAGAATAACACGAGGATGAAGACATCATTGTGATCAAACTATTTTCATATTATCTACTCAGTTCTTGGTAGAAAGTTTCAGATGGAAGTTACAATAGCAAAAGTGTAAATAAACAAGGGAGAATATGACAGCAATCTGTTTCACCATCTGCATTTCTTTTGTAACTAAAATCAAATACCTTGTAAAACAACTGCTTGTGTAAATCTCAAACCTGAAGAAATACCATGTAAATGAGTTTCTGTATAACGTGGACACTGATGATGAAGGGTAAAACGTAGATGGATTTATTAATTTCTGTGATTAAATTATCATCAGGAACATTGTATTGAATTTACAATTGGTGTTTTATTTCAAATAGTGTAATATTGAATAATGAGTTTAGTCTCACATTTCTTCCAATGTGGGTGCAAATGTGGTCAACTTAATGGCAAAATTCAAATAATTGTTGAATTTGTAAAAAATATCAATATGCTAATTGCTCCAATTTTGACATTCATTAGGCACATAAATTTTTGGAATAATAGTTTTCATAATTTTGCATAACGATTCTATTTGTCAGAAATAAATACTGTACTGGAAAATTATGCATCCTTTGAGTCTATTTTAGTCGTTTATCTGAAACCTTTTTTATAGACCCAAGAGAAGCATGCTTTCTTTGTAATTTTAAATATATGTTGCTTATGATGGGTCTGAGATCATCTATAGAAAGATCATTTGACTGCCAGAAATAAATACTGGAAAAACACAGGCTAGGATTTTGCTTTAGTCTTTTATGAGTAGCCTTTCTCCTAAACCAAAGAGAAGCATGTTTTCTTTATAATTTTAAATATATATTGCAGAGGATGAATCTGAGATCATTTATACATACTTTTTGTTTGTGTTCTGAAGCATAGAAGAGATAGCTGTTCTTTGAAGCCTGAGAATTATTACTGAAAAAAATTCTGAATATTAACCAGAATTTCTTACTCCTAACTGCATCTTCATGGGAAATTAAGGTGATAAGAAATATGAGTAAGAGATGGCATTGGAGAGAAGAGTATAACAACAGGGGTTTATGTGCAAATTTGCCTACTTTTTCAAAAAAGAAAATGTAAGAGATAGAGGAAAAAATAATTATTAAAATGTATTTCCACTTATAAAGTAAAGTTGTTTCGTATTAAAAAACAGAGTCTGGAAGTCCCATCCTATTTACTAAAATCATCTTCAATAAGCATCTTCAGAATTGATTGAACTAATAATTGAGTATTTCTAGAATGAAAACATGGCCAATAAATATCATTTTAAATATAACTGCTACTGCTGTCTATCTGTGGCTAGAAAAAATATATATTTTAAACCATATATATCACAATAAGAAATATACTTTGAGAAAATAGTCTCTGTTTCAGATACTACAGTATTTTACTAAATATGTGTTTGTATGTCGAAGGTGGTTTTTTGTTGTTGTTTTGTTTTGTTATTTCAAAGCACTACTTATGCCTAGGTCATGACCCTAGGGTAAGGATTTTGTAGAAAGCCTGTCTGTCATTTTCAGTTTAAATTATCTGAATACAAAAATGAAGTATTAACTGTTTTAGAAGCTAGTACTAAAATATCTAGTCCTGGGTGTAAACTGAGAGAAAAGAGGTCACTGGGGAGTGATGCACCTCATTGTGTAAGAGGTAATCTGGGCATTTGTAACCAGTCTATGGCTCTGTAATGCCAGTGAATTATAATCAGTGTACTGATTTTCACTGGAACTAGTCAAGTAATTATTTAAAAAATGGAAATATTTATGGTATTATGAGGCTCAAAAGAGTAAAAAAATCTGTTTAATCTGTTTTTATAACATACTATGTTCTCCATGAGCATATTATATATATAAAGCCTGTCAAAATTTGGTACTAAAAAAGAATTTATTTTGTTAAAATAAATGACGCTAGTATCAAACTATGCACTTTTTTAACTTGTAATATTTACAGAAATTCACGTAAAAAGCAAAGAACAATAAAACCCCCACCAAAGTATTGCTTGCATAATTGTGCTCCCAAACCCCACCCCCCACAACACATACACTCAGAAAGATGCCTTTATGTTTGAGATGCCATAGTTTTATATTAAGACCATAGTGACATAGGGTGCTGAAGAAACATTTTCAGAATTGTCAGTAAGCCATTCACAGGCCTTGGGTGTTTTCAGTTTACTGAGTGTGAGGGAATCTCAGATCCCAGTATTTCTGACCACACTCAACTTCCTGATAAGTACCCTACTTTCTCCACTGCCGGCCATGGTTAAGCAGTACAGGACAGCACAGCAAGTGCTCTCTATACCCTGACAGCTCCAGATATGTCAAGAAAACAACACACCAACATGGAAAAGACATCTGCACTCACATGCATATTGCAGCACTGTATCACAATACCTAAAATATGGAATAAAACTAAATGCCCATTAAGAGATGAATGAATAAAGAAAATGTGGTATATATGCACAAAGGAATATTATTAAACCTAAAAAAGAATGAAATTTGGTCATTTGCAGCAACATGGATGGAAATGGAAGTAATTATCAGACATTACATTTATACTAATCTGATTAACAAACATCTATTGAGCACTTGCTCTGAATCAAGTCCTATACTAATCTTTTGGAGTAGGTAAATGAATAAGACATATTTCTACTTTCATGGAGCAATCTGAGTTTGGATAAATTAACATGTAAATAAACCATAACAAAGTGATCAAAGTAAAACAAGAAACAAGAACATATGTCTTAGGAAGGATGGAGTAATTATTTGAACCTGGAATGGAAGAGTACTTTCAGGAAGGTATAGTGGAAGAGGTTTCATATTATCTGAGATTTGGAGGAATAATAGCAGTTTTCATGGCAGACAGAGAGGAAAAGGACATTTCTGGGTAAGGAATCATATTTGCAAATGTACATTATATAATCCACTAACAGCTGCTCTGCTAATTGAAGAGAGAGAGAGACAATCATCTCTTTCTCTCTCTCGTGTGTGTGTGTGTATATATATATATATATATATATATAGATATCATTGAGAATGATATCTATAGCTATTACTGAGATACATCAAGTAATACAGGATAATATAGGGAATAGAGCAGTGTCTCAAAAAAGAAAAACCAGTGAATTCTGTTTGGGTTTAAAGAAATAACAAAACCTGGAAATGGGTTGTATCAATCACAGTCATGGCAGAAAACAAATTACACACCCCAATTAGGCAATTCACAGAGAGTTGGTATAAAAGAAAAAAAAAAAAGAAAAAAAAACTATTTTCAAAGGTGTGTGAAGGAGAAAGGGAAACCACAAGGGCTATTCACTGCATCAGGGCCAGTATCAGCATGAGGTAGATACCATTACAGCTCCTATGGGGAAAGGAGGAAGCAGTTATCTGCCTGGACATGTAGTTCTGTGAGTAGAAGGATGGTAGTCTTTGAGCACAGAAGTACAGCTTCCTAAGGAGATCCAACAGGGGAGGAGGCTATGGGAATAAATAAACTGGCCTTGTTATTTTCACTTAGTTCTAGCTACTGTCACTTCTCTCCATGGGTCAAAGCAAACAGAACCAGAAGCCTGCAGGTGATTAGTCATCCACCCTAGTCAGCATCCACCCTAGGCACCAAGCAGAGCAGAAAACGGTAGAAGCTTTATCTGAAAAGATAAGTAGAAGACATCCAGTCCAGGGCTCAACTTCTGCCTTTAGGATTTATTGCATACATTGAAGTTGAAAATTGCCCAATCATCTGCTTTTTTTCTAGAAATATGTTAACAATAAATTCATAAAATACTAGAGTTAGTATATACATATATTTTCATATGCCATAAAAATATCAGAAGACATGTACGTTTGTTTATTCATTTATCACAGAGGCAAAACAAACTAATTGAAACTCTCACAGGGTTTCATGGACCCAACTTTGGAATCAACTCATTCTATTCTTATCACTCAGTTATTAGGCCCCTTTCAAATTGCAAGGTACCAAATTTTCTATTAACAGATCATTTCCTACTACTTAGATAAACAGTAATCATTACTGGCATAGTTCTAAGTTTTACAGGAATATGAAACATAAAATGTCAAGAAAATATTGTGAAATTTCTTTAGTCATAATCTCATCTAAATCATGAATATTATATTTTGTATGCTATAGACAGAGCAGTATCAAAAACTTGTGTTCAAATGTTATCAGTTACTTAGTGCCATAAGTACCTCAGTGGCTTATGATAGGAGAAAGCAAAGCAATCATTTGTCAGAAGTTATATGACCTAGAAAGCCTTTGCTATGAAAATGCAATTTCACAAGATGACCATGGGCACAAATATTAGAAACCTCTTTTGTGAACATGAGTTTTGATAGAAAGAATTCACCCAAGAAAATAATTTGGTCATTTTCTTGAATCTGTGTTATGATAATTGTCATGAATTATTCTGGGTTATGTACTAAAGTTGATTTGAACAAAAGCTACAAACAAGGAAATATATGGGACCCATAGTGTAAGCAATTTTTGAAGAACTAATTTTTCTTTGTATTGTTGCTAAAATAATAATCATTAATAATAATAATAAACAAAATATATTCAAATAATATATTTATTTTTAATATTTAAATCGGCTGTTTTTAAGTTTTTAAGTATACAGGTATTGAACCAGAGGCCATGCCGTAGAGAAAATTTAGGAGAGAGAAGCTCAGGTTTCTAGATGTAAAAAGGCTAAATTGCTTAGAGTTATCATAGAATCACTAAATTCCCAAAGTTTTCTTGTTCTCAAGTAATATGATATGTATAAGAAGTTTTGAATTACTAGATTTTTTATCATAGACAAACTCAGTAATAAACCTTATAATTCCAGAACTAAGAAGAAACAACAACTACTACCGTTGCACTTTAATTTTTATTAATTAGTAAATTTCCAGTATCCATGGATGTTTACTCCAATTAGCAAGTGATATCAGGGGAAACCACCCCCGATATGTCACAAGCGTCCTTTTCTATTTTCCCTAAGTGTCGGCTGGTCTGATAAATAAACAGAAAGAGTAAAAAAGAGAGAAATTTTAAAGTTGGGCATCCGGGGGTGACATCACATGTCGGTAGGTTCCATGATGCCCCTCAAGCTGCAAAACCAGCAAGTTTTTATTAGTGATTTTCAAAAAGGGAGGGAGTGTACAAATAGGGTGTGGGTCACAGAGATCACATGCTTCACAAGGTAATAAAATATCACAAGGCAAATGGAGGCAGAGCGAGATCACAGGACTGGGGTGAAATTAAAATTGCTAATGAAGTTTGGGGCATGCATTGTCATTGATAACATTTTATCAGGAGACACGGTTTGAGAGCAGACAACTGGTCTGACCAAATTTATTAGGCAGGAATTTCCTTGTCCTAATAAGCCTGGGAGCGCTACGGGAGACCGGGGCTTATTTCATCCCTTATCTACAACCATAAAAGACAGACGTTCCCAAAGTGGCCATTTCAGAGGCCTCCCCCTGGGAAAGCATTCTCTTTCTCAGGGATGTTCCATGCTGAGAAAAAGAATACAGCGATATTTCTCCTATTTGCTTTTGAAAGAAGAGAAATATGGCTCTGTTCCGCCCAGCTCATGGGCAGCCAGACTTTAAGGTTATCTCCCTTGTTCCCTGAACATCGCTGTTATCCTGTTCTTTTTTCAAGGTGCCCAGATTTCATATTGGTTAAACAATTTGTGCAGTTAACACAATCATCACAGGTTCCTAAGGTGACATTCATCCTCAGCTTACTAAGATGATGGGATTAAGAGATTAAAGACAGGCATAGGAAATCACAAGATTATTGATTGGGGAAGTGGTAAGTGTCCATGAAATCTTCACAATTTATGTTCAGAGATTGCAGTAAAGACAGGCGTAAGAAATTATAAAAGTATTAATTTGGGGAACAAATAAATATCCATGAAATCTTCACAATTTATGTTCTTCTGCCATGGCTTCAGCCGGTCCCTCTGTTCAGGGTCCCTGACTTCCCACAACAAAGTATATAACTTAAGTGGAAACATATGAAAGCAGAATCAACAGCTTGCATACGTACTTTACTATGTGATCACTCATATAAGCCTTAAAGCAATTTAAGGAGGTAGGGAAGTAATTCAGGTTGATTATCCTCCTTTTTCTGATATGGAAAAGCTGGTCATAGAGCAGGCTAAAGGAAATCCTACTCCTAAGACTTATTATTATTTTGATTTTTACATTGTATTCGTATTATTCCCATTAAATTATACTATCTTCTGTGGAAAGAATTTTAAAAGTTGGTGAGGTCATTCTGACACAATGACAAAAGACATTTTATATAAATGCAAAATACCTAATATAATTAAAATATATCTATTAAATCCTTATTTTGTACCACACACTGTTTTAAAAGCTTTATATTTATTATCATATCTAATACTTATAACAACTGTATAAAGTTGATCTTATCACTACATTTATTCACTGATTTGGAAATATTTCAATAGTTAAAGCACTTTGGAATGATTACATGTATTCTAAATGATTTATCCAAAATAATAAGGAATAAGGAAATAAGGTTATTTAAATTCCTTTACATCTTTAAGATAATTATACATTATAAATCATAGAAATGTACAGTGTTAAAATTATTTTAATTACCTTAAGGAATTATAGGATTTGTCTATGTACTACATTAAATTATAAAATGTGTAAATACAAAGGCATTTTTAGTTTTTAATAAAGAAATTACTACTTTGCTAGCAGTATCTTTATAGATTTTAAAATAAGCAATATGTGGGCTTTTTTAATCCTTATGATTGTGTCACATTGATACTTAGGTATTTTAACTTTCACGTATACTCCTGAAAGAGACTGAGTCATGCAAGGTACATTAAATTATAATATTTAAAAAAAGATTGGCGATAATGGATTCATTTGTGACTTGTTTCTTTTTCAAATTTAGGATTATCAAGAAAACAATCCACATAGGAGATGGTTATAGAACTAGTAACATAAGCAAGGATTTAGATTTCTGGATACTTACTTGTACAACAGAAACACCATTTAAAAATTAACTTTTGTTGAACACCTCCCAGTATGGAACTTTAGAATTAATCAGTGTTAAAGAGAAAGGAGATTTGGGATTTGAAGGCACTTTAGTCTGTTATATCGTATTCTCAAACTGTATTCATATACTAGAAGTTCAAAACTTATGAATACAACCAATTATCATTGCTTTCAATATTGCCTCCTCAGACTAAACCTTCATTTATAGCCTGGAATACTGAAATAGATTCCTAAAAATCTTCCTGCTTCACCATTTGATCTTCTTTAGTAAATATTTTAAACTTCACCCAGATGCATACAATTTAAATGAAATTATGTTCAAAATCATCCAAAGACTCCACTTCACAATGAATGATTTCACATCTGTCCCTTGATTTCACTCTGTACCACTCCTTTTCTGAATAGTCACACAAACCTTTCTGAAATTCAAATTAGGCAGAGTCCATTCTTCTTTCTGAGCAATTTATATGACTGGAATATTGTTTCCTTGAATAGTCACATGGGTTATTTGCAATTTTATGTGTATCTCTTCAAATGTCACTTTTATGGAGGCATTTATCTGGAATAAGCCAGAAATATGGGCAAATAGAATTTTGGGACAACCTCTCTAGCTCTTTTTCTTTCTGAGATTACTTTCTTTTTCCAGCAACTATAAATGCTGTGACTCAATACCCTTCCTATGGTTCTGTAATGCCAGTGAGTAATAGTCAGTATGTTTACTTTCACTGGAATAAGTCAAGTAATTATTTAAAAATGGGAATATTTATGGTATTACGAGGCTCAAAAGAGTAGGAAAATCTGTTTATAAAATGTACTGTGTTCCCCATGAGCATATTATATAAGTAAAATACAGTACTAAAAATAAGTCATGTTGTCAAAATAAATAATGCTAGTATCAAACCATGCACTTTCTTAACTTGTAATACTTAGAGAAATTCATATAAATATTTCTTGTGTAATTGTGTTCCCCCACCCATACACACTCAGAAAGATCTCTTTATGTTTGAGGTGCCATAGTTTTATTCTAAGACCACAGTAACTTAGGATTTTGAAGAAAATTCATTTTCAGGATGAGCAGTAAGCCATTTACTGGTCTTGGGATTTGTCAGTTTGGAGAGTGTGAGAGAATCTCAGATCTAAGGATTTCTGCAAGCATTCAGCTTCCTGATAAGTACCCTCCTCTCTCCACTGCCGGCCATAGGTACTTACATGGATTAAAAGAATAGATTGCTTCCTCTCAACACTGAGCTTTAAACTTTCTAAATATCAACTTTTCTTGTTTTTTCAACTCTGTTTTAGTTTTGAGGGGGGTATGTGTGCAGTTTTTTACATGGGTAAATTGTGTGTCACTGAGGTTTGGTGTACAAATGATCCTGTTAACCCATGTAGTGAGCACAGTACCCCATAGGTAGTTTTTCAACTCTTACCTCCTCTTTACCTTCTTCACCTCTAGTAGTCCCTGATCTCTATTGTTCTCATCTTTATGTCCATGTATACTCAATGTGTGGCTCCCACTTACAAGTGAGAGCATGCAGTATTTGTTTTTCCGTTCCTGCATTAATTTGCTTAGGACAATGACCTCCAGCTGCATCCATGTTGCTGCAAAGGATATGATTTTTTTTATGGTTACATTGTATTCCGTGGTGTATATATACCACATTTTCTTTATCCAGTCCAGTGTTGATGGACATCCAGGTTGATTCCATGTCTTTGCTTTTGTAGATAGTGCAGCAATGAACCTATGAGTGCATGTGTGTTTTTGGTAGAACAATTTATTTTCCTTTGTGTATACACCCAGTAGTAGGATTGCTGGGTTGAATGGTAGTTTACCAGTTTATAATTATCTTTCAAAAATCTAGAAAATAATTTGTAGTTACCACACTTGTGTCATTCAGACTTTGTAATAATGTACTTTTTCTGACAATAACAAAAAAACCCCACAAATTTCAAGTGAAAACTATCTCTACATTCATGAAGAATAATCTGCAATTCACTGTGAGAAAGAAGATTCATTTATAAAAGGTGCCTGTGGCCTCTTTCTCCTCCTTCCTCTCCTCCTTATCCTCCCTTTTGTGTAATACAGAAGTGGGCTGGTAAGCTAGGTCTCCTCCAGCCTACGTTTAAAGTACACTTTACATGAAAGTGCACCTCCTTCATTTAAAATCTCATCATTTCTACTCAGATTGGTATTTTTATATTTATGTTTCTATGTTAATAATCCATTATCTGAATGTCCAATTTAATAATATGTTTTCCATTGAAATTTTTAAGATTGAGGAACCAAAAACTAGTTCAAAGAAGAAATGAAAATTTCCCATGTTCCTAATCTCAGAATTAACTGTCTTAAACACTTTAATTTTCTTGCTCCCAACTTTATTTGAATCATCCTTTGAAAAAATACAATAAAAATATGTGAATATAATAGCTTTCTTTAAAAATAATGGCTTATTACAAACAAAGCTAAATATATCTTTTGACTATTACTGGCTCAATATTGTTTCTTTATTCAGTACTTGTCAGAGGCAAATCCAAACCCTTTAGGTAGAATAAAGTACTAATCAACTTGCATCACTTAAAAGGAGCTTTTTGCATTGTGAAGAAGTGGAGAGTAGAGACGTTTTCTTGTTCTCGTTTGTAGCTTTCAAACCAGCAAGGCACTGGGCCTTAGCTAGATCTTCATACTTTTAATTGTACCAAAGTAGACAAAATGATGTAATGAGTTATGAAGTATAAGGAATGAAATTATCAAGAGTTTCCAAATTGGTATTTATTAACTTATATTTTATGAAATATTTTTAGATAAAATAGTATGCAGTGGGAATTTAAAAGGTGAAAAAAATGTTCTTAGTTTTCCTCTGATGTTTAACAAATTTAGTTGCTTTCCTGAAACTAAAAAAACTTGCCTTCCTGAAGTAAAACATTTGTTCCAGAGGTAAGATTTAAGTTTTCACATTAGAAAAATATTATATTAGACAAAATGAGATTTTAGCAATTTTTTAAGTACATAAACAAGTTTTGAAACAAATACCTGTCCTTGCAGGAAGAAGAAATAATCAGTGAATTATATATTTCTGAAAAAAATTGGCAGTTTATAGTTCTGAAGTATTTTTCAAACCCTTGATTAAATGATGCAATTTTGTTTGTTGTTTTCAGTTTTATAAAGCTTAAAATCTTTCAGTTTCATTAAATTACAGGTAAACCCAATGCATTGATAGGCAATCAATATATGCTTAATTTATACTTAGAAATCAATCCTCACAATTTGCAAGCAACCATGTTTCTAGGATTATTTTGGGTTGGCATTGGAAGAAACTTCAGAAAAAAGCAATTATTAATAATGCTATAGTAATTTAATTCCATGAAGAAGATTGATATCAACACAGGAAAAGTAAAAGGAGGTACTATTAGTTATTTTGTGTTCATAGCTCTTCAGAATTAACTAACCTACGCTCATATATCAACTATATAAAGATTGAAGAAAAGAAATCAGTTAGTTTCAAACAAAGCAGGGTAACAGAAATTTTATTTGGCATATGCACATATGTTTGTATGGAAGTAGTGGTTGAAGTACTTTTGGATAGACCAAAACCATCTCACCAACAGCAAAGCTGCCCTGCAGATTTGCAGCTGACCAGAAATCTAGGTCTTAACCTCAATTAAATCAAGGAAATGTAAAGTTTCCTTGAAGATTTATATGGCTATATTCCTTCTTGGATCTTCAGCACATTAAATGACAAAAGTAATCTTACTGAAATTGCCTTGTGGTATCGTTTTGATTGAAAGTTCTTCAGCATTTCAATGTGTGTTACAGCCTTGCCAGTTAAAACCTAATTTGATATGGATTAATCTAGAAGAAAAAGCCCAAGCAGAAACATCTCATCCAGATAGGAGGACTTTGATGAAATGTGTCCCAAGGATAGAATTGCTTGGTGTCTGTTAAATGACAGTATTAATAGAAAAAAAGAAATTTATTAAATTGGATGAGATAAATTAATAGTGGTGTCCATCATATTTTGCTATACAACAAGTGAACATAAAATTCTCAGGGGCTTACAATACACATTTACTTTTACCTCGTGGATCTTTGGATTAGTTGAGGTGTGATTGAGACAGACTATGGTTCTCTTTCAGGCTGTGGGTTGAATTCAGATTTTCTCAATATATCTTATGCTCTTGACCAGGCCAAAAGCAGCTAAGCCAAATTCTTCTCATGGCAGATTGGGACACCAAAGCTAATCACATTTCCGGCCCCTGTTACTGTCAGTTCCTCTAACATTCTCTTGGCCATAGCATGTTACATGACCAAAGCCAACATAAATGAATTGGGGAAGTAAAACTCTTCTCATAAAGGAAGGGCAAATAAGTGAATATTTGTTGAACAATATTACATGTCATCATATTTATTAAGCAAATGAACTCAAAATAGTAAAATAGCTTTCTTCAATGTCAAATTATACAAAAACCTAAACCTACACTAGCTTCACTGCTCCTCTTGGGACTATTGCTGCATAAAAATAATATTTAAGTGTAGGGTGAGAAAGGGAAGAGAAGGTCTTAATGAGTCAGTAAAGAGAAATTGCTTCTGACTTCACAAAAATGAATTTATGACAAGTATAAGTTAATTGTGTTTATAATTACTGATTCTATTCAATTACTATGAATATTATTATTGATGCTACTGTGGAGAAAACCACTAGATGTAGATAAATATTCAGTATTTTCTCTAAGAATAATAAAAGCTGAAATTAATGCATGGGAACACAGCATAGCAGAATAAAGACTACATTTCCCAACACCCCTTGCTGATAGGTTTGGTCAAGTATCAAGTTCTTGCCAATGAAGTGTACGCAGTAAAGATTGGAGGAATTTCTCAGAAACTTCCTGAAAATTTAGCAGACACATGCAAGGCAGAACATCCACAAATGAGAGCCCAAAGCAGGATGAAATGATTGGATTCATTGCAAATGTTATATTCTAAATAAAACACAGGAATGAAATCTGTTTTTTATTGTTGTTCTTCTTGTTTTGTTTTGAACTTGATATTGGTTACTTGAGAAACTAATGCCATCCTGATTTTACAAACAGCAAAACACACACAGAATGATATGGTATAGGCTGGGTGCGGTGGCTCACATCTGTAAACCCAACACTTTGGGAAGCCAAGAGGAGCGGATCACTTGAGGTCAAGAGTTGACACCTTCTCCCAAAGGCTTTATAATCTAACCAGGAAACACTGTCCATAGTTGTAACTAAAAATCATGCGATACAAACTCAATCTAGTTCTACATGATTAGAAGATTTAATCAATTTAAGCTGAAATCATTGTTTAGGGCTTTATTGTAGATTTGCAGAGATGAAAGCAATTAAAAGCATTCACAAATAACAGTAATATAAATATGTAACCAACTCTGACATAGTTAAACAGTGCTAGATCAACTTAGCGATGTGTAAGATTTAGTTTCTAAGCAATCATTTAAGAGCAATTTATCTTATGTTATTTGTTACACACCTTAGTATAGATATGTCTGCAATATGTCAATAATAATATTACACAGAAAAATTCATGGGAAAGCAAGCAGTAAACTGTTAGTCTAAAATTTATAAGTCACCAAAAGGAATATTTTATTTAGAATATGAAATTCCAGCCATGTTTAAATAGTTAACACCACTGTCAAAAGTTTTATTAAAAAATACTAAAGATATGTGCTCTTGAATTTTAACATCATTCTTTGAATTTGTATAATTCATCAATCATAGGAATGTTTATTTATATAGCTCATTAATGTTCAACAAAAAGCCTAGCTCTTAGTAAATAAGATCTTGAAAGAAATCAACAATCATACACTACCCAAACATATTCAAAAACAAAGCAAGAAAAGAACAGGATAAACACATTACTGAAAGGAAGTGTACAATGTATATTAAAAACTTGATCTTTTTCCTAGATTATATTTCCATGGAAGTGAGGTTAGATTCCAAATGTGAAACATGGCATGGATTTTATATTTTAACAAACACATATACATGCATATATATACATCCATTATATATACATATAAGGATTCATATACACAAACAAATTCATTTAATTCTGAAGAGAAGGCTTTGAGATCGTTGTTCCCATTCTGTAAATTAGAAAGTCTAAACATAGGTTAAACTGTGGCATTACCTGCCCAGAATAGAAGCAGGATATAACTTTGGCAGCTTGACTCCATCCAGTGACCTAGCAAGTACCTAATATGGTACAATTTACAATGTCGAGGCATAGTAAAATGTCTCTTAATCCCTATAACAATAAAATATTGCTCCTATATAAAATAATGATTGTAAGACTAAAAGTAAACAAAGCATGTTATTTGCGAAGCAGCTCTAGTATAGAGGGAATATAAGCTTTTGATATAGAATAAGACGATCTTTATTTAAAATCTAATTTTACAACTTATTAACATTGTGGCATCAGTGTGATTTACTGAAGAACAAAACCTAGCATTTTGTGAGAGTTTGCCACTTGTGAAATTCCAGTTTAAGATTTGTATCTGTCATATTATGTAATCCTCATTAAAAAAAAATCTGAGGTTGATAATATTGTTATTTTCTTTTTATCCATGGGAAAACTGAGAGTTAGAGAAAAAAAGAACTTTCAAGGTCACCCTAGGGAGTGGCGGGGGCAAGATTTAGACCTTGCTCAGAGACTCATTTCTCTCATATGTTAAATGAGGATCAGAGTCTCCAAATTTATGATTATTATGAAGATCAATCGATAGACTTAAGATACTGCATTCTAAATACATAATGTGGCATGAGAGATCTTGCAAGTTAAAAGCTCTGCAAAGGAACCTATATTCTTGCCTGCCGCCAGTTCTGCATAATTGCTTATTCCTTGAATTGGAAACAGAAATGAAGTGCTCATTATCCAAGAGTGTAGAGAAAGGCCCTGGGATGGCAGGGCTACTTTTTACAAGACATTGTTGCAGGACCTCCCTGGCCTTTCTCTGGATTTACTGGAAATCAAGTTGAGGACTAGCCAAACTGTTGAGAAATTAACCAACTGAAAAAGCACATTCTTCTCTATTTCAAGTTATGTCTGTATTTAGAGAGCTGCACTTTAGTCAAAGAAATATTGTGCATGAGAGCAACTAGGCTCCAGGTAATTCGTAGTACTTGCTCAAAGTAACACAGAATACTAACACATTGTTAGAACATCCTGACTAAGGCATCAACAGCCTGAGTTTCACAAGATAATCAACTTTGGGTATATTAAAATATAATAATATATGTGTATGTATACATTTATATGCATATACTATGCATATATATTAAAAGATATACGTATAGAAACAAGACTATTAGATTTCAAGTAATATGAAAGTATTAGAAACATCCATCAGGTTCTGTACTTACTCATGAACTTCTTACAGCCTCCAAGGGGATGATATGGGAATTGTCAGAGCTTATGGGTTAACAGCATGGGCCTTGGAATTCCAGAAAGTGGAGAAATGATTCTCAGCTTGGGCATTTACCAATTACTTAACCTTCTAATCTTTATAGTTCCTGTAGCAAATTGATGTAAGCAATGTCTATTTTGTAGAGTTGTTGGAGAAGAAGTTGTGATATAAAAATTGACATATGTGAGTAACATATGCCAGTTATTTAATTTTGTACTTGATTTTGGTGAGTGCACAATAAATAGTATATTTTATTATTAGAAGTTTTTTATTTAGGAATATCAATTATTTTAAAAGTAAAAATAATAGAATTACATTATTTTGAATTAATAAGAATTAATAAAAGAAATAGTAACACATTGTTGGATAATGGGTACTTTTTGTAATTGCACTTATGATCTGATGTTTTTAATCTAATGTATGTGATGTGTCTAACACCAATTCTGAGGTCATAGGCTAATTAATAGTAAGAATAACTTATCAGTCATTTGAAACAAAATTAGTAAGTCACAATCACATCTGCATTTTAAAATTATTAGACATAGTCAATAGAAAGCCTTCAATTTCATCTTGGCTCAAATTTTCAATTAGAAGAAATATACATAATTATAATATTACTTAATTTTTTTAACCCAGGTAAACATTCTGATTATCCTTTAGGAGAGAGCAGATTAAATGGTTAAGAATATTCACAGTCCTTTCTCTAAACCTTAAGTTTTATAAAGTTGCCACATGTAAGTATCACATGAAATCAAAATGTGTTGTCACTATTTTTGTCATATATTTAGAAGATCAACTTACTGGCCAGTAATGTTAGTTCTGCTGAGGCACTGTATTACAGAGTTTAAGTGCACTGGCTCTAGAGACTTACCTCTGTAATGAGGATGAGAAAAATAATTACAACTACCTCTTAGAGTTTATATTCTAGCATACAGTAAATACTCAAACATGATAGCTGCTGCAAACTTTAAAGTCATCTTTAATCCTTTTAATTCGTTCACACCCCATCATGATTCCATTAGCACATTTATCAACTACAGTTTCAAAATATATCACATCATTGAATCCATCTCATCACACCCATTGCTAACACTCTATCTAATTTATGTTTCTCTCTCACCTTGACTACTACTAATTGGACAGCTAATTACTCTTCCTGCTGCTGCTCTTAGCTCTAAAGTCTATTTCCACACAGTAATTATAATATTAGTTCAATATATGAATCAAATTATCTGATTTCAATACTTAACTCCCTTCTAGACAACCTATTTTAAAAAAATCTAAAATTTTTAGGTGCAGTGGTTCTATATGGTCTTCCCCTTGCCCAGTCTTTTCCGGGTTTGTTGGCCCTCAAACCTGTCCAGCACAGTCTCTTTCCATAGACTCTTCCTGGAGGCTTTTTTGCCTAAACATGTATAATGCTCATCTCCTCACTACCTTTTAGTGCTTTCTCTTTATTTCTTTTGCTTTTATTTCAAGTGTCCATCACTCATATATTTCACTATGTATTTTTCTGCTGTCTATCTTTGCCTCCAGTATAAACACTCCATGGAGCCAGCAAGTTAGCTTTGATAATCAATGTCCTACCTATGCCTAGAGATGTGCCTGGCAAATTGCCTATTATATACAAGGATCGAATGAATGGGCGGTCATGAGCTAGACACTATGTTAGGTGATTTAAATATATTATCTCACTTAACCTTCAAAATAGTCATAAAATGTGGTCTCATTCTTGTCAATATAACATCTTACAAAATTGAGCCAACAAAAGGAAATTAATTTCTGGGAGGCAAGTAACATCTTACTGTGACTCAGAATATAAACCCAAATTTTAATGACTCCAGAGTGTCCACTATTTTCATTTTGCTGTGCTTCTTTTCTAATCTTTCTGAATATCTAGAAGACAACAAAATCTGTGACAAGCCATTATTTTACATCATAACACCTGGGTCAGTGTAAGATCTCCATTAGGCGCTATTTACAGTTTTGCAAGGAGTTCATCATCCAGCCATTAATATCAAATGACAGTACTGTTTGGTTGTGTTAATATGGCATCTATCTTATTCACTCCACTGAAATACACAATGCAAATACTTCTTTTAAAAATTTTTGTGCAAATTTTGAGTCTGAGAACTTCAGTATTCGTATTTTTCCATAACCTTACGAACCTTGAGGCTGACTCAGTACTCTAGGGCTTTTCTTCAGATAAAACTGAGAGTTTGCTCTGAAAATATCCTCTTGGAATATGGCCACCATTGCCTTTGCCCCACTGAGTATAGAGATACTTCTACTTCAGTTTTTGTCATTATATTCCATAAAGTCTTTTCATTCAAAACAAAATCAGGACACAGTATTGTGACTTTCTTACTAACAGCTGATTGCTTCACAGTAGACTTATTTTCAGAAACACCCAAGTATGTAATCCTCTATTATTGAAGGAGCACTTTTACTTTAAGATAATAGTTACATAGTGTGAGAAATGTTGATATGGTTTGATAAAAAATTAGCATTCACCCAGGAGATGTGTTGCGAAGCTAATGTGAGTGCCTCAAGGGACTGGTATAACCATATACATAACTTTTCCATTATTTTCTATTGAAATGTGTAGTAAGATAACTAATTTAAATATGTTTCACTGAAACTAGAATTTGTAAACATCCATTGTGTGTAGGATTGGTTTTCATAAATTAATTTTTGTAAACTGTTTTGGTAACTTTAGCCGATGTTCAGTACTAGGAGAAATATACATTACCTATGTGCACCGTGTATTTTGATAAGGTCAAATGACTATTTCCTAAGCAAGTGATTATTGAATTTGGAGGAAATGAGTTCTAATATAGAAGAAATTTGATTGATTATGGAATTGTGAGAAATTGTCATTTAATATATGAACAATAATTGTACAGAAAAAATCTGAATATACTACAAAGAATCTAATGACAAATGTGAAGATTAAGGATCAAAAGTCATTTTGATCAAAAGGAAAAAATCAGTATAATTAAAGTTAAATGTCAGTCAAAAAATTATTTTAGATTTGTGTCTAATTATTCTGTTTATAAATAGAACAAATTCCACTAACCCCGGTATTTAAGCTAGATACAGGCTTGAACTGTTACTAAGTGAATAAGAGGGTTTTTTCTTTAGTTTTTAAAGTTGGAATTAGAAAAACATGCCATGTTTACTTCTGATTGCAAAGTATGTAATCATTTTTTTAAGTTGGATGGGCTACAACCATTCTACATTCTAAGAAAACTCATAATATGTTCTTCAAACTACTTCCACAGCCTCATGATAGATTACTGCAAAGAAATCATGCAATCTTTCAAAATTTATGTAAACACGGAAATAATGAAATATTACATACAATCTCTTAAATTAATAAATCTTACACATTTGTAATAAAATAACCAAATGAAATTGCAAAAGGCATATATCACTATGAAAGTAACATATACTCGATATTTTGACAATTAATAACAGCAGTCATAATTTAACATAATTAAAGACTATCTATTGCTTTTGATTGTACTCAATAAATGCAGTATGAACAGAATTTTCAATGTATACTTTTCACAAGATAGTAAATTAGTTAAATAGTTTTTTCATAATGAGTTGTTGTACAGTGGTGTCAATCAACTCAAAACAGCTAAAAATTCAGCAGTTATTCCCCAATAATTATAAACTAAGCTTTGCCTATGGCTTCCAGAGAGAGCGGACAAAATAGTTGTAAACTAAATATCCATGAAGTAGTGGCAATGAACCCAGTAACCAGTATGAAACTTTGGAATGTAAGGTTGTTGTTTTTTTTTTCCCCGCCATATATAAACACACACACACACACACACACTCTCTCTCTCTCTCTCTCTCTCTCTCTCTCTCTCTGTCTCTCTCTCTCTCTGTCTTATGGGCTGAGAGGTACTATCAAGGCATATTCTTGCCAGAATATTGGATTCTAAAAGCTAATAGGTTTAGCAAGGTTGTGACTGGCTGGTTTGTTTACACTGGTCTAAGACAAATGACAATTAGGAACTTCTTCCAAGATAAGAATTCCCCCATCTGGACTGTAACTAATGCTGTTCAAGTGAAGAAATGGAATGGTGGTTGGTAGGAACTGGTGCCGCCTTGATTTTTCCTGAAGTCCCAAACTCATCGGAGTCTTAAAAAATTTTAAGTGTTTTTTTTGTTTGTTTGTTTGTTTTTGTTATATTTGCATCACAACTACCCTGTTGTGAATATTTTCAAGAGGAAATGAAAAAGGGTCAGCTAACTTCAGCAAACCTATTTAAGAGGATTAAATAAGAAACTTAGATTACCTACCTCTAAGATCCTTTCCAACTCAAAAGTGAATTCTATGGAGCTAACCCAAATAAAGGCTCCACAATTTTCTATCAGTATATCTTAAATACCAGAAAGGCACTTGTTGAATATGTTATGAAGTGTTTCCTAGACAAGATTGTACAGAGATTTGTTGAAACAAGCTGTTGCTTCAGACTCAAAGCCAGAAATTTCATGTTCAATAATTATTCGATGAGGCTAAAGAATTTTTTTTTTAGTATTCTCCAGACAAATATTTCAATCAAGTAAACTTGAAAATGATTAATCTAAGCTATATATGCCAGCCATGAGACTACTGAAATTCAAAAGATTTGCCTACAGTATCATCATTTTAATATAGTTTTGTGTCAGCCTTTAAGGGGTAAAAGTGGGCTTATATAAAAGAAGAAAATATTTGTTTTCTTGAATGTTTATTTGGTACTACGATCTTTGTATATAGAAGGTAAAACTCTGATGGTGATACAGGGGGATGGAGGGGATGTGAGAGAAAGCACATTTTGTCTGTAAAAATCATCAGAAGTTGACAGAAAATTTCGATGAGAGCCAGAACAAAACAAAGATACCTAGTTTTAGTTGAGAAAATAAAAATGGAGAAAATGAAGTATTCTGAAACAATAAGCCAGCATTGTGGTGACTATTTCTGAGGTGTATGTCATTACACTTGTATGTTTTATTAAAAAAGCTTTTAAAAGAATGTGTGCTATTTTTAATTAATAAGAATTAATAAGCATAGAAAATTCACCTGGTCCAGGTAATTTGATGAATTGGGTAGTAAGGTGAGTTAGTTAAAGTGATCAAATAGGTTGAGTTTAAAGAAAATGGCAGATAAGGGGAAATAAACAACTAGAAAATTTTCTTTCAAGTTTAGAATATAAATTATCCTGAAAATTTTATTCAGAGGCACTAATATAGGATTTTTCTTTTTCTTTCCTTAATGCCTTGTATTCTGCTGGGGACATAAGCACATTTAAATCAAAGATGGCTCCCCTCTTCCAACATAAATTTATAAGTATAATGAAATGAGGGAAGGAGAGTGCTCCCCCAAATTTGCAGGCAACACCGTGTCAAAAATGAAAATAAAAAATGGATAAACTGTGATGTGTAAGTTGACTTTAAGTGGAGTATAGGTTGTTTAAAGGATACTGTTTATATTTCCCATTGCATGTATTTGCATTTAGAAGCAATCACTAAAACAAATGTACTTTAATACACATTTGTAGAAACGTTTCAGTAACAATAAATAAATATAGATTTCCAGCTAGCATGCATTCTCTAACTCAGTGAAAACAAGTTTCTTCAGTGGTTGAAAACACGTAAAATAGACAAAATTTTATTTGTTTATACCCGTGTTGTATTTTTCTATAAATTTCCAAATACCCTAGCACTGTGCATCAAGCAATAATTGTTTTTAAAATAAAATAAGTGATTGAATTAATGAATTAATAGATTTAATAATGTTCAAATTGTGAATAATTCAACTTTCTTTATTACTAAACTTTACATAAAGAGTAAGACATTTTGTAATTTTTTAGTTTTATTTTTAATTGACACATAATAATTGTACATATTTGTGGGGGTAAAGGTGATGTTTCCATACGTGTGAACACCATTTAATGATCAAATTGCAGTAATTAGCAAATCCATTATCTCAAATATTTATCATTTTTCTGTAGTGAGAACATTTAAAACCTTCTCTTTTAGGCTACTTGGAAGTCTAAAAGATAATGTATTATCGTTAACTATAGTGACCTTACTGTGCAGTAGAACACCAGAACTTATTCCTCCTAGCTAACCATAACTTTGTACATGTGGGTTGATCAACTTCTTCAACTTTTTCTCCCTTCCTTAACATTCCCAGATTCTAGTAACCAATATTCTACCTCTACTGCTCTGAGATAAACCTTTTTGGATTCCATATATGAGTAAAATCATGTGGTATTTGTCTTTCTGTATCTGGCTGATTTCACATAACATATGTTCTACAGGTTAATCCACGCCTTTGCAAATGACAGGATTGCCTTCTCCTTTATGGCTGAATAATATTCTCTTTTGTATACATACAATGGAATACTAGTTTTCTTATCTATTTATTTGTTGTTGGACACTTAAATTGAGTCCTATATCTCTCTGTCATAACATGTATCACATAAAATTGTAATTTTATTTTATATATGTATTTGTACCTCTCTAATATATTAAAAAAATTTTTGAGCATCTATGTTATGGCTTGCACTGTGTCAAGTCCTGAAGATTTCATAGTAATAAATATTCATGTGGTTCCTGGCTTTACTGAACCAAGAGGCTAAATAGCTCTACATGTGATGTGTGTTTCAAAAAGGGACGTATACAGTGTTAAGGAAGTTTTGGACTCACAGGATACAAGTTAGGTCTCTTGTATGTATTTGTGTGTGTCTGTGTGTGTGTGTGTGTGTGTGTGTATTACTTATTATGATCTATACATTTCCTGTAATATAAAGAATAATTTGACAACATTTTAATAAATGAATACAAAGCTCAAAGCCTATCTCTCCCTACACTTTTTTTCATGAATATTTTTTCTTAAATAAATTTCTGAAGCAAACCTCTATTGAATATCTTTAGCTTTTGCCTTTTTTCTTTTTTCAATTAAAAAATAGCTACTTAGCATTCATAAACCATATGTCTAAGGCCTTTTAAACCCCCACAATCATAAATAGAGAATGTTTTTACACAGCTGTATACATTTTCCTGAGTTAAAAATCCACCAAAAGTCTCTAATGTGATACCATAGATCCACACCACAAATTAACTTTTTAACTATAACTATATATTTTTTCTTATTCTGTAGGCAATTTTCATATTGTCTGGTTGCTTATTGAAACAGTTGCACAATATCTTTTCTGACATGGCCATCTCTTGCAAAAGAAATATTTTTGTTATTCTGGGTTTAATGATAAATAGAGAAAAAATAAATAGAACATACTACCATATTGGGAATAAACTCTGGCCTTGACTACAAGCTGTTACTCATGCTATCTACTATAGGCCCCTGTAAGTCACAAATTAAAGATAAAAAATTTGAGAAATTAATTTAAAAGACTGAAATGTGTAATATATTAGAAATCACGAGAGTTAAGTTTGTGAATTCCAAAGTTTACTGTGGTAACATGCTTTCTTCTCATTAGGATATGAGAGTAATAAGTTAGATATTCAGACCATGACTATAGAAATAGAATGCTACAATAGAATAAGAAATAGGATGCTACAGTAGAAATAAGAAAGTACTTTAAGACTAAAAGTTACCCTCTACTTCAAATCCAAACATTTATAATTAGGATTATAAAATCACTTATTTTCTCTGGGTCTTAGCTTTCTCATGCATTAAATGAGTACAATAGATATTGTTGTGTCTTGTTATTTACTGACTTTCAGTGCTGGCTAGGGCTTCATTCAATATTATTATAAAAATAAAAGTCATCAATAGAACACTTAGAGTTGTGATAATAGAACACTATATAGAGTTGTGATAAATAGAACACTATATAGAGATGTGATAAATAGAACACTATATAGAGATGTGATAAATAGAACACTATAAAATTGTGATAAATAATTTAGATAGATTGTTTCTACTTGATCTTCTAGTGTCTCCTTGTGTGTTTAGTATTCATTTGTGGAGTGATTGTGTTTGACAGGTAGCCTGTGAACACAAAATAGAATGACACGATATTATCACCTAGAGATGGGCTTACACAAGCATTTACTAGAGCCATAACACTGATTGGGTCTTGAAGGGAACACTCAGAAACTGAAATTTCTTTTTATTAAAAAAAAATTTGATATGGGTTGCCATGGTTGGTCTAGAACTCCTGAGCTAAATGATCCTCCCACCCCAGCCTCCCAAAGTGCTGGGATTACAGGTGTGAGCCACTGCAGTTGGCCAGAAACTGAAATTTCTTAAAAATATGTATCAAGGATTTTACTAACCTTAAACCATCTTTTACATGCCAGGCATTCTTCTAGATATCAAAGGATTCACCATCTATTTGCAGGGACAACCATGCACACATGGATTTTCTACGTAATTTACTCTGTGCATAATAGATTTGTGAATAAAGTGATGATACTACACTGGATGGAATAGCAAGTTCTGCCAGAAGAAGAGAAAAATGGTATCAGGAAGATTTTATAGATGAGACATCTGAACAAAATCCTTAAAAATGAGAAGACTTTTGCCAGAAAGTTAGAGCAGACAGGAGGGAGGATATTCGACAGAAAAGCAACAGCGTGAGTGAATTCAGAGATGTATAAAGAAGCATGATAAAGTTGGGGAAAAAATTGTCCCAGAATCCTCCAGAGTTAGTCAACCATTCACCCAAATGCCTAAAGCACTTTATTCCTATAGCCATGAAGCTAATTCTGGCCATCAGCCTTTCAGGGTCTTCAAGGGTGGGACAATTGCTGATAAAACTAGTTCTGAATCTGGCAGATGGTATATATTCAACAGGAAATTATTGAATCAAAGTAAAAGGAAAAAAATGCGTATTTAAACTGTGCTTTTTGTGGGACAAGTTGAGCCAAATTGTGATGGGCTTTAAGTATTAGTGAGCAGTTTGGCTCTTATTTAAATCTGGAAAGAGAAGCCAGCCATCAAGGAAATTTAACTAGGGGGAACAACACAGGTTCAATGTTCTTGAGTTTCAAAAGTTGAAAAGATCTTTTCTCTAGCCTCATAACAAGACCAATTCATCCCAGTAGAATAAATGAGAGTTTTTTCTTTTGTAAAAACAAACAAACTTAAACTGGTCTTGTGCAGATATTGGATTCTTTAATAAATATTGTTAGCTTTCTACAGTTGGAAGTAAGTAAATACTATAAGTCTTTTCCCCACAACCTTCTACCAGTTTATTTTGAAACCAAATCTATGGCCAAATTCTGCTACAAATTCAGTCATTTATTAAAACAAAACAAACAGGAATAAATGTTTAAAAATGGAAGCATAAAACAATGTTTCCTCTTCTGTAAACTTGGTGAAGCTCCACCTCTCTGCCCTTTTATGCATTCCATCAGCACCTTGTGTAAAACATTTACCAGAAACAAATGCAATAATAGTCTAGAGGCAGGATTCAATTTGCCAAAACCAGCTCAGTTAGGGAGACCCTAACCCAGTGGCACTAGAGGAATTAAAGACACACACCCAGAAATATAGAAATGTGAAGTGGGAAATCAGGGGTCTCACAGCCTTCAGAGCTGAGAGCCCCGAACAGAGATTTGCCCACATATTTATTAACAGAAAACCAGTCATTAGCATTGTTTCTATAGATATTAAATTAACTAAAAGTATCCCTTATAGGAAACGAAGGGATGGGCCAAGTTAAAGGAATAGGTTGGGGTGGTTAACTGCAGCAGGAATGCACTCTTAAGACATAGATCACTCATGCTATTGTCTGTGGCTTAAGAATGCCTTTAAGCAGTTTTTTACCCTCAGCAGGCCAGTTGTTCCTTTCCCTCATTCCCGTAAACCCACAACCTTCCAGCGTGGGCGTTAGGGCCATTATGAACATGTTACAGTGCTGCAGATATTTTGTTTATGGCCAGTTTTGGGGCCAGTTTATGGCCAGATTTTGGGGGGCTTGCTTCCAACATCAATTAGTCAGCTACCTGCAGTCAGGCATCCAAGTAGCATCTGAATTAGCAAGTGGAAAGATGACTTAAAGAACCTAAGCTTAGAAAATCTTTCTTAGGAGTATAAAATCTGACTTTCCTAGATTTTTATATCCTGTACATATAAGGCAGGAATGCCTTTCTATACTTTTAGTAAATATATATTTTTCAAATTCCACTATTTTTACCAGTGGAAAAAAATCATTTCTATCAGCCATTTCTAATTAATAAACCATATGATGCAGACTTCAAATAAACGGGGCTTATACCTTGTTATAGTTGCCTCTGGAGTGTTGAGTTTTGATTTATACTAATTCCTGTCTACCTCGCTAATCTTCCTCTACTTCCCCACAAAAAATCCAACTTTCAATGCATATTCTTGTTAACAATAATTGACCAGTCCGCCTAAGGTGTGGTTTTGAACAAATACATACACACTAACTTGTCCCATTGTCTTTTTCGAAGTAGTAGATTATAGACAAGAGAATAGTAAATGCCTATTTATTCTGCTCATTACTGTGCTAACCACTCTTCATATCTCTGTGAGATCTCTGTTCTCTTATCCTCAGGAAAGTTCCTTATTTTGTCTAATCATTTCCATGTATTTTAACAATTCATCATGGATGTTAAATATTAGAAAATATCTATCATTAAAACTTTAATGTTTCATTCAATTTAAAGTTGTTCCTTTTTGCCTAGCTGAAGATTGACCTCCCAATTTAGAACTATTGCAAAGATGGCAGCAGGGTATGGGGGATAAACTGTTACTTCATCAGGCCATCACCTTGCTTCTTTCACTTTCTCTTTTCTGGACTTTATGTTTTTCTGTCTCTTTCAGAGTTAGTAGGGAGTGGGCAGAGTATCAGCAAAATAAGACAAGAAGGCACTGTCTAACTTCTTTAGTGTTACGACCTAATGCTGGTAAGTTCTGTGTGGCCAATATTCACATACATTTAGTCTCTCACTCTCTCTCTCCCTCTCTCTCTCTCTCTCGCTCTCTCTCTCTCTCTCGCTCTCTCTCTCCCTCTCTTCCTCTTTCTCTCTCTCCCCTTCCTCTCATATTTACAAAAAAACACTTTAATTAGATTATTTGGAAACTCCTCTTACTTATCAATTCTACACATGCCCTCTGGGGATTTTGCATTATGCTATTCTCTGGGATGGATAATACAGCCTCCAACTGGCTTTGAACAACTCTTCTGACTCTTGACATATGTCTCATATATACCTCTTTAGTGTATGTTTGTTTTTTCTTAGGGGAGGCATTCCATTTGACCATGGTCATTTTAAACTTCTCTCTAACTTGCAGAAAAAACGGCATTCTTACCTCTCCAAACCTCAAAACGATAAGTGGCTAAGTTTCCACTCAAACTTTCCCTTTGCTTTGCATTTAGTGGCATTTACTTCTATATTTTGTATGTATTGCTTGTTCATTAGAAACCAAAAGTATCTATCATGAACACTAAAAATAAAACTAGGTACTCCTTTCTCCTACAGCTTAGTGTATTAATTGAGATGATTTTTGTATTCTTCTGTCTTATTGTCCTAACTTTTCAATTCTTGGAGATTCTCATCCAGGTGTCTTGATTGCTAATTATGCTGATTTCTCAAAAGAGTCACCAATTCTTCAATAGAGAGCCTTAACAGACTGTGTATGCCGTAAGACTTTTCTGAATCCAAAACCTTAAAACCTATACTTCGATATTTCCATCAGTCTTAACCAATTGAAAAACAGCCTCTGATATCTAGAATCTCTCCTGGTAATATCAGATAGAATTTGCTGTTTTCCTACGGAACATAAACATCTGTGCAGAACATCATTTTCAGACAAGACCATTCTGTCACCACGATAGATTAAGACAAAACAAGACCAACTTGGAACATGTCTGAAAAGAAACAAAAACATGAACATTATTCAAACCACAAGATATGATATATTTCCCTCTCTCAGCTAAACTGAATAGCTGCCATTTCTTTATCGATTACAATTTTAATTTCAGTCTATGCTCTCTTCCTATATAAGATTATTGAAATACTCAGTTGCATAATTACCCTCACTACCTGAAATCCTCCAATCCAGAACAAAGCTCCTCTTCCTGAAATCCTTCCACAAATAACCTAATACCAGCCCAAACCCTGTAATAAATCATTTCTAACATCCTCTTATTGAGAAACCCCATGGTTCCTCATGTCGTGTGTGCTGCCTCTCACATAATTAACTCAACTTGTGCAATTACAAGTTTGTTTTTTCTGATCTTTGCCTAGAAGGTTGTGGCATTGTTATGTCTTTATTCTTATGCATCCAAATATGGCCCCGCCCCACAGCCCACCCCCACAGCTCACACCACAAACCCTTATATTGAAAGGCCTGCCTTCAACTAAACTTCAAATTCTCAATAAATTCAAATCTCACCTTTCTACCTCTGAGACACGATCGGAGCTAGACCAAGGTGGTGTTCTCCATGTAAACAATGCATTCAACTTTCTGTTATCTACAGGTTGTGTAGAGGATATGTGACCCCCTTCTGTAAAGGTATTCTGGTAGGCCCATAATAAAACTAACACATGTAATTTAAGTAGAATGGAGTAAGATCTAGTTAACACTTTATCTCAAAAATTTCTGTTGTGTGATCATGTTTGTTTATAGAAATACACAATTGTTAAATTTACATATATAATATTTATAAAAACACAATTCAAGTTTTTAGAATTAATCTTCTTCCACAGAGCAGTCTAATGATCTACATTGTTCATGTCATGGGCATTTTTTTTTTTTTTAAGACGGAGTCTCACTCTGTTGCCCAGACTGGAGTGCAGTGGCGCAATCTCGGCTTACTGCAAGCTCCGCCGCCTGGGTTCACGCCATTCTCCTGCCTCAGCCACCCGAGTAGCTGGGACTACAGGTGCCCACCACCATGTCCGGGTAATTTTTTCTATTTTTTAGTAGAGATGGGGTTTCACCGTGTTCGCCGGGATGGTCTCGATCTGCTGACCTCGTGATCCGGCCGCCTCGGCCCCCCAAAGTGTTGGGATTACAGGCGTGAGCCACTGCACCCGGCCATCATGGGCATTTTAAAAACCTTACAATGGCTTCCAATTGCACTTAAAATATAATCCTATTTCTTACTTTAGTCTACAAGACCGTAAATGATGTGACACTTGCCTGTCAATTCTCACCTCCTGACACTTCTACTTGTTTCTGAGTCTGGTCCCACGGGCCATCTTTTGTCTCCTAATGCATATAAAATTTAGTCCTTCTCTCATCTCTGGCACATACTACTTCCTCTTCATGAAAATCTCCTCCCCAAAATTGTTTTACAGATTTTTTTTTTTTATTCAGGGATGTTTAGTGGACTTTTCTGTCTTCCTATAATACCAGTATGCAAATATTACCTTGGGGATTTTATTTAATTAGCATATTTTGCCACTTATTTCATTTTTTAAAAAATGTTAAGCACATTAATAAAAATTATAAAATTATCTCACTGGGCTTCTGTAAATTTACATTGTAAGGTAATATGACAGTTGGATCAAATTTACCAAACCATGTACCCAGGGAGCCTTGATAAAAGACCAAGATTAAAAGTTGATTTTCAGGCAGGGCACAGTGGTTCATGCCTGTAATCCCAGCACTTTGGGAGGCTGAGGCGGGCAGATCATTTGAGGTCAGGAATTTGAGACCAGCCTGGCCAACATGGTAAAATCCCATCTCTACTAAAAATACAAAAAATAGCTGGTTCTGGTGGCATGCACCTGTAATCCCAGCTACTTGGGAGGCTGAGGCAGGAGAATTGCTTGAACTCAGAAGGTGGAAGTTGCATGAGCTGAGATCATGCCACTGCACTCCAGGCTGGGCAACGAAGACTCTGTCTCAAAAAAAAAAAGTTGATTTTTATTTGTAACATCTGCCTTCAATCTTAATTTCTTTGCATGTTAAAAAATAATGAACTAAAGATATCTTCAGCGAAACTGCAGTTCTTCAATTTTATTTACTTTTTAAAACCGATTTTATGTGATAATCTTAGATATTACCATAAAAATTTATCATAAGTGATTTTTGACTGAGAAGAAATTAACAAATTAAATCTGGTGACATAACTGTAAAATAGGTTCAGTCAGTTATTTTTTTCTGTTAAAATATAGTCTTATGTTACAGATCTAATATTTTATAAATTTCTAAAGTACAAATTTGAGCATCTAGATTATACTTAAGACATACTTATTTCTGGGTTGACCATGTGGTGTAACATAAAAGTAGAATAAAAATGATGATGAAAATGCCGTCTATTCTTCCTTTTTATACAATTGCTCCTAATAAAACAAATTGGGTGCCACTTCTCTTGAAAAGCATTGATTAGAATATTATATAGAGTATATAAATCATCATTCCAATGAAATAATCAAAGCAATTTTCACTGATCTGTCTGTCTCTTCATTAGTATGCTTTGTCTATTCTAAAACTTGAAAGTTATTGAGTGTCATTTTATTCTGTACAAGATACAAAACCATTAATGAAGATCAATAGTTGATGATGACATTTTCATTTTAAGTTTTGTATAAAGCAAGGGAATGTTTGTCATGGGACCCTGGATGTCTATTTTCCTGTTTCAACTATAATAAAACTATTTCATAAAGAAAACAAAGGACATGATGAAACAATTTTTTAGGAGAGCTGGAATTTTGAAAGGTTATTTAAAACATTGTAGACACAAATTTATTTGCAAGATGATTGCATGAGTCTTAATGCTCTTGAGTGAAAGTCCAAGTAGGATGAATATTTGAGTTCTAAGTGATCATAAATTTCAATTTTTATGTCATAGAATTATTGACTAAATTGTTATAATTTTCTATCAACATTTTATTATTTTTCTTGGTGCATTTCCTTGCCTGCTTAAATAATTTATCTGCATTAAAATTGTTTACATTTGTGAGTTTCCATATAGATTATATTAAACAAAAATTAGAGAAGGGATTTAGGTATATGTTTGGGCATTGCCATTAACTTGTAGTGTAAACTTTGGGATACTAGTTCACTTATTTTGGCTGTAGTCTCCTAATCTGTACATAAGAATGTTAAGCTTGCACTAGTTCTAATATTCCATGTAAATTATTGTTTCAAAATGGCAACTAGCAATGATAATATGTGTAATGATTACTTGATAAGTTTATATTTTAAATATTTATATGTAGACTAGTAATTTGAGTTTCAGTTAACAATAATATATTAACAATGGCAAACGCACATAATCCTATAAAAATTAAGATATTTTTAAGCACAATATCATTGTAAAGATTCTGATGGGTAGGTACCATATGACCTCTGTTTCATAGGTGACATGTTCATTTGGTTAAAATCCCTCAGTAAGTGATAGATTTGGTATTTGGAACCAATGAGCAATGCTGTCAACTGAAATATGACATTATTTTATTCATTTAATATGTGTTTATGGTTTAACCTCTTATGATACAAGGCACTGTACCAGGTATAGCAGTGAATAAAATAGACCAAGTTCCTTCCTTTGTGTAGCTTACAATATAATACAGGGAACATATAGATTACAAGTACTCAATAATATTTAGCTCTTCTCCTATCCTGGCACTTGGAAGACTACACTGACTAGGTACTTTGGAGTTGGGCCCATTATGTGACTGGCTCTGGGGAAGGAAATAAAAAATAAGAAGTGTTGTACATGCCTTCTTAGGCAGTGATAAGCTTTAAAGTTTCTACAGGCTCTTCCTTTTTGTGTCAAGTTGATCTAGGGGGCTTTTTTTTTTTTTTTTTTTTACAGATTTTACATCTTAAAAGGGATAGTCTGTATCACCTTGGGTCTATGAGTGGTCATCTGAATGAGAGCTCTCCCATAGGCCCCTCAAGCCACAATGAATATGTGATATGGGTGAGAAATATGCTTTTACAGACACTGAGATTTTATGATACTGATTATTGTCGCATTATCTAGACAGTCTTGACAAAACAACAGAGATTAAAGAATTGATGAGTATTGTTAACGGGGCCAAGAACCTAGAGTTTGTTTTCTGAAGAAATTGTATTTAAAATGAAACCTACAAATACAAGTTAGCTTAACAAATGGGAAAAGTAAGTATAGATTTGTATTCCAGGTGAAGGAAAATTAAATGGGTAAATCGTGGAGACAAGAGTAGGGTAAAATAAAAATAAGATAGGCACTTAAAAATATTACTCTACTAGCAATGCGGGAAATTGATTGCAGAGAGAAAATCTGAACTATATCAATTAAATTATATCAGTACTTCAAGTAGGAAATTATTAAGCTAGTACAAATATACAATCAGTCAATAGGAATAGAAGCTGAGAGATTTGATAAGTACTTGGCAGATGAAAGAAAGAGCACTTGGTTATTGGTGGGTTCAAAAGTTTTGTGGGGAGAGGGATTATACACAGATGATGTTCAAATTTCTAGTTAAGACAATTGGTTGTTTTTTGGAAAAGTTTACCTAAAATAAATTAACACTGGAGAAAAGAAGTTTAGGAATATGAAGTAGAGAAGTATGTTCCAAATCGTGGCCCACTGAGTGACATCCAAGCAAAGACGTTAAAGCTTTATGCTTTGTTTTGCTTTGATTTTTCATAATGGGAAGAAGTTAAATATGTTTAGATTCAAATGGAGATGAATCTAATAGTGAAAACAAATTTTGAAAAAATAGAAGAGTTAAAATAAGTGGACAAAAAATAATGATAATTCTTGATATCCTAGTAATATAAAGTGTGCTGATCAATTCTATCATATTGTCGCACTTCTCTGGAAGATGTTGAGGCATCTCCACAATTATGTTTCTCTATAATTAACATCAGAGAATACCCATAATGTGTCTTCTTTGATCATTAATCATCAGAGAAAACAGTTTTTTTCTGTCCAAAAATACACACAATTTTTTTCATCTTTCCTGAATCAAAGCAAAATGTCTTCTCTATTGTTTTATAATCACCTTTTAATCCAACTTAATCTTCATGGGTTCAAGTATTTCAGCACACTATGGTCTCTCTTTTCTAAATTTCAATCCCAGTATTTTTATTCCTTTGGCCATAAGTTCCTAGATTTCATATCTAATTATTTTTAAACTTTTTCTTGTCCAAGCTTTATTGCCTTGCAGTCTGTGTCTTGTAAATGATCTTTGTTCTTACAACCTCAAAAGGTTTACCATATGAGTCCTAAACTAAATTATGATGAACATGAAAATGATCTCATAAAATGAAGTCAACTGTTTTAATTCAGCCAACTGTTATAGAAACAACATATGCCCTTCCTCATGCTCTTTATAAATTAGAGATATGCATGTGCATTCAACATAAGAATGATTCAACAATAAGACAAAACATAACATCCTAATTGCTATGCCATATGTAAAAGTTGCCATGGAAATATAGGTGAAAATAACTGATATTTAAAAAGAAGAATAAAATTTGGCCCTAAAAGACTGTATGCTCTTAGATTAAGACTACTACTTTTGTGACGTTGGGCAAGTTTTGTTATTGTTGATGTTTTGTTGTTGTTTTTTGTTTGTTTTGTATTTTTAATTATGTCTGTTTCATTTTCTTTCTTACTAGATAGGAACAATGGTAATAAATAATACAAATTTCAATCAAAGTGAAAATCTAGTAAAATAATTATGCAAAATTGTATGCATTAAATCTACAAACTGCAAATCGCTTTACAAATGTTACTTTTAATTTTAATTCATGTGGCAGATCACAGTTCATAAAAGAAAAAGATTTTGAGATGTAGAGATAACGAAAGTGTCTGAAATGAAGGCAGCCCCAGGCTTTAAAAATATGTGTCCTTGGTAAAGATTATTTAGGACTTGGTCAAGGCATGGTTGTACAGTGCCAACACTTACACAGGTGGCTCAGTTGACGTGGGGTATGCGGTGCACAAATGGGCCACAGTATATAAGAAATACATCACATCTCTTAAGCGAACTTAAGATTATCCTTATTTTTTTAACCAGTGATTCCATAATTGTTCTAAGTTTGTTGTTGTTGTTGTTGTTGTTGTTGATGTTTTACATCAGGTAGAATTGAGTGGAACTCCAATTTGACTCTTAATATATTCCAGGTCCAAAGTCATATACTAATCTGATCCAATGGCATTTTCTTGGTAATTATCTTGCTTAAGAACATTTTCTCTTTAATTCAAATAAAGTTATAAGAAGATTAAATAAAAAAACTACCCTTCTGGCCATTATATGTATTACATTATGTGCTAAAGTGTTAGAGATCAAACATAATTTTTAAAAGTTTTCAATTCTCCTGGAATTTAGTATCTATTGGTAAAAACAAAGACATGTACAAATAATTGTAGGACAATATGGAAAATGCTTAAAAATCAATATACTGCAAAATTCATAGGAAGTATACAGAAGAGATGAGTTCTTACAGAGCAAAGATTGTCTCTGTCTAGTGCACTTAATGAGAACTTTACAAAAGATTGAGATTCATAATTGAGTTCTGAATAAAATAGTAATTCAGAAAACAATTCAGGGGAGACAAAATCATAAGTATCTTGCCTTTCTCTATATCCTCTGTCCTGTTTCTTGTTATTGATACTGTGTGTGATGTTGTGCTTATTTACTCTTTATTAAGCCATTTTTTTGCAAGAATTAGTGCACTGAGTGCTTTCCAGTTCTTGTATTGGACCCTCACCATAGTCCTATAATTACTCACTTTGTTATTAAGCAAAATGAGGTTAAAAAGTTAAGCACCTTTTGATCAGATAATTGGAAAGAATTAGATTAAACTTCAGTTTAACAGAACAGTTAGCAGACAATTGGACTTTGTTTATGCAGTATGTCTTTAGGGTTCCGAAGTTGCAGTCTTTATTCTTTGTTCTGTTATGATTTTCCAAAGTCCTCTTTCTTTATTTAGGATACTTTGCAAACTTTTGCTAGGACAATTTTTTTTTTCTTCAGAAGGATAATACAGTAATGTTCAAACTTCTGGATGAGAACACTTAATGGACTGCAGAAGATAATTTTATTTATTTTGTTTCCTTTATCATTAAAAGTGAATAGTCTAGAAAGCTTAATTTACTCCTAACAGAATATAGGCTCAGAAACAAAGGACACACATTGTATTCTTAGACAAACTAAATGGCATTTTGAAAAAATGAATATTCTGCTAACATTCTCATGCATTGCAAGCAATTGAGATATTTTGTCTTCCAGTTTTCAGTTCTCCTGGAATCTAATGTCTAAAGCTCATGGAAAAATATAAGCCAACATTTTATTTTACAGACTCTAATGTAAGAGGATTAGATCTCATTTAAGATGATGTGTAAAATTATTTCAGCCCTGAACATCTCCATAATATTAATTGAAAACATGAAAAGGGAAACAATATTTTAGATAATAATTGAAAAATAGATACCATCCAAAATTATAATCTGGAAAGAAGAGTTTACCCAGTACTGTAAAAAAAAGTGTCCATTATCAAGAGAGGAAGCCCAAAAGCAAAGTCAAGTGCACATAAGAGATGCATGGCTGACCAGACTGACTTCTGGATGGTATGGAATGAACATATATCCATAAAGTAAAATATTGGTGAAAATAAGTACAGTTATAACGATGAAACACAAAAGTTAATCCAAGATTCTTCGGTTATTTGGTACCATTTCTGTTCCCATTTTCTAGTTCATTTGAAACAAAAAATGAGGCATAACATACATAAAGTGCACCAATATTAAATGTACAGTCTGCTGATTTTTTTTTTTTTTTGAGATAGAATCTTGCTCTGTTGCCCAAGCTGGAGTGCAATGGCATGGTCTTGGCTCACTGCAACCTCTGCCGCCTCCCGGGTTCCAGCCATTCTCCTGCCTCAGCTTCCTGAGTAGCTGGAATTATAGGTGACCGCCACCACACCCGGCTAATTTTTGTATTTTTAGTAGAAACGAGGTTTCACCATGTTGGACAGGCTGGTCTCAAATTCTTGACCTCAGGTGATCTGCTCTCCTCAGCTGCCCAAAATGCTGGGGTTACAGGCATGAGACACCACCCCCAGCCATATAGATGTTATTTTTATTATGTCGTTAATGCTTTGAAAGTTATAGATTATATTTTTATATTAGTGTTACTCTTAAATTTTAATGGTAATATTTAATATCTAAAATTTGTCTGTATTTCTACCTTTCTTCACAACATCGTAAGAATTTTAAAATATGTTGACTTCAATCACTTCTTGCTATCTCATGTGTTGTTGCCTTTCAACATTTTCCTTTCCGCTTAGTGGGATTTTCTACTACTTTTTTTGACATCATGATCATTATCATGAACATGATCATCTTCATCATGATTTTTGTTTGCAATTTGTTAAGATTTAAACTCATGCCTTTCTGATACCAGAAATAAAACTCTTTATATATATATATATATATATATATATTATTTTTTTATCATACCTTAAGTTCTAGGGCACATGTGCCCAACGTGCAGGTTTGTTACATATGTATACATGTGCCATGTTGGTGTGCTGCACCCATTAACTCGTCATTTACATTACGTATATCTCCTAATGCTATCCCTCCCCCCTCCCCCCACCCCACAACAGGCCCCAGGGTGTGATGTTCCCCTTCCTGTATCCAAGTGTTCTCATTGTTCAGTTCCCACATGAGTGAGAGCATGTGGTGTTTGGTTTTTCGTCTTTGCGATAGTTTGCTAAGAATGATGGTTTCCAGCTTTATCCATGTCCCTAGGAAGGACATGAACTCATCATTTTTTATGGCTGCATAGTATTCCATGGTGTATACGTGTCACATTTTCTTAATCCAGTCAATCATTGTTGGACATTTGGGTTGGTTCCAAGTCTTTGCTATTGTGAGTAGTGCTCCAATAAACATAGGTGTGCATGTGTATTTATAGTAGCATGATTTATATTCCTTTGCGTACATACCTAGTAATGGGATGGCTGGGTCATATGGTATTTCTAGTTCTAGATCCCTGAGGAATTGCCACACTGACTTCCACAATGGTTAAACTAGCTTACAGTCCCACCAACAGTGTAAAAGTGTTCCTATTTCTCCACATCCTCTCCAGCACCTGTTGTTTCCTTTCTTTTTATTTTTTTATTTTTTTATTTTATTTTATTTTATTATACTTTTAGAGTACAGGTACACAATGTGCAGGTTACTTATGTATGTATACGTGTGCCATGCTGGTGTGCTGCACCCATTAACTCATCATTTAGCATTACGGATATCTCCTAATGCTATCCGTGCCCCTACCCCCCACTCAACAACAGTCCCCAGAGTGTGATGTTGCCCTTCCTGTGTCCATGTGTTCTCATTGTTCAATTCCCACCTATGAGTGAGAACATGCGGTGTTTGGTTTTTTGTCCTTGTGATAGTTTACTGAGACTGATGATTTCCAATTTCATCCATGTCCCTACAAAGGACATGAGCTCATCATTTTTTATGGCTGCATAGTATTCCATGGTGTATATGTGCCACATTTTCTTAATCCAGTCTATCATTGTTGGACATCTCGGTTGGTTCCAAGTCTTTGCTATTGTGAATAGTGTTGCAATAACCATACGTGTGCATGTGTCTTTAGAGCAGCATGATTTATAGTCCTTTGGGTATATACCCAGTAATGGGATGGCTGGGTAAAATGGCATTTCTAGTTCTAAATCCCTGAGGAATCGCCACACTGACTTCCACAATGGTTGAACTAGTTTACAGTCCCACCAAAAGTGTAAAAGTGTTCCTATTTCTCAACATCCTCTCCAGCACCTGTTGTTTCCTAACTTTTTAATGATTGCCATTCTAACTGGTGTGAGATGGTATCTCATTGTGGTTTTGATTTGCATTTCTCTGATGGCCAGTGATGGTGAGCGTTTTTTCATGTGTTTTTTGGCTGCATAAATGTCTTCTTTTGAGAAGTGTCTGTTCATGCCCTTTGCCCACTTTTTGATGGGGTTGTTTGTTTTTTTCTTATAAATTTGTTTGAGTTCATTGTAGATTCTGGATATTAGCCCTTTGTCAGATGAGTAGATTGCAAAAATATTCTCCCATTCTGTAGGTTGCCTGTTCACTCTGATGGTAGTTTCTTTTGCTGTGCATAAGCTCTTTAGTTTAATTAGATCCCATTTGTCAATTTTGTCTTTTGTTGCCATTGCTTTTGGTGTTTTAGACATGAAGTCCTTGCCTACGCCTATGTCCTGAATGGTAATGCCTAGGTTTTCTTCTAGGGTTTTTATGGTTTTAGGTCTAACGTTTAAGTCTTTAATCCATCTTTAATTAATTTTTGTATAAGGTGTAAGGAAGGGATCCAGTTTCAGCTTTCTTCATAAGGCTAGCCAGTTTTCCCAGCACCATTTATTAAATAGGGAATCCTTTCCCCATTGCTTGTTTTTCTCAGGTTTGTCAAAGATCAGATAGTTGTAGATATGTGGCATTATTTCTGAGGGCTCTATTCTGTTCCATTGATCTTTATCTCTGTTTTGGTACCAGTACCATGGTGTTTTGGTTACTGTAGCCTTGTAGTATAGTTTGAAGTCAGGTAGCGTGATGCCTCCAGCTTTGTTCTTTTGGCTTAGGATTGACTTGGTGATGCGGGCTCTTTTTTGGTTCCATATGAACTTTAAAGTAGTTTTTTCCAATTCTGTGAAGAAAGTCATTGGTAGCTTGATGGGGATGGCATTGAATCTATAAATTACCTTGGGCAGTATGGCCATTTTCACGATACTGATTCTTCCTACTCATGACATGGAATGTTCTTCCATTTCTTGGTATCCTCTTTTATTTCATTGAGCAGTGGTCTGTAGTTCTTCTTGAAGAGGTCCTTCACGTCCCTTGTAAGTTGGATTCCTAGGTATTTTATTCTCTTTGAAGCAATTGTGAATGGGAGTTCACTCATGATTTGGTTCTCTGTTTGTCTGTTATTGGTGTATAAGAATGCTTGTGATTTTTGTACATTGATTTTGTATCCTGAGACTTTGCTAAAGTTGCTTATCAGCTTAAGGAGATTTTGGGCTGAGACAATGGGGTTTTCTAGATATGCAATCATGTCATCTGCAAATAGGGACAATTTGACTTCCTCTTTTCCTAACTGAATACCCTTTATTTCCTTCTCCTGCCTAATTGCCCTGGCCAGAAGTTCCAACACTATGTTGAATAGGAGTGGTAAGAGAGGGCATCCCTGTCTTGTGCCAGTTTTCAAAGGGAATGCTTCCAGTTTTTGCCCATTCAGTATGATATTGGCTGTGGGTTTGTCATAGACAGCTCTTATTATTTTGAGATACGTCCCATCAATACCTAATTTATTGAGAGTTTTTAGCATGAAGGGTTGTTGAATTTTGTCAAAGGCCTTTTCTGCATCTATTGAGATAATCATGTGGTTTTTGTCTTTGCTTCTGTTTATATGCTGGATTACATTTATTGATTTGCATATATTGAACCAGCCTTGCATCCCAGGGATGAAGTCCACTTGATCATGGTGGATGAGCTTTTTGATGTGCTGCTGGATTCAGTTTGCCAGTATTTTATTGAGGATTCTTGCATCAATGTTCATCAAGGATATTGGTCTAAAATTCTCTTTTTTGGTTGTGTCTCTGCCAGGCTTTGGTGTCAGGATGATGCTGGCCTCATAAAATGAGTTAGGGAGGATTCCCTCTTTTTCTATTGATTGCAATAATTTCAGAAGATATGGTACCAGTTCCTCCTTCTACCTCTGGTAGAATTCGGCTGTGAATCCATCTGGTCCTGGACTCTTTTGTTTGGTAAGCTATTGATTATTGCCACAATTTCAGCTCCTGTTATTGGTCTATTCAGAGATTCAACTTCTTCCTGGTTTGGTCCTGTGAGGGTGTATGTGTCGAGGAATTTATCCATATATTCTAGATTTTCTAGTTTATTTGCGTAGAGGTGTTTGTAGTATTCTCTGATGGTAGATTGTATTTCTGTGGGATCAGTGGTGATATCCCCTTTATCATTTTTTATTGCATCTATTTGATTCTTCTCTCTTTTCTTCTTTATTAGTCTTGCTAGTGGTCTATCAATTTTGTTGATCCTTTCAAAAAACCAGCTCCTGGATTTGTTAATTTTTTGAAGGGTTTTTTGTGTCTCTATTTCCTTCAGTTCTGTTCTGATTTTAGTTATTTCTTGCCTTCTGCTAGCTTTTGCATGTGTTTGCTCTTGCTTTTCTAGTTCTTTTAATTGTGATGTCAGGGTGTCAATTTTGGATCCTTCCTGCTTTCTCCTGTGGGCATTTAGTGCTATACATTTCCCTCTACACACTGCTTTGAATGTGTCTCAGAGATTCTGGTATGTTGTGTCTTTTTTCTCATTGCTTTCAAAGAACGTCTTTATTTCTGCCTTCATTTCCTTATGTACCCAGTAGTCATTCAGGAGCAGTTTGTTCAGTTTCCATGTAGTTGAGTGGTTTTGAGTGATTTTCTTAATCCTGAGTTCTAGTGTGATTGCACTGTGGTCTGAGAGACAGTTTGTTATAATTTCTGTTCTTTTACATTTGCTGAGGAGTGCTTTACTTCCAACTATGTGGTCAATTTTGGAATAGGTGTGGTGTGGTGCTGAAAAAAATGTATATTCTGTTGATTTGGGGTGGAGAGTTCTGTAGATGTCTATTAGGTCTGCTGGGTGCAGAGCTGAGTTCAATTCCTGGGTATCCTTGTGAACTTTCTGTCTCGTTGATCTATCTAATGTTGACAGTGGGGTGTTAAAGTCTCCCATTATTATTGTGTGGGAGTCTAAATCTCTTTGTAGGTCACTCAGGACTTGCTTTATGAATCTGCATGCTCCTGTATTGGGTGCATATATATTTAGGATAGTTAGCTCTTCTTGTTGAATTGATCCCTTTACCATTAAGTAATGGCCTTGTCTCTTTTGATCTTTGTTGGTTTAAAGTCTGTTTTATCAGAGACTAGGATTGCAACTCCTGCCTTTTTTGTTTTCCATTTGCTTGGTAGATCTTCCTCCATCCTTTTATTTTGAGCCTATGTGTGTCTCTGCATGTGAGATGGGTTTCCTGAATACAGCACATTGATGGGTCTTGACTCTTTATCCAATTTGCCAGTCTGTGTCTTTTAATTGGAGCATTTAGTCCATTTACATTTTAAGTTAATATTGTTAGGTGTGAATTTGATCCTGTCATTATGATGTTAGCTGGTTATTTTGCTCATTAGTTGATGCAGTTTCTTCCTAGTCTCGATGGTCTTTACAATTTGGCATGATTTTGCAGCAGCTGGTACCAGTTGTTCCTTTCCATGTTTAGTGCTTCCTTCAGGAGCTCTTTTAGGGCAGGCCTGGTGGTGACAAAATCTCTCAGCATTTGCTTGTCTGTAAAGTATTTGATTTCTCCTTCACTTATGAAGCTTCGTTTGGCTGGATATGAAATTCTGGATTGAAAATTCTTTTCTTTAAGAATGTTGAATATTGGCCCCCACTCTCTTCTGGCTTGTAGAGTTTCTGCCGAGAGATCCGCTGTTAGTCTGATGGGCTTCCCTTTGTGGGTAACCCTGCCTTTCTCTGTGGCTGCCCTTAACATTTTTTCCTCCATTTCAACTTTGGTGAATCTTACAATTATGTGTCTTGGAGTTGCTCTTCTCAAGGAGTATCTTTATGGTTTTCTCTGTATTTCCTGAATCCGAATATTGGCCTGCCTTGGTAAATTGGGGAAGTTCTCTTGGATAATATCCTGGAGAGTGTTTTCCAACTTGGTTCCATTCTCCCCGTCACTTTCAGGTACACCAATCAGATGTAGTTTTCATCTTTTCACATAGTCCCATATTTCTTGGAGGCTTTGTTCATTTCTTTTTATTCTTTTTTCTCTAAACTTCCCTTCTCGCTTCATTTCATTCATTTCATCTTCCATCACTGATACCCTTTCTTCCAGTTGACCGCATCGGCTCCTGAGCCTTCTGCATTCTTCTTGAGCCTTGGCTTTCAGCTCCATCAGCTCCTTTAAGCACTTCTCTGTATTGTTTATTCTAGTTATACATTCGTCTAAATCTTTTTCAAAGTTTTTAACTTCTTTGCCTTTGGTTTGAATTTCCTCCTGTAGCTCAGAGTAGTTTGATCGTCTGAAGCCTTCTTCTCTCAATTCGTCAAAGTCATTCTCTGTCAGCTTTGTTCCATTGCTGGTGAGGAATTGCATTCCTTTGGAGGAGGAGAGGTGCTCTGCTTTTTAGAGTTTCCAGTTTTTCTGCTCTGTGTTTTCCCCATCTTTGTGGTTTTATCTACTTTTGGTCTTTGATGATGGTGATGTACAGATGGGTTTTTGGTGTGGATGTCCTTTCTGTTTGTTAGTTTTCTTTCTAACAGATAGGACCCTCAGCTGCAGGTCTGTTGGGGTTTGCTAGAGGTCCACTCCAGACCCTGTTTGCCTGGGTATCAGCAGCAGCAGCTGCAGAACAGCAGATTTTCCTGAACCGCGAATGCTGCTGTCTGATCGTTCCTCTGGAAGTTTTGTCTCAGAGGAGTACACAGCCATGTGAGGTGTCAGTCTGCCCCTACTGGGGGGTGCCTCCCAGTTAGGCTGCTCAGGGGTCAGGGGTCAGGGACCCACTTGAGGAGGCAATCTGCCCATTCTCAGATCTCCAGCTGCGTGCTGGGAGAACCACTGCTCTCTTCAAAGCTGTCACACAGGGACATTTAAGTCTGCAGAGGTTACTGCTGTCTTTTTGTTTGTCTGTGCCCTGCCCCCAAAGGTGGAGCCTACAGAGGCAGGCAGGCCCCCTTGAGCTGTGGTGGGCTCCACCCAGTTTGAGCTTCCCCGCTGCTTTGTTTACCTAAGCAAGCCTGGGCAATGGTGGGTGCCACTCCCCCAGCCTCACTGCCGCCTTGCAGTTTGATCTCAGACTGCTGTGCTAGCAGTCAGCGAGATTCCATGAGTGTAGGATCCTCTGAGCCATGTACAGTGTATCATCTCCTGGTGTGCCGTTTTTAAGGCTGTCGGAAAAGCGCAGTATTCGGGTGGGAGTGACCTGATTTTCCAGGTGCCATCTGTCACCTGTTTCTTTGACTAGGAAAGGGAACTCCCTGACCCCTTATGCTTCCCCAGTGAGGCAATGCCTCACCCTGCTTTGGCTCATGCACAGTGCGCTGCACCCACTGTCCTGCGCCCACTGTCTGGCACTCCCTAGTGAGATGAACCCGTTACCTCAGATGGAAATGCAGAAATCACCCGTTTTCTGCATCGCTCATGCTGGGAGCTGTAGACTAGAGCTGTTCCTATTCGGCCATCTTGGCTGCCTCCTCCTGTTTCCTGACTTTTTAATGATCGCTATTCTAAGTGGTGTGAGATGATATCTCACTGTGGTTTTGATTTGCATTTCTCTGATGGCCAGTGATGATGAGCATTTTTTCATGTGTCTATTGGCTACATAAATGTCTTCTTTTGAGAAGTGTCTGTTCATATCCTTCACCCACTTTTTGATGGGGTTTTTTTTGTTGTTGTAAATTTGTTTGAGTTCTTTGTAGATTCTGGATATGAGCTCTTTGTCAGATGAGTAGATTGCAAAAATTTTCTCCCATTCTGTAGGTTGCTTGTTCACTCTGATGTAGAGACACAAAAAAACCTACATAACATCAATGAAACCAGGAGCTGGTTTTTTTAAAGATCAACAAATTTGATTGACCACTAGCAAGACTAATAAATAAGAAAGGAGAGAAGAATCAAATAGTCACAGTAAAAAATGACAAAGGGGATATCACCACCTATCCCACAGAAATACAAACTACCATCAGAGAATACTATAAACACCTCTATGCAAATAAACTAGAAAATCTAGACGAAATGGATAAATTCCTGGACACATACACCCTCCCAAGACTAAACCAGGAGGAAGTTGAATCTCTTAATAGACCAATAACAGGCTCTCAAATTGAGGCAATAATTAATAGCTTACCAAGCAAAAAAAGCCCAGGACTAGATGGATTCACAACGGACTTCTACCAGAGGTACAAGGAGGAACTGGTACCATATCTTCTGAAACTATTGCAATCAATAGAAAAAGAGGGAATCCTCCCTAACTCATTTTATGAGGCCAGCTTCATCCTGATACCAAAGCCTGGTAGAGACCCAACAAAAAAAGAGAATTTTAGACCAATATCCCTGATGAACATCAATGCAAAAATCCTCAATAAAATACTGGCAAACCAAATCCAGCAGCATATCAAAAAGCTTATTCACCATGATCAAGTGGGCTTCATCCCTGGGATGCAAGGCCTGTTCAACATATGCAAATCAATAAACAGAACCAAAGACAAAAACCACATAATTATCTCAATAGATGCAGAAAAGGCCTTCAACAAAATTCAACAGCGCTTTGTGCTAAAAACTCTCAATAAGTTAGGTATTGATGGGATGTATCTAAAAATAATAAGAGCTATTTATGACAAACCCACAGTCCATATCATACAGAAATAAAACTCTTAACCTATACTCTTCATTCTCTGTCTGGGTACATAGAAACAGAAGACAGATCACAAATATTTGGAAAGAGAATCCTGCTTTAATGTGGATTTACTATCTGAGAGATGAAGTGGATTCAGGTTCAAGAGAACAAATAGTTTAGGGTAACTGTAGAGAAAATAATGAGTTGCAGAGAAAAACAACTCAGAATATAGGGTTTGTATGTACCATTGGGATGGGGTTGTATGCTTAAAGAATGTGGCTCAAGGCCAGGTACTGTGGCTCACACCTGTAATTCCAGTATTTTGGAAGGCTAAATCAGGAGATTACTTAAGCTCAGGAGTTTGAGGCCAGCCTGAGTAACATACCGAGATCCCATCTCTACAAAGACTAAAAATGATTAGCCATTAGTGGTGATGCACTTCTGTAGTCCTAGCTACTTGGGAGACTGAGGTAGGAGGATGGCCTGAGCCCAAGAGGTTGAGGATGCAGTGAGCCACGATCACACCACTGCGCTCCAGCCTTAGTAAAAGAGACCCTGTCTCAAAAATAAAAAAAAAAAAATGGGGCTTGAGCCACTGGGATAATCTTTTTTATAGAATGTGCATACCTGAGAGATATGATAGGCATGATTCAAGACCACAACAATAACGCAAATATCACAATAAAGTGAATCATATTTTTTTATATTTCCAGTTTATATAAAAATTATGTTTATACTATACTCCACTTTATGAAGAGTTCAATAGCATTATGTCTGAAAAAAACAAGGTACATGCCATAATTAAAAATTGTTTATTGCTAAAAAATATTAGTAATCATCTTACCCTACAGCAAATTATAAGTATCTTGCTAGTGGTGGGTCTTGCCTCAATGTAGCTGGATGTAGACTGATCTTGGTGGTGGTTGCTGAAGGTTAGGGTGGCTGTGGCAATTTCTTAAAATAAGACAACAATGAAGTTTGCTGCACTAACTCTTCATTTCCCAAAAATAATTCTCTGTAGAATGTGATGCTGTCTGATAGCATTTTACCCACAGTAGAACTTATTTCAAAATTGGAGTCAATCATCTCAAAACTTGCTGCTGCTTTGTCAACTAAGTTTACATAATATTCTAAACCATTTGTTCTCATTTCAACAATATTCACAGCATCTTCACCAGGGGAAGAGTTCATATCAAGAAACTACATTTTGTGCTCATCCTTATCTGTTTAAGTTTGGTCATGACATTCTATCGCTTATATCTTCAGGCTCAACTTCTAATTTTAATTCTCTTGCTATTTCCACCACATCTGTGGTGACTTCCTCCACTGAAGTCTTGAATCCCTCAAATTCATCCATGAGGTTTAAAATCAATTTTCTTTCAAATTGTTGTTAATATTAACATTTTTACCTACTCCCATGAATCAAAGATGTTCTTAATGGCATCTAGAATGATGATGTTTTTTCTCAAGGTTTTCAATGGACTCACCCAAATCCATCAGAGGAATCACTATCTAATGTAGTTGTAGCGTTATGGAATGTATTATAATAAGAATTGAAAGTCAAAATGACTCCTTGATACGTGGGCTGCAGAATGGATGTTGGGTTAGCAGGCATAAAAACAACATTAATATCCTTGAACATTTCTATCAGAGTTCTTTGGTACCCAGTTGCATTGTTAATGAACAGTAATATTTTGAAAATAATATATATTTTTGAGCAGTAGGTCTCCACAGTGGGCCTAAAGTATTCAGTAAATCATACTAGAAAAGAGGTGCTGTCATTCAGGCTTTGCTTTTCCATATATAGGGCACAAACAGAGTACATTTAGTGTAATTCATAAGGGCTATGGGCTTTTTTGGAGTGGCAAATGAGTACTGGCTTCAATTTAATGTCACCAGCTGCATTTAGCACCTAACAAGAGAGTCACCTTGTCCTTTGAAGCTTTGAAGCTTTGAAGCCAGACATGGACATTGCCTCTCTCAAAATGCATGTCCCAGATGGCCTCCTCTTCCAATAGAAAGCTGTTTTGTCTACATTAAATATCTATTGTTCCATGCAGCAACCTCCATCCATTAGCTAGAGTTCTTGGGTAACTTACTGTAACTTCTATATCAGAACTTGCTACTTCACCTTGCACTTTTGTTATAGAGACAGCTTCTTTCCTTAAACCTCATGAACCAAGTTCTGCCACATTCAAATTTTCCTTTTGCAACTTATTAACCTCTCTCAGCCTTCACAGAAATGAAGAGAATTATGGCCTTGCTCTGGAATAGGCTTTGGCTTAAGGTAATGCTGTGTATGATTTGATATTCTATTTGAACCACTGGAACTTTCAACATGTTAGTAATAAGCGGTTTCTGATTATTTGCATGTTCACTGAAGTAACACTTTTAATTCCCTTCAATAACTTTTTATTCTACATTCACAACTTGGCTAAATGTTTGGTGTAAGAGGCCTAGCTTTCAGCCTATTTTGGCTTTAGATACACCTTCCTTACTAAACTTAATTATTTCTAGCTTTTGATATAAAGTGAGAGACATTCAATTCTTTCTTTCACTTGAACAAGTAGGGGCCATCATAACATTATAAACTGACCTAATTTTAATGTTGTTGTTTCTCAGGGAATAGGAAGGGCCAAGGAGAGGAAGAGAGTCAGGGAAATGGCTGGCTGGTGGAGCAGACAGAACACATGCAATTTAGTTTACCAATTAACTTCACAATCTTATAAAGTCATGGTTCATGGTGCCTTAAAGCAATTACAATAGTAACAAAGATCACTAATTAAAGATCACCATAACAGGTATTATAATAATAATAAAAAATTTGAAATATTGTTAGAATAACTAAGTGGATTTGTAAAAAGTACCTATACAAGTGAAGCTCAATAAAGTGAAGCATAATAAAGCAAGGTATGCCTGCAATTTGTACTGAAGACATTAATTTATTATTTAATTTTTATTGATGCATAATAGATGCACAATTTGTTGGGTACATGTGATAATTTGATACATTTATATAATTTGTAGAGATCAAATCATTATAATTGTATATAACAACATTATATAATTATAAAGATCAAATCAACATAATTTGTAATTTACATTCTCCATCATAGCGCACCTTAAATCTTTGCCTGTTCTTAAATTAGAAACATTTAAATTATTATCTTCTAACTATCTTGATACTTACAATATATTATTGTTAACTACAGTTACCCTATTGGTTCATCAAGCACTAGGTTTTATTTCGTCTATGAAACTGTATGTTTGTACCCATTAATCAACCTGTCTTCTCTTCTTTCCCCCTACCTTTCCTGGCCTCTGGCAACCACTATTATGCTGTCTATCTTCAAGAGATCTGCTTTTTTAGCTTCCTCATAAGAGTGAGAACATGTCTGCCCTTGGCTTTTTTCACTTAATGAAATCCAGTTTCCACATGTTTCAGCAAATAACAGGGTTTCATTGTTTGAGGCTGAGTAATATTCCATTGTATACTCCATTTTCATTATCCATTCATTCATTGATGAACCCTAAGGTTGACTCCATATTTTGGCTATTTTAAAGAGTGCTGCAATAAACATAGAAGTGCAGGTATCTATTCAATATACTGATTTCATTTATGTTAGGTGTATACCAGGCGGTTGGATTGCCAAATCATATGGTAGTTCTGCTTTTAGGTTTATGAAGAACCTCCGTACAGTTGTCCATAGTGGTTATACTAATTTACATAACCCACCATAGTACAAAGGTTTTCCTTTCTCCAAATTCTCACTTGTTATTTCCATTCTTTTTGATAAAAGCAATTTTAACTGGGGTAAGGTCATATCTCATTGTGGTTATGATCTGCATTTCTCTGATGTTTAGTGACATTGATTCTTTCATATACCTGGTAGCCATTTGTATATCTGCTTTTGAGAAAAGTCTTTTCAGATTATTTACACATATTGTAATTAGATTTTTATGCTTTTATTTTTTACTATTGAGTAGTTTCAGTTCCTTATATATTCCTTATTAATCCCTTGTCAGATGAATAGTTTGCAATATTTTTTTCTCATTCAATAAGTTGTCTTTCTAGTTTGTTGATTTTCTGTGCAGAAACTGTTTAGCTTGATGCAATTTTGTTTCCATTTTTGCTTTTGTTCCCTATGTTTTTCAGGTCTTATTCAAAAAATGTTTTGCCAGACAAATGTCTTGCAGCATTTCTCCAATGTTTTCTTCTAGCAGTTTCATAGTTTCTGATCTTACATGTAAGCTGTTTCAGAATAGGCTGTCTTGAGGCCATGTGGATTCAAATTGTCCCAAAGCATTATTTTTAGGAGAAGTAACATTAACAGGGACTACATTTTCTGATGAAAATTCTTCTTATCATCTTTCTGGGGAACTGTGGAGCCACAAGATATCAAAGTGGGCAGTTAAGACAAAGAACAAAATCAAAATTTGCAATCAAACCTTTATGTATTTAAAGCCAGAGTATAAGCAAGATGAAATAAAGAGGTTTCAGCTCTGCAATTTTTTATATCTCCCATGGAACTTCATCTGGTGGGGTCAGGTAAACAGCAACACCTGGGGGAAATAATAGACCAAACATGATCTGTAGTCCAAGAATGTCCTGGGCTCTTTGCTGGAAGTATCAGATCCTAGGCAGTATTTTTAGCATTAGCCAAGGTCTGACAGGTGAGACAATTTTTCATCCTGTTTCAGCATTTTCTAATGGCAATGGCAATCATGTGTGTAGGCCCAGTCTAGGTGGTGTCTGAATCCTTAGGAGACTTCCTCTTGCTGATCTAGGAATTAATTAGTTGCACATATGCTTGATCTGGGATGGAAAACAATTCAGTTTCTGCATTTTACTGACAAGAGTGTTCTGTTTTTTGGTTTTGTTCCTTTTCATCAGTGTAGGGGCTTTTTCTGGTAAGTATTCACAGGGTAACAAAAAGCTTATCTGGAGCAGAAACCATTTTTTATCTAAATGCCTCATCCCAATGGAGTGGCTTGATTTATAGCCAGTCTGAGGCTTGCCCCTGGACCTACTAAACAGTCAGACCATAAGCCATAGTCCATGGATTAGTGAAAATGCAGCATGGCTCACTGTAGGGTGGCTTGGATAGTTATTCATATCATATGAAACTCTGCTTATTGTTTTGAACATGCTTTACTGTGCTCTGTAAGTGACACATCTGTCTCAAGTAGGATTATTTTGAGAAGAGAATAGCACTAGGTAACATTAGTCAGGTTGCTTCATAGTATTCCACATTCCCTACTAATATGGCCCTAAATTATAGCAATTCTCTCAGGACTTGGGGGCAAGATTATTACTGTTATTACTGTTTTATTACTACTGAGTATTTGAGCTCCCTATATATTCTGGTTATTAATTCTAGATGAATCAGATTGGTAGTTTGCAAATATTTTCTCCCATTTTGCATGTTGTCTCTTAATTTTGTTGATTATTTCCTTTGTTGTGTGGAAGTTTTTTATCTTGATGTAATCCCAATTTGTCTATTTTTTCTTTAGTTACTTGTGTTTTGAAGTCACACTCAAAAGATCTTTGCCCAGAATAATGTCCTACATTATTTCCCCAAAGTTGTATTCTAGTAATTTTGTAGTTTCAGGTCTTTATTTATTTAATTCAATTTCATTTGATTGTTTTGCATATGGTAAGAGACAGAGGTCTGGTTTCATTCTTCTGCAACTGGTTACCCAGTTTTCCCAAGAATACTTATTGAAGAGGCTATCTTTTCCCCACTATATATCCTTGGAACCTGTACCAAAAGTGAGTTTACTATAACTGTGTGGATTTATTTCTGTGTTCTCCATTAATTTCCATTGGCGTATGTGTCTGTCTTTATGACAGTACCATGCAATTTGGTTACTGTAGCTTTGTAGTATATTTTAAAATCACTTAGTTTGATGTGTTCAGATTTGTTCTTTTTGCTCAGAATTGTTTTGGCTATCTAGTCTTTTGTCATTCTACATACATTTTAGAATTTATTTTTCTACTTCTGCAAAAATTGTCATTGATATTTTGACAGAAATTGCATAGAATCTGTAAATTTAATTTGGCAGAATTGTCACTTTAACAATATTAATTATTTCAATTCATAAGCCTGTAATATATTTTCTTTTTTGGTATTCTTTTCAATTTCTCTCATCAGTGTTTTATAGTTTTGCTTATATACATCTTTCATTTCTTTGGTTAAATTGATTCCTAGGCATTTTATATTCTTTATAGCTACTGTATATGAGATTACTTACTAGATTCCTTTTTCAAATTGTTCACTGTTGACATATCTAAATGCTACTGATTTTTGTATGTTGCTTTTATATTCTTCAAATTAATGAAATTTGTTTATCAGTGCCAACAGATTTTATTTGTTTGTGTTTTTTTTATGGAGTCTTTAAGTTTTTCTAGGTATAAGATCATGTCATTTTCAAAAAGGGCTAATTTGGCTTCTTTCCTTCCAATTTGAATGCCCTTTCTTTCTCTTGCTTAATTGTTCTGGCCAGGACTTCCAGTAGTATGTTGCAGAAGTGTGATAAAAGTGAACATCATTGTCTTGTTCCAGATCTTGGAGGAAAGGATTTCAAATTTTTTTTCCTGTTCAGTACGATATTAGCCATGGCTTTGTCATATTGGTCTTTATTATTATGAGGTATTTCCTTCTATTACACTAGTTTGTCGAAAAAAATTTTTAGTCACAAAGGGATGTTGAATTTTATCCAATGTTTTCACAGCTTCTATTGAAATAATTGTATGTTTTTTGTTCTTAAACCTGTTAATGTGATTTGTCATGTTTATTGATTTGTGTATGTTGAACAATCCTTATACTCCTGGAATGAATCACACTTGATCACAGAGAATGATATTTTTAATGTGCTATTGAATTCCATTTGCTATTATTTTGTTGAGAATTTCTGCATCTATGTTTATCATTGATATTAATCTGCAGTTTTCTTTTTTTGTTGCATCACTATCTGGTTTTGGCATCAGGGTAATGCTAACCTCATAGAATGCATTTTAAAGTATTTCTTCTTCTTTAATTTTTTTCTAGTAATGTCAATAGAATTAATAATAGTTTTTAAAAAATATTTGGCAGATTTTAGCAGTGAAGCCATCGTGTCCTGGGCTTTTCTTTGATAGAAGACTTTTTATCCATGCTTTGATTTCATTATTCATTCCAGGTTTATGGAAGTTTTTTTTAAATATCCGTGCTATTATTATATTATGGTTTATCTATTCCATTAACTATTAATGCTTGCTTTATATACTTGGGAGCTCCAGTGTTGTGTGCATAGATATTTATTATTGTTATATTCTCATGATAAATTGACTGCTTTATTTTTATGTAGTGACATTCTTCATCTCTATTTTCAGTATTTTATTTGTAGTCTGTTTTATCTGATATAAATATAGCTACTTCTGATTTTTCTGGTCTGTATTTATATAGAATATCTTTTCTGTCCTTTCACTTCCTTTTTCTGTGTGTCTTTATGGGAGATGTCAGCTTCTCATAGGCACTATATAGTTGGGTCTTGTTTCTTAATCCATTCAGCCACTTTATCTCTTTTAATTGAACAATTGAGTACAATTATATTCAGTGTTATTATTGATGAGGAAAAACTTACTACTGCTGTTTTGTTGCCACTTATCTGAATGTTTCATAGCTTCTCTCTTTCTTCCTTTTTTTCAGTCTTACATTTGCCTAAGTAATTTTTATGGTAGTATGTTTTATTTCATTACATTTTTTATTTTTAGTGAATCTATTATGTTTTTGTACTGGGGTTACGATGAGTCTTGCAAAAAATCTTTTAGATATAACTCGTTATTTTAAAGAGATTATAACTTCTCTTAGATCACAAAGAAAATATAAAAAAATGACAATAGAATAAAAGAAAAAGAAACATCTACAATTTAACTCCATCCCCTCACCATGTTTTGACTTTTTGTTGTCTCAATTTACACATTTTTATATTGTGTATTGCTTCTCGGGTTGTTGTAGGTATTTTTTTTCATAGATTTGTCTTTTAAACTTCATACTACGATTATGAGTGGATTGCACACCACAATTTCAGTGTTAGAGTATTCTGGGTTTTCTGTGTATATTTTACCAATGGTTTTTATACCATATGTTTTGTTTTTGCATGCTAGTGGTTCTTTTTCATCGGATTGAAGAAATTCACTCAGAATTTCTTATGAGACAGAGCTGGTGTTAGTGAATTCTCTCAGTTTGTTTTTTTTAATTTTTGGTCTGGGAAATAGTTTATATCTCCATATTTGAAGAACAGCTCTGCTGAAAACAGCATGCTTGGATGGCATTTTTTTTTCCTTTCAGTACTTTAAAAATGTTGTTCCATTCTCTTCTGACCTATATACTTTCTATTTAGAAGTCTCTTGCCAAACAAAGTAGAGCTCCTTTACATGTTATTCGCTTATTTTCCCCTGCTGCTTTTAGGGTCCTGTCTTTGCCACTGGCCTTTCAGAGTTTGATCATTGTGTCTTATGTTGGTTTTATTGAGGTTGAAACTGTCGTGTGTTTTCTGACCTTCCTGTACCTACATATTTATCTCTTTCTCGAGTTTTTGATTATTTTCTGTGGTTATTTGTTTGAATAAGCTTTATATTTCTTCCTTACTCTTGTTCTACTCACTTTTAAACAATAATTTTTAGATTTCATCTATTGAGGTAATTTTTTGTATATTATAGATAATCTTTGTTTCTTTTCATTCTTTTTTCTTTTTCCTTCTCTGATTACATTTTCAAATAGCCTGTCTTTTAGGTCATTAATTATTTCCTCTGCTTTATCCAGTCTGCTGTTGTCTCTAATGCATTTTTCAGTTTGTCAAATCTATTTATTTCAAGATTCCTGTTTGTTTGTTTTTATTATTTCAATCTTTTCATTAATTTCTGTGATTATTAATTTCTGAGTTGCTTCTCTGTGTTATCTTCAAGGTCACTGAGTTTCCTTAAAACTGTTATTTTGAATTCTTCATCAGGGAGCTAATAACATATTGCCATCTTGTTAGGGTCAGTTACTGTTTCTAGTTTTGTCAGTTTAAGGAGGTCATGGTTTTCTGTTTGCATTGTTTCTTGTGAATGTACATCTAGTCTTTGCATTGAAAGTGTTTGCATTATTTATTTATTCTAGTCTTCTCTATCTGGCTTTTTTTTTAATGTTTGCTTGGAGATTTTTATTTACCTGTTGGTTACTTTTTTCTATAAGATCACTGCCTCCTCATTGGCATTTGATGATGCTTTAGGCTGAGCTGTGCCTCAGTTCTAGAAAAAAAAAAAATCAGAGTGTTATCTCTCCCAGTTGGAGATGTCTCAAAGGGGATATCACAGTAGTGTGGGAGGGCTGGCTAGGGGTTTGTGGCCAGGGGACCTGTGGAACACACCTTCTACAGTGTGGTGCTGCTTTGGCATCTCCTTTCACCAAGTTAGAGCAGAGTTTCCAGGGCTGGGGATGGTGGTCTTCCTTTCCCTTTTGTCTCTGGATGTCCTCAAGGATATTTATCTCTGTAGGCACTCCAAATGCTTCCCTTGAGTGAAGAAAAGGATAGGTCTGCTGCCAGGGAACTAAAAATGGTGGGGAAGTTACTTGTCCACCTCAATCTCACTTCTTATTTAGTGTAGAAACTAAGAGTCAGGGGAAATTTTTCCAGGTCCTTGGTGCTGCACATATTGGGGACAGGGACATCGTGGATATAAAAGTCCAATTTTCTTATCATTTGCTTGGAGGTTTTTCACTTCTGTGTGGTCAGGAAACTCTCCCATCGTCATGTTTGTGTTCTGCAACACTACTGGTGATAATCTCACCACGGTATGTTTGCTTCTGATTTCCCATTAGGGTGGGTGATGAATCCTTTTCGGCCAACATTTTTGAACTGGACATCCCAATAATTTCTTAATATCTAACATACTCTATGTTCTCAAGTAACTTTTATGCATATTTCTATAATCAATGTTACTAATTTATAAAAATTGTTCTAATTAAACGTTCTGTTTTGTGGCAAGAGAGAAACTTGGTTCATGCTTTAACATTTAAAAAAAATCCCCAAAGAAAAGTCAAAGACACACGTAAAGAAATCAGTATAAATACTTTTTGATAAATGAAAATAGTTTTATAGTATGGCTATAAAGCTCCTTCACATATTCCGAAGACAAGTGTTTACAAGGAAAAATTAATCAGCTCAATTAAAACTACATAGCTTAAGTTTAGTAAGTTATTTATTCTCTTTTATAGGATAGTTATAGTATGATTTTGATATTCTTGGATATTACATGTAAATTCTATATCTGGGAATAGAATTGTTGAATAAGTGTACAGAAAATAGGTATTTTATGTTACTATACAAACTTATATAAAATTTAGTTTTAAAAATATAAGCAGCTATAAAATAAATTATACATCACACCCTGAGTATATTTCCATAGGCTTTAACATCTTAATCATTAAAGAAAATAAAAATCTCTCAATTACCACTCTTCAGAAGTTTCTAAAGAAAGTTCCTAGAAAAAAATAGATAATTTCTGTAGCTGGAGCATAATTTATGCTATTTAGAAATATTTGTCTTATTTTAAAATTTTTAAACTAAGTATTGAAGTATTGTTTTAAATCCACATACCTCTGTTACAGATCCAGAATAATAATAACAATCATTTCCTTCCAATTATATGCACCTGTTTCTCATCTTCAACTACAATAGTAATAACAATAAATCTTAATAATCTTTGATTAAGAAGTTTCTCTTTGCCTGCCAGAGTTGTAACTTATTTAGCTCTCACAATGACCCAGTTAGTGGTATTCTGCTCATGGAGATAAGAACTGAAGCACAGTTAACAAACTGAAAAATATTTAATGAGATTAGTGAAATGAACCATTGATAGAGGTAAAGGTTTACTTGTACCATAAAAATAACTTGGATTCCGGAAGATGATTGTGAACATTTAGTTAATTGTTTAAAATTTGATTGATGCACTTTGAAGTTGTTAATAGCAGTAATTGTACAAGTAATAATGAAAATAGTAATGCCAGTAGATTCTTAACAACATAAACATTTCTAATTTTCTTACGTGGGCTTTTTGTATTGCTCTATTTTAACCTGAGAGAAACATTAATTTTATTGTCATAGATACTTTTTTTTCACATTTTATAGTGTAGTTGTTATATTCTAGACATGGTCATAAGCTGACTTTTAAATAAAGTGTGATATGTCTATGGCAAGAAAACAGCATTTCAATAGATGAATTTAAGCCAAAACATTTTTAGGGGGTCCAAAATAAAAGACTTCATCAATTGAACTGACCAGTTCAAGAGCTTTAATTTTTTTTTAATTCCCAAGTCACTTTTGTGTGTAAAGACATCTATAACCTACCTGACCTTGCTCCATTAATGATGTTCAGACTCCTACACACTGGAAAAGCAGCAAGTCACTAGGGAAAAATGCTCTGCAAGTGCAGCCATTGTTCTCGCACTTCTCAACTCCCAGGTGCATGTACATACTATTTAAATAGAGTCTTATCCAGGGTGCCACTTACTATAAATGGCTTTCTAGTTAGGCAGAGATAGCAGACCCACAGCTCTGCTCCTTAAACCGGAATAATCACAGTCAGATCTTATCACAGGATATGACTTGAAATTTTCACATGGACTAGCCAATTCTAAGAGTTTCATAAAATTAAATTTCTTATTTAAAATCCATTATTTCGTAGAAGCCCTCGATGTTTCTTGAACATAAATTTATTTTAGCTTGAATTACTATTTCTTGAGCCTCCTTAATCTAAGGTGGAAGAAACAAAACAGATTAGTCAGGTCTTATTGCCTATAAGAATGTGTCTCATAGTTAACCTACTGCTTCTAGTAATAAGGATGACATTTTAGAGAAAATAGATTTACTTTTCTATCATTGTGTGTCATTGATATGAATTGATTCTGTTTGTTATTCAGTATGATCAATCAGTTAGTACTTCTTAATTATCAAGTCTGATTAAGTTTTTGCAAATATTTTAATGTGAATGGTATTCACTCATCATGTTTCTGATGTGATGTGGTGAATTATCAAATGTGTATTAATTGGTAAGTTTAAGTAAGTGAATTTATTAAGTATTACCTAAACCAATAATTAATATCCTTCTCCAGATTGGAAACAATGAATTATCTCTCGTTGGCTTAATATCTTTCAAAGATTCATTGTGTCAACCTGAGTCCTCCATGAAGGAGACACTAAAACAGATTTAGATTTACAGGAGATTTATTAAAAGGTAACACCTGTGAAAGATAGAGGAGGAAGCGGTATAAACAGGAAAAGCTTTCAAACAACAATGATAATCTGACGACAGTGAAAGAAGTCAGGGAGAAAGAAAGATCAGGAAGAACTATCCTCACAGTGCTGTGCAACACAGAGAAACTTTCAGTCATACTAATGGCAAGCTCTAGCCTAAAAATTGCCCCACAGGAGTCTTACCTTGAGCATAATGGCCAGACCCTGTCACTCCATGTACACTTGTGGTAGGCAGATAATGATCCCCCAAATATACTCACATCCTAATTCTCAAAACTTCTGAACATGTCATGTTACATAGTAAAGGAAAATTAAAATTGCTGTTGGAATTAAAGATTCTAATCAGGTGACCTAAAAATAGGCAGATTATTTTGTATTATCTGAGTGTTAACAATATAACCACAATAGTCCTTAAAAGGAGGCTCCAGAAAAATAGAAAACTCTCAAGTATAAGATCGTCAATACGTAGGAACAAGGAAATATTCTGTGGGCTGTTGTTCAGAATTAACTTTGGAAATTTTAAGCAGCAGGTTCATGTACATTATCTTGTTTCTACTCTCTCACCAAATTTTTCCCTTTTTTCCTTCTTTCTTTTTTTATATATATGACCCTTCACAAACACAAAAGAAATGATACTTCTGTGATATTCTGTTTACTATGGAAATGTCCTCCTCATTTTGATTAATGCTTCTAAATATGATGCAATAAAGTGACTCCATTTTTGATGTTAGATCAATGGCACGTTTCACACCCTACACTTTCTTCTTTTCCTCTTGCCTCATATATAGGAAATCCAAAAAGAAACATTGAACGTGCTTTCCTTGGCACCAGCAGGGAAGGTCAAACCATGTAAACTCAGGCAGTAGGCAAGAGAAACTCTTACCCAATCCTAACCCCTAAACACAATAAATACCAAAGCTACAAGCCCTTCCCATTGCCTAAGCCATTTAAGGCCAGCAATGGCTGCTTTCCTCTCCCAAGAAAACATATAGAAATGCCAAAACATAATTATTCAAACTCTTAAGTTAGTCTCCACCATCAACCAGGCATTGTCCAGTTACCCTGAGGCCACCTGAAAGAGGAAAAAAATGTAGAAACATTAATGTTCCCTTTTTTAAAAAAGTTTAAAAATGTTCACTTATTAAATATTCTTTGGGTTATATCATAGACAGGGCTCTCTATTTTTGAATGTCTACTTAATGCATCCTAGAATACAGTAATTACTTAGATTAGAAGGATTCAAAATCAGACAGGATCTAGTAAGTAACAGCATGAGAAACAGGTCATTAGAATTTCAGATGAAATGCTAGGAAAATATTTGACTTAGCACAAGATCTAATCTGGAATTTGTAAATACTGATGCTTTTAAAATTTGAGAGTATTATATCAATACAACTGTTAATATAAATTTAGTTAACCTAATTTGGAATAAGAAATACATCTCTACAAATTACCAATGGCAAAATCTTGGCAAATACTACGAGCATAGAAACATTTAGGAAAATAACAATGTTTTATTAATTATCTTCATTACTGATGCATACTCAATATGTTACACTGATTTTTAATGCTTTTTCTTCAGAGAGAAGAAAAAGAAGTATATTTCTCTCTAGCATGATGAACCAATATTTGCTAGATTTTGTTGTTGATGCATAAGAAAGCTATCACATACATGACTAGTTTTTAGAAATGCTGTGTAAATGATTGGATTGTTATTAATGTTGGAAATTCTCTACCAAGGTTCTTTTATGAATGAGTTGTACTTACTAAGAATAAGTTTCAGCAAGCTGACTTCTGACTCCTGGTTTCTGAAAGCTGCTTTGTTTTTGTTTTACTATCTTCGTCCTTGCAGCATTGGGCACTGATGTTTATTTTCTATAAACCTTCTTTCCTGCAACCTTGTGTCCCAAAGTGGATAACCTGACACAGTGGATGGTTGGCAATGCTGTTCTGAGAAACCATTAATACATGGGAGGAGCAATCAATAACTTAGTTATATATGGATAGAAGTGTTAGCCATATAATTATTTCTCAGACTCAAATTAAATGTTCATTCCTAAACCACCATGCACAAGACATTTAACAGAAAACATCAGTCAGTGTAAAAAGTCATCTGCCTGAAACAGTTATTACTATGGATTGAATGTGTCTTTCCAAAATTCATATGTTGAAACTCTAAAGTCCATTGTGATGATATCTGGAGATGGGGCCTTTGGAAGATAATTAGATTGTGATCATGGAGCTTCTTGATGGGATTGATATTATTATAAGTCGAGACAGGAGAGAGCTTGCTTCTTCTCTGCTGTCTGCCATGTGAAAATACAGTAAGAAGACAGCCATTAGAAAACTAGAAAGACCTTCACAAAATATTAAATCTGCTATAAGTTTTATTTTGGACTTCTAGCCTCTAAAATTATGAGAAATAAATGCTTGCTGTCTAAGCCATCAAGTATATGGTATATGTGTTATAACAGCCTGAAGTAAGACAATTATATCACCTATTTAAAAATTTTACAAAAATATATGACTATGTCAATAATTGCTAAGACCCCTTCAAGTGCCTTAGAAACAGCTCATAGAAGTGTGAGGCTTTGGAACTTAAATTCAAAATATTTCAATTGAAGTGAATTCTTTATTGATTTAAGAGTACATTTAAAAAGTCACTTCTTAGGTAATACTATTTATCTTATTCTTAATTTTCTCTTACAACATTCCATACTACATGTCCTCAGAAACATATGCAGTGACAAATATATTATTTACAGTAAAGGAACAGGCTGATTTCCAGTCTGTCTCTGGTATTCTTTTTTTTTCCAACATTTTTTAAAAACATTCAAACATATATGGAAGTTAATATACGATTATAATTGTATATATGTGACCACCTGTAGTTTATCATTATACTCATCACTTAGATTTATAATTAGCATTTTAGTAAACAATTTATCTCATCTCTTTATGCATCCATCAAATATAAGTATATTGGAAAGAAAAATTGAGATATTAGTATATTCTCTTGAAACACGTCACTAATTAGTTCACTATGTTTTGTAGTCTTTTTTTAAGACCAAATTTACTTAAGTTGGAATGAAGAAATTAACATTTCTATTGACAGGGTGTGACAATTACATACACTGAACTCAAACTATTATCAAAGTAAGAATGTTGTATCATCCTAAATAGTTCTCTCTTGTCCCTACTTAGTCAGTCTCCATCCTCAGTCAGTAAGGCTAACCATTTTCATTTTTTTGTGTGTGATTATTTTTCTGCTATGAATTAGTTTTACCTAATGGAAATGCAAATACACAATATGTACTTTTTGTTTGTGATTGCACTTAGCATATATTTTTGAAATTTATTTTTGTTGTTGCATGTATAATGAGCTCCTTTTAATTGCTCAGTAAAATTCCACTGTAAATACATATCACTGTTTACATATCAATTCTCTTGTTGATTGACAACATTATTTTTGCTTTGTGACTATTATGAGTAAAGCTACTATCAACATTTTTGTACAAGTTTTCACTTAACCATATATTTTCATTTATGTTAATTAAATACCTGCTAGCGGATTTGCTGGATCATAGGAAAAATGTATGTTTAGTTTTGTAATGAACTACTAGGCTAATTCTCAAACTATGTACATTTATCTTTCCAATAGCAATGTATAAGAATTGCTGTTGTTTCATATTCTCTCAACTATTTGTTATTATGAGTTTGTTAAAGGCCATAATAGGGTATAGAATTGCGTAACATGATAATGTAATGTGCAATCCCTGATGTCTAATAATGTTGAGTACTTTTTTATTTGAATAATAACCATTTAGATTTATTATAATTTGTTAGTTCAATTTTTGCCCATTGCATTGGGTTTTCTCTATATGACTTAATTATAAAAGTTTATAGACACTTTTATACATCCTGGATATTAATACTTTGTGATACATGTTTTGCAAATATTTTGCCTACCTACAACTCATGAAAATATTTTCCAATGTTTTCCACTACAAACTTTATACAATTATCTTTTATATTTAGACTCATGAACCATCTAAATAATTTTGTGCATTGTATGCAGTATCTGTCAAAAAATTTTGATGTTTGTTTAATTTCCTATGTGGAGGGATGTTCAGTTATTCCAGCAACATTTGTTGAAAAGACTTACTTTCCTTATGAAATATCTTAACTGCTTTGATTTAAAAAAAAAAGACAACTATTTAAGTATGCCTGTTTATTTGCTTTTTTCTGTTTCATTAATTCATTTATTTTTTCACCTCATATTAATTATTGCAGCATTGTAGTTATTTGTATATTTAGCTGCTGCAATCCCTCTAACATTTCTCTTTTCAAGCTTGCTTTGAACATTTTGAATAAATCATCCAGGAAAGAACACTGGTATTCAGCAGAGAAGTGCCAGGAAATATCAAAATCAAGAAAGGAGAGGGAAGTGAGGAGTCTGAATAGCTGGAATCTGCTGGGAGCCTGAGAAATTTCACAATGCGAAGAAAGGTTAAGTGAGAGAATCCCAGTGGTCCACATTTTCACGGTGGACTCCTGCAATCAGAGGCACCTGAGGTCCCCTCAACCTTCATGGGCCCTGAAACATAAAGAGTTGCCTAGAGACGGCATGACAGTTCTGCTCCAGAGAAGGAGCTAATGCTGGGTTCCCCACAATTTCCAAGTCCTAAGCAATTATAGCATGTTGCCATTTTGAGAGCCCAATCGCCAACTGACTGCTCCCCACCACGGGTTACAGCAATGCCTGCATCTCCATCTCCCTTGATTCCCACTGGTATGCCTTAATTGCAGACACTATCATGGCTAGCTACTGCTGACCAGGATGAAGTATGAGCAAAATAACAGGCTACTGCTGCCAGGGCCAGAGGGCAAGTGAAGTATCAGCTGTCACTGCCAATGCTAAAGCATGAACCACACATGAGCTCCTGATGCCAGGGCTGAAACATGAGCAAAGCACACGTTCCTCATTTGCTTGCATATGGTTCCTGCCACTGAATGCAATAATGCTGATATAGTTTGAACTCGTGTCCCCCCAAAATCTCATGTTGAATGTAACCTTCAATGATGGAGGTGGGGCTTGGTGGGAGGTGATTGGATCATGGGGGTTGTTTCTAATGGTTTAACACCATCCCCCAAGTGTTTTTCTCATGATAGAGGTCTCATGAGATCAGCTTATTTAAAAGTGTGTGACACCCAACCTTTCATTCTTCCTCCTACTCCAGCTACTGACTCTCCCTTTGCCTTCTGCCATGATTGTAAGTTTCCTGAAGGCTCCTCATAACCCATCATGCTTCCTGTATGGCTTGCAGAACCACGAGCCAACTAAACCTCTTTATTTTACAAGCTACACAGTCTGAAGTGTTTCTTTATAGCAGTGCAAGAGTTGACTAATACAGAAAATTGGTACCAAGGACTGGAGGTTGCTAAGATGTGGCAACACCTTTGGAGTTGGCATATAAAACTCATTTCAGGGACCTGAGGCTGGGCTAACTGATACTGCTGCTACAACCACATCTGGCACCTACCTAGATGTACTATTTTTTGGGCGAAACCTCTTTTCTCTTTTTTTTTTTTTTTTTTGACAGACAGAGTATCGCTCTGTCGCCAAGTTGGAGTTCAGTGGCACGATCTCAGCTCACTGCAACCTCTGCCTCCCATGTTCAAGCGATTCTCCTGCCTTAGCCTCCCGAGTAGCTAGGACTACAGGCTTGCGCCACCACGCCCGGGTAATTTTTGTATTTTTCAGTAGAGATGGGGTTTCACCATGTTGGCCAGGGTGATCTCGAAATCTTGACCTCGTGATCCGCCCACCTCAGCCTCCCAAAATGCTGGGATTACAGGCGTGAGCCACTGTGCCCAGCCCTAAACCTCGTGGTTTTTTTTTTTTGTTTTTTTTTACAAGCTACATATTCTCAGGTATTTCTTTATAGCAGTGCAAGAGTTGATTAATACAAAATTGATACCAAGGACTGGAGATTGCTAAGATGTGGCAATACCTTTGGAGTTGGCATATAGGAACTCATTTCAGGGACCTGAGGCTGGGCCAACTGACACTGCTGCTATAACCACATCTGGCACCTACCTAGATGTACAATTTGGGCCTGGGCCTGGAGACTACCTTGCCCAGCCCATCATAGACACTACCAACATGAATGTGCACCTCTCGGGACCCAGAGAGTTACCTGTCACTACTACTGCCAAAACCCAAACCCCTTCTGTTGCCCAGAAGCTTGAGAACTCAGCCACCTGGAGGGCCCACCAATGTACTACCAAGAATCAGCTGGAGGCACAATAATTAACCTGTCTGAATCTGCTAACACTGTTGCCAGTGTACACCACCCTGGGACCCAAGGGCAGGCACATTCACCCCACTGGTGCCACCACGGTAGTTCAGTTACTGACTCACCTTGTGTCTCAGTTCCCAGTAAAACTTCACCACAGCCTTCATTAATGATGATGCCATAAGCCATCAAGGAAATTTCAGTCACCAAAGATGCTGTTTACAGCTGGAGAAATTATATTGAGACTACATTACTGCACACACACACAATCAAAGTGAAGTGCCCTAATCAACCAACTGCATATATTCAACTTGAGGAAAAAGTTTTTCCCTACAACATCGAATTCATAAATTGGAAGAAGCAACTGTTACAACAGGTGCACAGATATCAATGTAAGGACAAGAAAACACGAAAAATCAAATTTGTCATCTCCAGAACACAAAATTCTTCAGAAATAGATCCCAATCAGAAAGAAATTTATAAAATCCTAGAAAAAATAATTCAAAATATTGACTTTAAAGATCAGTGAGATACAAGAGAATACTGAAAAATACTACAAAGAATTCAAGAGGACAATTCAGGATATATATGACAACTGTACCAATGGGAGAGATTTAATAGTAAAGAACTAAAGAGAAATTCTGAAACAAAACAAGTCATTGAATAAAATTAAAAATATACGTGAAACCTCCAATTATAGAGTAGATCAAGCACAAGAAATAATCTCAGAACTTGAAGACAGGGGTTTTGAAACAATTCAGACAGACAAAAATGAGGGGGAAAAATAAGCAAATCCTATGTGACATATAGTACAGATAAGGTGACCAAATATTTGAGTTTTCTGAGTCCCAAAAGGCCGAGAGAAAGTAAAATGATTCAAAACCATCTATTTAATGAAATAATAGAGGAATTTTCGAAGTTTAGCAAAAGATTTAGATGTTCAGCTATACGAAGCTCAGACATTTTCATGCAAATACAATGCAAAAAGGTCTTCTCCATGACACTTTTTAATTAAGATGTCAAAGGTAAAAGACAAAGAGAGAAATCTAAAAAGGACAAAAGCAAATGGCTAGTCACTTATAAAGAAATCCCCATCAAATTAACAGAATTTCTCAGCAGAAACCTTATAGGCCAGGAGACAATAGGATGTCATATTCAAAGTGCTAGAAGAAAGAAACAAACAACAACAACAAACACTGCCAGCTATACCCACGTAAGTTATCTTTTGTAAGTGAAGTGTAAATGAAGTCTTTCCAAGACAGGCAAAAGCTGAGAAAAATTATTGCTGCTAGACTGACCCTAAAATAAATGCTTAAGAAAGTTCTACATCCAGAAGTGAGAGAACAAGATCTACCACGATGAAATATTTGAAAATATAAGAACCACAGGTAGAGGGAACATACAAAGAAAAGACTCAAAAGTTAACAATACAGTAAACCACAACACTAAAATGATACACAATAAGAGAGAAAGAAAAGAACAAAGGATGTACAAAAGAGCAGAAATCAATTAATAAAACGACAGGAGTAAACCCCCATATGTTAATAGTAACCTTAAATATAATGAATTAAACTTTCCACTTAAAAGATATAAATAGGCCAAATGGATAAAACTACATAATTCAACTATATGCTGCCTACAGTAAACTCATCTCACCTGTAAGGACAAATAAAGGCTGAAAGTGAAAGAAAGAAAAGCAATAGTTCATGCAAATGGAAACCAATAGTGATCAGAAGTAGCTATACTTGTATTGGACAAAACACGCTTTAAGTCAAACACTCTAAAAAGAGACAAAGAAGGTAATTTTGTAATGATAGAAGAAACAATTCAGCAAGAGGTTATAACAATTCTAAACATGTATGTATCCAACAACAGAGCAACCAGATGTGTAAACCTACATCTAATATTATATTGAATTTTGTTGCACTGTAGGTGTTAAATATTGCAGTTTAGAATTGTGCTGCATATTCTCATCTTTACAATAAAAAATATGTGAGCTTCAATACAATAATAGTAGGGTATTCAACACCCCACTGTTAGCATTAAGCAAATCATATAGACAGAAAATTAATAAGAAAACATTGGATTTAAACTGCATATTTGACTCAATGGACCTAATAGACTTGTTCAGAATATTTAATTCAATATCTACAGAAAATACATTTTTTCTCATAAGCAAATAGAATATTCTTCAGTATATATCTAAGGCTAAAACTGAAGTCTCAACAAATTTTTTAGAAATTATAAATTATATCAAGTATCTTTTGCAATCACAGTGGAATACAACTAGAAACCAATGGCGAGAGAAAACTCAGAAAATACACAAACACATGAAAGTTAAACAACACGTTCCTGAATGAGCATCATATCAATATGATAATTAAGAAGAAAATAAAAATATTCTTTGAAACAAATGAAAATTAAAACACAGCATACTAAAATAAGTGAGATTCAGCAAAAGCAGTGCTAAGAGGGAAGGTGATAGCAGTAAGTACCTACATCATAAAAGTAGAAGGATTTCAAATAAACAATATAATCATGGACTTTAACAAAGTATAAAAGCAAAAACAAAGAAAATACCAAAGTATTAAAAGAAAAAAAATGAAGATCACAGCAGAGCTAAATGAAATAAAGTCAAAAAATAATGTAAAGTATTAACAAAAGAAAAACTGGGGTTTTCTTGAAAACATAAACAAAATCAATAAACCACTTACTACATTAAACAAAGAAAAAGAGAGAAATCCCAAATAAACAATATTAGAAATGAAAAGAAGCCATTAAATACAAAAGATCATTAGAGACTATTATGAACAACTCTATACCAACAAACTAACAAACCTAAAAAAAAAATGGATAAATTCCTGAACACATACACTCTACCAAGATTGATTCAGAAGGTATAGAACAGACCAGTAACAAATAATGAGTAATAAAAAAGGCTCTCAACAAATAAAAGTTTAGGACTGAATGGCTTCACTGTTGAAATCTTCAAAACATTCAAATCTGCTAACACTGTTGCCAGTGTACACCACCCTGGGACCCCAGAACTAACACCAATTCTCCTTAAAGTATTTTAAAAAGTTGAAGAGTAAAAAATTTTCTGTAATTCATTCTGCAAGGCCATTTTACTCTGACACCAAAATCAGAGAAGGATGCAACAACAACAAAGAAAAAATTACCAGGAAATATTCCTGAAGAACATAGATGCAAAAATCCTCAATAAAATATGATCATGTCATCTGCAAACAGAGACAATTTGACTTCCTCTCTTTCTATTTGAATACGCTTTATTTCTTTCTCTTTCCTGATTGCTCTGGCCAGAACTTCCAATACTATGTTGAATAGGAGTGGTGAGAGAGGGCATCCTTGTCTTGTGTTGGTTTTCAAAGGGAATGATTCTAGCTTTTGACCATTCAGTAAGACATTGGCTGTGAGTTTGTCAAAAATAGCTCTTCTTATTTTAAGATATGTTCCATCAGTACCATGTTTATAGAGTTTTTTGCATGAAGGGGTGTTGAATTTTATCAAAGGCCTCTTCTGCATCTATGGAGATAATTATGTGGTTTTTGTAATTGGTTCCGTTTATGTGATGGATTACGGTTATTGATTTGCTTATGTTGAACCAGCCTTGCATCTCAGGGATGAAGCCAACTTGATTGTGGTGAATAAGCTTTTTGATGTGCTGCTGGATTTGGTTTGCCAGTGTTTTTATTGAGGATTTTCTCAGGTATGTTCATCAGGGATACTAGTCTGAAATTTTCTTTTTTTGTTGTGTCTCTCCCAGGTTTTTGTATTAGGATGATGCTGGCCTCATAGAATGAGTTAGGGGGAGTCACTGTTTTTCTAATGTTTGCAATAGTTTCAGAAGGTATGGTACCAGCTCCTCTTTGTACCTCTGGTGAATCTGTCTCGTCCTGGGCTTTTTTTGGTTGGTAGGCTATTAATTACTGCCTCGATTTCAGAACTTATGATTGGTCTATTCAGGGATTCAACTTCTTCCTGGTTTAGTCTTGGGAGGGTGTATGTGTCCAAGAATTTATCCATTTCTTCTTGAATTTCTAGTTGATTTATGTAGAGGTGTTTATAGTATTCTCTGATGTTAGTTTGTATTTCTGTGAGATCAGTGGTGATATCCCCTTTATCATAATTTATTGTCTCTTTTTGATTCTTCTATATTTTCTTCTTTATTAGTCTGGTTAGCAGTCTATTTTGTTAATCCTCTCAAAAAACCAGCTTCTGGATTCATTGATTTTTGAAGGGTTTTTTCTGTCTCTATCTCCTTCAGTCTGCTCTGATCTTAGTTATTTCTTGTCTTCTGCTAGCTTTTGAATTTGTTTGCTCTTGCTTTTCTAGTTCTTTTAATTGTGATGTTGGGGTGTTGATTTTAGATATTTCCCACTTTCTCCTGTGGGTATTTAGTGCAATATCATGAAAATGGCCATACTGCCCAAAGTAATATATAGATTCAATGCTCACCCCATCAAGCTACCATTGACTTTCTTCACAGAATTAGAAAAAAAACTACTTTAAATTTCATATGGAACCAAAAGAACCTGTATAGCCAAGACAATCCTAAGCAAAAAGAGCAAAGCTGGAGGCATCACGCTACCTAACTGCAAACTATACTACAAGGCTACAGTAACCAAAACAGCATGGTACTGGTACCAAAACAGATGTATAGACCAATGGAACAGAACAGAGGCCTCAGAAATAATGCCACACATCTACAACCATCTGATCTTAGAAAAACCTGACAAAAACAAGTAATGGGGAAAGGATTCTCTATTTAATAAATGGTGTTGGGAAAACTGGATAGCCAAATGCAGAAAACTGAAACTGGATCCCTTGCTTACACCTTATACAAAAATCAACTCAAGATGGATTAAAGACTTAAACATAATACCTAAAACCATAAAATCCTTAGAAGAAAACCTAGGCAATACCATTCAGGACATAGGCATGGACAAAGACTTCATGACTAAAACACCAAAAGTAATGGCAACAAAAGCCAAAATTGACAAATGGGATCTAATTAAATTAAAGAGCTTCTGCACAGCCAAAGAGACTCATCAGAGTGAACAGGCAACCTACAGAATGGGAGAAGATTTTTGCAATCTATCCATCTGACAAAGGGCTAATATCCAGAATGTACAAGGAACTTAAACAAATTTACAAGAAAAAAACACAACCCTATCAAAAATTGGGTGAAGGATATGAACAGTCACTTCTGAAAAGAAGACATTTATGTGGCCACAAACATATGAAAGAAAGATGGTCATTAGAGAAATGCAAATCAAAACCACAGTGAGGTACTATCTCACACCAATTAGAATGGCGATCATTAAAAAGTCAGAAAACAACAGATGCTGAAGAGGATGTGGAGAACTAAGAATGCTTTACACTGTTGGTGGGAGTGTAAACTAGTTCAACCATGGTGGAAGACAGTGTGACAATTCCTCAAGGATCTAGAACCAGAAATACCATTTGACCCAGCAATCCCATTACTGGGTATATACCCAAATGATTATAAATCATTCTACTAAAAAGACACATGGACATGTACATTTATTGCAATACTGTTCACAATAGCAAAGACTTGGAACCAACCCAAATGCCCATCAATGCTAGACTGGATAAAGAATACGTGGCACATATACACCATGGAATACTATGCAGCCATAAAAAAAGATGAGCTCATGTCCTTTGCAGAGACATGGATGAAGCTGGAAATCATCATTCTCAGCAAACTAACACAAGAACAGTAAACCAAACACCGCATGTTCTTACTCATAAGTGGGAGTTGAACCATGAGAACACATGGACACAGAGAGGGGAACATCACACACAGGAGCCTGTTGAGGGGTTGGGAGGCTGGGGAGGGATAACATTAGGAGAAATACCTAATGTAGATGATGGGTTGATGGGTGCAGGAAACCACCATGACAAGTGTATACCTATGTAACAAACAAACCTGCATGTTCTGCACATGTATCCCAGAACTCACAGTATAATAATAATAATAAAAACAAGAGAAAAAAAGTAATATCCCCTGATTAAGTAGGATTTATCCCAGATATGCAAGGATTCCATCAACATACATATCAATAAACATGATACATTACATCAGTAGAGTGAAGAACAAATAGATGCAGAGAAAGCATTTGATAAAATTCAACATCTCTTCAAGATAACAACTCTCAACAAACTAGGCAAAGAAGAAATGTACATTAACATAACAAAGGCCCCATATGACAAACAGACAGCAAAACATATACTGAATGGACTTAATGGAAAGACGCTGGAAGACTTTCCTCTAAAAACTGAACCAAGACACAGATGTCCACTTTCACCACTTCTATTCAACAAAGTACTGAACATCCAGAGCAATCAGGCAAGAGAAAAAAATAAAAGGCATGAAAATTGGAAAATAGGAAGTCACATTAACCCAATTTGCTGATGATATGATCTTATATCTAGAAAATCTATAAATATCTCCACAAAACTCTTAGATACGATTAATAAATTCAGTAAAGTTGCAGGATACAAAACCAATATACAACAGTTAGCTGTATTTCTATATACCAACAATGAATTAACCAATAAAGAAATCAAGAAGGCAATCCAATTTACATTAATCTACAAGCAAAATAAAATACCTAGGAATAAATTTAACCAAGAAGGTGAAAAATCTCTGCAAGGAAAACTGCAAAGTACTGATGAAAGGAATTGAAGAGGCGCAAACAAAAGAAAAGACTTACTATGCTCATGGATTTAAAAATTTATAATGTTGGGCACAGTAGCCCATGCCTGTAATACCAAACTTTGGGAGGCTAAGGAAGGAGGATTGCTTTAGCCAAAAATTCACAACCAGCCTGGGCAACATACTGAGATTCCATCTTTACAAAAAATAAAGTTAAAAAATGAGACAGGTGTGGTGGTGCATACCTGTAGTCTTAGTTACTCAGGAGGTTGGTTGAGAGGATCTCTTGACCCCAGGAGATCAAAGATGCAGAGAGTCATGATAATGACACTGCACTCTATCCTAAGTGACAGAGTGAGACCTTCTCTCAGAAAACAAATGAAAAACTAATATCGTTAAAATGACCATACAGAACAAAACAACCTACAGATTCAATGCAACTGATATCAAAATATCAATGTTATTTTACACAGAATTAGAAAAAACAATCCTAAAATTTATATGGAACTAAAAAAGAGCCAAAATAGCCAAAGCAATCTTAAGCAAAAATAACAAAGCTGGAGGCATCGCACTGCCTGACTTCAAAGCATACCATGACCAAAACAGCATGGTACTGGTATTATAGTAGATAAATACGTCAATGGAGCAGAGAACACAGAAATAAAGCCACTTAACTACAGTCAACTCATCTTTGACAAAGTCAACAAAAGTGGATTATATTGTTTAGCTCAGTGTCCCCACCCAAATCTCATATTGAATTGTAATCCCCATGTTTTGGAGGACGGACCTTGTGGGAGGTTATTGAATCATGAGGGAGGACTTTGCTCTTGTTGTTCTCGTGATAGAGAGTGGGTTCTCATGAGATCTGGTTGTTTGAAAGCATGTGGTACTTCCCTCTCGCTCTCTCTCTCTCTCCTTCCACCATGTGAAAAAGGTGCTTGCTTTTCCTTCCCCTTCGGTGATGATTGTGTCTCTACACAAATCTCATCTTGAATTGTAGTCTCCAATGTTGGAGTTGGAGCCTAATGGGAGGTTATTAAGTCATGGGAGCAGATTTCTCATGAATGGTTTACCACCATCCCTTTGGTACTGAACTCATGAGAGTGAGTGAGTTCTCATGAGATCTGGTCATTTAGAAGTATGTGGCACCTTCCTTCCTCCTCTTGCTCCTGCTCTTGCCATGTGATGTGCCTCCTCCCCCTTCAGCTTTCACCATGATTGTAAGTTTCCTGAGGCCTCCTTACAAGCCCAGTAGATGCCAGCATCATGCTTCCTGTACAAACTGCAGAACTGTGAGCCAATCGAACCTCTTTTCTTTATAAATTACCTAGTCTCAGCTACTTCTTTATAGCAGTGTGAGAATGGCCTAATAGAGATGGATTGGACTTAAACGTAAGACCTGAGACAATAAAATTTATTAGAAGAAAATATAGGGAAAACACTTCAGGAAATTGGTCTAAGCAAAGAATTAATGACCAAGATGCCAAAAGCACATGAATAGACATTTCTCAGATGAAGACATACAAAGGCTAATGAGTATATGAAAAAATGTCAATTGGGACTGTATTAAACCAAAAAGCATCTGCCCAGCAAAGACCACAACAAAAAAAGTGAAGATGCAACCTGTTGCATGGAAGAAAATATTTGCAAACTATTAGTCCAATACAAAACTAATATTCATAATTTATAAGGAACTCAATTAACTCAACAGTAATTTTTAAAAATCTCATTAAAAAGTAAAAAAATGGGCAAAGGACATGAATAGAAATTTCTCAGAAACAGACATACAAAGGCTAATGAGTATATGAAAAAGATGTCAAATGGGACTGTATTAAACCAAAAAGCATCTGCTCAGCAAAGAACAAAACCAAAAGAGTGAAGAGACAACCTGTTGCAGGGAAGAAAATATTTGCCAACTACTAATCCAACATAAAACTAATATTCATAATTTATAAGAAACTCAACAACAATTTTTAAAAAATCTCACTAAAAAGTAAAAAGTGGGCAAAGGACATGAATAGACATTTATCATAAACAGACATACAAAGAGGATAACGAGTATATGAAAAAATGTTCAACATTGTCAAGCATCATAAAACAAAACAAAACCACAGTGAGATAACATCTTTCTCTATCAGAATGGTTATTATTAAAAAGATGAAAAATAACAGACACTGACACGGATGCAGAGAAAAGGAAATGCTTTTACATTGTTGGTGGTAATGTAACTTAGTATAGTCACTACGGAGAACGCATGGAGATTCCTCAAAAACTAAAAATTGAACTATTATACAATCTAGCAATCTCATTGCTAGTTGTTTGTGAAAGAAAGAAAAAGAGAGAAAGAGAAAGAACAAAAGAAAGAAGAAAGGAAGGAAGGAAGGACAGAGAGAAAGAAAGAAGAAAGAACTAATGAAGGAAAGAAGAGAAAGAAAGAAAGAAAGAGAAAGAAAAGAAAAGAAAAAAGAGAAAGAAAGAGGGAGGGAGAAAGAAAGAGGGAGGGAGGAAGGAAGGAAGGAATCAGTATTTCAAATAGTTACCTTCATTGCATGTTTGTTTCAGCACTATTCACAATAGGATAGATATGTAATTAACTTAAGTGTTCATCATCAGACTACTAGACAAAGAAAATGTGGTATATATACACAATGGAATCCTATTTAACCATAAAAAGTGAAATCATGCCATTCTGAGCAACATATATGGAACTGGAGGTCATTATATGAAGTGAAAATAGCCAGGCACAAAAACAAATATTGCAATGTTTTCACTTCTAGGTAGGATCTAAAAAAGTTGATCTCATGGAGATTTAAAAAAAAATAGAATAAAAAATACCAGAGGTTGGGAAAGGTGGTGAGTGGGAGAAGGCATGAAGAGAGAATGACTAATTTGAAAAAAATACAAACATTAGAACTTGTGTCTTCTAATGGCTGGGACCACAGTAGGGTGATTACAGTTGGCAACAATATATTATATGTTTCTAAGTAGCTAAAAGAGGGGACTTGAAATGTTTCCAACTCATAGAAATGATAAACACTCAAGGTGATGGAAACCTCAAATACTCTGACTTGCTCATTACACACATGATTAGGCAACAAATACTCATATGTAACCCATAAATACGTACAACATTACGTATCAATTTAAAAAATTATTGGTCACAATTATGTCATACCCTGGTCCCAGCAATGAAGATACAGCGGGGAAGCTAAATAGTCTAGATCCCTTCCCTCTGGGAATTACAGTTTAATAGAGAAAAGAAGCATTTCCCAAATAAAGACATAGCCAACTAATGACTTATAACTGTGAGGTATCATTCATACTGTGATAGAATGAAATATATTATAAAATAAAAATACAAAGATTACTTTGAATACTCTAGATCCTTTAAATTTTTATATCTGTTTTAAGAGTTGTCCATTTTTATAAAAAGCAGTCTTGGATTGTGATTGGGATCGCATTGAATCCATAAATAAATTAAAACTAGTGAACCTCATGATCCAGAAAAAATGGCATGTTTCTCATTCTATTTCCATGTTACTTGGTTTCTTCTAAGCAGTGTTTTTCAGTGTGAAGGTCTTGCATGTAATGATGAATTTATTCCATGTTAACAGTTTTAAAAGTACCGTATTATATTTTTAAGTTAGTTTTCCAAATTTTGTGTTTTAATGTACAAATTGCTATTTATTTTCGTATATTTATCTTACATCTGTCACCTTAATAATTCACTCATAAGCTCTATTAGTATTTTGTGAATTCCAGAAGATTTTAATTTTGGCATCTGCAAATTTAGATATTTTTGCATAATCCTTCCTGATTTTTATATTTTAATCTTTTTTTTTTTGCTTTATTGCAAAAAAGAAAACTCCTAGAACAATTCTGGGCTGCAACATTTAACTCCCACAGTGCAACAAAATTAAGTATGACTAGATATAGGCTTGTCATATTTTTGCATTGTCTGTTTAAGAACATTTTCTTATATATCTAGTTGACAAATAACTTGTATTATAAATAGATTTTGATCATTATAAAATGTTTTCTGCATTTATCGAGCATCTGATTTTTAAAAATTCTGTTAGTATGGTGAATCACTGTGATTGATTTCTGAATGTTATAGAAACTTTGCATTCTTGGAATAAATAAAATTTTGCAATGAAATATTCTTATGTAGTGGTGCAATCAGTTTGCTAATATACTTACAACATTTTGTTTCTGTGTTCATGAGGGAAATTTTAAATTTTATCTTACTTTGTTTAATTTATGTTTTTGGTAATAGCTAAACCTATTTTCTTCTCATATTTTCAGAAAGATACTTTTTTAGATTTGTTCTATTTCTTTCTTGTTTAATAGAATTTCCTAATAAAACTATCTGAGCTTTAGGTTTTTTTATAGGAATGTTTTCATAATTGATTCAAATTTTAAATAGATGTAAGGACAATTTTTTCTGCTTCATCTTGTGTCTGATTCAGTAAGTTGTACTTTTTAAGGATTTTTCTCCATTTAAGTTGTCAAATTTATTGGTTTTAAGTTGTAACTATTATTTCCTTATGATCGTTTTATTTTCCATACTATCTCTAATGATGATTCCTCTTTACACCTCTTGATATCAGTAGTCTGTTTTATTTTTCACTTTTTAATTTCTTCTCCCCTAATCTAGCAAGGTGTTTATCAATACTGTTGATTTTTTTCACAGTACCAATTTTTGGACTTTGCTAATATTTTTACTGTTTTTTACTTTATTAATTTCTGTTTTATCTTTGTTATTTTTTTCCTAATGCTTACATTTGGCATATTTTGATATTGTTTTTAAAATCTAAATGCAGAATTTTAGTTTATTGTGTATCTGTCTGTTCCAGCACAAGCATTTAAAGCTATACATTTCCTCAAATCATTGCTTTCACTGCATTCCACAGGTTTTGATATATTTTATATTCATTGTTTTCAGTTTAAAATCTATAATTTTATTTGTAATTAATTAGTTGATTCATGATTTATTTGGAAATTTGTTGTTTATCAAATACAGGGAGGCTCTCTACATATGTTTGTAAATTTTAATTTAAATCTATTTAGATGAGAGAATATACTCTGCGTGATTTCAAAGATTTTACATTTAATATATTTTTTAAGGACCACTATATAATGTATATGTGAACATACTGTTTACATTTCAAAATAATATGTACTCTGGCGTTGCTGGGTAAATATAGAGCTGTATGATTATCATGTAGGTCAAGGTAGCTGGCTTTACTAATATTTCATCAGATTATTTTAACAATTGTAGTGAAACAGTGTAAAATTCTATTATTGGTAAAATTTCTCTCCATATGAATTCCACATTTTTGCTTCATATTTCTTGAAACTCTTTTATTAGACCAAACAGTTTTTTGCTTTTTTTGTCACTGTGATTAATTGATCTTTTCAATTTTTGAGAAATGGCCATCTTTTTCTTTAGTAATACATTTTTTCTCAAAGTCTATATTATCTGATATTAATGTGCCACTCTATCATTTGATTATTGACCTTTGCATTGTAAAACATTTTCAAGCACATATTTTCAAATGACAATATTATTATTGTTATATTACACATCTTTTAGATAGCATTGAGGTTGACCTTTGCTTTTCTTTTAAACTTATGTTGACAAACTCTATCTTTAGGTGGAATGTTTTGTCCAGTGATATTTACTGTACTCAGTTGTGATTATTAATTTATGTAATCATTTGGCTAAGTTATGGCACCCAGTTATTGAATTAAACACTAATCTAAGTGTTGCAGTGAAGGTATTTTTAGATGTGTTTAACACCAACTATGATTTGACTTAAGAAAGAGTTTAGGGTTGAAATTATGGTTAGGCTCATTCAATCAGTTGAAGTCCTTAAGAACAAAAACTGAAATTTTGTTGAGAAGAAATTCTGCCTTAAAATAGCATCTCTTGGGAGGTCGAGGCAGGCAGATCACGAGGTCAGGAGTTCGAGACCAGGCTGACCAACACGGTGAAACTCCATCTCTACTAAAAATACAAAAAATAGCCCAGTGTGTTGGTGCACATCTGTAATCCCAGCTGCTCAGGAGGCTGAGGCAGGAGAATCGCTTGAACCCAGGAGGCAGAGGTTGCAGTGAGCCGAGATCGTGCCACTGCACTCCAGCCTAGGCAACAGAGTGAGACTCTGTGTCAAAAAAAAAAAAAAAAAAAAAAAAGGCATCTCAACTTTTACCAGTTTCCAGCCCATGGGCCTACCCAAAGGATTTTGTACTTGCCAGCCCCCATAATTGCATGACCAATATTTTAAAATAAATTACTTTATCTGTATCTATTAACATCATTATACAAGTATAGAAATCTATAAGTAGATGCAAATACATGTATATTCTATTTGGTTCTGTTTCTCGAAAGAACTATATTTATACGATTAGATTAAGATTTACCATTTTATTACTGGTTTTCTTTTTTACCCTTTAAAATTGTCCTTTTTTTGAACCTTAGATTATTCAAATAATTTCTAGAATTTAATATAATTTGTACATGGAGTATTTAGCTACAAGTTTTGGAAAATTATTTACTGGTTTCTCTGGGAACATATATTTTATTAATATTTGCAGCTTATTTATAATGAATGTTCTATTATTTCATATAAAATTTGGAACTTTGCCTGTATATAGGCCTAGTTACAGTCATACCATGTTATAATTTTTATATGTAGCATATGTAATAATTATATTCCTTACAATTTTACAGTGTAATTTTTGCTTTACTTCAAAATTCAAATGTATTTTTAAAGAAATTAAGATGGAAAATAGTATTTTATATTTACTCAGATTTTTATGTCACGCTCAATGTCTTTATTTCTTAATAATTATGCTTAGCATTCCATTATTGGAACACAGTCTTCTGGTATCCATATTTTCTAATAAGCATTGGACATTCATTGGATTTGTTTCCCCTATATAACATGTCATCTTTTCTCGGTTGGATTTCAAAATATTCTTACTGTCTTATTTTCAGCAGTTTGACTATGGCATATATTATCCTTCTCATAATTTTCTGGTCTTTTAGAATGTGTAAACATCTACCTTTCTCCATATTGGGGAAATTTTGAGCTGCGATATCTTCAAACATATGTTATTATTTTCCAGTCTCTCTGATCTCTCCTTCTGGCACTCCAATTACAGATATGTGAGAACTTTTGATATTGTCTCACAGATCCCTGAGGTTCTATTCATTATTTTTAATCTTTTTATCTCCTGTAGAGAAAATGGTGAGGCATTCTCAGTGGATGAAGCAGTTTGTAACAAATAAGGCACAGAAACACACAAATGAAGATTGCGTGTCAAGGGTACATAAAATAAATAAGCCTCTATGCCTAGTGCGTAGGCTGTATGAACTAGGCTTAGAGGCTTATTTATTTTAAATTAGAGTAACAGGAGTGGAAGCCAAAGAGGTGGGAAAGGACTGGGTCACTAATGGTCTTCATGCCAGAATAAAATTTTTATAAGAGTCACTGAATCATTACAGGCAGAGCATTTCCAAGTTCAATTATCTCGATCCAAGTCTATTTCTTACTCTTTTGCTTCAGTATTCTCCAAAGCTCTTTTTGCCAGAGTCATTTTAATGTGTAAAAGTCTTTATAATTCTTGCTAACCTTTTGTATATATGCTTGTTGATTCATAAAATGACACTGAAAACCATCATTTGCAACACTTCCAGATTATAGTTTCATAACTATCTTTACTACTTGGCATATATTGTTTTTGTTAAGTGAATTTCCCCCAAATTCCATGATGCCTAACTTAAAATACAGTATCCTTAAATATTATTATTATTTTCTATTTTCATTTTTATTTTTTAAGGGGGTATTTTACTCTTGTTACCCAGGCTGGAGTACAGTGAAGCAATCTTGGCTCACTGCAACCTCCACCTCCAAGGTTCAAGCCATTCTCCTGCCTCAGCCTCCCACGTAGCTGGGATTACACGTATGCAATCACCACATCCGGCTAATTTTGTATTTTTGGTAGAGACAGGGTTTCACCTTTGTGCCAGGCTGGTCTCAAACTCCTGATCTCAGGTGATCCACCCACCTTGGCCTCTCAAAGTGCTGGGATTACAGGTGTGAGCCACCATGCCCAGCTCATCCTTTAATATTAATTCAATTTTTAAAAATTTTCCATATGTTTGGTCAATTTCTTTAGAAGCAGGTATTGAGTCAGTGAGTAAGGGATTTCGTGAAGGGGCGCTGTCAAAAGAAAGGGGATGAGGGAAGCAGGAGAGGGCAAGGAGCAGATTTAAGCAATATGGGACCTCAGCTAGTGTCTTATCCCATTGGCAACTCTTGAGCTTTACTTGCACCACAAGTTTGGCCATATCTTCAGATAAGGAGGTTGGAAATTTTACTTTATCATACTCAGTTATTGACTATGGGCTGCTAAAATGTCTGGAATAGGAAACGAATGTCAGCTGTGTACACTCACTGCATCTGCGAAGTGGATATACTCTTTTGCTAGTAGAAATCTAAGCTAGAAAACAACCTGTGTCTTATACTCTCTAATATATCCTGAAAAGCAAATTACTGAAAATTATATAATAGCCTCATTTTATTATGTTACAATCTCTATTTTTATCAGATATATTCTTAGATTGAGAAAGTTCTTTTTTAAAAATAATATTCCTGACCATATGATCCAGCAATAGCATGCCTTACTTGTTACCCAAATAAGTTGAAAAGAGACCATAAATGCATATTACTAAGTGAAATAAGACAATTTGAAAGGATATATTCTGTATTATTCCAGCTACTGGCAAAACTATAGATATTAAAAGGATCAGTGTTTTCCAGAGGTTAAGGAAGAGGGAGAAACGAACATTTGAACCACAGAAGATTTTTAGGGCACCTTAATGATAGATACACCACTAAGAGTGAATCCTAGTGCAAACTATGGGCATTGGCTGAAAATTATATATACATGTATTTTCATAGATTGTAACAATGGTACCACTCTGGTACCACTATGTTGATAGTTGGCAAAGCTGTGCATATGTGGTGGCAGGGAGTATTTGGGAAATATCTATATCTTCTACTCAATTTTAGTGTGAATAATCTAAAACTGCTCTAAAAATACAGTCTATTTAAAAGCAATAAATAAAAATAAATAAAAATCAAAATTTTCCTAAGATAAAAATCAACTCTAGAATTTCTGTATAATAGTGCCACTTGCCAAAGTCAAATTCTTATCTCTGCATCTTTCTATTCTTTCATTGAAAACAAGTTTACGCTGACAAATATTATAAAACAAAACACATTTGCAGATAATATATCTGTAGATTAATACCAAAAAGTTATTTTTTCCATATGGTATGACAAGCTCTAAACTTGTATTGATTCATTATGTGCTATACAAATCAGTTATGACAGATCTTCGATTTTATAGTTCCACTTGTGATTCCTACATTCCTATGGAAGACCTGGGGTTCTCCAAGACCTTGGATTTGATTTCAGTACAGCAATTCAGACAGGCAGTCTCAATTATGTTTGACTCAGATTTGAAACCTGTTTGACATCTATGCATAAGTAGTGAATCATTTTAACATGATTTAATTTCCTAAAGCTACTGCTTCGAAAATAGTTTAGATCTACTTTGCTGGAAAGTCAGCCCACAAGGAAAAAAAAAAAACCTAAAAATTTTAAAACAAAACAAAAATCCTATAAAAGTCTAATTATTTGGGTTCAACACAGATAAGGTATTGGTTGACAAATACATAAATTATTATTTTAGTAAGTCAGGTACAACACATTCTAAAAGGAAAAAAAAAAGTTGGGCCTCAAATACACATTTTTCCCAACTTTAAATGTTGTCCTAGGCAAGTTTTAAATGTGGAAATAAAATAAGCTGTCAAAATGTTCTGCAGAGAATCAGGTTACTGATATTTACACCATATGTAAGTGATATTTATACCACCATTTAACATTTACACCACGTTTTCCTGAAAGCAAGGAAACATGTCTGATTCAAGGGTACAATGAAGGAAGCAGTAAAGGGATACTCTAGTCATAATCCTGGAAGCAAAGGGGAGAAACACATATTCATCTGTGTAATTATATTATCTGACATGTATTCCTGAACTTGTCTTATGGATAGATTTTCAGCTGTAATGTGGGGCCGATGATGATAGTTATCACACGGAGTTGTTGTGAGCATTACATGGGTGAGCAGGGTGCTTGATACATAATAAATACTTAATAAATGTAACGTGCTAAACCTAAAGCCCAATATCCTTATCTCAGCTTATCAGAGATAACGAACTGATTTAATCCTTTTAGTGACTGTAATTCAATTCCCTGTTCAGTCTACATTGCATTAGTTGTCAACTCTCTAATATAAACTCATATTCCTCCCGCAGAAAAATCTAGAGAGACAGATTACATGTCTTTGCCTACTGAGTCAACAATATGTGCTTTATTTTACTCCACAGCATTTATGAACAGATATTTTATAATCTATAATATGGTTGTTATATATTTCTGATTTTCTAGATATTCTCAAATTTTAACAAGCCTCAGGGTTTTTTTGTCTTTTATGGAAAATTAAGAATTCTATAAATAAAATGTATATTTTTTCTAAGGCTATTTAACCAAATATACTCATAAAAATGTATTCAACAATTTTCACAAATTAATTTACTACTGTGATATATTAGTGCAAGCAACACAGAGGAATTTTACTTTACCTAGCAAGTTAAAGATGCATGTAATTCTCCTCAACATTTATCATTGTTCTCATTAAAGCACCCAGGTATATCTTTAAGAAAAATGTTCCAAATTATAGTAGTCTAGGCTTAGTCTAATAGAATCAAAGTTGTTTGTTCAAGTATTAACATGTGATCTTAATTAAGACAGCTAGAGTTAAGTCTAGCAGTTCTGCTCAAAGTATTCAGATGGAAATGTTCTCATTTAACTGAACGAAAAGATGGTAGGGTAAAAAGCTAGAACTAACAGAGACAAACACTGCTATTTTGTAGTTAGAGCTTTCCTAAGAATAAAACCAACATATAAAAGAGTAGTCAAGAGAAAGAGATTGTGTTCTAAGTGCATAATTTTAATCCTTTAAGCCAGTACTTCTTTCAAATAAATTAGCCCATAAATTTGTAGTTACATGGGCCAATGATATTTTTATTTCTTTAAGTCAAATTAAACTTGAATTCTGTCATTTGCCAGCAAAAGTTCTGACCAATATAAAGGCAAAATAAACACAGCTATCATAATGCTTTTAAATTATTCTATGATGTTAACCTAAATGTATAATCCTCCTTAAAAGCTATATATGAATGATTTATTGAACCTTTATTATGCCAGGCATTCTTATATGGGTTAGCAATAAAAAGGTGAATAAAATAGTTTTTTTAAATTATGGAAGGTCATTGCAAGTCATTACCATACCTGAATTTCATTTTTGAAAGGGATGACTCACACTGCACTTAGATGAGATCAGAATTAGATATAAATATTTTGAATGACTATCTGTTTGTTGCATGTAGAAAATCTTAGTGAAGGAAAATAATGGAAGTAGTTCGAACTAATGGTCAGACCGTGTTAAGTCACTCTGCTGATTCATCTATAGCATTTTATTAGTATATTATATTTATAATTAAATAAAATTATTAAATAATATTAATGACTTTTAATTTTAATAATTTAAGTACTTATTACTGATTTTAATTGGTTTACATCAATTTGGTGCTTTCCATGTCTTCACAATTCTGCTGTGCCTGCCTTTCATTCTTTTTTTTAAAGAAGTATGCTGTGATTTACCTTTTACTTTATATTTATATTTACTTTTTAATTGAGACATGATATTTGTACATATGTATAGGGTACATGTGATATTTTGATACATGCGTAGACTGTGTAATGATCAAATCAGGGTATTTGCAGTGTCCATCAACTCAAGTAATTATCCTTTCTATTTGTTGGGAACATTTCAAGCCCTATCTTCTAGCTATTTTGAAACATATAATAATTGTTAATCATAGTCACCGTACTCGGCTACAGAACATTAGAACATATTTATTCTATTTAACTGTATGTTGGTACTTATTAACCAACTTCTTTTTATCTGCCCCTCACACCTCATTCCTATCCTCTGGTATCAATCATTATACCCTCTTCCTCAATGAGATTAACTATTCTAGTTCTCTTACAAATGAGTACATGCAATATTTGTCAGTCTGTGCCTGGCTTATTTCACTTAACATAATGCCCTTCAGTTTTATCTATGCTGCTGCAAATGATATAATTTTATTATTTTGGCCAGCTAGTATTACATTGTGTATGTATACAACATTTTTATCATCCATTCATTTGTTGATAGACACTTAGGTTGATTTCATATCTTTGCTCCTGTGAGTAGTGCTGCAATAAACATGGAAGTGAAGGTTATCTTTTTTGACATACTGATGACTTTTCCTTGGATAAATTTCCAGTATAGAGGTTACTGTATCATGGGATAGTTCTACTTTTTGCTTTTTGAGAAATCTTCGCACTGTTTTCTATAGTGGCTGTACTACACCGTGTTTCACTCACTTACCGTTTCTGTACATTAGGGAGCCAAACTGGGCTTAAGGCCAGTACTGGCTGTGCAGGCGACTTAACTTACTTCTCCCTTTTTTTTTTTTTTTTTTTTTTTTTTTTTTGCTGGAGGTGTTTCCAGTCACTTCTCTGTTGAATTTCAGTGTTTTTCTTAGATGGTCTATTCAAAGCATGATTCTCTTCTTACTATTTTGGTTCTTCTTTGATGAGGAGAGGAGAACAGAAGCCTCAAGTCAGCCATCTTGAAGCCACTCCCATCTTCTGTGTCTTTTACATGGATATGCCATTTGTTTCATATCTTTTTAACCCATTTAACTGAGTTTACTTTATGGTAGTTTTTTTTTTTTTAACTTACAGTTCTCAGAAAATATTTTTAAGTGAATAAATAAATATCAAGGGAATTATGATATATTCAAGGTATCCTCACTATATATAAGGTTGTGATATATAGAACAAATAAAAATGTTTAAATGATTTAAAGAAGTTAAACATACCAGGAAGAAATATTGAGGAGGCTGCTAGAAATGTGAAGTTAGACCAAGAGGGTAGGTATAGTTCTAGATGTGGATTCATGAGTCATTTGCAGCAAAGTAATAAGGAAGTAGTGAAAAAGGCAAGAATTGCTTTGAGGCAGACTCTGAGAAAAGTCAAGAAACACAGTAAGAGGCGAGAACTTTGGTCAAATTAAAAGTTCATCTTAGCGTATATATTCAGGTGCAGTGTTTAGTAAAGTTGATAAAATATCTTCTGTAAGTCAATACTGAATGCTAAAAATACCTTTATTAATTCTTTGCATAAGAGATGTAAAAATAATGATAAATGCAAGATACATATTTATATCTCTTATTATGGATGAGAAAATGGAGGCTCAGAATGATAAGTAATTTCCCCAAGGTTATAAAAGACAAAAGTAGAACTTCAATTCACATTGGGCAAATTCCAAATTATATCTTATGAAATTTTTTAACACTCATTTTCTATGGTATGATTTCATCTGTGAGTTGCTTTGTATTCCCATAAATGGAGGGCACACTATTAAAGTTTCCACGCATTTGTCAATGGCTCTGATAAGCCTTTCTGTAAAGACATCTATTTAATTTTGCCTGATGCAGTTTTCCCCAAATGTGCCTGCTCATGGACATTTTCTGAATAATATCTGCTGCACTACAACAAGCGACTTCCAACAGTGGATAGCCTGCATTGACATCTTTAGGGAGTGAAATTTTCTATTCTGGCACAGATATTTCACAAGGGGTTCATTGTGGCCAGCTTTTTTTAATAGTAAGTATTCATTTTTTATATAGAGAGAGAAAAATGAGGTCTCAAATAATGCTGAGCTATACTTACTTGAGAACTGACTTTTCTGAATAGGCAAAAACAGACTTAGCTAGGTCTTATATTCTGGCTGATGTAAAATAAAATGATTTAAAATGCGTGTCTCACCATCCCCAGCATTCATAAAAATACCAGCTTCTTTTCTTATTAGAGAAGTTAATTTGATAATTATATCAGTTTTCACAGTCTCAGTGAGTGATATGGTTTGACTGTGTCTCAATGCAAATCTCATCTTGAATTGTAGTTCCTGTAATCTCCATGGGATGTGGGAGGGACCAGGTGGAGATAATTGAATCCTGGGGGTGGATGCACCCATCCTGTTCTCCTGATAGAGGTCATTCTCATGAATGGATGTGTTTGCTTCCCCTTCTGCCATGATTGTAAGTTTCCTAATGCCTCCAATCCAAGCTGAACTGTGAGCTAATTAAACCTCTTTCCTTTATAAATTACCCAGTCTCAGGTGTGTCTTTATTAGCAAGGTGAGAACAAACATCATAAATTGGTACCACAAAGAGTGGGGTGCTGCTGTAAAGATACCTGAAAATGTGGAAGCGACATTGGGTAATAGGCAGAGGTTGGAACCATTTATAGGACTCAGAAGACAACAGGAAAACGTGGAAAGCTTGGAACTTCCTAGAGACTTGGAGGGCTCAGAAGACAGAAAGATCTGGGAAAGTGTGGTACTTCCTAGAGACTTGTCGAATAGCTTTGACCAAAATGCTGATAGTAATATGGACAAAAAGTCCAGGCTAAGGTGGTCTCAGATGGAGATGAGGTACTTCTTGGGAACTGGAGTAAACATAGCTCTTGCTACACAAAGAGACTGATGGCATTTTGCCCCTGCCCTAGAGATCTGTGGAACTTTGAACTTCAAAGAGATGATTTGGGGCATCTGACGGAAGAAATTTCTAAGCAGCAAAGTGTCCAAGAGGAAGCAGAGCATTAAAGTGTAGAAAATTTGCAGGCTTTCAATGTGATAGAAAAGAAAAACCCATTTTCTGGGGAGAAATTTAAGCCCACTGCAGAAATTGCGTAAGTAATGAGGAGCCAAATGTTAATCACCAACACAATAGACAAAATGTCTCCCGAGCATGTCAGAGACCTCGAGGCAGCCCCTCCCATCACAGGCCCAGAGGCTAGGAGGGAAAACTTGTTTTCTCAGCACCCCAGGGCCCCCTTTGCTCTGTGCAGCCTCAGGACTTGGTGCTCTGCATCCCAGCTGCTTCTGCTCCAGCCCTGGCTAAAAGGGGCCAAGGTACAGCTCAGACCGTTCTTCAAAGGTTGCAAGCCCAAAGCCTCTGCAGCTTCCATGTGGTGTTGGGCCTGTGGGTACACAGAAGTCAAGAATTGAGGTTGGGGAATCTATGCCTAGATTTCGGAGGATGTATGAAAATACCTGGATGTCCAGGCAAAGGTGTGCTGCAGGGGTAGAACCCTCCAGAAGAATCTCTGCTAGTGCAGCTCAGAAGGGAAATATGGGGTTGGAGCCTCCACACAGAGTCCCCACTGGGGCACTGCCTAGTAGATCTGTGAGAAGAGGGCCACTGTCCTCCAAACACCAGAATGGTAGATCCACCAACAGCTTGCACCTTGTACCTGTAAAAGCCTCAGACAGTGCCAGCCTGTGAAAGCAGCCAGGAAGGGGGGCTGTACCCTGCAAAGCCACAAGGTTGGAAGTGCCCAAGGCTGTAGGAGTCAACCTCTGGCATCAGCATGACATGAATGTGAGACATAAAGTCGAAGGAGATCATTTTGGAACTTTAAGGTTTAATAACTGCTCTACTGGATTTTGGACTTGCATGAGGCTTGTAGCCCCTTTGATTTGGACAATTTCTTCCATTTGCAATGGATGTATTTACCCAATGCCTGTACTGCCATTGTATCTAGGAAGTAACTAATGTGCTTTTGATTTTACAGGCTCATAAGTGGAAGGGATTTGCCTTGTCTCAAATGAGACTTTGGACTTGGACTTTTGAGTTAATGCTAGAATGAGTTAAGACTTTTGGGGACTGTTGGAAGGGCATGATTGCATTTTGAATTGTGAGGACATGAGATTTTGGAGGAGCCAGCGGCAGAAAAATATGGTTGGGTTGTGTCCCCACCCAAATATCATCTTGAATTGTAGTTTCCATAATCCCCACGTGTCATGGGAGGGAATAATAGAGATAACTGAATCATGGGGTTGTTTTCCCCCATCCTGTTCTTTTGATAGTGAGTTCTCACATGATCTGATGGTTTTATCAAGGTCTTCCCCCTTTGCTGGGCATGCGTATTTCTCCTTGCCACCGCCATGTGAAGAAGGATGTGTTTGCTTCTCCTTCTGCCATGGCTGTAAATTTCCTGAGGCCTACCAGTCATGCTGAACTGTGAGTCAATTAAACCTCTTTCCTTTATAAACTACCCAGTCTCAGGTATGTCTTTATTAGAAGCAAGAGAATGGAACAATACAGTGAGTTTCCTTCTGATATGAATGCCTGTCTCCAATGCTAAGATACATCATGTTTAAATCATTCTCTTTTTAACATTCTTAAAGAATCACATAGAAGTGAATTCTTGGAGATATTTTTATTAAATATGAATAAATAAGTATATATTTGTATATGTACGTATATATACATATAGATTTAATAAATTGCAATTGAAATTTTTTTTAGTTTGAGAGAGAATCTTCTCACTGCTCTAAAAGAGGATTCCATCAAACATTCCCATTTTGCAGATGGAGACCTGCAGAATCAGAAACTTGAGACTTTTGTCTATACTTACAGAAATAAATTGGCAGACGTTTTCTGAGTCAATAAACCCAAGTAGGTTTCCAACTTAAGTCTTTTCTAATTCAGGTAATCCTCACCAAAAAATGAAGATATGGGTACTATTGTTATCTCCATTTTAAAGATAGGAAAACCGAGAGGTATATTAAATTACCTAAAATATGTTGCTATTAAAGAAATGATCTAGTATGAAAATTCAGAAAATGTGGCTCCATAATGTACACTTTTAGCCACTACACAGTAAAACCATGATTTTACCCATCACCTTTTTGTCTTGTGGTATTGGAACAAAGAAGCTGATATAAAGAAGATCTATTTAGCTTGAAATTATTAAGATTGCTCATGATAGTTTCTGGCAGTCTTTTAAGAGAGGGTGTTGCTTTGTTTGACTCAAAGTAGTTTAAACATAAAAGAAGAGTAGAATAATTTTTAAAAAGGTATATGTGGTGTTTTTTCATGCTGACACATGAGAGTCGCTAATCTCAAATGATCACTTAGCCTCTGCAAAATTTCCAGCCATCAAACAAATATATTCATTATAATGATTTACTTCGTGAACCTTATTGAGTCAGAAACAGAGCCACAGATATTTCTAAAATATTTTTAAAACTAGTCACAGTGGTGCACACCTGTAGTGCCAGTTACTTGGAAGCCTGAGGCAGGACTGCTTGTGGCCAGGAGTTTAAGGCTATAGTGTTCTGTGAACATGCATGTCAATAGCCACTGTACTCTAGCCTGGGCAACATAGCAAGACCCCAACTCCAAAATAAATTTAAAAATACAAAGTAATTTTTAAATGCTTAAAAATATTTTAAGTTGATAGAAAAATAAACATTTAAAGTGAGAGATGCACTTAATCAAACATTTTATTTAACCAAAGTTCTGTTCCATCTCTGCTGGCCCTTTTCTCACCTCTCACAACACAAAAAGATTTGCGGGATTAGTAATTTTGAGTCAACTTGATTTGCAGCCCATATTTCTCACTTTGTAGCTATGGGTAATTTGTTCATTTTCTTTGATTTTCAATCTTTTCTCTTACAAAATTCAAGTTTTTATACTTTCTTAACCAGATATTTTGGGGACTAATTGGAATCATCTATGTAAAATATCTAACTGCTATAAAATCTGTTCCTAGGGCTGGTCTCAGGTAAGCTTCAATATATGCTAGCTCTTTTTCAAGTCATTCTGGAAAATTGAGATTTGACCATCAATTGAGAAAAGCATGTACAAAATCTTTTATTAATAATATTCCTATATATGTTCGTAAATTAGGTTACACTCAATTATACCTTTTTTATTTTGCTTGATGAATCAGTAAGATTCTATAAAAATATTTTAAATTTTAAAATATTTCTTGCTAAAAATAAGGCTGACCACAATCATGGTAAATAAACCTTCACATAATTTGTAATATAGCAAGGAGTTTCAAAAATATATTCTCAATTAAGAATCCTTTTTCCTTTTCAAAATAAGTCATTGAAGGGTATCTAGAAATATAATAATGTTTGTTTCTGGGTTTAATGTTTATTCTGGGGGTAAAGTATAGTGAAAACTCTATTAAAAATATTTATTGATATCAACCTTGTAAACCAAAAAATAGGAAAGCGAAATTAATATGCCAAAAGGCACGGGTTGAATTTTGGGTTTCAGTTTCTGTTTCCAAGCTGAAGTAAAAGTTAATGATTTAGCACGTTGCGGTGTTATAATATATATTGGTTTTTGTCCATGATTCGTGGCTTATAACTCCCTCAGCCCTTGCTACAGTCTTTTGTTATAATGTTGTATGTGTTAGGCCTCATAGGAAGGTCCTTGACTTTCTCCTGCCTTCCTTTGATTCTTATGTTTCCCTTCCTTTCTGATTGTGGGTCTTAAGATTTTCCCATGAGAGAGTCGCACCCTATGGGAGAAGTAATACTGATGTCACAAAGCTTTCATAAAAACCCAGGAGGAAGGATTTAGTGAGCTTCCAGATAGCTGAACATGTGGAGGTTCCTGGAGGGTGGTACACCCAGGGAGGGCATGGAAGCTCTATGTCTCTTCCCCCACACCTTGCCCTATGCATCTCTTCATCTGTATTCTTTGCAATATCCTTTAAAATAAATGGGTAAATGTTTAAGTGTTTCTTAACACTTGAGTTAAGATGAACTGCTTCTATCATCTGCTCTGAGTTCTAAGAACTGCTCCAGCAAATTAATCAAACCCAGAGAGGGTGTCATGGGAACTGCCACGCACGTCTGTGTGAAGAGACAACCAAACAGGCTTTATGTGAGCAATAAAGCTTTTTAATCACCTGGGTGCAAGCAGGCTGAGTCCAAAAAGAGAGTCAGCAAAGGGTGGTGGGATTATCATTAGTTCTTATAGGTTTGGGATAGGCAGTGGAGTTAGGAGCAATTTTTTGTGGGCAGGGTGTAGATCTTACACAGTACATTCTCAAGGGTGGGCAGAATATTACAAAGTATCTTCTTAAGGGTGGGGAGGGGGGCAGGATATTACAAAGTACCTTCTCAAGGATGGGGAGGGTGTATTGTCAAAAAGTTAATTGATCAGTTAGGGTGGGGCAGGAACAAATCACAATGGTGGAATGTCATCACTTAAGGCAGGAACTGGCTATTTTCACTTCTTTTGTGGATCTTTAGTTGCTTCAGGTCATCTGGATGTATACTGCAGGTCACAAGGGAAATGATGGCTTAGCTTGGGCTCCGAGGCCTGACATACCTGTCTTCTTATATTAATAAGAAAAATAAAACAAAATAGTGGTGAAGTGTGTTGCGGCAGCAAAAATTTTTGGGGGGTGGCATGGAGAGATAATGGACGATGTTTCTCAGGGCTGCTTTGAGTGGGATTAGGGGCAGTGTGGGAACCTACAGTGGGAGAGATTAAACTGAAGAAAGATTTTGGGGTAGGGAGTGATATTGTGGGGTTGTTAGAGGGAGCATTTGTCCTATAGAATGATTGGTGATGGCCTGGATGTGGTTTTGTAAGAACTGAGAAACTAAATGGAAGACACAATGTCTGAATAAGAGGAGAAAAACAGGTATTAAAGGACTAAGAATGGGAGGACCCAGGATATCCAATTAGAGAGTGCCCAAGGGGGTTCAGCATAATTATTTGATTGGTTGGCAAATTTTTAGGCTCTATCCTTGAGTTTTTTTATGTTGTCATATATCAGGCCAGATTGATTTAGGTAAAAACAACGCTCTTCATTTAAAAATATACAGTCTTCCTTTCGCAGCAGTGAGTAAGTCGAGGCCTTGTCAATTTTGGAGGAAACAGAAATGCAAAGTCAGCAATTGTTTGTTAAAGAAGGATTAGAAACAGCTAGGAGAGAGTGCGTGAGATTGATAGTGTGGTGGAGATAGCTGGGGAGAGGTAGAGGGTGGAGAATAAGAGTGAGTATAAAAGTAAAGAATAGGACTTCATCAGGGTGAAACTATTGGAAGGTACACTGTCAGCAAAGATCATCTATCCACTCCAAGAAAGAGTCAACAGTGTCGGATTGGGGATAGTACCAGGAGATATCCACTATGATGGTTTGGAGGAAAAGCGTAAACTAGCAGTGTAAACAGGGGCAGGGCATTTATAAGTAGATGAGAATGGTGAATAGGAGTATGACTAGACAGAAGATAGTAGGGATGACAAGTATTTGGGGCACAGTCCAAGTAGTGAGGATGACTGCATAAAGCCCTCTTGTAAACAGTAGGGTAAGGAAGAAGAAACCTAATGAAAATGAAAGGATCTATTAGGCTTATAAGGGTTACTATTATCCTTTAAGAATGCGAGTGAGTTTAAGGGAAGTAGGAGAGAGTACTTGCAACTTCCAGGAGGAAGAGGAGAAATCAGGCTGGCTGGCTGACAGGCACAGCTTCACTCTGGAACAGTGAACATAATGGCGGGGGCGGGGGTGGTTCTGAAGACAAACAGCCATTGGGGTGCTATAGATGATTAAGTGGGGTCTAATCCACCGAGGTTGTAGAGTTTGAGGGGTCAGATTCTTAAGAACTGACCATCCAGTAGGGTGTTTTCATAAGGCTGGGAATCTGGAGTAGGCAAGAGGAGATTAGCAGCCTGGCAAATTTCCTGTCTAGCCTGCTGGAGGACTGGAAGATAGTCGCCTAGAGGGCTGGTGTCTGTAATGAAGTTGGGGCCGAGCAAGAAAGTGCGTCCATATAAAAGTTCAAATGGACTGTACCCTGTGGCATCTCAAGGACAAGCTCTAATTCTGAGAAGGGATAGTGGTAAAAGTATTGTCCAGTCCTTTTTAAGTTGGAGGCTGAGCTTGGTGAGGTGTGTCTTTAAAAGACCATTAGTCCAGTCTACCCTTCCTGAAGATTGAGGACGGTAAGGGGTATGAAGGTTCCACTGAATACCAAGAGCCTGAGAAACTGCTTGGGCAATTTGGCTAATAAAGGCTGGCCCATTATCAGACTGTATAGAGGTGGGAAGGTCAAACCAAGGAATTATGTCTCACAGAAAGGAAGAAATGACCACGGTGGCCTTCTCAGACCCTGTGGGAAAGGCCTCTACCCATACAGTGAATGTGGCTACCCCAGACCAAGAGGTATTTTAGTTTCCTGACTCGGGGCATGTGAGTAAAGTCAATTTGCCAGTCCTGGGCAGGAGCAAATCCCCCAGCTTGATGTATACGGAAGGGAGGGGGCCTGAACAATCCCTGAAGAGTAGTAGAATAGCAGATGGAACACTGAGAAGTGATTTCCTTGAGGATAGGTTTCCATGATGGAAAGGGAATGAGATGTTCTAAGAGACAGGCTAGTTGCTTGTAACCTACATGGAAGAGGTTATGAAATGATGACAGAATAGAATGAGCCTGTGAGGCTGGAAGGAGATATTTTCCTTGGTCTAAGAATGATTTGCCTTGTGTGGGAAGAGATTGATAGGTGGAAGTTTCAGTGGGAGAGTAGGTGGGAGTGACAGATGAGAAGGAGAAAAAATGGCCATGAGGGACAGAAGTTGGAAAGCTAACTGCTTTTTTAGCTACCTTATCAGCATAAGCGTTGCCCTGAGTGATGGGATCTGATGCCTTTTGATGGCCCTTGCAGTGAATGACTCCAACTTCCTTTGGAAGTAAAGTGGCCTTGAGAAGAGTTTTTATTAAAGAGGCATTAATGATGGAGGACCCTTGCGTAGTGAGGAAATCTCTTTCTGTCCATATAACAGCATGGTGGTGCAGGGATATGGAAGGCACACTTACAGTCTGTATAAATATTGACGTTTAGTCCCTTTGCAAGATTGAGGGCTCGAATTAAGGCAATGAGTTCAGCTTGCTGAGAGGTAGTGGAGCGGGGCAGAGTGGTAGCCTCAATGATAGATGTGGAATATACTATAGCATAGCCTGCCTTTGCTGGTGAGTGTCAATTAGGCCTGGTGGAACTGACATCAATAAAACAAGTGTGATCAGGGTGAGGAACAGGAAAGAAGGGAATACGGGGAAAAGGAGTGAATGTCAGGTGGATCAGAGAGATACAGTCATGGGGGTCAGATGTAGTATCAGGAATAATGTGGGAGGCCAGATTGAAGTCTGGGCCAGGAACAATGGTAATTGTGGGAGACTCAACAAAGAGTGAGTATAGCTGAAGGAGCTGGGGGGCAGAAAGTGTATGTGTCAAGTGTGAAGAAGAAAATAGATTTAGGAAGTTATGAGAACTGTAGAGACTGAGTTGAGCACCGTTTGTGATTTTTGAGGGCCTCTAAAAGTAGTAAAGCAGCGGCAGTCACCGCACATAGACATGAGGGCTAGGCTAAAACAGTAAGTTCAAGTTGTTTGGACAGAAAGGCTACAGGGCACAGTCCCGGCTCTTGTGTAAGAATTCTGACTGCACAGTCCTTTACTTTGGCTATGTGTAATGAAAAGGGTTAGGATGAGTTAGGGAGAATTAGTGTGGGAGCAGCTTCTAGGGCATTTTTCTTGACTTTATATCACTGAACAAAATAGATAATTATCTCTGCACTTATGAAGCTGATATTCCATAAAAGGAAGAAATCTGTAAATAATAATGCTAAAAATATGCAAATTATAAAGGAAGATTGAAAGTACAGACATAAGTTAATCTAAAATAAAATTATTTTATATATTTGTATATCTATAGAGAGATTGTATAATTATATATGATAACACATTAGTTTATAAGCAGGAAAAAAGCCCTAAAATATTTTAAATAAGAAAGATCACATTCTATATTGATTACTTTAGAAATCATCTTAATTGTTTTTTAAGGAGAGTTTGGCCTCTGGAGTCCTAGAGCCCAGCAAATCTAATATTCTAATTGATGTGGAACCACAAGCTTGTGACCTTCCATTTATGCCTTTTTAAGAACTGTCTCATGGCATTTGAAGAAGAAACAGAACTAACCTATGTCTTCAATTATACAAAATCTTCAGAAATTTATCCTAAGATTTGGATGGATTGCAACATTCTTCAACATTTGTTGCAAACACCAGGCAAATGAATTACTTCTTTGTCTTTTTTTACTGCCTGAGCACTTGTCCTCTAGATTTCTCTCATAACCCAAGTTTTATAACCAAAGTCTCCACTCAAATATCACCTTCTCAGGAACATTTTTGCCACTATATTAAATGCAGCCCCTTTTCTTTGGTATTTTATGTCATGTCGTCTTTTATTTGCTTTTTAGCACTGAAACTTATTTATTTAATTATTTATTGCTTATTTTATTTATTATTTATTTTTGTTTACTTTCTTGTTTATTGCTCCCATCCCCTTTTAGCCCAAATTCAGCTACCTGACAGATGATATTTTATGTCATGTTGTCTTTTATTTGCTTTTTAGCACTGAAACTAATTTCTTTATTTATTGTTTATTTTATTTTTGTTTATTTTCTTGTTTATTGCTCCCATCCCCCTTGAGCCCAAATTCAGCTACCTGACAGATGATCTTCTGTCTGGCTCATTCACAGATAAAGCTCCAGGTTTGGCATAGTTGCTGGTATAGAGTACCTGTTCAATAATCCTCTGTTGAATGAATGATGAGTGCCTCTAATTGTCCATGGTTAAAATATGAAGGAAGAGTTATACTTTAGTGGAATTATTATCTCAAAATTAAATGAAATTAAAGGAATTAACTTTTGGTGTAGGAAGAAAAGGACTTAGTTTAGTCTTTAAGCCTGAATTGGTTGAGGATTTCAAATTCTGGCTTTGTCACCCACTAAGCATATGTACTTGAGAAACTAACATAAATTCTTTCTGCCTAAGTTTCCTTATCTATATAATGGTAATAATTGTAATACCTCAATTTTATAGAATGATTATAATTCTTATTCTTATGATTGCACCTGTTAATATTATAAAAGGAATGGGATAGCAATTCCAATATAGTCATTAAAAATTGTGGCTAAAGATGTAATGGATATATTGTAAAGCAACTGCTCATATCTGCAATTAAACCAGCGTTGTCCTATACATTATAGCTATTTTTAGAGAACTATTGAGGTTCATGATATTATACAAAAAAAGAAAGAATGATGGCATACTGATAGGCCATATAACAGCTCCTGAGTATAGGGCTACTGACATCCATATTCAATGGAAATTATCTAGAGTATCTGCAACACACTTACGTCTGGTGTCCCTCAGTTCTTTACTATGATCCTACTGATATCAAATGTCAGAAAGAAAGTTTGTACAACACAAATGTTCCATGTACTTTCCATTCTTTAATCTAAATTTGTTAAGAAAAAATGTTTTTGCTGCCTGTATGAATAGTGTGAGTTAAATTTTATCTATACACATTATGTGATAGCACTTTAAAAATTCTTCTTAGCTCACCCATTTAGCAGAGTTTGTATTAAACTTGTCCCACTTTGTGAAAGTAAATATTCCTTATTATACTTAGTGAAACACTCTCATTTTACCTATGTGGAATTTCTCAGGAATCAACTGTGTCCATTAAGTTATCTCATAAACACAGAGATCAGACTCAAGGCTATCATAAAAAAAGATGAAGTCTCAAAAGAAAACTCATCCAAAAAGTAGGCATTTTTTTCGAGACCTGAGAAAATCCAAAGGCTCAGGAAAAAAGTGATTTTGGGAGTTGATATGTTTTTCAAATGCGACAGTATATGAAGAGAGAATTTTTATATAGAATGTCCTGTGTTGAATATTTCAGTCCATATGTTATAGGTTGAATAATGTGGCCTCAAAATTCCATGTGAAGCCCTAAGCCCCAGAATATGACCTTATTAAGAAACATGGTTGTTGCAGGTATGATTAGTTAAGATGAGCTCATTAAGGCAAAACCTTTGCCCAATATGACCAGTGCTCTTATAAAAGTGGAAATTTGTACAGAGACACACACACACACACACACACACACACACACACACATTGGGACAGAGTCCTGTGAAGATGAAAGTAGAGATCAAGGTGATGCTTCTGTAAGCCAAGAAATCCCAAAGATTTTCTTCAAACCACCATAGGCTAAAGGAGAAGCATAAAACAGATCCTTCCTCACAACCGTCAGAAATAACCAATCCTGCTGACTGCTTGATCTTGAGCTTCTAGCCTCTACAACAGTAATATGAGAAATGTTTGTTGCTTAAACCACAGTTTTTGTTGTGGTACTTTGTAATGACAGTCCTAGAAAGCTAATAATCCATCCTAATGAACAGTGCTTAAAATACGAGATTTGGCAACCATCCTAGCTATAGACAGAAAAGCAGTCTATGTGGTATATGTCCTAGAATGGACCCTCCATAATGTTTTTTTCTTATTGGGCCAAATTGTCTCTATCACTGATTAATTCCTGGTTCTAAAGCAGTGACCTAGGACTTTTACTCTAATATATCCATCAAGCCCAGCTAACGTTTACTGAGTAACTATTACTTGCAAGTTAGCGCTCTAGGTTCTTTCTCCATTATATTTAGGCATATTTTATTCCTTAAGCAAACAAACAAACAAACAAAAAACTGACATTAGTTAGCAAGACAAATGTAGGCAATGCCTTTAGTTTGAGAAAGAAAATATACTTTATATCTGAGGACTATGAGCCTTCTAAAGGGCTCCTACATCATCAGGCTCAGAAAGGCATGAGAGACAACAGTTACCTGCTACTTTCTTCCTTGTACTATGTAATTGTCTCTTGAAGCTGCTTGTTATGTGAACTGTAGATTGACTGCTGCCCATAAAGCTATAAATGAACCTAATTGTGTGTGTCTTTTAAAAAAATTATTTATTTTGAGACAGAGTCTCTCTCTGTCACCCAATCTGGAGTGCAGTGACACTATCTTGGCTCACTGCAACTTCCACCTCCCAGGTTCAAGCAATTCTCATGCCCCAGTCTCCTGAGTAGCTGGGATTGCGGGCGCCCACTACCACACCCAGCCAATTTTTGTATTTTTAGTAGAGATTGGGTTTTGCCGTGTTGGCTGATCTCAAACTCCTGACCTCACGTGATCCTCCTGCCTCAACCTCCCAAAGTACTGGGATTACAGGTATGAGCCACCAAGTCCGGCCCCAATGAACCTAATTGTTAACAGAAAATTCAAACTCTGTAAAATATTTCAAAGAGGTTTATTCTGAGCAAGTGTGAATGACCATGGACCAGAGAAAGCATGCCCAGGGCAACTGGGTTACAGTTCTTTTAATACATTTTAGGAAGACAGGAGTTCTAGGCAAAGACAGAAACCAGTACATGAAAGGTATACATTGATATGGCACAAAAAGGCAGAACATATTCAAGGGGAAGTGGAAAGGGCTTGTATAAGTCATAGGTGGGCTTTGGGGATTCTTTAGTTGACTATTGGTTGAGAAAGAATAGCTTTATTTTCTAAAGATTGAAATAAACATAAAAAAACAGATTAAAGACAATTTTCTCTAATTTTAATGGGGGCTGGGTTTCCTCAGTCAAACTCTGGGGCTTCTTTATACGCATTTAGGGTTCCACAGAAAAGAATGTGACAAGCAATGATCTAGACAATATTGAAGATTTTCTAAGTCTTATATTGTATATTCGTATAATTCTAAAGGTATAATGGAGCTGGTTTTATCTTCTCTTTGTAGATGAGAATAAATAATCCACTGAAAATACAGACTAAACATCTGAATTCTTTCCCTTGAATGAGAAAACCATCCTGGAAGTCAGGTTTAAACAAAAAGAGTGTTATGTAAAGATAATTTCTAAAATACTTTCAAGTGTTATATATTACAGTCTTTCCTCTAAATAGGAAAGATCATATGTCCTTGGACATTTTTGTCATCATTATTGTAAAATGCAAAATGAAGGGCCTTGTTATTCAGAACGATGTGTCAAGTGTTTCTATTTTCATAAAACCAGATTTATTAGAAATTTTTGTACCCAAAGGGACACTGATAGTCTCCTTTATTAGCACAATTAACAATTATTAGCATGAAGGACAATTTTCTTGCCTTTCAGATACTGATTCAAATCAATACTGGTGGGTAAAACATTCACAGCATTATCAAAACTGATACTGTAAGGACTTTCTAGAAACCAACTGTGTGGATTACTGAATGCTTTCAAATAATTATATCCTTTATTTTAACATACTTATCGCCCTGTTTTCCATAAAGATTTATAATAAAAACCTTTAGACATATAGGATATTTGAAAGAACCATGCATACACCACATATAATCTACAATAAATACTTTGCTATATTTGATTTAACATATAACTATCCTTCTAGCCCTTTCTCCATTCATTCATCTGTGATATTTGTGGATGGACTTATTCTATCTTCAAATTTTGGATGCATTTCAACCCTAGTTATAGCCTCAGTATACCTCACTTCTAAACACTTCAGTGTGTATGGCAATGAACAGTTTTATATACTTATATATTTATTTTTATTGGTGGAGGTAAAATTAGTGAAATGAACAAATATTAAGTATGCTATTTGATCAGTTTTGAAAAATGAGTACACATGTATAACTATCAAAATATTGAACATCATCATCACCCCAAGAAAAAGTATCTTCTTTGGCCCTTGCCAATGAGTTCTTACCTCTCTCAAGACCAGCAAGATTTAGCATCTGTTATAATAATTTTAATCAATGATTAATTTAGCATATTCTAAAGATTTCTTTCACTTGAAATAATGTTTTTGACTCTCCTTAATATTGTTTCATGTATCAATAGTTTGTTCTTTTTTATTGGTAAGTAATATTTATTTTACGAATATATCACACTTGGTTTTTGTTTTGCTTTGTATTACATTCTGTTGATGAATATTTGAACTTTTTTAAATTGTCAGCTATCATGAATAAAGCTTCTGTGAAAATTTTTGTGGAATTCCTTTGGCAGGCATATGTATTCTTCCTAGAATGGGTGAATATGAAGTTACGTGTTTAGTTTTCTAAGAAACTTCCATGAATTTTTTAGTGGCTGCAATATTTTACATGCCCACCTATCAACCACATGAGAGAGCTCTTATCACCTCCCCTGCACACTAAAATTTGATGTGGTCAATATTTTAAATGTGAGCCCTTCTACTACTGGCATTATAGCTTTAATTTTCAAGTCACTGATGACTACTGATGTTGAGTACATTTAATAATTTTATCATCATTCATACATCTTCCTTTATAAAGTGTTCAATTATTTGACCATATTTCTATTAGTTATATTTCACTTATTAAGTTAGAGAAATTCTTTATATGTTGTGTATACCAATTTCTTGTTTCTCTCTGTCACTCTCACACATATGTATACATATGCAAATATATATGTGTATACATGCAACTACATATCTTCACACACATTGAGAATATTTTTTTCTGAGCCTACAAATTGCATGTTTATTTTCTCAATGGTGTATTTTGATACGTATTTAATTATTTTGGCATGTTTTCAAACATTGATTTGCTTTTTATGTGTATATTTATTTCTGGGCTCTGTGTACTCTTCCTTAATCTCTCCATCTATTCATCCTAATACGAGGATCATGTCCTCTTGATAGTTGAAACTTTATAATAGTCTTAAAATCAGAGAGTATACATTCCAATTTCCCAGTGTCTCTTTCTCATGATTTCTTCAGAAATTCAAGCTAATTCGTTTGTATTTCTATTTAAATTTTGGAGCCAGGTTGTCAAGTTCTACTAAAAATAACAATGTGATTTGAAATGAGCTTGGTGTGTGTGCATGTGTGTTTGTGTTTATGTGCTTATTAGGCAAATTTTTGGTATAAAAATATTGAGTCTTCCAATCTATAAGCAGGATGCATCATTAATCCAATTATTTTGGTATTCTTTAATTTTCATTAGCAACATTTTGAAGTTGTTAATGTAGATAACCTGTGCACTAATTATTAAATTTAATCCCTTGAATTTCATTTTGATGGTATAATTACACATGTTTTAAAATTTCATTTCCTAATAGTTTGCTTATAATAAAAACAAATTCAATAGATTATTGAACACTCTCCTTGTATGTTCTTACTAAATTTACTTATTTACTAGTTTTTTTGTAGATGCCTTAGGATTTTGTACATAAGCAATCATGTAATTTGCAAATACAGACACTTAAATTATTTTTCACCCTTAAGATGTATACTTGAGTTTATCTTAAAGTTATTTTTACTTTAATTCCTCTAAAAGAGAATATGGTAAGAAAAACAAAAAGAAGTGAAAAATAAGTAATGATGCCTTGGGAAAAGTGTGTTAGAACATTCAAAGCTTTGGAGATGAAAGCCTTGTTAGAATAGGTAAAATACGTAAAAGATACAGACAAGTAAAAGGAATAAACGATTGAAAGGAAAACAAGCACACAGTAGTGGAAGTGTATAAGAGATAAAAGTGCATTTGAATATAAATTCCATCTAGAATATAAAAAAGTAGGTCATATTCTAACCTACTTATTTTTGGTATTCTTGATAAAAATCTAGAGTAAATGAATAAATATCTAATGGAAAATATTTAACTAAAAAAATAAGGCATATGAAAAGATACTCAATATCATATGTCATTAGGGAAATTAAAACAACTAGATATTACTAAACACCAATTAAAAGGGCCAAAATAACAATGACAATACCAAATGCTAGTACAAATGTAAGATAACAGGAACTCTTCATTTATTACTGATAAGGACGCAAAATGGTACAACCACTTTGGAAGACAGTTTTGCAGTATCTTACAAAATTAAACATCATCTTAACATATGATCTGGTAATCTGCTCCTTGGAGAATGGAAGAAAGATCCAGACTCAAATAAATCGGAAAGAATATGTCCACACAAAACCTGTACGCAGATGTTTATAAAAGCTTTAGTCTTATTTGCCCAAACTTGGAAGCATCCAAGAAGCTCTTTAGTCTGTGAATAAATAAACTGGGATACATTCACAGAATGGAATATTATTCAGTGCTAAAAGCACATGAGCTATTAAGCAATTAAAAAACAAGGAGTAACCTTAAATGCATGTTACTAAGTGAAAGAAAATAATCTGAAAAATATGCATACTATATAATTCCAACCATATAACATTCATAAAAGGCAAAAATATGGAGACAGTAAGATTGGTGGTTCCCAGAGATTTGAGGAGAGGGAGGGATGAACAGGCAGAACACAGAGGAATTTTAGTCAATGAAACAACTGTTCCATATGATACTCTATTAGTAGATATATGTCATTATACATTTGTCAAAACTCATAGAATGTACAACACCTAGTGTGAAACCTAGTGTAAATTATAGACTTTGAGTTATTGTATGTCAATGTAGGTTTGCAGATTATAACAAATATACCACTCTAATGCAAGGATGTCACTAGTGGGGGAAGCTGTGCAAGTGTAAAGGATGTGGGTATATAGGAATACTGCACTTTCCACTTAATTTTACTGTGAACACAAAACCACTCTACAGAATAAAAAGTCAATACTAATAATAATAATAATAATAATGAAGATTCAAATCTATAATTAAGCAGGAACAGTTTTCAAAATATGAATATTAAATTATGTCCTTGAAAAATTACTTTTAAGTTACTTAGAGTTCAACTAGAAAAATAAACTTTTGGAAACACGATCAAAAAATTACCTCCAAGCAAGGAAATTAAGCTACATAAGACTACTTCTCAGCCTATAAAGGAATACATAAGGAAGTTCAGGAAAATTTTACCTAACTACTAGACATCCAGAAGAAGTTCTCAACCATGAATTTTACTTAGGAGTAGTGTAGACAGAGGCTAAGGATATATAAAATGAATCATGCAATATGCCAATTATTCAGTAAACTTTAATGTTACAATTAAAAGTTTAAAAAAACAATAAATCAAAACCAAAAATGTATTGCATAAAATATTGTGCTCGCAGTTTGATGTTTCCGTATGTAGGATGATCAAAACATAATTATAACCTTCCAGTGCCAACTTTCTATAGGAATCATTCTAACTTTAAACTTTAAGATATTGACATTACTATTATCCATACCATTAATGTAAAAAAGTGAAAACCACTGGCTCCTCTTGGAGCCAGAAAGTCTTTGTTTCAAATCTCAGCCCAGCAAAAACACTGCTGAGTGACCTCATGTAAATTATTTGATTTTGATTTCACTTTCTGCACCTTAAAAAAATGAAAATAGAATATGCTGAAAATAGAATATGCTTTACAGAGTTTTGTTGTTGTTTTGGGGTAGTGAGTGAGTGTGGTTCAGTTAGCTATCTTTATGGTACAGGGCCATAAAGGGTACACAATATGTAATCTGTAAGTTTTGAGTTATTCTTATTTCTCTTCTGAAATTCAGGATGTTTTCCCTAGACTCTGGATCTTTTTTCCATTCTCCAGTGAATCCTCTGTATCCTATTAGAATTGCATTTGTTTCCTGTACTCTTGGTCATTCACAGATTGCTTTCAAAGAGTACCAAAATAGTTTCTATTTTAATTTTACATTTTGGCAACCCACACGCAATCCAGTAGAGACAGTTGGGGTAAGCAGAAGATTCTGTTCTCAAAATGTTTCCTTAGTAGAAATGCCGGAGTTGAAGTGCGTAAAGAGGCATAAAAGAATTATTTTAGGTAGCAAGCAGGAAAGTGAGGAAATTTCCAAATTTAACTGTTCTACCCGCACAATAGATCTGACCTAACTACTGTTGAATGTTGAAAATATACTTGTTTTTCATTTTTAAAGAAATAAGATAATACTATGGAGAGTTATAACGATTGTTTCCCAATAAATGTTTCATACTCTTTTAGGTGATAGCAATATTTTTAGAGTAGTTGGCAAAAAGATGAACAAAAGATTGTTTGCAAAATTACCTGCTGTACTAAGAGCAGAATAAAGATGACTTACGGAGCAGGAAAATAATCTCTTAAGGTTGTGCTTTACACAATATTCAATTTGAAATGTAAAGATACCTTTTTTTTTCTAGAGACAGGATCTTGCTTTGTTTATATATATATAAATATATATATTTTTATTATACTTTAAGTTCTAGGGTACATGTGCACACCATGCAGGTTTGTTACTTATGTATACATGTGCCATGTTGGTGTGCTGCACCCATTAACTCGTCATTTACATTAGGTATATCTCCTAATGCTATCCCTCCCCGCTCCCCCCACCCCACAACAGGACCCGGTGTGTGATGTTCCCCTTCCTGTGTCCAAGTGTTCTCATTGCTCAATTCCCACCAACCCAAATGTCCAACAATGATAGACTGGATTAAGAAAATGTGGCACATATACACCATGGAATACTACGTAGCCATAAAAAATGATGAGTTCATGTCCTTTGTAGGGACATGGATGAAGCTGGAAACCATCATTCTCAGCAAACTATTGCAAGGACAAAAAACCAAACACTGCATGTTCTCACTCATAGGATCTTGCTTTGTAACCTAGGCTGGAGTGCAGTGGTGCAATCATAGTTTATTGCAGCCTTGAACTCCTGGGCTAAAGTGATCCTCTGGCCTCAGCCTCCTGAGTAGCTGGGACTACAGGTGTTTGCCACCATGTCCAGCTAATTTTTTTGTAGAGACAGGATCTCACTACATTACCCAGGCTGGTCTCGAACTCTTGGCCTCAAGTGATCCTCCTGCCTCAGCCTCCTAAAATGGTGAGATTACAGGTGTGAGACATCACACCTGGCCAAGATTTCTTAATATAAGCTTTCTATAAATATAATGTCTACATGTAAAAGTAATTACATAATTTAAATTATTGATAGCATTGTTGACACAGGGTTTTGTTGACATCAAGCATTTCTCTTTTAGTATGTCACTTCAGCACTTTTTCATAAGGGATGTGAAAAAAAGATTTTTGAAGTTTTTCATAGTATAAGACTATCACAAGTAAATTGGCTTTGTTCCATTAAAAATTACTTCCTGTTTCTATGCTTGTGTCCATCTTAGCTTTCACTTCAAATTTTAAAAACTTATAAATAATAAACAGTAACTTAGTCCTTAAAAATATTCATATTTGATGTCTGCATAAACTTTTTATTGTCAGAATATAAGCTCCATATGAGCAGGAATATAATCTGTTTTTCTCAAAAGTGTATTTTCAGTGCCTAAAAGAATGCTTAGTGGTTGGGTGCAGTGACTCATGCCTGTAATCCCAGCACTTTGGGAGGCTGAGGCAGGCGAATTGCTTGAAGTCAGGAGTTTGAGACCAGTCTGCCCAACATAGTGAAACCCCGTCTTTACTAAAAATACCAAAAAAAAAAAAAAAAAATAGCCGGACGTGGTGGCATGCTCCTGTAATCCCAGCTACTCGAGAGGCTGAGGTGGGGGAACTGCTTGAACCAGTGGGGTTGAGGTTGCAGTGAGCAGAGATCGTACCACTGCACTCCAACCTGGGTGACAGAGAGAGACTCTGTCAAAAACATAAAAAGTACTTAGCATATACTAAATGCTCAGTAGATAATTGGTAAGTACATTATTAAATGCTTTAAAAGTGAATACGATCCAAATATCAGAAATACAGCCCCAAAAGAAAAGGGGAGTAATAAACAATATAGAAAAAAAGAGAAATTTCAGGAGAATTGAAATCTGGGTTTGAGCAACTTTTAAAGTACTGGTTTCTAAAATTGAAGAACTTCACAAAGCTAGTGTCACAAAATCCTCCTGTATTATTCATAAAGAGATTTGATGAGTCCCAGAGTAAACATCTGGTTTGAGGATTGCATTGGGTCATGAATATCACCCAGGATATGAAAGGCAGAAAATATCCTTGAAAACATGTCTCTCCTGCCTTAGGCAGATTCTAGTAAAGATGAACTGACAGTAACAGGAGGACTTCTCCCTCCCTTGTGAAGTTTTCAAAGTATATGAATCAATTAGAATTATTCTAATGCTTTGTTTGCCATTTATGCTACCTTTCATTGACCATTTCTAAAATGTAATAATTTTATCACTGACTTTTCCTTTCTTATAAGTCACCACTCAACGTGGAGAAAAATTTGCCCTAAATGATCTTACTCTCTTCACTTGTACTCTGAGAAAAGGCTTTAGGGTTCAGCATGATCACTCGTTATAGAGCTTGGGTCTGGGATCACTGTAATTTGTCACATTAAAAATACTAATGGAAGGCAAGTACTGCCTAAATAGTGGAACACCATACTTCTTAGTGATGTCTTATGTGACCACAGCAGACTGTCAAAGATGTCCTTTTACAAATTTTCTTGGTAGTGTTTCTTGCATACGTAGTATGTGGGGTTTTTTATGGTTCTTTAGAGTCTTTCCTCAATCCGTACGTGCCACGAGAACAGGCTCTCATGCCTCTGATATTGGTCAATGTTGTATCATCAATGCCTGTCATAGTTCGTGATATATAATACATGGTCACATCTTTTGTTGATGTTTTTGAATCAATATATAAGGTTAGTGTTAGGACTAAGGGGTACCAGGGTAGGTGTTGGTGATACAGAGATGGATTCGAATATCTTTGTAATCAGGGAACCCTCTGGAGAATGAAGGAAAGAGATGCATGTGATTATTCTATTAGTTGGTAAAAACTATCAGTGGTCCTAAACAGCCCAGTGCTATGGCAACACAAAGGAAGACCATACAAACACATGTAAAAAACAACATCCCTGCTGTTATATGCCTGAGTTTAACATAGCTAGAAAAAACTTTATTCTCCATTCCATTTTCTTCCTTTTCTTTTCCTCACCCATCCTCTTCCTTTTCCCTTTACTCTGACAGCAATCCCAAGAAAGACACCAATGTATATTTCCTCCAAAGAAAGAGAAATTCAGTTACTATAAGAACAATAATCGGCTGGGCGGGGCGGCTCACTCCTGTAATTCCAACACTGTGGGAAGCCAAGGTGGGTGGATCACAAGGTCAGGAGTTTGAGACCAGCCTGGCCAATAACATGAAACCCCATCTCTATTAAAAATACAAAAAAGTAGCCGGGTGTGGTGGGGTGCGCCTGTAGTCCAGCTTACTCAGGAGGCTGAGGCAGGAGAATCACTTGAACCCAGGAGGCGGAGGTTGCAGTGAGCCAAGATCGTACCACCACACTCCAGCCTGGGTGACAGAGTGAGACTCTGCCTCAAAAAAAAAAGAAAAAAAAAAAGAACAATAATCACCATCATTCATCAAACTGTGATAACAATCATATACTAATCCTAGAAAGTATGAAAATGAAGATCCTACATAGAGTGCCTGGCACATTAACTTCTACATCTTAACATTGTTTTATGTTTCATCACTTGGGATTTTATTTGGAAAATCCTCTTTTGTTCAACGTTATATGATGCTTAATTTTTAACTTAGGGCATCGCTTTGAAAGTGTGAACAACATTTTCTATGCAGCTACATTAACTGCATAGAAGCTGCATGTTCACTGAATTCATTAAATTCAAACTGAGGGTCAAATTGTATTCCTGTTCTATCCAGGGCTAATCCTTCTTGTTTTATATCTTGGAAATATTATCAAAATGTACTTTTTTTCTTTCTTTATTCATGATTTATTTTTGTATGTGTTTGTTATTAAAATGTATATATTTCAAAATCTCCTAGTATTTCACAGGATAGTAGCAATAGTATGTAATTTTAGTCTTTTTAATAATAATGAATCATTTAAAATAGAACTAAGAGAGATTATTTTATTACATTGTAAGGTTTCTTTTATGTATACGTTTCTAAGTCAGGAAAAAGGCTGATGTGGTGGTTCATGCATTTATCTTTTTGATTTTGTTCCATTTTATATCCCAAACTTTTCATGATTTCCTATTTTTTTTCTAATTTTCTGCTTGATACCTGTTCTCCAAAAATATTTCCAAGAAGTTTTAATGTTTCCAAGAGGTTTAGTTGTATTCTATGATCAAATACATTTGAGAAATGTTACATATAATGTGTCTTTCTTGGAAATTCACAGGGCATATTTATATATTAAAGGCTCTTAAGAGTCCTGTAGTAAATACCTTTGTTTATATTTCTTTAATCGGTGATTCCAAATAGTCTACCAAATCCCTGTGCTGTCAATACTGCTGCTGTTTTTGCTGTTTCATGCATGTTACTTATTAACATCTCAAGGAATAAACATTTACAAAGACTTATTTATAATCTACATTTCTTTTGCAAGAATTCAGCTGAATAGATGAGTTAAATAAGTATCTGTTTTATACATGCATTTTCCTCAAATACTAGTTCTCAGATGATTGTTGACCTTCAATATTCCTAATTTGAAATTGAAGTTGGACTTGCTGATTTAAAGTATAGAAAACCTCTCTAGGGCATGGGCAGCATAAGGAAAATTTGGAGCAAGAATTCTTTATGATTACAGTGAACAACAATTTCATTTTTCTCATTTATATGAAAAATCTTGGAGTCATTCTTGATGCCTCTTTTTCTCTCATATCCCATTGCCAATTGTCACAATTTGTTTTGACAATTGCTTATACATACATCTAGAATCTAGAACTATCAAACAATTTTTGTCACCTTTCTTTGACCAGTGTCCAAGCCATGACCATCTTTTACTTAAATTATTGTAATAGCTTTCTAGCTCACTAACTCATTCCTCTGCTACTCCCTCGTCACGCAATATACAGTCATCCAAATATCCAAGGAATTCTGTTAAAATATAATTGAGATTGTTTCCTTCCTCTGCTTGAAACCTTCTAATAAGGTCCCTTCTCTCTAAAATTATGACAATGTCCTTAAAGTGATTTAAAATGCTAACTACATGATTTACCTTCAGCTACCTCTCATTTTGCATTCCTTTTTATCCTTCTTCCTTACTGCTCTGTCCCTGCCACATCAGCTAGCCATGATTTTTGCAACTTGGCAGGCCTGCCCTATGCTTTAGGGCTTTTGAGATTCCCTCAACCTAGAGTGCTTTTCATCCAGTTCTCTCCATTGTCACCTTGCTCATATCTCTTCAGTCCCTTTTCAAATGCCATGAGCTCTAAAATGATCAGCTTTTGTTCCAGCTATCCTATTTCTAGAATGCATTGTTAAACAAAAAATAGCATTCACATAAATATTGTATTAAAATATAATAAATTAAAAATACTATATATACTAGTGTTAGTATATATTACTAGTATTACATAATGCTAGTATATGTATATATACATATATATGTGTGTACTACTCTATATAAAGTAGAGCTTTACTATACACCTAAAGCTTTACTATACACTGTATATCATGTGGAAAACATTCAATACATAATTATTTTATATTTCTATTATACATCTATATGTAATATAGAGAAATAAAATATTAATAAATCATCAACAGTAGAAGCATAGTTTAATACAATGATTTAATGATTGATGATGTGCAGATTCCAAAATGTTCATTTTTAAGATAATATGACAATATAAAATAAAAAATAAAAAATCCAATAAAATATCCATTTCCTTGTCTCTGAACCCCTTAAAATCAGTGTCTCTCTCTCTCTTTTTTTTTAAATTTACATACTCATTTTCTGGCACATGTTAAGGTCTGAATGTAGTGTTAGTTAATTAAAGAATAGTGCAATCATAAACAAAATAATATTTATATAAATTAATAAATTGATAAACAAGTCATGAACAAAATAATTATATCAATTAAGCTCTTAAATTTCAATTTTTGTTAAAGTATTTTTTCAATTAAAAAAAGCTCATTACGAGGTGACATAGTTTTTGGTTTTGTTTTTTTAACTTATTTTAGGCTCAGGGTACATGTGCAGGCTTGTTATATAGGTGAATTGTGTGTCTCAAGGGTTTGGTATACAGATTATTTTGTCACACAGGTAATAAGCATGGTACCTGATAGAAAATTTTTTGATTCTTTTCCTCCTCCCACTTTCTACCCTCAGCTAGGGCCTGGTGTCTGTTGTTTGCTTCTTTGCATTCATGTGTTCTCAAAGTTGAGCACATTTATAGGTGAGAACATGAGTATTTAGTTTTCTGTTCTTGCATTAGTTCACTTAGGATAACGGACTCCAGCTCCTTTCATGTTACTGCAGAGAACATAGTCTCATTCTTTTTATGGCTGCATAGAATTCCAAGATGTGTATGTACCACATTTTCTTTTGCTGTCTACCATTGATGGGCATTTAGGTTGATTTAATGTCTTTGCTATTGTGAATTGTGCTTCAATGAACATACATGCATGCCTCCACCTATGGGAGAATGTTTTATATTCCTTTGCGTACGTACCCAATAATAAGATCTCTGGGTCAAATGATAATTCTGTTTTAAGTTATTCGCGAAATCACCATTCTGCTTTCCACAAGGGCTGAACTAATTTGTATCTGTGCCAGCAATGTAAAAGCATTCTCTTTTTTTAACCCCCCACTAGCATTTGTTATTTTATGACTTTTTAAATAATAGCCATTCTTACTGGTGTGAAATGATATATTATTGTGGGTTTTGATTTGCATTTCTCTAATTATCAGTGATATTGAGCTTTTAGTCAGATGTTTGTGGGTCGCATGTATGTCTTCTTTTTAAAAGTGTCTGTTCATGTCCTTTGCCCACTTTTTAATGGGATTGTTTGGTTTTTGTATGTTAATTTAAGTTCCTTATAGATTCTGGGTATTAGATCTTTGTCAGATGTAGTTTGCAAATATTTTTTCCCATTCTGTAGGTTGTTGTTTTACTCTTTTGACCGTTGTTGATTTTTGGTTTCTGGTGTTTTGTTTTGTTTTTGCTGTGCAGAAGCTCTTTAGTTTAGGTTCCACTTACCTATTTTTGTTTTTGGCACAGTTGCTTTTTGCATCTTTGCCATTAAAATTTTGCCAGGGCCTATATCCAGAAGGGTATATCCTACGTTATTTTCCAGGGTTTTTATAGTGTTATGTTTTATGTTTAACTCTTTTTTTCTTTTTTTTTTCTTTTATTTTTTTTTGGAGATGGAGTCTTGCTCTGTCCCACAGGCTGTAGTGCAGTGACCTGATCTTGGCTCACTGCAACCTCCGCCTCCTGGGTTCAAGCAATTCTCCTGCCTCAGCCTCCTGAGTAGCTGGGACTACAGGCGTGCGCCACCATGCCTAGCTAATTTTTTTGTATTTTTAGTAGAGATGGGGTTTCACTATGTTGGCCAGGCTGGTCTCGACCTCCTGACCTCATGATCCAACCTCCTTAGCCTCCCAAAGTGTTGGGATTACAGGCGTGAGCCACCGTGCCCAGCCACGTTTAACTCTTTAATCCATCTTGATTTTTCTGTATGGTGTAAAGAAGAATTCTAGTTTCAGTCTTCTGCCTGTGGCTAGCCAGTTATCCCGGTACCATTTATTGAATAGGGAGTCCTTTCCCCATTGCTTGTTATTGTTCCATTTGCCTCAGTGATTTGCTTGTTTTCTTGACATTTGTCAGATGGTTGTGCATGTATGGCATCATTTCTGCCGTCTCTATTTTGTTCCATCATTCTAAGTGTCTTTTTTTTTTTTTTTCCAGTAACATGCTGTTTTGGTTACTGCAGTCTTATAGTATAGTTTGAAGTCAGGTAACATGATATCTTCAGGTTTGTTCTATTTGCTTAGGATTGTCTTGGCCATTTGTTTATTTTTGGTTCCATATGCATTTTAAAGTAGTTTTTTTTTACTAATTCTGAGAAGAATGTCATTGGTAGTATGACAGAAATAGCATCAAATGCTTAGCTGTGTCCCAGGCATTCTGGTATGCTGTATCTTTGTTCTCATTAGTTTCAAAGAATTTGTTGATTTTGGCCTTAATTTCAGTGTTTACCAAAACGTTATTCAGATAGTGGTTGATTAATTTACATATAATTGTATCATTTTAGTGATTTTTAAAAATATTCATTTATATTTTTATTATGGTGTGGTCCAAGAGTGTGTTTTCTAAGATTCTGGTTTTTTTGAATTTGCAAAGGACTGTTTTATGGCCAATTTTTTGTTCAATTTTAGAATATATGTTATGAGGTGATGAGGAGAATGTATATTCTGTTAGTTTTGGGTGGAGATTTATGTAGACATCTGTTAGGCCCATTTGTTCAAGTGTTGAGTTCAGGTTCTGAATACGTTTGTTAGTTTTCTGCCTCACTGATCTGTCTAATACTGTGAGTTGGGTGTTGAAGTCTCCCACTATTATTGTGTGGTTATCTAAGTCTCTTCATAGGTCTAAACTTGCTTTACGAATCTGGGTGCTCCTATGTTGGGCACATATATATTTAGGATAGTTATGTCTTCTTGTGGAATTTAACCCTTTACCATTATGTAATTCGTTGTTGGTTTAAAGTCTGTTTTGTCTGAAATTAGAATAACAATCTCTTTTTTTTTCTGTTTTTATCCATCTCTTTACTTTAAATTAATTAGGAGTCATTGCATGTGAGATGGGTCTCTTGAAGACAGCATAAGTTAGTTGGGTCTTGCTTCTTTATCTAACTTGCCAGTCTGCGTCTTTTTGTTGGGATATTTACCCCATTTACATTCAAGGTTAACATTAATATGTGCTGATTTGATCCTGTCATCGTGTTATTAACTGGTTATTACAGAGACTTGATTGTGTGCTTGCTTTATAGTGTCAATGGTCTCTATACTTGTGTGATTTGTGGTGGCAGGTATTAGTCTTTCTGTTCTACATTTAGCATTCCCTTAAGTATCTGTTTTAAGGCAGCTCTAGTGGTGGTGAATTCCCTTAGAATTTGCTTGTCTGAAAAGGATCTTATTTCTACTTTTTTTTGTGAAGATTAGTTTGGTTGGATGTGAAATTCTGGGTTAGAATTTCTTTCTTTAAGAATGCTGAATATAGGCCCCTAATCTCTCCTGGCTTATAGGGTCTCTGCTGAAGGGTCTGCTGTTAGCCTGATGGGTTCCCCTTTGGAGGTGACCTGTCCCTTCTTTCTACCTCCCGTAATATTTCTTCTTTCATGTCCACCTTGGAGAATCCAATGATTATGTGTCTTGGGGATGGCTGTTTTGTATAGTATCTTGCAGGAGTTCTCTACATTTCCTGAATTTCAATATTGGCCTCTCTAGTGATGTTGGGGAAATTTTCATGGACAATATTCTCAAATATGTTTTCCAAGTTGCTTGTTTGCTTTCCCTCTCTTTCTGGAATGCCAATGAGTCATTGATTTGGTCTCTTTACCTAATCCCATATTTCTCTGAGGTTTGGTTCATTCTTTTTATTCTTTTTCCTTTGTTTTTATCTGACTGAGATAGTTTAAAGAACCATTCTTTGAGCTCTGAGATTCTTTCCTTAGCTTGGTCTATTCTGCTGTTAGTATTTGCAATTGTGTTATGACATTCTTGAAGTGGGTTTTTCAGATCTATAAGATGTATTTGGTTCATTCTTAAATTGGCCATTTCACCTTTTATCTCTTGTATCATTTTATTGTCATCCTTAGATTCCTTGGATTGGGTCTTGACTTTCTCCTGAATTTTGCTGATCTTTGCTTCTACCTATATTCTGAATTCCATGTCTGTAATTTTAGCCATTTAAACCTAGTTAATAACCTTTGCTGTGGAACTTGTGTGATTGTTTGGCAGAAAGAAGACACTCTGGCTTTTTGAGTTGCCAGAGTTTTGCACTAGTTCTTTCTCATCTGTATGGGCCGACATTCCTTTAACTGTGGGGTAATTTGAGTACAGTCAGTTTATTTCTTTTCTGGATGTTTTTAGAAGGTCATGGCTTCATGCAAGTTCTTTATTTGTAGCAGAATTATTGTCCTTGATTTCAAGGGGGGCTATGATTAGCAAAGTACTTTTGGTGTCGAAGTTTGAGCTATGATCCAGTAGATGGTGCTTAAGCATAATGGCCAGTTGGTAGGCTCTTCATCACCAGGCTCCTCTGTAGGAGCTGTGCTCTCTCTCAGTGCTCTGAAAGCATGTGCTCCTCTCCCACTGAAGAGCTGGCTGCAGATCTTGGCTTGGCACTCCCAGGCTGCACACTGCAGCCCTTGGGCTTGCTCAGGTTTTATGTTCCTTCCCTAGTGTGGAGGCAGCATGGGAAGGAACCTTAGGAGTAACTATGGCCAAGAGCCTTTCCCTTGTCTCTTAGGGATCCACCCCAGAGAAAAAGCAGAGCCACTATCCATCAGTGTGATTGGCTACATTGTGGGCCCAAGCCAGGGGGCCCCGCCTGGTGACAAGCAGGGCAGGGCAGAGGGCTCGTGCTAGTGACAGAATTGCCTCCTCTCCTGAGGGCAGCTGTGGCTTGCTAGAGATGTGGGTAAAGCACTCAGGGTCTTTGCTGCTTCCCCAGTTCTCTGAGTGCATCAAGGGCAGTACCATTGCAGTGGCAGGGGCAAAGGGGCTTTTGATTGCCTCTGGGAGCTCCTTCTCAGAGAAATGCAGCACTACTCACGAGGATGTTCACCCATCAGGTGGGAAAGCTATGCTGCTGGCCTGAGCCAGGGCTCTGCTTCCTGAAGAGGGCATGGCTGGGGGCTCACAAGGAAGGAGGGACTATGGGGTTACTGAGGCTTGCTGGAAGCATGAGTAAAGCCCTCAGGCTCTTTGTTCCTTCCCCAGAATTGCTGCAGTGACAGTGGCAGAGGGGTTATCCATTGCCTCTGGGAGCCACTCCGCAGGGAATCACAGAGGTGCACCAGAGGGAATGCTCAGCTGGTGATAGAGCGTGTTGCTCTGCTGTCCCAACAGGGTGGGGTTCTGCCTGGTGAAGATTGTAGGGGGTGGTCTTACATAAAAAAAGGGACTGGCTTCTCTCTACATGGTGGTTGCAGTGTGCTGGAGGTGCCAGCTTAGCAACCAGGCCATTTGTTTCTTCCCCAACCAAGGGCAGTAAGGGAGGTACCACGGCAGCTGCAATGGCAGAGGGGCTGTGTGGGTTGTCGCTGGAATTTCCTCCCCAGAGAAAGGCAGAGTCACTACAGACTAAAGTGTTCAGACAGGGGCAGGGTGGTTGTTCTGGGGGCCCGGGTCGAGAGGCCCTGCCCAGTGAGGAATAACAGGGACAGGGACCCATGTGGGAAATAGTCTGACTTCTTTCTCATAAGGGAGCTGCACTGGGCTGGAGGTCCACATTAGTTCTTAATCACTTTGCTCCCTCCTGAGTCTGCTGAGCCTGAGGGAAGTGGTAGCAGGGGCTTTGGAGCAGCAGAAATGTCAGGGCTGCTTGCTCCCTCTGTGAGCTCTGACCCGGGGAAGGGCAGGGCTGAAACTGACCTGAGACTCCAGGTGGGGTTGGGATCCCAGATGGTGAGTCCCTGCTCGGGGAGGATTAGCAGTGGTAGGGACCCACGTAGAAAACAGTCTGGCCACTTTTTTTGTAAGGCAGTTGCTCTATGCTGGAAGCCTGCATTAGTCCATAATCGCTGCACTTCCTCCTGAGCCTGAGGGCAGCAGAAGCTGGGGCTGCAGAGCCGCAAAAATGGCAGACCAGCCTGCTATATCTGGGCTCCATCTCAGGAAAGTGAAGAGCTGCTCCCAGCCTGAGAGCTCAGGGTAGGTTGGGGTGGCTGTGCTAGGGTCCTATGCCAGTGGGACTTGTTCATCACAGTGCCATGGAGGTAAGGCCTGCAGTCTATCTGCTGCTCAGCCCTGTGGATTCAGACCCTTTCTTGGGGGCATGCAAGGGAGCCTGGCTTCCTCCATTGACAGAGCTGCAGCTGCTGGTGCCAGGGTGCCCAGGGAAACAAAGCCCCCAGGACTCTGCATTTGCCTGAGTGGTGGCTCTGCCCAGACTCCCTAGCTCTCGGTGTGAGTCTGGAGGCTCCAGTGGGTGAGTGGGGTCACAGGAGATCATCTGGGCTCCGGGTTGCAAAGGTTCGTGGCAGAAGTGTGGGTCCTTGGGGACTCTCACTCACTCACCATTTCCCCATAGTGGGGAGCCTCTTGTTTCTGCACCACTTCCGGGTGGATGGTTGTTCTATCTTGCTCGTCTCTGTTCTCCATGAGTCAAGCTGCTTCCTTGATGTATCCTGATATGTCCACCCGGATTTTCCAGTTGAAGAGCTGGTGTTTACTGGCCACTCTTTATTCTGTCCATGAGAGCAGCACACTCTAGCTGCTTCTAGTCAGCCATCTTAGAAGAAGTTTAAGTTTCCAAGGTGAAATACTTTTTAGAAAAACAAGTTCAAAACCATACCTGTATAAATATATATACACATGTATAGATGCATATATATATATATATATACGTTTATAAAAACAACATGAACACATATATACATATACAGTCATGTGTTGCCTAACAACAGGGATACACTCTGAGAAATGCATCAGTAGGTGATTTAATCATTGTATGAACACTGTAGAGTGTACTTCCAAAAATCTCGGAGATGTAAGACTACCACACACGTAAAGCTCTATGGTATAGCCTATTGCTCCTACGGTACAAACCTGTACGGCATCTTCTGTACTCAATACTATAGACGTTTGTAACCAAATGGTTAAATAGGTGTATATCTAAACATAGAAAAGGTACAGAAAAAATTGGGTATAAAAGAAAAAAATTGTACACCTTTATAGAGCAGTTACTGTGAATAGCACTTGCAGGACCCGAAGTTGCTCTGGGTGAGTCAGTGAGTGAGTGATGAGTGAATGTGAAGGCCTAGAACATTACTGTACCCTATAGTAAATTTAATAAAACTTATACATGTCGGCTACGCTAAATATATTTTAAAATATTTTTCTTTCTTGAGAAACAAATTACCCCTATTTAACTATAACTTTTAAGTTTTGTAAACATTTTAATTATTTGATCCTTTATAATAAAACTTAGCTTAAAATACAAACACATTCTACAACTATACAAAAATATTTTCTTTATTTAGCTGCCTACTGTGTTTTCTATTTATTATTATTATGTGTTTACATTTTAAACTTTTCATTAAAAACTAAGACATCAGCACACACATTAATCTAGGCCTACACAGGGTCAGGATCATCGAAAAACGTTACTAGGCAATAGGAATTTTGCAACTCCACTATAATTTTATGGGGTGACTGTTGTATATGAGGCCTATTGTTGACCAAAAAGTCATTATTTCGTCATGTATGTAGATACATACATGAGGACCATAATAGAAGTGTTGTGTAGAATCAAAAATTACATTTCAATCATTACTAGGAAATTAGAAACATTAAACATTTTATATTCAGAATAAGCACAGGTTTAGTGAAGTATATATTTTATATATACATTCCCATCCATTGTATTTTGCAAGCCTGACATTGAAAAAAATGATTTAACTGCTTACAGAATTTTAATAAATATTTTATGTGATAATTATTATTGGTATTATTGGTAGTTGAAATTCTCATGAAGCTATCATTTCTACTTTCTAGCTTCCAATACTTGAGAATAATTCAGTTACAAATTTTGAAGCAAGGTGACTCTTTAGTAACAAACATTTGTTAAAGATGAAATATTTTTTTTTCCCAATTTCTAATGAATAAAGTTTTTTTGTTTTAAAATGAATACATTGTATGTTAAACATGGGCCAGGTATGTCAAATATAGGTATAAACATAGAAAATAAATTTTAAATTATGGTGATTAAGTTTCATTTAACACAATGAAACTAAGCTTCTAGATTTATGAGCTAATACTAGCTCTGTAGCTGAAACCTGATATCAAACTGACATAAAAAGCTATTCTACTGATTATGTGTATCCAATTATAACCACATTGTCCATTCATTATAGTCAAGTCCATTTGCTAAGATTTACATTTTTCCATAGATTACTAGTAATGATTGTGGCCAATATGATTGAAATGAATCGAGCCTATCGTGGAATCATGTTAGCTCTCAAAGTAACATGTAATTTTCGCGTGACAGTACATCAAGAAGAAAAAAAAAATTCTGTCCTCAAAAGTTTTGCTATCCTCCCACTCATGTCAACAAATTCTGTCATTTTTGAGGCTGTATTTGGGTGCAAACAGGATAATTGAATGATCTCTAAGTGTTTAAAATGATAAGGAATTTAGTTTTAAAAATTTATTATGGAATAGTTGAGGAGCCAAACAAAGATGAAGAGAAAATCCAGGAATGATAAACAGTAGGAAGCCACTATAGTTCCTAGTCTTGAGAAACTGAGGGAGGAAGTTGTGTTACTAGAAACCATGTCTGGCGTCTCCTGTGTGAACCTGGATTTATAGCGGGATTTGCATTGTGTTTTAAATGGTGATGTGGTGAAAATGGGAGCAGAGTATAGAGAGGGGAGTGCACATGAAGCCAGGGTAGGTAAAACGAAGTAGCTGAGAGCAAGCTACCTGTTGTTTGGGAGAAGACAGTAAATGATTAGATGAAAACAGGTATTTAGTAGTTGAAAATTTTTTAAAAAAGTAAATATACTTCATTTGTCCAATCACTTATTCATTCAACAAACATTCGTTGAGTACCTATATCATAGTAAGTGCTGTGCTAAGAAAGGAAATCAACTGACTCTTAATCTCTGTTGGCATATAGTACTTAGAGCTTGATAGAAGAAACTGAAACGGTAACATCAAATTCAGTATATTATGATAAAGTAATGTAAGTATTTATGATGGTATATTGGAGCTCAGGAAAATGAAAACTAAACCAGAATGAAAATCAAAAAGGGAAGTGACTTGTAATCTTCATTTTAAAATATTAACGTGATATCGCTGAAGACACATGCTGAGAGTTATGCATAGTCATAGAGGTGTGAGAAAGTACATTTTGTCAGTGAGTTCATGGGATTTCCACAAGTTTAGAATGTCTAATGCAAAGCATTCTTACAGTATTGGATAATGCTAGCAAGGTCAGCAGAACCCTATGGTCTAAAACTTCCTTGAGTATTTTGCTTTAGGGAATCCCTAGACATGACCAACTGTCTTCATCATTTAGAACAACTGCATGGATTGTAACGCATGTTATTGTGGAAAATGAAAATGACCTCTAACACTTAGAAACTTTATTCAATATTAACTGCACCCCCACACCAAAGCTCATGCAAATAATGATTTCTTTAATAGCCTCTACCAATCAGCTTCATGACTGTGCTGCTCCCACTACTTTGGGATCCAATAAAATTTTTTTGTTAGATTAGAAATACTGTGTATTCTTTGATACTTTTATTATTGAGAATTGAATTTTATTATTCCTCCCATTAGTCTAGGTAAATTCTATAAACTGCTTTTATCAATAAAATGCTGAGGAAGAAGGGTTGTGTATTTAGAGACCAGACGTTTAAAAACCGGCAACTTCAATTTTCCATCTCTACGAGCCCTCTCTGGAAGGACTGACCTATTCTCTAAGAAGTTTGCCTACCCTGAAAACAGCATGTGTAAACACTCTGATCAAGAAATACAGATTAGCCAAGTCTTCTGGCCATCCCTGCAAAGGCAACAACTGTGTGAATACAGCCACCTAGGATCTTCCCAGCTACACCATTTTCCAGCTGAATTCAATCAGGCAACTTTAATCAACACCATGTAATAGTTAAACTCACCCAGCACAGCCCAGCCTGAATTCCCAAACCCCCTACCCCAAGCAAAATACTAGACATAATAAACACATGTTTTAAGGCACTATGTGTTTGGAATTATTTGTCACATATCAGGATTAATCAGAAGAGTTGCCTAAATAAAAACTTGAAGAACTTAACTGGATAAAATCCTATATGGTGGCAACTCTTAATTTTTTTAGACTTTGGTTTTCCAAAGAAAACGGTTTTCCAAATGCCAAGCCTTGTTATTATTATTATTTTCTGCCAGAAGCCAAATTTAGAAATGGGTTGCCTTATCTTGTTGATTGGTGTCTGGCAGTTGCAGATTGTAAAACGTGATGAGGATGTACTAAGGACATAGGTTAAGGGATATCATGGATCAGATATTCAAATAGTGACTGTTGGAGACTGCATGCATTAGTGGGAAGAGAAAGGTAGGAAGCACACATAACTCAAGAATGCTATGATAATGTGAGAAATAGAAAAAGGCAAGGAAAATGGATTAGGGCTAAAGAAATAAGCTTCAAGGTCTTCAAATCTGGCAATGACCAAGTTAGTTGGCTCACACCTGTAATCCCAGTGCTTTGGGAAGCCAAGATGGGAGGATCACTTGAGGCCAGGAGTTCAAGAACTGTCTGGCCAACACAGCAAAAATAAAAATAAATTAGCTCGGCTTGGTGGCACTCACCTATAATACTAGCTACTTGGGAGGATAAGATGGGAGGATCCCTAGAGTCCAAGAGTTTGAGGCTGCTGTGACACTGCACTCCAGCCTGGGCAACAGAGCAAGACCTGTCTATAAATAGATGAATACATCAGGCAAAAAATTCTGTGAGCCAGTTCCCATAAGAATTCTGCCATAGTCAAAAAACCTACACCTAGCTGGCTTTAGCTGTGTAAGGTCCATGAAACTATGTATGGTTTGGTGAAAAGGAAAGGAGAGGAGGGGGAGAAGGATTTCTTTTCATTTAAAAACTAGAAAATGTAGAAGTGTGTGAAATGGTAACAAAAACTAATAGGAGAGCTTTTCTTCCTAGAACAAGCAAGAAGAATAGTATGAAACCACCCTAAAATAGCCTATTAAATTAAATGCATTTAGTAGGGCTAGTTGGATATGTTCTTTAAAATATATTTTAGACTACTTTTGTTTGTGGAATGCTAAAATACCTTTTGACATAGAGAAAGGTCTCTGCATGGAGAGAATACCTTCTGCTAAGTTACATGCCACTGTGCTTACATATCTTTTTACTCAAAGCCAAATTTCTGGAAACAATAGACCATTCACTATTGTCCATAAAGGTTCCTATGCCTTTGTGATTTGTACCTGAGCTACTGCAAAAGGTGCTCCTTCCACATTCCAGAGTCTTACTCCAAGAAGAGCATCTTCCGAGAGTCTTGAGAATATCTTCCTATTTATCATGTATGTATGTATGCATGTATGTATGTATCTATCTAATAACCAAAGGCTCATTTTTACATGTGAATGATTGAATGATTTTATTTTGCTCATAGTTATATTAAAATGTACAATAACCATGTAGTTAAATATTTTACGTAGTGAAGAATGTGCCTTATCTCTGGTTGGATTTAAAAAAATGACAGAACTTTTTAAAAGGCAGTATCCATGTAGCATGTAAGCAGAATACTCAAAACAAATTAACTAATAAATCATTTAAAATAATCACTCAATTAATCTATATTTATTTCCAAATATACATTTTCCCCTTTCTTCTTAGTAATAAGAACATGAATATCATTAATAAGATCTATATATCTCAAATTCCAACACTTAGGTGTGATTCTATGACTGACTTATGTCCGGTACAATATAAAATGTAACTGACATTTGCAAACTCTAGGAAATTTCTTCAAAGGGCAAGGACATTTTTTTTCTTCTGTCTTTTGTTCTTTCCTCTGGTGAATTGTGAGCATAATATTGGAAGTGGATCATGTGGTAAATTTAGAAATAGAATCCATGTACAATAGATTAACAAAAATAGAAAGAACCCGACTCTCTGACTGAGTAGAATCCTATTCCAGCCTCTGAGATGCTACCAAATTGCACCTGATAGATGAATAAGTATTTTAAAGCCACACCTACTTATTTCTTTTTGTCACTCATAGCTAAACATTAGCCTATGTAGTATATATTAATATGTTGTATGTTTTTGTACCACAATTGTTTTTCTAGAATTTGAAGATGATACTATTAACTACTATTATTTTCTTTAGTAGTTTATAGAAGTATGTTTTTTAATAAAAATTATATTACTCCTTAAACATTATTTAAAATATTACCAATGATTGAATAAACATTCATATAGATCATGAAAGAGACACCAGTATCCAATTGACTGCTATGATTTTCCAGCCTCGGGATGGCTCTGTAATTGATCGAAGACATAGCATGGTAGCTTCTTAGTTAAAAATAAGCCCTTCTTTAAGGAAATGTTATGAAACTGACAAGCGGAACCTAAAGTTAGAGACAGAGGTTAGGACTTATGTCTCTATTGTTTGATTAAGGCCATGTTCCGAACGTAAGTAAAAGGATACTTGCATTTGCCATTGGCTAGTTATTCCTGAAATTAAAATGTTATGTCCACTCAAACTAAATTTTGTACCCTTTTCATTCATTGCTAGCATAGGATTAGACAAAGAACCAAAAGATATGACAATTTGTACTTGCAGAGATATACTTCATATTCATAACTAAATTTTTGAAATAGAAATTGTAAAGTTAAATAAAGTATTATTATTTTTATTGTCTGATAGGTAAGGGATTTTTACCAGTGGACATTTAAAAAACAAAAAGGAAACCTCTATTGTCTGAGAGATAAAATACATTTGTTTGTATTTTTTACATTTAAATGAGTGTTTTAAATAAATCATTTTGGTTATCTATTGTCATATAAGAAAACAACCTAAATATAAAGACTTAGATCAACAATAATGTATTATGTTTCATGTGCTGACTGAGCTCAGCTGATTGTTCTTTTGTTCCAAGTCACATCAGTCAGAATCAATATGTGACAGTATTCAGCAGGGCTGAGAGTGCAAGGTAAGTTCTCATCATATATCTGCCAATAGGTGCTTATTTTTGGCTTGGGAACTTCAGTTCTCTACATTGACTCTGTTCAACCCTTTCTATATACTCTGAGTTCTAACAGCATACACCCAAAAAGTTCAAGTCTTTCACAGGTTAGACACAGAACTAACATACATATATGTGTGTGTGTGTGTGTGTGTATGTATGTATGTATGTATTTAACTTTTATGTTCAGTGGTACAAGTGCAGGTTTGTTGCATAGGTAAACTTGTGTCAAGAGGTCTGTTGTACAGATTATTTCATCACCCCGTTATTAAGCCTAGTGCCCATTGGTTATTTTTTTCTAATTATCTCCCTACTTCCCAAAAGGCTCCACTGTGTGTTAATCCCCTCTATGTTTCTACGTGTTCTCATCATTTAGATCCCACTTATAAATGAGTGAAAAAATGGCCAACTAGAAGCAGCTTAGGGTTCCTCATGGAGAGGAATGGAAGGGGTGAATAAATCCAACACTTTCAACTGAAACATCCCGGTACTTGCATTGGGACTAATCAAGAATATGATATAATCTCTTAATGGGTTCAGTGGCATATGCATCCTAAGAAACATCTAAAAATTAGAGTGCCAAAATTCACCATCTGAAAAAAATATATATATATTTTCTCCATTTACAAAATATGCTTACTCTTTTCCTTGGGATTTCATCCCATCATGGGATCATGCTTCAACCCCAAGATCTTGTAATCTGCTTTACAGTTCCAAAAGTGGATGGGGTTTGATTCTGCTCTTAGTCTAAAAACCTGCAAATTGGGATGACAAGCTATCTATCTGAAAAAGACATAACAAGCAATGCTGAAACACGAACAGGGTAGCCACCATAAACACTCCCCTTCAAAAGGTTAGAGGAGGAACATAAGGCAAAGGGCAATCATATATCTGAGACCATTCTGAAAACCAGTCAGGCATACATTACCAACTAGGCTGACTCCAGGAGCAGTGAGTATTCTCTAATTAGAGCCTTTTGGGGAACTGTTCCTTATTTTATTGTTCTGCGTGGCTCTTGATTTTGTCTTTTGTGTTTGGGACCACGCTTTCTGTGGCATCCTTCTTTGTCCATGAGATGTGGTCTGTGTTTTCAGTTGAGTAGTTTTCTCAACGTATTTCTTATCTACGGAAATTTGAGGTCGCAGAATTTCAATTGTATGACTATTTTAGTCCAAACTGAGGCAGTTCTCTTAAAAATGTGGTAGACTTCTTATGTAACAAAGTATCATTTGTCTATTAGGCAAGGCTTTGAGCCAGCCACAGATCTATCTGAGGCATCCACATTATTTATTCTGTGCTATGAAATTTATAGAAGTACTTTTTGTCTAGAAGAGAACATCTGAGAAATGACAACATCAATTATTAAAAGATATTAACAAGTGTTTTATAACCACACCCTGTGCCTACAATTTCCTGTCAGTGCTCCAGATTTGGTCTTTGCCTTTCACACATTTCTTTTGCTGACTGAACTACTCAGATTGTCCTGACATTATCTACATTTATCATCTATCTATCTCTATCTATCTTTACATACATATATTTCTCTTTTTTGGAAATTATGCTTCCAAACTTAACAGTTTTCTGCGTGTTTCTACAATAGGCTAATAGCATTCTGCCTATAGATGTCCTTAACCAATTCACAATTTTGATAGGCAATATTTCTATTTTCAAGTTGCCAATGGTCTCACTAATTGATATGTCAATAATAATCCAAATAATTTTAACTACCCCATACTGAAAAGACTAAATGAGATATTTTTACATCAATTGTCTATTCTAGTGCCAGTCACACAGCCCTTACCTATTTTTAGTTGTTCTAATTACTAAAGCTCAAGATCTGTATTCAGGCATTCCCGACTGATTCAATCAAGATTAAATGTCATTATGTCACCACTATTTCTCTATGCTTTATGAGAATCCTCTGTTACAGTTAGACTGGTATATTCTCTAGACAACAACTTACTTTTGGCTTTCACATGTATTCTTTTCCCATCTAAAAATTTCTGCTTGCTACTCTTATAATCTATTAATAGACACAGCCCCCTCCAAGCCTTCTAAAACTCTACCAGCATACATTAAACTCTATTATTTTCTGTAATCACATAATAACTAGTTGAGGGGCAATAGTTAGGTGACTTTACACTTAAAATTGATCATTTTCTGTTTTTTAAAATAAATAATAATAATTATACTACAATTTACAAGGGTGCTGTGGAGATTCTGACTGCATCTGAAGGTGAATTGCAAGCTGCAGAGGAATAATAAACCACATTATAATTCTTACATACTAATCTTATTATACCATGAGATGGCATGAAAAAAATGATACCAATAATTTATTGATCCATACAAAATTATGAGAATTTCAATTATAAAGAGTTAACATGTGAATGATTATTTCAGTTAGAAATAGTATATGTTAAGCTCTACATTAAGCTCTATACTACCAAAACGACATTTGAAGAGAAATTTCTTCCTCCTCGTTGTAGTATTAGCAGCTCTTATATGTTCATAGAAATAGAAAACCATTTCTTAAAGAGAGGAATTTTAGCCACATTATGCAAGATGTTCAACATGAGAATTAATACAGTCTGGGAAAAACAACAACAACAACATAGTTCGCTGATACTGTTATCAAACCAACACTATAGCATTAAAAAATGAGAATTCACTGTAATCAGCAATGAAAAAAAAAGGCACCTTAATCCATATATTTTGGTTATGAACAGTGGTCCCCAAAGGGTTGACTGCAGTACACACAAACATTAATTGTATTTCATGTGGCTGAGCTTTACACATTTTCCATGCATTTAATTCTAATAGGAAAAATAGGCCAAAAATCATTGTGGACAGGCTACACAAGCTTTCATGATACTGTTTTTAGGGTAGCTACTATTTTCATTTAATTATCTCCTAATCTCTCTAAATATAGCTAGTGTGTCTTTGAGGGAAGCGCTGCATTGTTACATGAAATTTCTCCCCTGTACTCTTCAAGATCTATTTGAAATGTCATGAATCAAAACTAGAGTTATGTCTCAGTCGAACAGACTTTTTATTTTCTTTTAATTCTCTTCCTATCATCAATTACGAATAGAGTGGTGCTTCAGCAGCAAACATAAAATTTCCTAAACATAGGATTGATGCAGAGTTATCAATCAGGAGTAAAAGTAGATTGCCTTCTATAGAGGTATTAAAATTTCTAAAGACATATGATAACTTTCATCTTTATAATAATCCTGTTTAAGCTAATATGCAAATGTAAAATCATCTAGAATTTACAACTGAGAACCCGAAACTCAATAAGATTAAATTTTTACTGAATAACTCAGGCTATTAAGAGTCATAACCAACCTTAAACATTGAGAATCCTCACAGCACCCTTGTGAGGTGTAGTATAATCATTATCAGGTTTTTAAAAATATCATTGGTTAAACACATAGGTTTAAGAGTGAGATCCACTTGGCTTTACTTCTTGTTTCTATCAGTTACTAGTCTATGTCTTGGATGAAGTTTCTCTTCATTTTCATGTGACATCTACTTTTAGGGCAAAAATACCCACTAGAATGAATGGCAAAATGATAAAATGAGGTAGTTCTCCTAAAACCAAATTTACATATTATTTTATAAAAGATGTTAGCTTTGTTATGGGGAATGGTCTGAGCAAAATAAATAAATAAATAATTCAAAATATAAAAGTTATTTATCATCATGATGATATTTATTATGATAGTTCACTAATTCCTGGTACTCTTTTCAAAGTAGTATGCGTCCATTTAATACTCATAAGGAAATTTAGAAAATTCTTGCTAAAAGTGGTTAACTGATGTTACTTAAGTTATAAATTGCAAGAGACTACAACATAGAAAAGAGGAAAAGAAAGAAGAAATTTGTGCTGTATCTTTATTGTACTAGAAATCATGATAGATATGATTACATCCATTATCTTCTATGATTCATTCAAACTTGTAAGGTAGTTATTATCTTCATTTTAAACAGAAAGGAAACAATGGTTCGTATGATAAAGTTAAAATTCAAGCCAAATATTTATTGATTTACTTGCATGTCTGGCAAATAAATGATATTATAAAAAGAGAAAAAATAATTGTGGAAAGGGAATTGAAGAACCAGAAGAGGACAATGAATGAGTCATATAAAACAGAAATCTCTCATTATCGCTGGCATTTTATTGATTAATTTAACAAGGAAGAGTGATAACTCCTGTATTCATTACTCTCTGATCCATCTGAGGCTCAGTTTCCTCACAGGCACAAACATAAAAGACAAAATAAGAATTTATACTCCCTAGATTAGTCCTTTCTTGCATTGCTCTAAATAAATACCTGAGATTCATTAATTTACAATGAAAAGAGTTTTAATTGGCTTTTGGTTCTTCAGGCTGTCCAGGAAGCATAGCAGAATCTACTTGGTTTCTGGGGAGATCTCAGGAAACTTATAATCATGGAGGAACTTGAAGTGTGAGCAGGCACATCACATGGCGAAAGCAGGAACAGAAGAGAGCAGGATGAGGGAGTGCTTTAAATTAAATAACCAGTTCTCCCAAGAACTCATTCACTACTGCAAGGACAGTACCAACATGATGCTACTAAATTGTTGAAGAGAAATCCACCCCCATCGTCCAATCACCCCTCTCCAACCTTGGGAATTACAATTCAACATAAGATTTAGATGAGGACTCAGATCCAAACCCTATTATTCCATGATCTTGAAGGTTTATGACATTTCCTAAAAATCACTAGTGGTTTGCCTGGGTGCAATGGCACATGTCTGTAATCCCAGCACTTTGAAAGGCCCAGGCAAGAGGATCACTTGAGCCCAGGAGTTTGAGATCAGCCTGGGCAACATAGTCTCTACAAATATTAATTAATTAGGAAAGAAAGAAGAAAAAATGAAGGAAGGAAGGAAGAGAGGGAAGGAAGGGAAGGAAGGAAACACTGGTGACTTGTTCGTAAAGCATATTTCTTACTCAAATGTTTCCAGTGCTGTCTCTCAACTGCAGAGGACAGTATTACCAGACTATTTTTTTTTTCCGGCATAATGTTGTCCTCTCAAGTTTTTTAAAATGCCCTCGCTTAATTTGTTACCCACCATTATTCACATGCGTCCTTATCTTTTACTTGCCATCCACCTGAGGAAAAATCATTCCACAGTCCAAAAGAAAAGCTAATGAGACCTCCTAGGCTTCCTAGGGAAACTATGGGATATTTTCTATGAATCAGCAAATACTAAGCTCTCCTCTTTCATGGTGAACCAATAACAGATTTACATAGAGTGAAAGTCTGGTCCATACAGTCTGCCACAAAAGAAGGTGTTAGAGTTTTTGGTGCTAAGAGAATTTCACTTCTTGTCCATCTCCTAAAAGGCATACTGGAAATTGTCATGCACACAAGCTGATGGGTTTAGCTTAAAAACAAATCAATGAAACTAGGAGAGGAGAATTGAATCATGAATAATAAATATTTGATTATCTCATTGTTTAATATTCAGATGACACTTTAAATATTTAAGCTGAGTTAGATAAACTCAAAAATAAATTTGTCCTAACAGGTTGTGAAATGATATCTAATGTAGTTTTTATTTGCACTTCACTGATAATTAAGGATGTTGAGCATAATCTCATATACCTGTTGAGCATTTGCATATTTTTCTTAATAAATGTGTATTTGAGTCCTGTATTCATTTTTTAATTGGATTATATCTTGATTTTCAACTTTTTTATTTTTACTGTTGAGTTGGAGTTTCATATATATTTTGGATATTAACCCCATAGGTATATGGTTTGCAAATATCTTCTCTCATTCTGTAGGTGTATTAGTCCATTTTCATGCTGCTGATAAGGATATACCTGAGACTGGGCAATTTACAAAAGAAAGAGGTTTATTGGACTTACAGTTCACATGACTGGGAAAGCCTCACAGTCACGGTGGAAGGCAAGGAGGAACAAGTCACATCTCACATGGATGGCAGCAGGAAAAGAGAGAGCTTGTAATGAGAATCTCTCAATTTAGAATGATCAGATCTCATGAGACCCATTCACTATCACAAGAACAGCATGGGAAGGACCTGCCTTCATGATTCAGTCATCTCCCATCAGGTCCTTCCCACAATATGTGGGAATTATGGGAGCTGCAAAATGAGATTTGGGTGGGGACAGAGAGCTAAACTATATCATTTCACCACTGGCCCCTTCCATATCTGATATTTTCACACTTCAAAACCAATTTTGCCTTCCCAACAGGCCCCTTTTAAGTCTTAAATAGTTTCAGATTGAACTCAAAATTCCACAGTCCAAAGTCACATCCAAGACAAGGCAAGGCAAGTCCCTTCCACCTATGAACCTGTAAATTCAAAAGCAAGTTAGTTACTCTCTAGATACAATGAAAGCACAGGCATTGGGTAAATACAGCAATTCCAAATGGGAGAAATGGGCCAAAACAAAGGAGCTACAGGCTCCATGCAATTCCGAAATCCAGCAGGGCAGTCAAATCTTAAAGCTCCAAAATGATCTCCTTTGATTCCGTGTCTCACACCCAGGTCATGCTGATGCAAGAGGTGGGTTACTGTAGTCTTGGGCAGCTCTGCCCCTGTGGCTTTGCAGGGTACAGCCTCCCTCCCGGCCACCCTCATGGGCTTGCATTGAATGTCTGTGGCTTTTCCAGTTGCATGGTGCAAGCTGAAAGTGGGTCTACCATTCTGGGGTCTGCAGGATGGCAGCCCTCTTCTCACAGCTCCACTAGGTGGTACCCCAGTAGGGACTCCGTATGGGTGATCCCACTCCACATTTTCCTTCTACACTGCCCTAGCAGAGGTTCTCCATGAAAAACCGAAAAAGAGCCCACATTTCCAAGTCAATCCTAAGCCAAAAGAACAAAGCTGGTAGCATCACGCTACCTGACTTCAAACTATACTGCAAGGCTACAGTAACCAAAACAGCATGGTACTGGTATCAAAACAGACATATAGACCAATGGAACAGAACAGAGCCCTCAGTAATAATACCACACATCTACAACCATCTGATCTTTGACAAACCTGACAAAAACAAGAAATGGGGAAAGGATTACCTATTTAATAAATGGTGCTGGGAAAACTGGCTAGCCATATGTAGAAAGCTGAAACTGGACCCCTTCCTTACACCTTATACAAATATTAATTCAAGATGGATTAAAGACTTACATGTTAGACCTAAAACCATAAAAACTCTAGAAGAAAACCTAGGCAATACCATTCAGGACATAGGCATGGGCAAGGACTTCATGTCTAAAACACCAAAAGCAATGGCAACAAAAGCCAAAATTGACAAATGGGATCTAATTAAACTAAAGAGCTTCTGCACAGCAAAAGAAACTACCATCAGAGTGAACAGGCAACCTACAGAATGGAAAAAAATTTTTGCAACCTACTCATCTGACAAAGGGCTAATATCCAGAATTTACAAAGAACTCAAACAAATTTACAAGAAAAAAACAACCCCATCAAAAAGTGGGCAAAGGATATGAACAGACACTTCTCAAAAGAAGACATTTATGCAGCCAAAAGACACATGAAAAAATGCTCATCATCACTGGCCATCAGAGAAATGCAAATCAAAACCACAATGAGATACCATCTCACACCAGTTAGAATGGCGATCATTAAAAAGTCAGGAAACAACAGGTACTGGAGAGGATGTGGAGAAATAGGAACACTTTTAAACAGTTGGTGGGGCTGTAAACAAGTTCAACCATTGTGGAAGACTGTGGCAATTCCTCAAGGATTTAGAACTAGAAATACCATTTGACCCAGCCATGGTATATAAATACCATATATACCCAACGGATTATAAATCATGCTGCTATAAAGACACATGCACATGTATGTTTATTGTGGCACTATTCACAATAGGAAAGACTTGGAACCAACCCAAATGTCCATCAATGACAGACTGGATTAAGAAAATGTGGCATGTATACACCATGGAATACTATGCAGCCATAAAAAATGATGAGTTCCTGTCCTTTGTAGGGACATGGATGAAGCTGGAAACCATCATCCTCAGCAAACTATCGCAAGGACAAAAAACCAAACACCGCGTGTTCTCACTCATGGATGGGAATTGAACAATGAGAACACATGGACACAGGAAGGGGAACATCACACACCAGGGCCTGTTGTGGGGTGGAGGGAGAGGGGAGCGATAGCATTAGGAGATATACCTAATGTACATGACGAGTTAATGTGTGCAGCACACCAACATGGCACATGTATACATATGTAACAAACCTGCATGTTGTGCACATGTGCCCTAGAACTTAAAGTATGGGGAAAAAAAAACCTCAAAAACAAAAACATAAAACAAAACAAAAGAAAAAAAAGAAAAACCCACCCCTATAGCAATCTTTTGCCTGGGCATCCAGGCATTTACATATGTCTTCCAAAGTCTAGACGAAGGTTCCCAGACCTCAATTCCTGACTTCTGTGCACTGGCAGGCTCAACACCACATGGAAGCTGCCAAGGCTTGGGGCTTGCACTCTCTGAAGCCATGGCCCAACTGTACCTTGGCCCCTTTCAGCCACTGCTGGAGCAGGTGGGAAGCAGAGACCAAGTCTCTATGCTGCACACAGCAGGGGAACACTGGGCCTGGCCCACAAAACCACTTTTTCCTTCTAGACCTCTGGGCCTGTAGTGGGAAGGACTGCCCTGAAGACCTCTGACATGTCCTGGAGACATTTTCCCTATTATCTTGAGGATTTACATTCAGCTCCTCGTTACTTGTGCAGATTTCTGCAGCAGACTTTAATTTCTCCTCAGAAAATGGGATTTTCTTTTCTATCTCATTTTCAGGCTGCAAACTGTCCAAACTTTTATGCTCTGCTTCCCTTTTCAAACTGAATGTCTTTAACAGCACCCAAGTCACCTCTAGAATGCTTTGCTGCTTAGAAATTTCTTCACCAGATAGCCTAAATCATCTCTCTCAAGTTCAAAGTTCCACACATCTCTACGGCAGGGGCAAAATGCCACCAGTCTCTTTGCTAAAACATAACAAGAGTCACCTTTGCTCCAGTTCCCAACAAATTCCTCACCTCCGTCTGAGACCACCTCAGCCTGGATATCATTGCCCATATAATTATCACCATTTTGGTTAAAGCCATTCAACAGGTCTCTAGGGAGTTCCAAACTGTCCCTGTTTTTCTGTCTTTTTCTGAGCCCTACAAACTGTTCCAACTTCTGCCTGTTACCCAGTTCCAAAGTCGCTTCCACATTATTGGGTATCTTTTCAGCGGTGTCCCACTCTAGTGGTACAAATTTACTATATTAGTGCATTTTCAAACTGCTGATAAAGACATACCCAAGAGTAGGCAATTTACAAAGTAAGAGGTTTATTGGACTTATAGTTCCACATGGCTGGGGAGGCCTCACAATCATGGCAGAAGGCAAGGAGGAGAAAGTCACATCTTTTGTGGATGGCAGCAGGCAAAGAGAGAGTTTGTGCGGAGAAACTTTCATTTTTAAAACCACTAGATCTCATGAGACTCCTCCACTATCATAAGAACAGCATGGGAAAGACCTGCTGCCATGATTCAGTCATCTCCCACTAGGTCCTTCCCTCAACATGTGTAAATTTTGGGAGCAACAAGATGGGATTTGGATGGGGACACTGAACCAAGCCATATCACTAGTCTACCTTTTCACTCTATTTCCTTTGCTCTGCAGAGATTTTCAGTTTGATATAGTCCCATTTGTCTAATTTTCTTTTTGTTGCATGTACTTTTGGTGTCATATTCAAGGAATAATTGCCAAGATCAATAACAGAAAGCTTTTCTCCTATGTTTTATTCTTGGCAATTTACAGCTTCAGGACTTATATTTAATTATTTATATGTTGAGTTGGTTTTGTGTATGGTATATGGTATAAGATAAAGTTTTAATTTCATTCTTTTGCATGTGGATATTCACTTTTCTCAAAACCATTTGTTACAGATTATTCATTCCCCATTGTATATTTCTGACACCCTTGTCAAGGATCAGTTGACTTTATACATGGGACTTCATTTCTGAGCTCTCCAGTTTCTTCCATTAGTGTATATGTCTGCTTTTAGGCCAATATACTGTTTTATGAAAGTTCACAAGCATTGGCAAGAATGTGGAAAATTAGAACCCTTGTACACTGTTGGTGGGAACACAAAATGGTGCAGTTGCTATAGAAAATTATATAAAAATTAAGTAAAAATATAATTACTATATGATCCAGCAATCCTACTTCTGGATATATATCCAAAATAATTAAAATTAGGATCTTAAAGAGATTTTGACACTCTGCCAATGGCAGCTGCCTAACTTAATATCACAAATAAATGGTGGTGTTGGAATTCATGTCTATCTCAATTAAATCCCTTGTATTTTCCACAGCATCCTTCTCTATATATAATGTCAGACAGAGAAATCCAATATGAATTTGGAAGAACAAACATCATTCATTATGTAAGAATAAGATCAAAAGCCGCTTACTCTGCTTTTGTCTTAAATGGTCCAGCTCCTCAATGAGTAGCCACTCAATATCTCTAAGATAGGTAGAAAGACAAGTAACCTCCCATCATGAGTTTTGCCTCCTTTTCTCTTTTAGGAAAATAAATAATGTGGCTAAGCATGTGATTATGGAGAAACAATATGTATAACACAATGCAGGCTTTGGGGCCTTAATTTGAAATATGGCAATGTCTTTAAGCTTGCACAGCTTGCATCTTCATAGATAACATAAATAATAAGACATCTCATTTTCTTGTAGTGTGGACTAAATAAGATGAAGCGTCTAAATGGTCCCATGCAATAAGTATTTGATAGCAATCTTTTATTTTATTATTATTGTTATTATTTTAGAGACAAGGTATCACTCTGTCACCCAGGCTGGAGTGCAGTGACTTGATCATAGCTCACTGCAGCCCCAAACTCCTGGCTCAAGCAATCTTTCTGCCACAACATCCTGAGTAGCTAGCACTGCAGGAGCATACCATCATACCCAAATAATATTTTGTTTTTATTTTTGTAGAGACAGGGTTTACTATGTTGTCCAGGCTGGTCTCAAACTACTGGCCTCAAGTGACTCTCCTGCCTCAGCTTCCCAAAGTGCTAAGAGTACAGGCATGAGCCACCATGTCCAGCCTCAAACTCTTTAAATAATATATTTTCACCTTTTATATAACTACTAACCACTAAGATCTGGAATTTAACTAGGAAAGTTCTTGATTTTACATATTGAAATAAATTTTTCTAGTGTTGTAAAATCATTGGTGAAGTAATATGATTTTCTTTTTTCTCAGAGAAGTACTGTGGGACACAGTAATGGTCTTGCCACTTCTGTTAACATTTGCCTCATTCTGCATGTGCCATTTCATTGGAACAGTATTCCTTAATCTCTGTTTCAAAGTCTGCCTCTGGCCTTGACTTCTGCTGTCCTTACTTTTCAAACTGGAACTGAACTTGCCTAATTTCTCAGGGCTAAATTTGTAAAGCCTATTCCCCTAGATCATAGCCCTGGGGTATTGACATTACCAAGCAAAACTTATTCAACCATACCAAACTTATTCATTACTTCTTCTTGAACTTCCCCTGCCACCTGATATCTCACTATCTATCCTGGTATATGACAAGGAATTAATTACGATTAACAATTAACAACTGTGACCTCAAGCTTTGGAGTCAGACTGATCAGAGTTATTATAGATAATTATTAGTCATATAATTTGAGGAGTGGTATAACCTATCCGAAAATGGGATTGCTGATGTGTGGAAGGTAAATAGTAATAATATGGACTCTAGAGTGTTGTTTATGGATTACGTGTAAAAAATATAGCAACTAGCACAGTCTTAAGTATGAATTAAATGCTCAATAAATTGTGGTTTTGGCTATGATAGCAATGACGTTGCTGTTGATAATGGTTATAATTATTACCAGACATTATTTCCTATTACCTCATCTGGATTTAAAAAAAAAGATACATAATAATTGTACATATTTATGGTGTACATGTGATGTTTTGATACTTGCATACAATGTGTAATGGCCATTTAAGAGTATTTAAGATAGCCATCATCTAGAATATTTATTATTTAATTGCATTGAGAACATTTCAAATCTCTTCAAGCTATTTTGAAATATGCAATATATTGTTAATATAGTCACTGTGCTATGCTACTGAACACTAGGACTTATTCCCTCGGTCTAACTGTGTTTGTACCCATTAGCCAATCTCTCTTAATACCCCCTGCCCACCTCTTTGCAGACTCTGGTAATTATCATTCTACTCTTAACCTACATGAGACAACTTTTTAAGCTTCTGGACATGAATGAGAATATCCAGCAACTCTACTACTGGGAATTTATCCAAAGGCAAGAAAATTGGTATATTAAAGGGATAACTTTGATAGTTATCGCAACACTATTCACATTAGCCAAGATATGAGATCAAACTAAAGCATCCATCACTGGATGAATGGATAAAGAAAACATAGTATATAACCGCACATTCTCACCTATAAGTGACAGCTAAACAATAGATACACACAGGCATAAAGATGGGAACAACAGACACTGGAGGCTCCAAAATGGGGGAGGGAGGAAGGAGGAAAGGGTTGAATAACTCTCTGTTGGGTACTATGTTCACTATGTGAGGGATGAGTTCAATAGAAGCCCAAACTCCAGAATTCTACAATATATATATGTAACAAAATTGCACATGTTCTTCCTGAATCTAAAATACCTTTTTTAAAAAGAAAAAAAGGAAATGTGGTCAATTTAAAGAATGGAATACTATCTAGCAATAAAAAGAATGGATTTCTGTCATTTGCAACAACATGGATGAATCTGGAGGGTATTGTGTTAAGTGAAATGAGCTAGGCACAGAAAAGCAAATACCACCTGGATATTTAAATTAGTCCTTTTAAAATAGTTATTTCCTAGCCTCACACTTTCCAGTGCTTTCATTTTTATTCAATGAATTGCAAGAAATGCAAGCCAACATACACCAAACTGATTATTTAGGGAGTTTCCTTTATATTAAGCTCAACATATGCTGATAATAAAGGGCATGTGAAATATAGAAAAGCAAAAGGAAAAGGGAAATGTATTTATAATACTGACACTTACTTATAAATACATTAATGTTCATAATGCTTTACCATACATTTAAAATTGTTCTTCATGCAAATAGCCTCACTAATCTTTCTGCATCCTAAATCTCTTTTTTCACCTGAACTTTCTAACCTCCACATACTACAGTAGTCTTCCCCTTATCTGCAATTTTACTCTCTGAAGTTTCAGTTACCCACAGTTAATTGTGGTCCAGAAAATGCAAATGAAAAATGCCAGATACAAACAATTCATAAGTTTTTAATTACAAGTCATTCTGAGTAGTGGAGCATGATGAAATCTCGCACCATCCCACTTTTTTCTGTCTGAGACGTGTATCACCCTTTTTCAGATTGACTGTTGTGATATTGCAGTGCTTACATTCAAGTTCAGTAGTAGCCTAATGCTTAATCATATTGCCTACATTTTTCACCTCACTTTATCCCATTATGTAGGGATTTTATAATCTCATATCAACACCAGAAGAACAATACATACAGTATAATAAGATAGCTTCAGAGAGAGACCACATTCACATACCTTTCATTACGCTGTATTGTTATAATTGTTCTATTTTACTATCAATTATTGTTGTTAATATTTTAATGTGTCTAATTTACAAATTAAACTTTATCATAGGTGTATTCATAGTGTGTAAAAGATTAGGCACTATCAACGGCTCCAGGCATTCACTGGGGGTCTTGGAATGTATCCCCCACAGATAAGGGGGATACTGTATATCAATACCAAATGTAGAATTCAAGATGTAGCTGTGAAAAATAGTAAATTGAAAAGTAAATTCTGATATATTCCCAATGCTTGCCGCTAAGAAAACTAAAAAAGATTATTCTTTTTTTTTTTTCAGTGTGACCTAGCTAATTCATTGGAATGTGTGTTAATTCTTGCCCAGGAACTTATTCAAAGATGGCAATGTATTTGAATAGATGTACATAATATTGCTCATAAAAAGATGTCTGTCTGCCACACTGGCATAAACTATTATAAAATATTATACAGAGAGTCATTTCCTCTACAATCCATATCTTTGACATGCAAATCTTTTTTGATATACCACTGCTCCTTTTCCTCCTCTTACTAGTCACATTCATTCTATTACCACCCAATGTCTAATATGATTATAGGAATTCACTTACTTCATCCACCAGTTGATTCTTACACATCTTTTAGGTATCGACTAAAAACATCTCTTCCACAGGGCAATTATGATTTTATTCCTGTAGTCCCCCGACTTTTTTTGTTCTACACCTGGATTTTGATCACATGCTTACTATGTATCTTTCTCATTGGGCTGTAAGCTTCCAGAGAATAGGAATGCATTCATTCTTGGTCACTTCTCTATGGCTAGCACTGATAGCAATGCACATTGTGAAATGGGCTTCCAATAAAGTTGCTGAATATACGGATGAATGATGAAATGAATTAATACATTTCTTTTGGGGTCTAATATATACTTCTGTTGTTCAGGGTTTGTGAGATCCAGCTTCTTTGATATTTTTATGGCACTTAAATTTTCAGTGAAGATAAGTGGAGATAGTGATATTTTTATCTTGGAAAATATTTATAGAGGGTCTACCATGTACAAACTCTAAACACCATATAATGTAGTGCATAAAAGCATAGGGTTTTGCATCGTATAAATGTGAGTTTAATTCTTAGATCTGTCATATACTAACTTCTGAGTGTTGTCAAGTTACTCAACATTCCTGATTTTATTTTTCTGTAAAGCTAAGATCATAATACCAACTTCTTACTAAGATTGCTGAGAATATTTAATAATATTATGCATCTGATGTGCTTAGCAAAATGCCTGGCCCATAACAAACAGTAAATACATATCAGATCTTATTTCTCATTTTGATGAATAATTTCTTTGATGTTTAAACAGATTTTGGCAGGTATTATTGTCCCATTTGAGAGGACAATGCTGGACACTGCAGTTCAGAGAGTTGGATAAATTTGTTAAATATGATATAGCTAACAGTTGCAAGAGTCAAAATTTCAAAGGTCTTTTTTGGTCCCAAATTCAGTGGGTTTACTCTTACCTCGTGTTCTGTTTCATCAACAAGAAGATTAAAGTAATTCCTCCTTTAGAATTGAAAAATATTACTCTTAATCCTGCATCCCTAAAATGTAAGTCACTATATAGTGCTCTGTTAGCCAGACATTTAGTTATGTTTTTTAAATTCTGCATTCTGAACAACTAGAAAAAATGTATTCTATATGTTTAAAATATAGCCATTCTTGAAAACCAAGCAAATAAATATCACTTCCAGATGAGAAAATACTTAAAAATCTCTTTATAAAATCAATTAGAGGACACTAAAATGAAATTGATGATAGATATGGCATTCAAATGAGCTGAATGATAAGTTTATGTGGACAGGAAGATGATTTTGACCTTGAAACTCTATTATCAGCTTAATTTAACACTGACTAAAGAACTAAGTTGAGACATTTTTAGTGAATTGATTATTTTTTTCCATTACTTGAAATGCTCTTTTATGATACTCCAAGACTCAAATTATAGAGCAACTGAACAATTGTTGATACACCCCCACACACACACAACACATTATCAGATTATGAGCAATTTTATTCAATTTTTTTTCAAGCAAAGAAGTTCAGCTGTTTTTCCCCACTATAAATATGAAAATGGAATATCTGACTTCTTCAATGTCTGTCCTATTTCTCAATCTTCTCTACTGATTAAGTCCATTATTTTTATGGAACTAAAAAGTCTCATTGGTGGTGGTGGCCCCTGTCTGTGCATTTGATCCTGAACATAAAAACCACATTAAAACAAATGGTCTTGCCAATCTTGCACCATATTATTTGATCAAAAGATAAAATAAAAAGAGATATATCAGAGCCCTGCAAACAATACGTATACATATATGTGTGTGCATTTTCTTTTAATACACATGAAGCAGAGGAAGATTAAAAAAAACTCACAGCAGAATTATTTGCCTGTATTCTGAAACTGTGTATACAAAATTAAAGCTTGTTGGTAGTGGCAAATATCTCTATAAAATTGTTTATATGTATTTTCAATGTCTATATTTATAAAAATGAGTTATTTTACATAGAAATAGTAAAATATTTTCAAAATGTATGTTACTGATTTAATATACTGTGACTTTGACACTTTATTTTTCCTTGAGGCATTGAAATTATGAGATCATCCCATTTTGGTGGGAAGCAGAAGAAATTGTGTAGCTGTGTGTCTTTGGATCCCCCTACTTTAACTCACCATAATACACTTCTACATTTGCCATCTTTGGGCCCCTATTTGCTTAATTCTCTTTATGGGTAATTAATGGCCCATCTCCTCTCTTCCTTGGTGTTTTCTCACTCCTTAAGTGCTATGGTCTGACAATCCCTACTTCCATTCTGAGAGAAGCTGCCCTTTTTGGGCTTTGGGGATTTGTGGCTTTGCTCTGTGCAACTACATGCTCTAGACACCTCCCTACAATTCTCGGACCAATTAGGAAGTGGATGTGGCTATTTTCCATCTCATCGTTTTCAAATATCTTTTTCTGTTTCATTACATATCAACCACATCTTGATATATTTTCTTCTTAATTTGGGTTAGACTCAATGTTTCATCATTCTGCACTATCTTCCTTATGATCCAAAGTTTTCTAAATCTTCATTTGTCTGCTGAAACTCTGCTCAAGGGGAAGCCAATTATGTATTCTTCAATGCCTCAAATCAGGAAAGTGATCGTTTTTGGAGGGTAGTTTGACTCATTATTAATTTATAACTAAAAATCAGGTAACTTTAAACACTTCCTGAAAAACATATTGCTCTATTGTCTATTTTATCTCTAACTTCCCATGATGGCTATTTCTAGTGAGTGGAGTGGATCGGTATTGTGGGGGCAGTCTCTTCTAGTTGCAGGCCATAAGTTGGTGCAGTGTTTAAAGATAATTTTAAATAAAAAAAATCAAGCCAGCTAAATGTCAGTCTTTTGTTATTATTAGTATTCTCTCACGAGTCTAAACAATGTCAGTAATAAAATATTTCTCCTACTGAGACAGATTTTCCCCACTACCACCTATTCCCTCTCAGAAAACTACTAGCAATTTCAAACCTTTTTCAAATTGATCAAACACCTGAACACTCACCTCAGCAATTATAGCAGTTGACTTCACCTCTGATTCTATAGAGGAATATTATTATTGTAGCTAACCTATACATTTCAGTTATGTCAGTGGTTGTATTAATTAATTTACCTGTATTATTTCATTTAATCTTTGTTATTAATGTTTGACCTACATTCTATTGTTATACTCATTTTACAGCTAAAAATAATTGGTGCACCATGAGTTGAAGTACCTTGCTGAGGATCAAACAATTCCTACATATTAAAGCCCAAGTGTGAACTTTCAGTGCCTGATGTCAGAACTGTAATTCTTAAACATAACATTCTACCATTCTTAGCCCATTCGTTCTGAAAACCTTTAATTGATCTCCATCAAATCTTCAAACCTGCCAGCATCTAACCCTATACACCTGTCTATTTCTCCTATGATAGGAGAAAAAGCTTTTCAACTCTTATATATGACCAATTCCTCTACCTGTGTCCAGAAGGAATACCCATCTAACATTCCCTCATCCTCAGTAATCATGGACTAACTATTGTCTTCAATTTAAGGTCTCTTTCTAGCATACAAACTTTCAGTTCTTATTGCATCATTACTCTTGAGAATGATTGAAAACTTTTAAAACTGTATTATTTATAAAAGATCATAAAACATTATGTTTAATTTTGAATATGTAAACTGTGATTTCATCCTATATGCTAGCTGTGATTACATCAGATTGCTTAGACAATTATTGTTAATCAAATTTAAACAGAGTCACAAGTAAATATGTCGGCTTAAAAATATGTATAACTAATCTCTGTATTGATACACATGTTACACAGATTTTATATTTTGTTCTGTGAGTTGGAACAAATGACATTATTCCATTCAAAAAGGAAGCATCAGCTCTGAGTTAGTATTTAGGATGGACATGGAAGAAAAGGAAATATCCCAGAGTTGATCAGAACTCAGCTATTAGACAAAATGTAGTAACAAAGCTTATAAAGAATTTATTTCTTGTGGAAACTGGGTCTGGAAGGAGAAAAGACGTAAAATGGTGTGGAGCACAGCAGTGGCAAAGCATGGAAGACCTCCTTTCTCCATGGTAGGATAGCCCTTGCTACACATAGAAATGTTTATTTTCCAATGACCAAAGATAAAGGTGGCTCTGTACCCTGACTCACCACTGAAATGATGAATATTTTAGAAAAGCTTTTGTCAGGTATTTTTGAAATAATGAAGCTATTTACAAAAATATGAAAAATAAAAAATGTAACAAAAAGGCTAAATAGCATGACCACAAGACTGGCAGATCTGAAAAAATCTATACTTTGTATTTATTAAATGGTAATGTTAAAAATAATATGTTGATAAGTGTAATGTAGCTATTGATACACATTCAGCCCTGATATTTTGTAATGGTGAAACACCAGAGACAACTGAAATATTCATCAACAGGAAAATAATTAAATAAATTAGAGTATATTCATACTATGGGATACTTTTCAGCCATTAAAAATAAATAGTTAGATGTGGAAGATTGTATTAGTGTTTAAAATGTTCCCTGCTTATTCTAAAATACTTACTTGCCCTACTGATGGCAAACTTGGTTGTAAGCCTTGCTTTGGCAATGAAATGTGAGGAGAAATAACATGTGCCCTTTCACAAAGAGGCTTCAAGAGTCAGTGCATACTGACTCTATATTCTGTATGAAGACACCATTGTCACAGATTTGGCTTGCTCCATCAGACTGAGTCCCACAGTAGAATTTAGGGAGTAGAGTAGTAGCTCCTCCTAGGTGGATGCAACATGAGTGAGAAAGAAACCAGTGTAAGTACGGTAAGTCAATTAGATTCTGAGATTACAGAGTCATTTGTTATTAGCAAAACACAACTCATCCTAGACTGACTGATAATGAAGATTTGTGTGTACATACATGATGATCTATACTGTTGAGTAGTGGTGGAATGTAAAGTGTTATACATGCTGGTTAGGTCTTGCAACTCCTTAGGAATATTATACAATTTTCCTCCATGACATCATGCCTAGCATGTGTCTTGTTAGGTTATGCTGTGAGTAGCCCTAGTTACAGGCCTGCTAAATCAGAGAAGAAGAGAAGTAAGTCCTGAAGAGAGCAGATACTGCTTTGTGGGAGACAGACCTCCACATTTTCTTCCATCATAGAGAAGACGGTTGCTACTACTTAATGGGGAGGGTTGTGCCATATCTAGATTCAGAAGGTTCCAAAGATTCGTGGAAATGAAAATCTTCACAGGCACCCACACAGATGTTTCCACCCTATGAACTAAGGATTTTTTCAAGCCGGTCCCTGACCTTGTCAAAACAGACACCTGTTTTATTTCCTTGATGTTCAGTCTCTCTGACTTGAATCCTGTGCTTGGACATTTCCCATCCACCCATGAGGGATGATGAAAGCTTACTAAAGAGGCCTTCACATTTCATATCTTGATTTTCATTCTCTGTTACCATGAGCTGTTCATTATCTTTCTGTGGTGTGTTGAATACATGATACATTTTGTCTGTTAATTTATCCCTTTCTTTTGATATACTAGTACCAAAGTGTTGCGAAAATTTTTTTAAACAGCTGGACTACTACCTTGTCCTCAGGATATGAGCTTTCTTTAGAGGGTGATGAAAATGTTTTTAAATTAGTTTATCCTTATTGCTACACAACTACATGAATATAAAAATGTTGAATTTTGTGTTTTGAAATGATAAATTGTAAAACACATGATTTATATCTCAATAAATCTTAGTAGACTTAGAAAAACATGCTTTATAAAACTGATCATGATCTAAATGTAATGATATTCTATTACCCATTAAGTACTTATGTCTTCCAAATATTGTCCAGTATTTTTCCTCAGAAAATATGTATTTTATGTGAAGGTCCAATATGCTTTTTATATAAGCTTTTTAAGTTATATTTTATTTTTAATTCACACATAATTATTGTTATATTTATCAGATACAGTGTGATGTTACAATACATGTTTACAATGGGTGATGATTAAATTACGGTAATTAGCATATCTATTACCATAAACTTTTATCATTCCTTTGTGTAAGAAACATTCAAAATCCTCTTTTCTAGCTATTCTGAAATATATATCTTATTGTTAACTAAAGTCGCCGTACTATGCAATGAAACAATAGGACTTATTCCTCCTATTTAACTGTGGCTTTGAACCTGTTGATCAACCTTTTCTCTCTCTTCCTCCTACCTATGCTTCCGGGCCTCTGGTAAACACTATTCTACTATCTACTTTATGACATCAATTTTTTAAAATTCCACATATGAGTGAGATTATGCTGTATTTGTCTTTCTGTGCCAGGCTTATTTCACTTAATATGCTTTAGTTTAAATAGTGATATATACAATTTAATATAATTTAGTGTATTGCATCATTTATATCCGTTTTCCATTAGACAATGAGGTCTTTGATGTCAAGTATTTTACCTTATTTCTTTATATGTGGTTCATGAAATACTCAATGAATGCTTGATAGATGAATAACTGAAACAAACTTCAATGGTGACATTTTTGGTGCATTCAGAGGCCAGGGTAGAGATGCAGAGAGGTGTTCTTGAGAGTGGGTTGCTTCAAGTATCATCATATAAGAGATCATCTTCTATAATGGTGTGGATAGATACTTAATGTTGCCTGAAAAAGTAAAATACTCGTTCAAATGCAGAAAGGTTACATTGTTATGACTGACTTTCAAAAGAGAAAATTTGTATAGCATGACATGTTTCTCATCGGCAACCACTGTTCCCCTCACAACAAGCCTGATCACTTGGTACACTTACTGTAATACTATTTTTCAGTTTGATAGAATCTAGAAAAAGAAAGACAAACTGACAGCATACCTAATTTAAGTTCATGAACAAAGTCACGCATGTAGGTATGAGCAAGCCTGTGCTTTAGTTGATGAATACTAGTGAAGTGTTATGCTACTTAAGGTGCCTCTTGATTTTAATGTCAAACTGCCTTCAACCTTTCCTATCCAAATTCCTTAAATTATTTTGTTTAATAGAAAAAGCCAAACAGTTTATGTTAAAACTCTCTGCTAACTATGCTTAGGTTCAAGAATGATTCGAACAAATATCAAGCTAAAATCATCTAACCAGTAATAAAGATAACACAACTCAGTTGTTCCATTTTTCAAGTTAGCCACATCCAAAAATTGTTCTGCAACAAATGACATATAACAGTTGTTAAAAAAAAAAAAAAAGGGAATGATATTTATTATACCAAACTGTTTCTAATGAGGAATCAGATTTTCAATCAATATAAACTTGGCCTGATCATGAAATGAATATTCAAATCAGGCCTGTCCTCTCCGAGGATTGTTCAATTTTTCCATCTCAAACCATGTTATCCCTTGAGCAAACGGTAAGTAATGGGAGTTTCTTCCTACTATAACTTTTACATTCATATATGTGTAGGAACAACTAATTTAATTGTCACTCAATAGCATGCTAAATGTTAAGAACTTATTTGGCTTGTAATTTTTCTTCAAGTGGCTTAAATACAATTTCCTCTTTTTTTTTTATTTTGAGATTTTGCGTCACTTCAGTGGAGCCCCTCACTGCTCCAACCAAACAAAATTTTTTTGAGATTTTGCTTCACTTCAGTATTTCAACCAAATACTCTATTAATAAAAAGGACTAATTTATTTTATTAGACTCAAATTCAGTAAAACACTAAGGAATATGATGGCATAGATATGGATATGAAAGAAATATGGATTTTGAAAATTTTCTGTAAGTGGGTATGTGTACAGCTTATGTATTATACTATCATATACATTCAGGTTTGATTGTGGGTATTAAGCTAATTTATTTTTTTCTTTCTAAACTTTTATGTTAAGGAGATATATATGCAGGTTTATTACATGTTTAATAGATCTTTCTCCATCCCTTTATTTTGAACCTATGCATATCACTGCATGTGAGATAGATCTCTTGAAAACAGGATACAGTTGGACCTTGCTTCTTTACCCAAACTGCTACTCTGTGTCTTTTAAGATGGGTGTTTAGCCTACTTAAGTTCAAGGTTAATAGTGATATGTGAGAACTTGAGCTTGTCATCTTGCTGTTGCCTGAGTGTTATGTATACTTGATTGTACAATTACTTCATAGTGTCAGTGGGCTATATACCTAAGTATGTTTTTGTATGGGCAGATATCCTTCTTTCATTTCCACGTTTAGGACTCCCTAAAGGACCTCTTGTAATGCAGGTCTGGTGGTAACAAATTCCTTTAACATTTGTCTGAAAGACATGTTATTTCTTTTTTGCTTATGAAGCTTAGTTTTGCTGCATATGAAATTCTTGGCTGGAATTTCTTTTTTTTAAGGGTGCTGAAAATAGTCTCCTAATCTCTTCTGTCTTGTAAGGTTTGTGCTGAAAGTTCTACTGTTAGTCTGATGAGGTTTCATTTGTACATGACTTCCCCCTTTTCTAGCTGCTTCTAAGACTTTTTTTTAATTATACTTTAAGTTTCAGGGTACATGTGCACAGTGTGCAGGTTAGTTACATATGTATACTTGTGCCATGTTGGTGTGCTGCACCCAGTAACTCGTCATTTAACATTACGTATATCTCCAAATGCTATCCCTCCCCCCTCCTCCCACCCTAAAACAGGCCCCGGTGTGTGATGTTCCCCTTCCTGTGTCCGTGTGTTCTCATTGTTCAATTCTCACCTATGAGTGAGAACATGCGGTGTTTGGTTTTTTGTCCTTGCCATAGTTTGCTGAGAATGATGGTTTCCAGCTTCATCCATGTCCCTACAAAAGACATGAACTCATCCTTTTTTATGGCTGCATAGTATTCCATGGTATATATGTGCCACATTTTCTTGATCCAGTCTATCATTGATGGACATTTGGGTTGGTTCCAAGTCTTTGCTATTGTGTGTGAATAGTGCCGCAATAAACATACGTGTGCATGTGTCTTTATAGCAGCATGATTTATAATCCTTTGGGTATATACCCAGTAATGGGATGGCTGGGTCAAATTGTATTTCTAGTTCTAGATCCCTGAGGAATCACCACACTGACTTCCACAATGATTTTTATTTTTGCATTGAATTTGGAGAATCTGATGACAATGTATCTTGGAGATGGTCATCTTTGGTGTATCCCTAAGGGGTTCTCTGAATTTTCTAAATTTGCATGTCAACTTCTCAGGTTAGGTTGGGAAATTTTTCACTGAAAATATCCATAAATATGTTTTCCAAGTTGTTTGTTCTCTCTCCATCTCTTTCAGGAAGGGCAGTGAGTCATATGTTTTGTCTCTTTACATAATCCCATATTTCTCAGAAGTTTTGTTCACCTCTTGGTAGTTTTTTTTTTTTAATATATATATATATTTGTCTGCACATGTTGATTCAAAGGAGTCAGCTTTGAGATCTGAGATTCTATTCTTGGCTTGGTCTATTTTGTTGTTAATTTTTCCAATTGTATTCTGAAATTCCTGTAGTAAATTTTTCACTTCAAGAGGTTCAATTTGGTTCTTTCTTAAAATGGCTATGTTGTCTTTCAACTCTTGGTCTGTTTTACTGTGTTCCTCGAATTTTTCCTATATGTTGATGAGCCTTCTTGCCATCCATATTTTAAATTCTATGTCTACAATTTCAGCCATTTTAGTCTGGTTAAGAACCATTGCTGGGGGGCTGGTATGATTGTTTAGAGGTAAAAAGCCACTCTTACTTTTAGAAGTTTCCAGAATTCTGCTATTTTTTTCTTATCTGTGTGGGTGATTTTTCTTTAATTTTTGAAGTTTCTGTAGTTCAGGTGGGGCTTTTTGCTTTTATATTCTTTGATACTGGCATAAGTTGGGTTTAATCAATTGGCTTGGTTTCTTGATGCTTTCTGGGGGGCACAGCTCAGCTCAGCGCTCCTGGGCTACAAGCTCTAATCCTGGGATCCCAGGACCAGGCTTGTGGCCTTATTCTCTGGCTTCTAGAGGTTAAGTACTCACTTCACTAAAGGGGCCAAGGTGTTCCCAGTCTGCTGACAACAACACCCTGACAGAGTCTTGCAGCAAAAGTACTCTAGTGGGGTGGCAGTAGGCCCCTGCTCATGTGTGCGCCTGTGGGGTAGTAAAGGTTCCATTAGTGTGTATGTGCTCATTGGGTGGTGGGGGGAAGTTATGGGCTAGTGTGCACTGGCAGAGGAATACTGCAGGTGAGTGTACACTGGAAGGGGAAGGCTGTGGGCAGGTATTTGCTTATGCGGGTTGCATGTTGGCAGGAGTTCCTCTGCAAAAGTGCTTTGATGGTTACTTGGGATCTGCTGGTGAAAGATCTATGCTAGTGGCTGCTGGCAAATTGAGGCTGCACTGCACCTGAGTGTGGCCAGGTTTGAACCCTGGTAATGGCTGGCACTCAGATCAGACTGGCCCTATCCCTAGGGCAAGAGAGCTCTGTTCTCTCCAGATTCAGCAGCCAACAAAGGCTAGAACCACCTAAAGAGAATGGGCAGCCTTGAGGGATGGGTGCCTATGGCTGTGCTCCAGAGCAGCCATTTCCATTCCAAACCCTCTTGGCTACATACAAATTGACATTCTGTCTCCGCCAACTCTCGGAGGAGTTCTTCATGTCAGCTCAGTTGTCCATGGGTGTTGTGGGTTCTCCCACAGTGAGGATCCCGGAGGTTCATGACAACAGTGGGCCACTCCATGCTTATTTCACTCACTTCTCTAGGAGCTGCTTAGGGCCAGGAATGAGTCCTGGTGTTCAGCATCCCTGTGCAGGGTTCTCAGCTTCCTCCCCTTTCAGCCCGGGGTCTGTATCCCCACTCTGTCCACTCTCAATGCCTTCTTTCTGGATATCTGTTTGGAGTGTGCTGGTCTACTTGTGGTCTTGTCTCTCATGATGAGAGAAGCTATTGAAGCTAAAATTTAAAAAGTATATTCTGTGTGGAAAAAAATGTATCTGGCATTGGGATGAACATAATTTTTGACATTATTCAACATATAGCTTCCTTAAGGACTCTAATTTTTTAAAACAATTTTAGAATACTAAATTTTAAAAAGCAGAATATCAAACTGCAAACAAATGTGACTATGGAATTGAAGAGAGTTCAATTACGGGGGTGTTCTGTAAAAAGTTTCAAAAGGAGAAGAATTTGGGTCTGGAACTTGAAGGTCATGTTCAACTTGAAAATGTACAGTGAAGGAAAAAAAATTAGGTATTCTAGGCTAGTCATTACAAGTGAAGAAATGAAAACAGAATAAGAAAATTGTTGAAAATTATACTCATAATTATGATTAATGTCAGCTGATCCTTATTAACCACTTCCTTATTTTTTCCAAAACACTTTCTAAGTGCATTACTTCCATTATCTCAGTATTGTTATCAATTCTATGGGCCAGGAACTATTATTATTTTCCTTCCAATGATTAGGACTCTTGTGTTTGAATGGTCAGATCACGTGCTAGTAAATGATAGAGCCAAGGTTTCAGGTCAGGCATGTATAACTGCAGAACTCATTCTCATTCCAACAATGTATTCTATATTCTTCTTTTAATCATATAAATATAGGTTTTGGGGTAAGAATACCTTTCTTGAGAATATCCTTAAAATAATTAATTTTACTAAGACACTAATAAAACTGGCATATAGTATTTTCTTGTATTATAATTTATGGACTACTTATTTTAGAACGTTTATATGAAATAAGATGATGAAGGACCAGAATTGTGTTTTACTCATCTCTATTTAACACTTACATCTTCCAGGATATTATCTTTCACAAAAAAATTGAGAAATTCTGTTGGATTTTATGCACTTATCAAACACAGTGCTTCTAATGTGAAAATAACATTTGGAGAAGAGTCAGTGTTTTTGAAAAGGATGCCCACGGAATTGATATTATTATGCTAGACAATTAAAAGTCAGAGTTTTTTAAAATAGGACCTAATATGATAATATAACTAAAATATTAAATATTTAATTAGAATAACCAAGTTATATTCTCTAAGAATACCTAAAGAATCAAACTTGAGAAGCTACAGACTGGGTGGTCACTAACTTCTGATCCACATAATTTTGGAATTACACTTTAATGAAAACTACCTTCGATTTGATAAAGGGAGAAAATTTTATAATTTGATAGGACTGTTTCAAAATATTTAGAAAAAAATCTGAGGATATAAAGAGGAACAAGACAACTATTTTGCAAGTGTATATCATATATTAAATAATATTCAGAAGTTAATAGTGGACTCAATACTCTTAGAGATCAATATGATCCTGGTGATGTAATACGCAGCATTAACAAAACAAAACAAAACAAAGCACATGTGACAAAAAAGATACTTGGCTTAAAAACAAAATAAATATTTTCTTGTATCAGAAGCAGGAAAGATTTAAAGTAGAAGATTGCTCTTTACTAAACTTTACCACAATCAGGGGCAGACTGGAATTCAGATTTGGATAACTATAAGAACAAAAAATGCTTAGACAACATACAACTGGAGCCAAGTTCATAGGTTAAAATGAAGACTATGTTGAGACTTTGCTACTTATAAAATAATCCCCAATACTCCCAAATTTCATGCCTGGTAACAACTCACACATCTGATAAATTTTCAGCATTTAATTTGTATCTGAGATGAGCTACTATCTTGTTGAATGAATATCTGATAGTCACACTATCTCCCATAAAAAGAGCCCTAAAACTCTAATGTAAAATATGTATTTTGACTATAGAAATTCAGGATCAAGCTGCTGTAACACATTCTCACTCAACAGGTATAAGTAAGCATAGTGGAAGAGAGACATAAGAATTAAGGGATCAAACAGAAAACTAAGGGATCAAACTAAAACTTCCTCACAAAGTAAGACTTTAAACCATTTTCATATATATATATATATATATATATATATATATATACACACACACTATATATGTGTGTGTATATATATATATACATATATATGTGTGTATATATATATATATTCTTATTTTAAAAAGGACAGTAAATAAATTAGCCAGGCATGGTGGCAGGTGCCTGTAATCCTAGGTACTCGGGAGGATAAGGCAGGAGACTAGCTTGAATCTGGGAGGTGGAGGTTGCAGTGAGCCGAAGTTGTGCCACTGCACTCCAGCCTTGGTGACAAGAGTGAAACTCCATCTCAAAAATAAATAAATATTAAAAACTAAAATAAATCAGACATAGATTTACTGCAAGGAAAATCAGTTTTATGGACCAAGTTAACAAGATTTCAAAATGATATTTAGGAAGCTCAAAGACACAAATGAAGTAATAACATTCAAAACAGAAGAATAATGAATATGACACATTTCCAGAGTGAAAAAAATATGACTAGGTCCTATAGAAAACAATACTGAGATTTGGGGGAAAATATGGCTATTGAAATAATAGAAAATAAAACTATATGTGAAGTGAATTTTGTCTAGCTATGGTTGAGAGAGAAAGTATATCATGGAGGAAGATAATGAAGGATTTGTTAAGAAATATACACAGATACACAAACATATGCATGTACTCGCTTTTGCCACCTTGAAATAACTTTTTATTATGTCATATTTATGGAATTGAACAAACAACTCTTCTATCCCAACAAATCCCCAATAAATACAAAATGCAAAACTGTTATCCATAGGCTTAACATTCTGGATTGAAATAATAAACATTATGGATTGGAACCTATTTCCCCAGAATATGCTTTAAAACTATCCTGGTGGGGAAAAAAATAAAATTTTTTAAATGATTCTTGGGAAATAAAAGATAAACGACAAAAATGATAGGAAACTTCTTCTAAACCATTGAATAGTTTTTGTAACAGCTAATTTGACCTATAACATTATATTTTAACTAGAAATAAAGATGTAGTTGTTTACAGCAGTATTTGGCAAGCTTCAATTAATGGAAAAATAAGAAACCAAGTGCAAATGCATTCCTGTAGCAAGTTAAATCTTATTTTCTTGCTATACCCTGTTTTCCAACTGGCAGGATTAAACGTAAGATTATCGTTTAAATATCACATTGTATGTCTTACACAGCTAGCATTTCTTCTTCCTGTGAATGTGAAAATATGTACCATGTTTTTGTATTCTGGGCCAAAGAAAAGGAAATTATAATTTTGATTTTTAAAAAAGAAATGGCCAGGTGCAGTGCCTCATGCCTGTAATCATAGCACATTGAGAGCCTGAGGCAGGAGCACAGCTTGAGGCCAGGAGTTTGAGCAACAGAGCAAGACCCCATCTCAACAAAATTTTTTTAAAAAGATAGGCATGGTGATGTGTGTCTGTACTCCTAGGTACTCTAGAGGCTGAGGTGGGAGGATTGCTTGAGCCTAGGCATTCGAGGCTACAGTGAGCTATGATCAAGCCACCGTACTCCAACTTGGGTGACACAGCGATGCCCTGTCACTTTTAAAGAAAATAATAATATAAGAAAAAAAAGCAAAAAATCTTTGTTGTTTTCCTTAAGTTGAGAGAAGAGAAATCTGTTTTTAATCTCAGAGTTCACTATCTTTGGTAATTGGGTAGTTCTCGGTGAGAATACCAATAGCAGTAATTCTGATGAAATTACTAACCTTTCCTAATGATTTCACAACATACTATTTTTCATAGCTTCCCTTCTAAGAACAATTATGTTTTTTAAAGAATGATTATTTAATTACCTGCCTAGGGGGCTGAATTATCTGGTGAAAACTGCAGTCTTCTGGAAATGAAAACTCATTTATGATTAAATCATTGTATAAACATGCTTTGTTTATTGAGAGTCAAGTCATTTCTTCACTTACACTGTAGGCCTAAAGAACTTGGCTTTATTATCTTTTCTCAAAAAGGAGAATTTTAAAAGACATAGTTGATGGAGAAGAGCCTGGGCTTTAGCAATAATTAGTCAGAACTTAAAGCTCAGCTTTTCAACTTAGCATTTTTGTGGCAATGGAGAAATAAAATCAACTGTTCAATCCTCACATTTATCATCTACAAAACTCAGGTTAAAATATTTGCCTTGCAGAGTACATATGACCATCAGATAAAATAATGTATTAAAATACTGTATACTGCCTATGTATGTTACCCCTTATCAAAATGTGCATTCCACATTGCACAAAAACTCAAAAACACAAAAACATTGAGCATGCAACAATAAGCATTTGTATTTGCTCACAAGTCTATGCATCTTCAAAACAGATGTTATCTGGGCTACACATGATTGAACTCAGGCTTATTCAGGAGTGTGTGGTTAGTTGGCAGGAAAATGAGGGGTAACTTGGTCTCAGATGCTTTTAGCTTGGATGACTTGACTCTGCTCCATGTGGTTCCATCATCTAGCATGCTATCTGGTACATGTTCTCCTAGTGATGGTGGTGCTAATGGGAGGGATGTGGGGTCCAGGAATGAAGGTAGAGGTGCACAAGGCCTCTTGAGCCCGGACTTGAGCTGGTACACAATTATTTCTGCAGCTTTCTATTGGCCAACACAAGTCACAGGGCCAGCTCTAATTTGAAGTGTGGAGAAATAGACTCCACTTCTTAGGATGGTTTGCAAATTTCACTAAAAGGAGCATAGATACAGAGGGAAAGATTCAGGTCCATATTTGCAATCAATCTATTAGAATCTCTTCAAAAGGAAACAGTCATAAGCAGAATAATTCTATTGTCTCTATATAAACACTATGCATAAATTAACTGCTATATCCCTCCAAAAGGGCAATGCTGGATACATAACTGAATTCAGAATGTAGAGTACTGGTCTTTTATAGGTGTACATAATGAGGTTATTTCCACTTAATACTTTCAAAAATTTTCTTTCATCTGGCATAAAGACTCTCCTGTTTATCTCCCACTAGTCTACCTCTCCAGTCTTCCCTTATCCCTCTCACCAGTCCCTCATGTAAATCCACACTGAGCTTATTACAGGAATTGGGCACTTATTCTCTCCTCTCCTCAGTCTATTTGTTTAATCTGGCAGATATCTTCACACAAACTCTCAGCTAAAGCATATACTAGTTGGACACTTAAACATATCTTATGCTTCTTTCAGAGCTTAAGATCTTTATGTCAGCCTCCTCCACTAGATCATGAGCTCCTGCAGGAGAATTTTCCCCATTATCTCCATGGCCCCACTTCCTGGAACATAGAAGAACTTAATAAATGTTTGATGAAGAAGGAAATGTGTCTTTCACAAAATTATCATCTGTAGTAAATGGTGTCTCATAGATTCATTTATTTATTTATTTATTTATTTCCCACCAGGGCAGAACACTGTGATAAAGATAATATAACAGTGACAGAAGTAGATAGCAGATTCTATTGCCAAGAAGATTTCAGTTATAGTGGGAAAAAGATGGATCTAGAGATAAATACCATCAAGTACTATTTTTCACAGCAAATTCAAATTTGGTAGTCAACCTAGAGTGTTCGATATCCAGAAAGTTTTCTCCAGTAGAATAAAATAACAGTAGATCTTGACTGTAATTATTTTAAACTTTATTTTCATTACATTTTCTTTATATGACAGTGATTGGACAATGTAGTATACAAGATTCCTTCCAAATGTAAGAAGTAAATGAATACTAAACACACTAAACACACTGCCAATTTTAAATATAAGGTTTTGATATTTCCTCATAAATATGATCCTAAGAGTGGACTAGAAAAGTATAGAGCCAAAAAATTATATTGGGGTATAGCTGTGATAATAAGGACACATAGTCATCAAAGCAAATGGTGGCAATTTAATAACAACACAATGAACAGATAATACATGCAAACTTAATAAAGAGGCAATCAATGTGACATTTAAAAGATCCAATTATATGATTTGTAATTTTATATGAATGTTACTCAAATGATTGGCTAGAAATAGCTATTTTCCACATGATATTTATGGAAGATATACCCAGAATTAATACTATTTCTTTGCTTGTTAAGGTTACCAAATGGAATAATTGCTAGTAAACTAAGCAGATGCTTAATGGTGACTGGTAGACAATTCATCTAATCAATTTTGTAACCCTAATTTATGGATAAAGATTTTGTGATAAATAAAGTGATGTTGAACCCTAAGGGCTCATCAGAATTCCATCAAGGCAGCTTTCATACATCAGTTAAACATAGTGAGGTACTGGGAACTCCTTATTCACTGACATCAACAGATAAGATTATTCATTTAGAGAGTAATGTAACTGATTATTTTATCTGGAATAAATCATTGTAAAAAATATTATTCCTGAATATACAATTTTAAGATATTTTGTGATGTCAAAGCTGTACATAAAAATAAAATAAAAATAAAAATCTTCATGAAAAGATTTATATGCATTTTATGCATTTAAGGTTATTTAAAAGAAGAGCAAAAGTATTGTCATTATAATCATACATTAATTCACTTTTCTAACAGAGATCTTAATGTCAAGAGAAAAATTAAAATTCCGTTTACTGAGATATGTACAACACATTTGATATCTCCATCCCTAAAATAATATATTTGTAGACAAATCTTTTAATATTTCTGTTTAATGGTAATACTTTGAATGCATCTGTATTAAGGAGACAAACTAGTACATTTTACCTTGAGTAGCCAGTGATATGAATATTTTTTACTATATTTGCCATTTGAGATATATGATCCTCTAGCTGAGGTTACAACCATTCCATAATGTATTTTATTCATTCATCCAATAACTCTTTTTGAATGCCTGATTTTTCCTGTTCACTGAGAATATCCCTAAGAATTAAAAAAGAAAAAAAATGAAGGAAATGATAGTTCTTAAACATAACAGGCTGCTAGTTCAGTTAACATGGAAGAAATGAGACCACCATCATAGAGTATGTCCCTAAATAATACAAAGCCCTGGGTCATTCATTACATTGCAATGGATTTTTACAATCCCCTATGGGTTTTTAGGAGTGCCCAACACATCAGGAAAATGAATATGTCTTAATACCATTTCATTGCATTTAAGACAAGATGTTTTCATTTATATTTTCAAGAAGTTGTATGTAGATTAAGATAGCAGAGGTTGTATATTTTTCAATTGTTGTCAAGGGAAGTAATAAAACACACACTGTCACTCTGAGACTGTACATTTCCAGGTTCTTCCTTAGTATAGGACTCATTGTTCAGCAAGTATTTGCTAAGCACAAACTACAAGTGGGGCACTGGCTCTCATATTAGAAACCCAAAGAAAAATCAATGTGAGCTTTCAGTTTAACTGGGGGAGAAGGTGCAAAATGCAAATAGCAACAACAATAAAAATACCTATTCAAATCTCAACTCTTCTGTATTTATTTCTTTTTTTATGTTTTACCAACAGCATCTTTAATATCATTTTACATTGACATATGTATTGTGTTTTTAATTGTTTTAATATTTAAATCTAATTCTGAAATCTGTAGATATATATATATATTGCAACTCTGTTGCTATATTAAGCTCTATTAGAATAAGAACATAAATATGTGAAGAAAATTACTCATAATCATCTAAGTTAATTAAGTGGAGATTTTTCTTTGCACATTTGGCGTTCTAGTCCTTAAACATATGCTTGTTCAATCTTTTACATCTAATTTCAAATTATAATTACAGATAGAATTTTATTTTTCAGATGCTTATGCAATCTGATGATACTTAACAAACTAGTATGTTTTTGTTCATTTTTAATGAAATTATATGTATCCCAACAAACATATGTATAGACATTTATGTACAGTTTTTTTGGTTTTTGAAAAGAGGATTACAACCCTTATGTTGGTATACAACTTGATGTTCTCATATGACAATGTAATAATAAGAGCAGTACTTATAGATATAATTCAATATTTAATTAGTGTATATGTTTTCTTTGTATACACACACACATGCACGCATTTAAAACTAAATGGCTTAAATTGTTTATCCCAGTTTGTACCACACCCTACCCTAGCATGTAAGATCTGTAAGTGCAGATGGCCCTCATATTTATATTTCTATATCTAGGTCCTAACGCAATATGTGGCTTATAGTGAGGACCAGTAGAATATCTGAGTGAATTAATGAATGTCTGAATTATTTTCTGATCATAGATAGCACCAATATTGTTTTCATCCAGTTAAGGCTAGAAAGTAAAAACTCAACTCACTTATTCTGTTTAGATTCTGCCAGTTTTGTTTTTAGAGAAGAGCTTTTTGGGGGTTTTTATTCTGATGATATGATAGTTTTACTACCAAGAACTGATAAAATACTTAAAATTTTTAAAATACCAAGAATTTATGCTTTCTTAACAGATAACACCCTCAAGATGTGAAATGTAAAATATACATATAAAACTAAGTTAAATTTCTAATTTAAAACTATGTTCCATTTATTCACTTATTTATAGATTGCTATCACACTCCACAAAAATTAAACCCTTTACGACTCCTTCAATCTTTCATGCGAGAACATTGCAATTAGCATGGCATTTAGGAAAAAAAATCTGGGTTTCCCTGTATTTTTTACACTCTTGATTTAATAATAACTTATATGTCTCCTTCATTAAAAACTTGGAGTATTTATCACCTCTGCATTTTTATTTATTAATGCGTACATGCCTTACATATTAGTGCTGCATAATATTAAAATGTACTGCAATAGGTTCATTATAACGGAATCATTTGCTCTAGGTACCCATTTACTTATTTAATGAGTAGATTTAGAGTTCAATATTCTTGAAGAAAGAAAGTTACTCTTTCACTTCGAAGAAATTTGGAGGTAAATTTCATTCATCAATTCAAGTAGTTATGGTTAGTAACTCCTAAATATGGTGCAGTAGGTAAAATTATGAAGACATATAATCCAAATCTTTCATTGTAATGGAAATAAATGAGGCCAAATATATAATTTATAGAAGATAAAATTTATAAATCCCTCTGAACTGACCTGATATTGTCATTTTTAAAAGTTTGCTGTGGTGGCATACTAAAAGGATCAGCAACTAGTATTGTCATTATCATCACTATTATTTTATGAAAGAAAATGTTATTTTAATATGATAAAGACAAAAAAGAAATAATTTCAAACTATAAGATGGATCCCTATTTGAAATAAATAAGTCTGTGAAGAAGTGCCATAACTTCTTTATTATAGTATTTTTTAAGGGGAAAAGTCTGTAACTGTTAATAGGCAATTCAGTAAACTGAATTTAGACACAGTAACCTAGAAATATTTAAATCCTTTAAAATCCATCTATATTAATGCCTCTGGTGTTTGAAGATTACGACTAGAGAACTTTATAGAAAACAATGTGAAAAACTCAAAGGAACAGACAAAATATTGGTTGGGTTTAAATCCACATTTTATAAAAAGACAGGCCTTTATTCAGAATGTAGATATTTTTATTTTATTGTGTCTCTTTCCTTATCAAATGCTGAGATAAGATCTGTTCACCAGCAAACTGAAGATTAAAAGCAGCAATATGAAAAAACCTAGTCTGGAGTATGCTTTGCAGAAACACTTTCAATATACAGTTGGCAAATGACAATGAGGGATAATGCAGAAAAATAGAACCAAAAGTTTTAAATATGACACAATGCTCAAGAAATCTAGCTGCCTATCATTATTTAATGTTGAAACAAAAGTCCAGGTATTGTAATCCATTCTGAATGAATCATTGAGTGATATTTTCAAATTTTTTGAATTACTTTGTAAAATTCATCATTAAAGGAAGTTGTAAATAATAAAATAAATCATTTTTAGTGCCCTTCACCTTACACCAACAAAAAAATCTGGCTTCGCTTTTGCCTAGTCTGGGTGGGAGTTTTTTGTAGTTTTGTTAAATTTTATTTTATAATTATTTCTGGTTAGACAAATTTGAGACAATAGCACTGAGAGTTTTCATACACTCCACAGCTAGTTTCCTTTATTATTGACACCTTACATTTGTATGATTCTTTAGTCACAGTTAGTAAATCCATATTGATACATCATAATTAACTAAAGTCCATACTTTGTTCAACATTTTTAAATGTTTATCAAATATGTCTTTTCTGTTCCAGGATCTACTTCAGGATACCTTATTACATTTTTTAAAATCATATAACCTAAGGCACCTATTGGCTGTAATAGTATCTCAAATTTTTCTTCTTTGTGATGACATTTTTGAGGAGTACTTGCCAGGTTTTTTAGATGACTCTATAGTTAGAATTTAACAATTAAACTTTAATATCTCAATTGGCATTTAAAAATAAACTTTACATTTAACAAACTCAATGGAAAACATTAAATGAGACTTTTCATATTTCATATAAAAATCATTTATAAGTATTGGCACACAAAATAATTAGGTAAACCTGTTTTACATTTAAGACATTACAGTATCCAATTTTCTGAGTGTACCAAGTTATGGTTGGGAGATGAGGAATCATATATATGCCTACATATATTTGTTAACTCCCATTTCCTAACGAGCATTTCTATGCTTGAAATAAAAATATCAGAGATGGTTTGAAAACACTGGAATTCATTCTCTTTTTCTGCACAACTATCCTGGTTCAATGAGTCTTGGGCAGCAGATTGATAGAGCAAGTAGGTGATGAAAATCAAATTTGCACGGTTAAAGAAAGATGACAGTATTGGTTCTTGTGCTAACATGGGTAACTCAGATATAATAGTCCTTTGAGCCAAGAATTATCCCAGAGATAAAGTTAATGCAAAATGACAGAGAGCCTGGATCTAGAATCTCATTTTATTGAATAACTTTTGAGTCACATCTCTTAGTTCTCTTTTTTTGACAGAAAGGGAAGAGCTGATATTAAAGTAGAAGTGAAAATCCTCCAATTTGGGGCTTCCCTTTCAAATGCCAGCAATCCACCAGAGAGATGCAATGCTGATGTTTGGTCTTCCTAGGCATTGTCTTTGGAGCTTCACTTTTAATAAACATATCAAGGAAAACAGGAGTCCTATTTATGAAAAGGGAAAGCATTTACTAGTTTGTAAGAAACAGGAATTCCTGCATCTTTGGGCTGGAGTTGAATTATTTCATCCAGAGGAGTCTCAGCTGTGGTTTCCTTTTATGATCCCCAGACTCCTTAATTAAATTCCTGATTGAATAGATGTGGAAATGTAGATGGATTACAACAGAGATTTCTCTGGAGAATGTCCTATTCAATATTAGAACTATGCAATGGTGAATCATTGAAAATCTGTTTACATCGATAATTAGAGTTGCTTTCAGCATTGGACAGTGATTTAAGAATTATGGCATCTTTGTAACAAAGCCTCAAACACTGTAAACTATACTTAGGTGATAGGGTTTAAAACCTTCTAATATAATATATGATTACATCACTGTGTACTCATTGTAGAATCAATGGGAGAGTCCAGATGCCTCAAAGTATTGCCAAATAATAACATTTCAAATAATGAATGAACTTCCTCAATAGAGCCTCCTATTTTATTCACTCACCATTTTTTACATGACTGTAGCAAACTATTTTTATTTAATGTTTATATTTCCCTATAGTGAAGAATCAGGATCTGTGACCTTTGAAGTTTAAATGCAGATAACAGTGAAGTTCTTATATCAGTATGTTTGAAATTAAAATTGCCCAGAAAAATTGGGATTTTGTGATTATCTCATATGATTCACCTGCAATATCAATGAGTATTCAATAACCTTTTCTGGCTGTGAAATTTCTATTAAATATATATATAAAGGACAGTCATGGTAGCTCAGGTCTGTAATCCCAACACTTTGGGAGGCTGAGTTGGGTAGATTGCTTGAGCCCAGAAGCTTAAGACCTGCTTGGGCAACATGGCAAGACCTTGCCTCTACAAAAAATACACAGATTATCTGGGCATGGTAGCACCTGCCTGTAGTCCCAGCTACTTGGGAGGCTGAGGTGGGAGGATGGCTTGAACCCAGGAGGTGGAGGTTGTCGTGAGATCGCGCCACTGCACTCCACCCCAGGTAACAGAGTGAGACTCTGTTTCAAATAAATAAATACATAAAATTATGTTTATTAGGCCTTCTTCACAAATGCTAATCTCTTAGTGAGCAAACACACATAACATCTTGAGACTCTAACAGATTTCTTCCCCTCCTGTTCCATTTTTCATTTTGATCTAGGCTTTCGTGGTTTTTTTGTTTGTTTGTTTGTTTCTATTTTTCATTACTCCATTGTCAGTAAATTGACTTGTTCTCAGCCTTACCTCTTTCCTGTTGCAATATGCCCAATACAGCTCTAGGCACTGTCTTTACGTAGTTATGTCAAATGCAGGGAAGAAGTGAGAAGTCAAATGTCTTTTATGGTTCTTTCTTTTGTCAAGGAGAAAATTCTGTTCACTAATGTTCTCTATAGAGTTTCTGTTGTATCTCATTGGCCAGAACTAGATTATATGTCCCTGAATTAAAAGAACTTCGCTTACTCATCTGAAGGGAATAGTTGTTGGGAAAGAAGAAAACAGTGGCTGCTCAAATTATGTTTCTTGAGGGAAGATAACTTATCTGATTTCTTAGCCTCATATCACTAATGTCGAGGCTTTTAATAAACATGTTATATTAATGAACAAATATGTCATGCAGTAGGTAGCAAAACTTATCAAAGCAGTATTCAAGAATATCTGACCAAGAGTATCACATGTATCCTCTGCTTTTGAAAATGATCTCACAGTTCATCTTTAGTATGACTTTTAAGTCATCTCACACCGAGTTGAGTAGAGGAAGAACTACGACTCAATATGTTCTTCCTAAGATTAGATTAAGCCCTTGGCTTATCTGTACAAGGATAGAGAACTAAATGGAAGAATTGACCAAAGCGATTATAAATTTATTCAGCATATCTCACAATATCTTCCAGTAGACCTGATGGTCCCTAACAGAGACACATGACTATCAGTGACTTTATCCACACTTGACAGGGCTCTTTCAGGAATCCTCTGAACCTTAAGCCAAATTCTGTGTCAAGAAAACACATCTCTTTCCAAGAGTTGAGTGGGAAGACTAATGTGGAAGTCAGTGTCCAAGCATTCAGGGCCACTAATTGTAACTACCAACAAACCAGAAAGCAATATTGACCCAAAATGGCAAATAAATATTCAGCAGGAAACTTCTTGAATAGAAATTTCAATTTTTGGATCAATATAATAATTTCCTGATCTGAATTTCTTTGAATGTAAAATAACAATAGAGTTTTAAAATTATCACTTCTAAATAAAATAAATCATAAATGCTACTTCCTATTTTTTTTACTTTCACTGCTTACTTTCTTATATATACTAATTTGCCTATTTACATTGATATGCAAAAATGAGCTGAAGACTAGCATTAAATATTCCTGAGAAAATATTTATTTCTTTATCATCAGGTTGTGTAATATTGTGTAATTGGCTTATCTTTCCTGTGTCTCAGTATAACAGCCTTGGAGATGTGCCCATCAGATCTCACTTTACTGGGTCCTCCTTCCCTGCCAGTCAGTGACTGAGCCAGTTTCCAAACTCTTGTATCACTTCTTGTTTTCTTGGACCACTTGAAGTGGTCCAAGCTCTGTAGGGAGGGTTGAGTTCCTGGACATTGAACTTGTGCATTTGCAAAGGGGCCCACATTTGATAAAATGTTCTGCTCTCAACCTCTTAAAATTATTATTATTATTATTTTTTTTTTTTTTTGAGATGGAGTTTCACACTGTCACCCGGGCTGGAGTTGTGCAATCTCAGCTCACTGCAACCTCCGCCTCCTGGGTTCAAGCAATTCTCCTGCCTCAGCCTCCCTAGTAGCTGGGATTACAGGTGCCCACTACCACGCCCAGGTATTTTTTTGTATTTTTAGTAGAGGCGGTGTTTCACCATGTTGGCCAGGCTGGTCTCGAACTCCTGACCTTGTGATCGGCCCACCTCAGCCCCCAAAGTACTGGGATTACAGGCGCGAGCCACCGCACCCAGCCTTAAAATTCTTAATAATTATATCGTTGAACTTATTTATGTTGGGTAAGCGAAGGCCTATGGGATAATGAAGCATGCATGTCCCCTCCTTAAGGGATCCTATTATATCCTTTCTTATGCATGTTACTTTCCTGTATTAATCAAACCTTTAAAGTTAAAAGTATAAAAGAAGGCAAAGGAAAGATAGGGCAAATCATAGCTCCTGTTTTTATTGCTTCTTTCTTGTAAATGAAAAAACATTCTGGTAGAACATGCAGGTATCAAGAAGTGAAATAAAAAGTGAAATTGGTTTTGTGCAGTGCTTCCACTCTTCTGGGAACAAATTGTATATACATATGCAAGCTACAAAAATAGGAATTGTGTAATTGCAGTGATTTTGTATACAAATTATGAGCTCTTACATTATGTTTGAAACTGGCACTGCACCAAATAAATATGAATGGTAATGCTAACTATTTAAATTTTATTTTTTCCATAAGTAGAACCACATTAAATAGCAAATTAAGCAAAATAAAGAAACCTTTATAGCATGTTGAGAGAGGATGTGGGAGAAAAAAATGCTTTATATATTAGTTTGTTTAATGGCTCATTTTTCTTAAACAAGGGACCCCACATTTTGATCTTGCAATGGACCCTACATATTATAGAGGTGGTTTTGTTTACATATTTAGATGTGCTGGCCCCCAAAGGGAGAACACTCCTATAAGAGGATACAACAAAGCTTCCGTTGGGCTACATGGTATGGCAGCAACAAAGGAACTTTGAATTACTGACATCCAGTGATCATCAGGTGAGAAGGAGAGTTAATGTCTTCTCAAGGGTGATTGACACTAATTACAGGCTAAGACATTTATATGATGGGGACAAGCAGAGATATGTGTAGAACCAAGGGGATCCATTTGGGCCTCTCTAGGCATTTCCTTGCTCATTGTGACTATGAAAAGAGACTTGGAGCAGTCACCTCCTGAGAAGAGTAGCAAGTCTCAGTTAACTCAGGAATGAAAGTTTGCTCTATAGTACCAGATAAGCCAGAAAGCTCTGCCACGGGGATAGCTGATGCTGAGAATTATTTGGAATAGATAATGGAGGAAGGAAATAAAGGTTATTTTTCATAGCACCAAGATTAATAGCAACTACTAGTGCTATAATTCATCTTCTTTCCTCATGTCTTAAGTTTTTTCTGAAGAAGATAGTTTCATGGGAACTATGGACAAGCAGCTCTCTGAACATACATGGATCTGTGCAGTGCCAGAGATGAACTGTAGAAGCCAAGGAATGCACTCTCACATTTACACTCAGCAGGACATTTCGTGAGGAGAACAGCTGACTGACAGCCTTCAGCTATGACATTCTGCTAATGTCACACTTTCTTTGGGCTGCTTCCAGCCAATGTCTGAGGACAAAAGGAGTATAAGATGAGTCCTTCTGGCCTAAGACCAGACTTTCCTAACTGGCAACTTTTTCTTGGAGAAATCTCATTGGCCTGTCCAACAGTGTATCGTAACTGTGGCATAGGACTTTTTTACCCATATCTCCCTTCTTCCCTCTCCCTTCCTCTATCCCTCCCTTTCTTCCTTCATTCACCTTCCTTCACCCTTTCACAAACATCATAGCTGATCTTCAGCTTAAGTCACTTAGTGCCTACTTCTGTTCCTTCTTTCTCTTCACAAGTATTTTCTTTAAAAAATCTCTCGTACATCTAATTCTATTTGGCACTACATTGACTGAGGACCCAAATGAACAAATTCAGTTACATCTTTAAAAACTAGTTCAACCATTGTGGAAGTCAGTGTTGCGATTCCTCAGGGATCTAGAACTAGAAACACCATTTGACCCAGCCATCCCATTACTGGGTGTATACCCAAAGGACTATAAATCATGCTGCTATAAAGACACATGCACACGTATGTTTATTGCGGCACTATTCACAATAGCAAAGACTTGGAACCAACCCAAATGTCCAACAATGATAGACTGGATTAAGAAAATGTGGCACGTATGCACCATGGAATACTATGCAGCCATAAAAAATGATGAGTTCATGTCCTTTGTAGGGACATGGATGAAATTGGAAATCATCATTCTCAGTAAACTATCGCAAGGACAAAAAACCAAACACTACATGTTCTCACTCATAGATGGGAATTGAACAATGAGAACACATGGACACAGGAAGGGGAACACCACCCTCTGGGGACTGTTGTAGGGTGGGGGGAGGGGGGAGGGATAGCATTAGGAGATACACCCAATGCTAAATGACGAGTTAATGGGTGTAGCACACCAGCATGGCACATGTATACATATGTAACTAACCTGCACATTGTGCACATGTACCCTAAAACTTAAAGTATAATAATAATAAAATTAAAAAAAATAAAAAAATAAAAATAGTAGTCAAATGACAGCATCTATAATATAACTATGTGTAAAACCTATTGGTACATTCGTTGTGTAGACTAATATGTTCACTCCTTAAAACACCATGATGATATAGCTACTAATACCAATTTTAAAACAAGAGAGATTGAGCTCAGAGAGGTTAATTAAACTTCCAAGCTCATGTAGATTATAAATGAACTGGGATTCAAACATAAGGATATACATTCCACAGTTTATTTGATTACTACTCACTCTTATGAGACAATTCACAGCAATGACAGTGCAACCATAAAAAGGTGTCGCCAGGTGCAGTGGCTCACGCCTGTAATCCCAGAACTTTAGGAGGCTGAGGCTGGTGGATTACCTGAGGTCAAGATTTCGAGACCAGCCTGGCAAACATGGTGAAACCCCATCTCTACTAAAAGTTAAAAAAAAAAAATTAGCTAAGCATGGTGGTGGGCTCCTGTAATCCCAGCTACTTGGGAGGCTGAGGTAGGAGTATCACTTGAACCTGGGAGGTGGAAGTTGCAACTAGCCTAGATCACACCACTGCACTCCCAGCCTGGGCAATAGAGTGAGACTCCGTCTCAAAAAAAAAAAAAAAAAAAAAAAAAAAAAGTGCATCACTGACTTTGCTGCTCCTTTCTGCCTTATATGCTTTCTCCTCCTTTTCTTAAATTCTTAATTCCATAGTTCCACAGTATCCCTGATTGCTGGCTATCTGATCATTTGACCCTCTTTATTACTGTGTTCTCTAAATTGCTTCTCACATCATTTATTATTCTTTGCTTTAGATTTTTAACATTCTATTTTGCTCTGTCTTCTGATATTCACGACCTCTTTGTCAGTACCCACACATAATATTATTGATCCACTTATTCCAAAGTTTATCCCTTCTGGTCGTTTCAATGCCTTATCCATATTTTGGTTTAATTGTGTAGGATATAATTTAACTGTTTGTTTTACAAGTACTGTGACTTATATTATCTGAATTAGATGGTATTTGTTTTGCAACAATTTATTCTTAGATTTATTTGGGAAGAATTTTTAAAGTTCTAATATGTGGCATTAACTGTTCTGATGCTTCAGTTAGAACTGTGAGTAAAGTGAGATCTTTGCTCTCAAGAAATTTCTGGGCAAGAGACCATTGAAGAAATGTTTTTAATGCTTGCTCAAACAATTTTTTTCTATATTTTCTTTCTTGATTCTGACCCAAAAGTCCTATAAATTAAGCAGAAAAGTGGTTGGACCAATATTTACAGGTAGGTAAATATTACAGCCCATAATATCTAAATTATTACTAAGGGCCACAAAACATTCTTGGTAGTCCCCAGAAGTACACATTTTTAATTTTTTTTTCTTGTTGTTCACTTATTACATGTTGTTCAAAGTTTATTTGACTTGGAGGAACACCATTGCTCAAAGTGTCTTTAGCAAGGGTCCTGGACATTGATAGCTCTAATCACAGTTATCATATTAATAATTTTTCTTATAGCATATACTTGTGTCATTGGGTTAAAAGGTTCATTCTGTCATTCTGATGTCTATAGTGATAGAACAAGACACAATCATTTGGAGTGTAAGTGTCAGGCAACAATGGGGCACATGTTTCCAATGCTGGTTGTATGATAATTCTCTCCAAATATTTAGAAGACATTTCAGGCCTGTTTGAATTGCTGTTCCATTGTTATCTGCTATCAATACTGGAGACATGACCACAGACATTTCTCAGAAAGAAAATCAACAGTTTCAGTTTATTTTCCAAATGCTTTGAGCCTTCTAAAAGAAAATGATGTCAAGAGATTGTCCCTTGATTTTAAGACCCTTGTGTAATTTAATGTAAAATTTGTGCATCTTTAAAAAATTAATTTACACTTAAAACATCAACATATTCCACTAGTTTTTAATGAGCATAATCATTTTTTATTTTATTCATTTGTTAGAAGTTTCATTTTGTCTCCAGTTAAGTGAGTTTCAGCCCTAACAGATAAGTACCTTGAAGAAAAGGTTTGAAAGGTCTTTGGGGAGTATTTTCTTATATAACATCTTGTATTTTGAACAAGCTTTGAGGTTGTCAAAACACATGTACCCTAAAACTTAAAGTATAATTAAAAAAAAAAAACACTTCTCTTTTCCTGTTATCATTGTGTTTTGGAATAATCCTGTGAGGCATATAGGGCATGCAGCTTTGTCCCTATCTCATAAAAGAGAAAAACAAAGTCCACAAATGTCAAAAGAGTTCCCTAAGTCATAGGGTTGCTCCATGACAGAGTTTTATTCTAAACTTAGTCTTTCAACTTCATTTCACATTTGTTCTAACGTATATTTCTACTTTTCTTCTTAACAGATGGATTTATAAAGTATAAACTCAAGTACAGACACGCACCTTTGAAAATATGTTAGAACTATATATCTTCAAAAAATACAGTGTTGCAAACAAATATTTGACAATATGGAAAATATGCATAATGTCCATTTGTAACTGACCCCATTTTTTATGTAAAAATATGACCCTTATGTGATACAGTCTAAATGGAGTTGAGATATGCCATTTATCCAGATCCCCACCTCTGTCTTTCTCTTTGTCTCTCTCTCTCTCTCTCACTCAGTCTCTCTCTCTCTCTCACACGCACACACACACACACACACACACACATTTATGGTTAACATTATCTATTTTAAAAACCTATTGTAAGGATTTGGAGTATATTTTACTGGCTAGAAAACAGATTTATCAAAGACATTTGTTTGGACATGGCAAAATGCCTCCCTTGGTATCTTGGTGCCATGTTCAAAACTCAAAGCCAGTTGTTATTTTTCATCACCAACCACATAAAAGAATAGATGAATAACGAATTCTCATCAGAATACATCCCAACCAAAATTTTAAGCAGACAAATATTCCTTTACAAATCTTATTAGTTTTCTAAATAATCAGAAATAGTAACAATGAGTTATTCAAAAGATTTTAAGGTAGCATAGTCCTGTTGACATATTTTACAGATTAAAACTTCCAGAGTGTTTTAGAGATTTATATAAAATCAAAAAGTTTCAATCTAAATCTCATAGCTTATCTATTCATTGACCTATTCATTCCACACATATTTACTGAATACATCGTATCTCTTAAGCACCAATAAGTAATTTTTCTAGTTGTCCTGCAGAATAGTTTCACAAGCAAAAGTTCTTTATCTGGAGTCAATGGAATCTTTTAATCCCCACTGACACTTTTGTTCTTAAAATTTCACAAGTGTATCACAAGTATATCTTTTCATTTCCTGTAGGAAGGGCTGTATAATTTGTCAAATTTTAAAGGATCTGTAACCCCAAGATTGTTAAGAAACATTGCTTTATAGATTGATCCTCACCCTCCCATCTGCCATTCCAAGTAGCTTTCTCCAGTGGAAGGAACAATATTCCATAGCTATCTCTAGGGAATAAAACGTGCTTATTTTGTTTCTGCCTTTTTCTTTAGCTCCTACTCTTTCTATTGGTTTGAAATTTGGAACAGATAATTGTGTTAGTACAAATTTGGTTAAAGGTCTTCTTTGAATATGTACTTTTTTTATTTTTATGCTATGAAATGTTATTGAAATTTTATCACCAATTCAAATTTCAAAAATCAAATGTTATGACATATCTTGACATTGCTAGTGTAATCTGTGATGAGAAACATATTGAAAATGTAAAAATATAAAATATATTTATAAAAATATAACATATAAATATACATATATATATATATATATATATGTAATATATTTATGTCCTACCCGCCTTTGTACCTATTAAAGACCTTGCAAATGGATCATGGCATTCTTGCTCACTGAGCTAGGACCCAGTCTCAGAATGTTTTCTTTCAATGGAGAATTATATTTACCTTTTAAAATTAATGAGTCGGTTCTCCAGGCCTAACATTTTTGTATCATTGCATGTGCTGTAGCTATATATTTGTATATATTTACATCCAGTCTTCATCTCCTGGAAAGCATCTCCACCAGGCTTTGCTCACATTGCCTATGAATGGCAGTTAATCATATTAGTTTTATTTGTAAAAATTCTGGGGAAATATGGTTCAAAAGTGAAGAACTCTTAGAGGTTGGAACACAAGTGGGACTTTTATGGTGTTAATCAGGCCAAAGCTATGTAAGTTTAGGTTCACCATAGAACATGTTTCATTGCGCCTGTGAAGGCAAGTTGAATGCTACAGTGCCGGCTTCCCCTGCCAATATTACCCTCCACACACTGATCCACTGATGGCTGGCATTCCTTTGAGAAGGAGCACACACGCTAACATTTCATGTTTAGGGTTAGAAAACATCCTTAAGTGAAATATGTACAGCACCAGTGGAGCTGTTACCAGTCTTGTAGAGGAAAACACATGATTGGCAAAATTGCCTGGGCCATATTTATAGCCTAGGGAATACAGAAATCAATGTAAAAATATTTTTCTATTAGGACATAAATTCAAACTTTAAATTGAATTAAACTGTTGAGCATTAAATTAAGTTAAACTGTTGAGCATCATTTAAATATCCCAAGCAAACTAAATGGCCAACATTAGGAAGGTCTAGTCTATCTTAGAGGTTTTTTTTCAGATTTAAATAAATACAGTCATATTTATTTACATAATTACATAATAATTATAATAATTATTACCTTTCTCATCTGCCTTTAATTTTATGGTTAGCCATGATGTGATTTTTTTCCTCTACTGAAAACACAAACACTCCTGTGCATGGAAAGCAGGTACACCATTCATTTAAATTCTCTTTCACAAGGGTGTTAGAGAAATCGAGCATAGACTAAAGAGTAGGTACCTGAAGATGAAAGACAGATGAAAGAAGATAAACAAACAAACAAAAAACATAGAAGAAAGAATATGGGGAGGGGGAACATATGTTATTATGTTACATATGTTATTATGTAATAATTACATAATAATTACATAATAATAAGTCGCATAATTACATAATTTCACATATTTATGGCATACATGTGATATTGTGATACAAGTAATTTAGCATGTGTGGCATTTTAAAATATCCTTAAGCATTATGGAAGTATGGCCCAGGTACTTAGCACAAACACAGAAAACCACTTATAATAAATGAAAATATAGATAAACTACAGGGCTGATCAGTGTATTAAATACTGAGTATTATTACCAACAAAATCAAAAGAAATGGCAGTGAAAAAACATACAGCAAATTCGCTCATTAAACAATTTTTTTTAGTTTTCCTTTCTATCTGCTTTACCTTACTAGTGGTGCCAACTGCAATTTCAGAAAACAAGAACATGTTATTTTTCTCTTCTGACTAACATACTTTGTCTGAAAGTATTTTAAGTGTTACATAAGGATTCATTTTAAAACCATATTTGTGAAATTATTCTATTTAATTCATTTATTTGCGTAACTATTCTTAAGGCACATGAATATTTGTTAACCTAGTAAAATAGGACAAGAAGCTGTGTACCTCTGAATGTAATGAAATAAATACTAAAACAAACAATTTTTAGTACAGCAAAATTTTTTTCAAAAGTAAAGAAAAAAACTCTTCAAAAAATATGTACCTTATCAAAGCAAATTTAAAAGTCACGAAAGAAGAAGAATCTGCAATTATACTTTCTAGAATTCTTGCACAATTGGCCAACACCTCTAGTTTTTTTCCTAGAATGTGACAGAAGAGATCTACTTGAAGAAAGACTTCTTATGTCATAAAAGTACTGAGTCAAAGAGGAACCAATATCTCAATATATTTTTTATCTCAGAAGTTTCCTTGAACTCAGAATCTCTAAATTGGAAGGATCCTGAAAGGGCCTATAATTCAGCCACTTGCAAGATATAGAGCCCAATAGTACATTTATAGCCTTTGCTTGTAAATAAATGGCAGTGTTTTGGAGAATGCTATATCACAATCAAGCCATTTTCTCCTTACCTAGTTCTGAGTTTTGGAAAATTCTTCCGTCTTTTCTGGTGAAAACTGATTTTACAGATACTCACAGATAATATAGGTTCATGTCAATGAATAAAGTGAGCATGTATTATCCCTGCAGTCTTCATCTTTTTCTTCTCCTCCTTCCCCCTCCCCATATTCTTTCTTCTATGTTTTTTGTTTGTTTGTTTCTCTTCTTTCATCTGTCTTTCATCTTCAGGTACCTACTCTTTAGTCTACGCTCAATTTCTCTAACACCCTTGTGAAAGAGAATTTAAATGAATGGTGTACCTGCTTTCCATGCACAGGAGTGTTTGTGTTTTCAGTAGAGGAAAGAAATCACATCATGGCTAACCATAAAATTAAAGGCAGATGAGAAAGGTAGAAATAGAGGGGTGGTGTACTTAAGAAAGTTATGGTGATCATGTCAATTTCCTGAATTTATGTCACTCTGCCAGCCTTTGAAAGACAAAGCCCTTCTTAAAATACAACTACCAATGCCTTGTTCTTTTTCTTCTAAATTTCATGATCTCTCCTTTGTAATCTGCCACTTTACGATCTGCATATCTCTCTCAACCTTTTTCACCGACATTAACAACTATAAGTATTAAAATGTACAGAAGTTGCAAATATTCAAGTGTAGTCATGGATACATTCTTGATGTGTAAAATTGGTATTTTATATATTGTTAAACAGTTTTCTGATATCAGCTCTTCCTGCATTCAACCAAGCAATCCATATGCCACCATAACAACATACTACCCAAGGGCTAAGACTGATCCTTATTAAAAAGAACAGAAAAAAAAACCTTAAAGAAAAATTATTTTATAACTTAATGGTATCTTCTCAAGCATTCTATTTTGAATGTATTACAAAAATATAACTTCTTCTTCTAAATATTTTGTGTATCATCTTCTGAATATTTTGTCAATTATTGCCTTTTGGGGAAATGTAACTTGGTATCTTTTAGAAGTCAGATGATCTGGGTCCCACTTTATCTCATTTGATTATTTAAAAAATGAGATAGTCAAATCTCTAAAACTGGGTGGGCATCAATGTCCTTGTCTATAAAGAGTTTGATAAATATATGCACTTCAATGTAATTTGAGAGGCTCAATGAGAGTATATGGGTATTTACATTAAAAATCTATTTTTTTCTACTCATTTGCAAGACAATTTATTAAGCTATATATTTGAGATTCACCTTCTCCACTCCCAGTGAATTTCCATGCATTTTTCAAAAAGGTCATTCGTCAACAAATTTTCAGACCACTTTTCAAAGTCTAAAACTATTTTCTTTTTCGTGATACATGTTGCACCTTCTTAACTCTGGACCTTGTACTTTTTAATCTCTGAGATATGTCAAACTATATTACAGGTTAATTTCTTTCCTTTAGCTATATAGCTCTCCTTATAAGCTAAGAAAGAGCAATTCACTTATTTCATTTGGGATAAAACTTTTGTTTTGTTTATTTAAATGTTTTAGAGGCAAAGTTTTTCAAGGCCATTCATGAGAAGACTCAGCTCATATTCTCTATAAGCATTAGGTTATCAAAAACTTTTCTTTAAAACTTTTTAAAAGTGAGATTATCACTGAAATATTTGTCTAAAAATTTGTGCGTGTCTATTTATGTTAAAGAACAAATAGATATTGAGAGCAAGGACTAAATGCAATTCTTTAACTTAACTGCAACTTTTAAGGTTTGTCTAGAGAAAGAAGTGTGAAAATTACATTTTTCTTTTCAGCTGCTAACATTTTTTTCTGGGAATAACAAACGGAAATGCTCTAATTTTGATTACATACATAAGGAGCTTTTGCTACAATATTTGGTTTCTTTTGGGGGCCTATCTTAAGCAAACTTGATATGGTTATTTGCTGATTATGTATATATTAAAATGTGTAAAACCTTAATAAAAATGAGAAAAGTACCCAGTTGGAAAACTTACTATAGTTTATGAGAATAGCATAAAGGAGTTGAAATTGTTGGGGAGTATAAATTATATTTTGAATAAAAAATTAAAGCTTAAAGTAAGTTTACAAAGAGGAGAAGGGGTCATCTAGGTGTGAGAACTGGGGAGTGGTAACTGAGGCAGAGTCAATGGCATGAAGAAATGCCCAGAGACATGAGAGAAAATGGAGAGCTTGGATTTGACAAATATTGCAAGTTATCAGTGGTGACCTGGCAGAACTTGAAAGATGTTGGGGATTTTTGCATGACAGGCTAAGGATCTTAAACTTTACTAATCATCAGTGGTGCTAGCTTTCTGACTTTAATCAAAATTTAATATGGATACAACAAATTTAATGAGATTTATCTGACCATAACTGCGTCTATGCAAATTTCTTACTTGGGAGCAGTGATATTAAAAGCAGCAAGGAAAGAATTTTTCTTTTAAAACTCTTCAGTGAAATCTTAAGTCCTTTGCAACCTGGGAAACATATTTTAGCAGAATTGCCAGATGCCACTGGCAAGAAGCATATTTCTATGTATAGACTCCCATTTGTCAGTTTCAAAGATTTAGAAACATATTCAGATGTCAATATGCAACTCTTCCTCATCTTTCTGTGATCCTTCCTGCTGTTTTAATAATAGGAAAATTCCAAAGCAATGGAGCAGATGATCATACTTTCACAATTCTGGAATCCAGAATCAAGAGATATTTCAATAATAGTTGCATATCTATTTATGGTGATACAAAGTTAAAATAAATATTTAATTCCAAATATTCTTCTTTCCCATAACCACTCTACTTTTCCAGACCTTCTCACCTCTTCTGAATCATTGCAGGAGTCTGCCACACAGGTTTCCCTGCTTTGGTCTTCTCCTCTTTCTTGTCTTCCATACTGTAGACTGAGTAGTTATCCATCCAAAATGCAAATATTCCCTTTCTTCCCCTCTAATCCTTCATGTCTTCCCAATACTTACAGGTTTAAGACCAATCTCTTTAGCATAGCATAAGAAGCTCTCCATAAATCATTCCCTGGCCTCCTTTCCAGACTTATCAGTGGTAAAAATGTTAGTTCATGAAAGTCCTGTATTGTGCGTCTGTCTTCATTTTTTGTTTTGCATCCTAAATACATATCTGCATACAAGAAATGGGTTTCCAAGACTGTTATCAGACTAGGTACAAAGCACACTGTAGCCTAATATTCATGAAATCTTGAAACGAGAACAGAGAAATGGGCTCCAGAATTGCCTCTAGAAAAGAAGACTTTTGATTCTTAATCAGTTATTCTTATCTTATGGAGGGGAAGAATGTTCATTTATTATACAGAGAAGAGGAGGCTGGGGAAAAAGGGAATAAAGAGGAATCTCTAAAAAACAGAGAGATTTAATACTGTAATTCTGATGAAAAGATAAAGGCCAATGGATTTTAGGCTCTCAGTCCACCTACTCACAAAAACTCCCTTCCTTACCTAATGAGAAGTTGTGAGAAGAGGATCCAGAAATATATCTTCAAGAGTATTGCCTCCTAGACAATAGAAGAGGAGAAGAATTCTTTATAAAACCATAAGAAGAATAATGTATAAAGAAATCTAAGCTTTTTGTTTTCTTTGATAGATGTCAGTTATAAAATGCACTATTTCTCACTTCACTGACCCGTGTGATATTATTTTTAATTATTCACACTTTGAATATTTTGTTTTATACTAAGTTTTTGTCTAATTTTGCAAAATATAAGATTTGCATTCTGCAATGTCTACTTAAAATATTTATGTGTTCTTCATGAGTATGCCATGGAAAGATTCTACTAAATGAAAACTGTATTATAGGATTTTTCTGAAGCCAATGGTTCTCAGTTCTGGCTGTGCACCAAAATTCATGTGAGGATACAAAAAATATTCTAACGTTCAAATTTTCTGATTATTCTGCAATGAAACATTTGATTTGGAGCCTAACTATGTATCTTCCTCGAATTTCCCAGATTACCTTTTTTTTTTTCTTGTGGCCACATTGCTTTTAGTATTCATTTAAGTAAATAGATATGAACTGATGAACATTGAAACAATTATTTGAAATTCATTTTATTTTTTAAAAAAATATTTAACTAAAAGAAATCAAGCTTCTCTACCCTCTTGTCTGAGATAAGCTTAATGTCACTCCCTCTTCTTTCTCAAGTGTCTGCTATAAATTGATGCCTAACTCTTAATCAGCCTTAATAATGTTAGCTGAGTGGGTGGATAGATGGGTTAGATGGATGACTGGCTAGACAAATGCTGGATGATGGCTGAATCAGTAAACACATGGATATACAATTTTACAGATGCATAGATAATGCATTGCAGTTATGTAAATAAGTGGAAGATGAAGGGTTAATGGAAAGCTTGACAAGTAGCTGAATTGATGATTGACAAAACTAGTAAAGAAATGGATGAATGAGTACAGAATGACTAAAAGAAGTGAAGTAATGAACTTTCTAGGATGTTGCAATGTCTACTCTACGAAATTGACCCAGACTAAATTTTTAAAATGTTTGATTATTTATGCTCAATAAAACAATTTCAGTTTGAAGAAGTTTGCTTATTATCTGGTTGTGAATTATAGGTCATAATACAGGAACAAGCTAACTGCTGTAGGGGCTGCGGAAGATAAAATTGATGTAACAAAAGACTGGCTGGATAAACATTTTGACTCTCTTTTGACAACTATAGCTTCAAAGCATGTAACCTCTCTAACTGTAGGAAAAAAGTAGTGGCAGATGAAGCATGCCAGAGGAAATCAAGCAGACCTTTCAGAAGTCTATTGGGAAGCAATAAAGCCAATAAACAGAGATATAATTATAAAGAACTATTTGTACTGAAACCAAAATCACAGCTCTAAACTGAACAAGATTATTCCAAGGGCAAAAAGAGCAATTTGTTGTGTGTCAGTCTCTTAGGCATGAAAGAATACAGAGATTGCTGTCAGGCTTTGCAGAGTGCATGATAAGCTAGAGACAATTTTATTGTGAATTATGCGTGTTTTAAGTTCTATGTTCAGAAACAGACCACGGGCTACTCAGCTGAAAGAACTTGTTTGATATAGAGCAAGTTTGTGTTCAGAGCCTATAAGGCAAATATATTTAGTAATTATTTAACTACTGATTCATGTAATTGTTTAAAGTGAATTTATAATTATTAGACCAATTTTTGTTATTATTCTTATGGGGGTTTTGACCAATTTTCTATTTTTTAGGAAGGACACTTTTGAAAAAATATATATATATTTAAAATTCATTTTTGCACTTGATATAATTTTTTTCAATGAACTTTTTTGATCCAATAGCACAAGCAATGAGTTATAAAAAAAAAAAATTCATTTTTAACCACTGAAAAAGTAAATTTTAAGTATTCAACTGCATGAAAACCAATTGTTCTGCTATAGCTCATATCTTGTTTCTAATTTTATTTATATTCCCTTCCCCTATTTTTTCAGTGATTTACATATTTAATTAAAAAATTATTCAAATATGTCTTATACGTAAAAAATGCAGATTGTGAGAGTACAACTTTGTAAGATTTGACAAATGTCTAAATCCAAATAAACACTAAAGCAACTAGGTTATAAAACATTTCCATCATCCTGGAATCACCCATTTTTCTGATTCTATCACCATGGCTTAGTGTTCCCTTTTCTAGAATATTCATATGAATGAGCCCATTAAATACAATGTCTTTTGGGCCTACATTATTTCATTCAGTATAATATTTCTGAGATTCATCAGTTTTGTTGTGTTTTCCAGTAGCTCATTATACTTACTGAAAATATTATTATGTTCCCCTGTATAAGCACAATTTAGGTTTCCATTCAATGTATCATATGTTTTTAACATTTTAATTAATTTAAAAAATTCCTACCTTGGTTAGAATATGTTTTATGTTTGTCAATTGTGTTATACTTACAGAGTCTAACTTGTTTCTCAAATACAAGCATTGTCTGTCAAACAAATGGAATGGCATTATTACTCCCACTTTATAAGTGAGAATTGAAATAAGCAAGAACAAATATCTCTTTCAGGCCAAATGCCTGGACACAGAACCAGGGCCATTACTCATGTTTCTTTACTCTTCCTTAAAATCTGTTTCTATAAGATCGAAGGATACAAGTTTATTACATTAGAGAAAGAAGTCTTAGTGATCTACAAAAACAATTATGTTAATAAGATGATCGACCTGTTAGCTTGATTATAACTTTCTATAATGTATACTAAGATTAAGAAATCACATTCTGCCCCGTAAACATACACAATTACTGTTTGTCCAGTAAAAATAATGAAAAAGGAAACAAAAGAAAAAATATTTCAAGATATGAAACAAAAACAAACAAAAAACCAAAAATCTGTTTTTAGGATAATGATATAATTTATACATTTTGGTATTTCCTTGTCCAATCAAAAAATGTGGTATATTAAATCCATAATGTTCACTTATTTCTTAAAACATGTGTTTCAATTTATTAGTCTCTTTAAGTAGTGTGAAATTCAGAATTTAGTGGTCTTAAGCCAGATTTCACACCCCCTTTTTCAAATGTATATACTGAAGAAATTTGTACTTGGTCATATGTACATATACACTCATTCAAATAAATAAGTCTTGGTTGGTAGACTTTCCTTCTCTGAAATTTCTTTTTTTATGGTTAAGATAGTAAACTTTATTTTATGTGTATTTTACTATAATTTTTTGCTTTGTGTTATTCTGTTTTTTTCCCTTTTTTGTTTTATTTTATTTTACTTTACGTTCTGGGATACATGTGCTGAATGTGCAGGTTTGTTACATAGATATACATGTGCCATGGTGGTTTGCTGCACCTATCAGAAATTTCTTTAAATCTTACTGTTTAAGCTGAGCTATAGTTGAAAATAAAAGTGTAACGTTTATGTAACAGACATTGTTGATGTTTAAACATATTTTTTCCTTACAAAGAATGGAGAAAGACTTTTTTTTTCAGTTATTTGGGATATTCTAAGTCCAAAACACAATATAAAATGTGAAAATAAGAGAAATCAATGATTCTTATTTAGCATATTTAATTAATGTTTAGTTAGTTATTTTGTATTTATCATCTTATTTAATCATCACACCAGATCTGTAATTTAGGTAAAGCTTTGGTATTAGCCTATTAGTCCTGGATCTGCCACATAACAGTATTTGACTCAGGCCATTCAAACGACGTGAGCTTGCAAAGGCTCACTTTCCTCCAGTTCAAAATTGTTATAATAAAAAATATTTGCCATATAATTGTTTCAAAGATTGAAAATCATAACGCTTGAATATCTTGTGATAGATACTCCTTAAAATGTGTTGGTATTTGTAAATTCAATAAATAAAGTATTGTCTTCTTACATTTATCCTGGACCTTTTTCTAATACATTTAATTCTATCCATTTCAATAATGATGATTGGAAAGGCAAATGAAAGTGATTCATGTAATTGTTTAAAGTGAATTTATAATTATTAGACCAATTTTTGTTATTATTCTTATGGGGGTTTTGACCAATTTTCTATTTTTTAGGAAGGACACTTTTGAAAAAATATATATATATTTAAAATTCATTTTTGCACTTGATATAATTTTTTTCAATGAACTTTTTTGATCCAATAGCACAAGCAATGAGTTAGTTTCTTGCAGAATCAAACAACCTTGCACCACTCTCTAATTAGGTAAAATGCTATTAATTTAAACATATTCTAAAACCTTACTGTACTGACTCTAATCCAATACCAATTTTAGTTAAAATGAGAAGTGACTGCAGGTTTGTGTATCATATCCAAAAATGGAAAGAAAATTCTTGGCCTATAGGATGCATATATATATATATATATACACACATACACATATATATATATATACACACACATATATATATATATACACACACATATATATATATATATAGGCTGGTCTCTAACTCCTGTCCTCAAACGATCCTCCTGTCTTGGCGTCAGCATGTATGTTCATTTTTAATGGTCATAATTTGTATATTAATCAAATTAAAATAGGTAATTGGTAGATATTTGTGTACTCGAGTCATTTTGTTAATTCAAATACATATTGAAAATTAATTGAGAAGAGTTATACATTTCAAAAATAAGTTAACTGGATATGAACTAATTTGATAGCACTCTAATTTTAGTAGTATATGAAACCATATATTTTTAATAATTATAATTATTTTTATATTTAATGTCTATTTAGTACTAACTCATTGCTTATGTTTTGACAACTGTTTTTGAGACAATGTTTCCAAACCTTACAGTTGTCTTCTATGTCATGCTACAGTGTAACAATCAACTAAATATATCAGTTCATTCAACTAAATATTTATAAAGTGCCTTTTATGTGCTAGACACTGTTGTAGGTTTAATGATATGTTAGTGAATAAAAAAGCCAGGATCTCTTACTTGATCTATCTTATATTCAAGTGGATGGATAGGCAATGATTCATCACCAAACAGATGAAAACAAAACTTATTTCTATGATATATTAGAAAGTTAAGTGTTACAGAAAAAAAAAGAAGTGTAATAAGATAAGGATAGCTAGGGCCGGACGCAGTGGCTCACCCTGTAATCCCAGCACTTTGGGAGGCCGAGGCGGGCAGATCACGAGGTCAGGAGATCGAGACCATCCTGGCTAACACAGTGAAGCCCCGTCTCTACTAATAAATTCAAAAAATTAGCCAAGTGTGGTGGCGGGCCCCTGTGGTCCCAGCGACTCAGGAGGCTGAGGCAGGAGAATGGCGTGAACCCGGGAGGCGGAGCTTGCAGTGAGCTGAATCGCACCACTGCATTCCAGTCTGGGTGACAGCACGAAAAAAAAAAGACGTAAGGATAGCTAGACGCCATAAGAGGAGAGAAGGGCAAGTAGCAGCATTAAATAGAATGGAGCAGGCATCCTAGGTCAGGTAATGTTAGAGCCTGAAATTAAAAGGATGAGTTCATATCCTATGCAGGGACATGGATGAAGTTGGAAACCATCGTTCTCGGCAAACTATCACAAGAACAGAAAACCAAACACCTTATGTTCTCACTCAGAAGCGGGATTTGAACAAGGTGAACACATGGACACAGGGAGGGGAACATCACACAATGGGGCCTGTCGGGGGTTGGGAGGCTAGGGGAGGGATAGCATAGGAGAAATATCTAATGTAGGTGACGGGTTGGTGGGTGCAGCAAACCACCATAGCACGTGTATACCTATGTAACAAACCTGGACGTTCTGCACATGTACCCCAAGATCTTAAAGTATAACAATAATAATAAAAAGAAATGAGAGAGTAGAGAGAAATAAGGATGGATTTTGGGGACAATAAGACCTGGGCTATAGCTGTGTGTTATAACTTACTAGATATCTTTCTTAGCCTCCATTAACCCCAAGAATATAGTAAAAATTTGAATACTTACTTTGTAGTGCTGTTGTAAAATAATGATATTTGTAAACTGCTTGAAATGTGACTTGCATACAATAAAGACCCAATATGTGCTTTTTAAAAAATGGGTACATAATAAATGATTAATCATGTAAGATGTTGAATACTAGCATAGATTCAAAAGTTCTTTGACCATCTCAATGAGGTGCCCAACATTTCTGAGGCCCCAGATATTTTAGAGAGTTTTGGATTCTATTTTGATTGTTAAATCTTATATAATCTGACTCCAAATTTAAATCCAATGAATAAACAATAACTTACTTTGAGCAACATACCAGAAGAACATACTGAGGAAAAAAGAATCTAAATAAAATATCTTTTTGAATAATGAGGAATTTGAAAACTTAATATTTCGTATTGTAGTTACCTACTGACTTCGAGATTTTTGTTGTTGTTGTTAAACAACAAGAATAATTGAAAGGATTTTTGCAACAAACATTTAGTGTAGCTATTGTACTTTAGCGGAGTCACTCAAAAAGTTATCTCTATCCAGGCTTCCAAGGGTGAAAGGGTTCACTCAAATATAGAGGACCATTACACTCAATCATATTCAACTAGATAAAAATGCCTATTGGAAATATTCATCACTTAGTAATCCTGACACCTATAAAATTTTGTCATGTATTTTATTCCGTAGCTCCTCAGCATGGTTGTTCTTATTATTAATAAACCGTCAGTTCCTGTGCCTGACAGAATGAAGTGCAGCCATTGTCTGTCAGGTCAATTATGTGATGGGCTATAATGGCTCCAAAAGGAGCATTCTTTAGTCTATTAAGTAGTGGATTCAGGCTCTCTCAAGTGCTCAACTAGGCAGAATGTCCCTACTTATAAAAACGGATGCTTTTCAAATACAAATTAGAAAATGATATTTCTGGGTGACTGGAACAGGATACAGAATCTCATATATTCTTTTTCCTAGAAGTGTGAACAGTAGAGTACTTGGCATCAGCAGCAGAGTAATTTACTTTTTCGTTAGTCATCTCTAACTGGATTAATATTTTTTAAAACAAAAGCAGATTATATTGTGATGGAGCATATTATCTAGTGAGAGAGATGGGCAATAAACAATAAAACAGGTGAAGAGACATACCAAAACTGTGATAAGGAGGACCGAAATTTAACTGTATGTGCCAGTATAGCATTGAGAATGTTTAAAATATTGAACTTCTTCTGTAGCAGTTGATAAATAGACATTACTTGAGCCATCCTGACCCATTCCCTTGAATCCTCCTAAAATAACCATGATCTGAAAATTAAATTGTCAATAACTCTCTAAAGAGAGAATCTTCTGCCCCTCCTTATGCATAACGCTAGCATTGGTTCTTGGTTGTTGACCGTTTTCACAGAACTTGCTATACATTTTAATAACACACTTAGTTAAAATACTTGGAAGATGGTATGGTTTGGCTGTTTCCCCACCCAAATCTTATCTTGAATTCTCACATGTTGTTGGAGGGACCAAGTGGGAGGTAACTGAATCATGGGGACAGGTCTTTCCTGTGCAGTTCTCATGATAGTAAATAAGTCTCACAAGATCTGATATTTTTATAAGAAGGAGTTTCCCTGCACAAGCTCTCTTTGCCTGCTGTCATCCATGTAGGACATCACTTGCTCCTCCTTGCCTTCCACTATGATTGTGAATTCTCCCCATCCATGTGGAACTCTAAGTCCATTAAACCTCTTTTTCTTCCCAGTCTTGGGTATGTCTTTATCAGCAGCATGAAAACAGACTAATACAGAAGAACAATATAATTATCCGTCTAAATAATTATAAAAATTGTGTCATAAATAATTATTTTAAATATAAAAATTATGTTTTATAAATAATCATATTTATTTAAATATAAAAATTGTTTTTACAAGTAATTATAAAAACATAGCATTAAAATTAAAAGATAAACATTATAAAACATAAACATTAGAAATTATAAGAAACATAATTCCAATGCCAAAATTATGTCAAGATAATAAGAAATCTATATCTTTGGAAAAATAGAATTTTAGCTGAAATCTGGAGAATGAGTGAGAGCTACCCAAGTAAATATTCCTGATTGAGAATGGAGAATGCAATGACACTGTAGGTTAAAGCCTTCTTGGCAGAAGAAGCATGGGCACAGTCGATGAACGAAAGACAAAAGTGGCTTTATTGTAAATGGTTACTACCTAGAGTAAGGCACATAAAAAAATCAATGTAGTTGTGATCCTGACATATCCTAAGTTTAACTTCGTTGCTGTGAAAATTCAATACAAAAGTCAACTGTTTCGTGATTGGTTGGTACACAACATCTTTGGTGTTGAATTTACTTCTCTCTCTCTCTCTTTTTTTTTTTTTTTTTTTTTTGAGACAGAGTTTCGCTTTTGTTGCCCAGGCTGGAGTGCAATGGCACAATCTCGGCTTGCTGCAACCTCCGCCTCCCAGGTTCAAATGGTTCTCCTGCCTCAGCCTCCCGAGTAGCTGGGAGTGAAGGCATGAACCACCATGCCCGGCTAATTTTGTATTTTTAGTAGAGATGGGGTTCTCCATATTGGTCAGGCTGGTCTCGAACTCCTGACCTCAGGTGATCCACCCGCCTCAGCCTCCCGAAGTGCTAGGATTACAGGCGTGAGCCACTGCACCTGGCTGGTGTTGAATTTTTAATATACTATGACATAATCAGTCCCAAAAATTGTTGAAGAAAATAAATTTTTTTTTGAAGCAAACAGATCATCCATCTAAGAACAGGGACACCATTTGGATCAAGGTAGTTCCTCTGACAATAAATTCCAATAAATGTGAAGTTTCTGAGATTTGAAGTGCAATGTTAAAAATATATTTTGGTGTACTAATAAGCACAGAACATATTCATAGGAATAGTGGTGAATACAAAAATATTCAAGAAGCCTACATGACGTGGGACTCCAAAAATCAGGGCTTTTATCATATTTTGGATTGTATTTGGTGTCTCTTTTCTAGCTAAATAGAGAATTATACTAAATGAAGTTGTACAGAAATAAAGAAAAGGACAGAGTAAACCAAGTCTGTCTGCTTAAATAGCAGGCAACTTATAAAATGCTTTCCATTTAATAGCTTTTTAACAAAGATCTGTTGAAAAATTGAATGAAGGAGGATGAATGTAATGAAGAAAGTATATTTACCAACTATAGTTAATTAATAGTAAATAAATTTGAAATTAATGGTATATATTGTGAGGGAACTTCACACAGATGAATCTACGACTTATGATTTTGTTTAGTCAGGCTTTTTTGGAGAATGTATAATGTTCTTTGAAGGAAATATATTTAAAGGGTCTATATATTTAGAATATATATATATATATAGAATATACATTTATGTATTTAGAATCAATAATAATTGCTAAACACTCTTCCTTTGCAGGAATATCACACAATTTGTTTATATAATAATAAGCTGATGGTCATTTGAGTTGTTTTCAGTTTGGGACTATTAGAAAGAAACCTTCAGCTGGGTGCGGTGGCTCGTGCCTGTAATCCCAGGATTTTGGGAAGCCGAGGTGGGTGGATCACCTGAGGTTAGGAGTTCGAGACCAGCATGACCAACATGGTGAAACCCTATCTCTACTAAAAATACAAAAATTAGCTGGGCGTGGTGGTGGGTAATCCCAGCTACTCAGGAGGCTGAGGCAACAGAATCACTTAAACCTTGGAGGCGGAGGTTGCAGTGAGCAGAGATCACATTATTGCACTCCAGACTGGGCAACAAGAGTGAAACTCCAGCTCAAAAGAAAGGAAGAAAGAAAGGGAGGGAGGGAGGAAGGAATGAAGGAAGGAAGGAAGGAAGGAAGGAAGGAAGGAAAGAAGGGAGAGAAGGAGGGAGGGAGGGAGGGAGGGAGGAAGGAGAAAGAGAGAGAGAGAAAGAGAAAGAGAGAGAGAAAGACAGAAAGAAAGAAAGAAAGAAAGAAAGAAGGAAAGAAAGAAAGAAAGAAAGAAAGAGAAAGAAAGATTCTATAATCATTAATTTATACGTCTTTGTATAGACGTATGTTTCTTTTTCACTTGGGTAAATACCTAGTTGTGAAATTACTGTTTCCCAAAGTGGTTGGACCATTTTACATTCCTGTTATCTGAGTACTAGTTTCCCAGTTTCTCTATATCCTCATCAGCACTTAGTATGGTTATCTTTTTGAATTGTACTCCTTCTGACAGGTATATAGTAATATTTAATTGTGGTTTTATTCATAGTTACCTGATAACTAATGAGGTTGAACAGTGTTGTGTGTGTGCTTACTGACCATTCATATAACTTCTTTGGTGAATTCTCTGTCCAAACATTTGCCCACTTTTTAAAAAGTTAGGTTATTTGCATTTTTACTGTTGACTATTGAGATTTCTGTATATATGCTAGATAAAAATCTTTTGTTAGGTATCTACTTTGCAGTAACTTTTTTCTGACCTTTGGCTTATATTTCCTTTCTGTTGTCAGTGTCTTTTGAAGAACCAAAGTTTTTAATCTGATGCATACTCTTTCAGTTTGTTCTTTTGGAATTGTGCATTTGCTATCATATGTAGGTAATCTTTGTGTCTCCCAAGGTAAAAATAAATCGTTTCTGGTATACATTCTTTTAGAAGTAGCATAGTTTTAGGTTTAACATTTAGCTTGGTAATCCACTCTGAATTAATTTTTGTTCATGATGCAAACATATAGGCTCACTCTTTTTTTCATTTTGATATCCAATCTTTCCAGCACTACTTACTGAACCATTTGTTCTCCATGTGTATTTCTATTGTTCAGACTCTTGAAAAAAAAAAAAAGTAGTACAACTATGTGTGAATTTACCTCTAGACTCTCTATTCTGTTTCACTGATCTATTTATAGAAGTTAAATTTGAGTTTTAAGAAGCACATGTAATTGGAACATATTTAAGTCACTAAAATAAGTTGGTGTCTAGCCAAGGGCAGAGAGGTGAATACAAATGACCTAAGAAGCTGTAGTTAATCCAGTACCTCAGCTGTTGAAGAATCCTTGTGATTTTTTATAGAGTAGTGTAAGAAGAGCCACAAAAGAAGGCAGATAAATAGGAAAAACAAAACAAAAACAAGAAATAAACATTCAGATAAGTAGAACACAATAAATGACGAACGAAGTTTTCTGCAGTAACTGCCCATAGAAAGCAATTTTGACAAAGAGGAGATTTTTCAACAGTGCCACATACTACCCAAAGGCTCAAGCAGGTCAGGCCTGGGACAATTAATAGCTTTCTTAGCCCTTGAAAAGATTTTGATTAAAGGTACTTACTATTTCATGAGAGGAATAAATTATTGCAATATGAATTATAATACATATTTTTTAATTCCCAAACTACAGAAATCACAAATGGAGCCTGTTGGGTTAGACAGCCTTAGAAAGCAGAGGGGTGTGAGGTAGATGTTAAATTCTCAAGGACAAATTTTGTTAACTTCATAAATCCACTGGAGGCCACTGTACAGAATACATAATATACATACGTCTACATTATACAGAAATATACAAGCAAGTACATTGTGCTTTATTTATATCTTCTTCACAATTATGTTAGGTGACTGTAACCTCTCATAATACACTAGCAAGCCAAATGGGATATTTACAAGACCAGTCCTTACCAGGGTTTCAAATGATATTCTGCATATCTATAAGCTGGTGATATTTGCCTTAAAAAGATTTAAGTCAGCTAATTTTCACTATATTCCAAGAGCATTCAAATTAATTATCATAAAGTATACAAAGGTGTGAGGCCATTTCCACTATCTATTGTGGCCACCTTAGAACACTATAATAAAGTACAACATTTAGTCATAGTAACTAATAAAATTTTATTGTCAGAAATGGAAAGTCAGGGGTTTATATGCATTTCCTTAGATTTCCTCATGTCTTTGTTGTCAGTCCACTTCTATCACTCCCAAACTTTGGCAATCACAGGTCTTGCTTCTGTCCCTATACTTCTGCCTTTTCTGGCAAATCATGTAAATGGAATCATGTGATAATAGTCTTCTGTATATCGCTGATTTCACTTAACATAATGTGTTCAAGATTTATCCGCGTTTTTGCAAGTATTATATACACAATTTAATAAAGTAATGTTAGATTAAGTTTTCAGGTCAGACACAAATCTGATCTTTTACAAATATTAAGCTATACTTTTGGGTTTCATTCTACTGGAAAAATTATCCAAATTAATTAGTATCTCTGTGAGTTAGAAATTTTTAGAGAAACAGAACCAACAGGAAGTATATATATGTGTATATATATACATATATATACACATATATATGTGTGTATATATATATATATGTATATATATACACATATATATACATATATAAAATGTGCGTGTGTGTGTGTGTGTATCTTCATTTTAAGAAATTGGCTTACACATTGTGGAGGCTTGGTGAACCCCAAACCTGCAGTGTAGGGAGGCAGGCTGAAGACCTAGGAAAGAATTGCAGTTTGAACACAATGGCAGTCTTCTGACAAAATGTTTTCTTTCACAGAGAACATCAGTCTGTGTTCTATTGAAAGTTTCAACTGAATGGATGAAACCCATCCACATTACACAAGACAATGTGCTTAACTCCAAGTCTAATGATTTAAAAGTTGATGCACAAAGTTAACTAGCATAGTATTTCTGTTAGATTAAAATTTATATATTAACCTATGCCACTTTAAAGTTGTAAAATAGACCAGTCAATTAAAAAAATGAGCTCAGCACTGCACTCAGGACCAGTAAACACTTGCTTTATTTCTAATTTCAGATAATTTTTCTAAGATAACATAATTGTTATTGCTCTTATAAAGTCAGTAAAATTTATACCAAAGAGAAATAAGTTATTCTTAGAGAAGTTTTTTTTTTTCTGAACAAAGATTGTGAACTGTTTCTGATGTCTATCTTTTATGATGCCAATGCTCGTTTGTTCTGTTTTATGAATAATGTTCCATGTGAATAGACTCCTCAGACATTTTCAGGCTCATTTATAACTTTTGGTTATATGGTGAAGGATCCAGGTACTCATTAGAACTATAAATGACTCTATAGCCAAGGGTACCACAGGGGTTGTTGGAAAGTCCTAATATAATTACCAAGACAGGGAAGGAGATATTGAACAAAAGGATCATACAGATGTGTGAACTTTGAAAATGACTTTCCTTCTGGGAACTTTCTAATTTAAATAAGTATATCATGGATATGAGCTATAAATTATTTTTTCCTGTCTACATATTTTATTTTCTTTACTGTTAAGCTTCTATAAACTTAATCCAAGTGCGATTGTTATTTTCATGTGTAATTTAGCTAGATGATAGTACCAGTTATTCAACCAAACACTATTCTAGTTGTTGGCAAAGATATTTTGTTTATATGGTTAATATCTATAATAATTTGATCTTTTTATTCATTTTTATATTTGTAATTGATAAATTAAAATGTAAATGGTTATAGTATACAACATGGTATTTTCATATATGTATACTTCAAGTAAAGATTATTCTTAATCGTATGTGTGACTAAATCCCATTAGTTAAAAAAAAAAAACAAAAAAAAAACAGTGCAAAACTAAGGTTTCACCAGAGAAGAAATTCTGCTTCAAGACCATAGCTTAAAATATTTTCATTAGTGCTTTATAGTTTTCCTTGTAAGATCTTTCATATCTTTGGGTATATGTATTTTTTTTTTTGTAGGTACTGTAAGTGGGATTGCTTACTTGATATTTTTCAGCTAGTTTGTTATTCATGTATTGAAACACTTCTAATTTTTGTATGTCAAATTTGTATTCTGCAATTTTACTGAATCCATTTATCAGTTCTGAGTTTTTTGGTAGAGTCTTTTGTTTTTTTCTGTATATATTATAATAAAATCATGTCAAACAGGGACAATTTTACTTCCTCCTTTCCAGTTTCTTTCTCTTGCCTGATGGCTCTTTCACAGACTTCTAGAATGTGGGAATGGACATCCTTGTCCTGTTTTAGTTCTTACAGGAAAACTTTTCAGCTTGTCCTCCTTCAGGATAATATTCGTTATGTGTTTGTCATACGATCCAGCAATCCCATTACTGGGTATTTATCCAAAGGAAAGAAAATCAAAGAGATATCTGCACCTCTTTCTTAGTTCATTTAGTATTGCTGTTAAGAAATATGTGAGGCTGAGTAATTTGTAAATAAAAGAGGTTGATTTAGCTGACGGTTCTACTGGCTGTAGTATAAGAAGCATTGCAGGTGAAATAAGCCAGGAAGCATCTGCTTCTGGTGAGGGATTCAGACTGCTTCCACTCATGGCAGAAAGGAAAGGAGAGCCAGAAAGTGCAGAGATCCCACGGAGAGAGAGGAAGCAATAGTGCGGTTGGGGGAGGGAGGCCCTTTTTAACAACCAGCTCTCACAGGATCTAATAGAGCAAGAACTCACTTATCCCATCCCAACGTCACCAGGGAGGGCGTTAATGTATTCATAAAGGAATAGATTATGCTTCCCCAAAATGCTTCCCATTAGGCCCTACCTCAAGCCTTGAGATAAAATTTGAACACGAGTTTTAGGGGGACAAACACCCAAATATAGAACCCCCCATGTTTATTGCAACACTATTCACCATAGCCAATAGATGGAATCAAACTATGTATCCAACAGCAGAAGAATGAATAAAGAAAATGTGTTATGTATGCACAATGGAATGCTGCTCAACCACAAAAATAATAAAATCTTGTCATTCACAGGAGCATGAGTTATCCTGGAAGACATTACGTTAAGCGAAATAAGCCAGAAACAGAAAGTTAAAAACAACATGTTCTCACTCACATGTGTAAGCTAAAAGAGTTGATCTTATTGTGTAAACATGAGACCAGAGATTACTAGAGGCTGGGAAGTGGGGGAATGGGAGGATAGGGAGATATTTGTTAAAGAATACAAAATTACAGCTAAACGAGAGGAAAATCCCAGTGTTCTGTGGTGCTTGTATATACCATACTATATATTTTCAAATAGTGAGAAGAGAGGGTATTGAATGTCCTCAGCAAATAAATGATAAATGTTTGAGATGATTGATATGCTAATTACTCTGATCTGAACCTTATACATTGCATGTATGAAAACGTTCTGTGTACCCCACAAATACATACAATTGTTATGTCAATTAAAATCAATAATAATATTAAAAGAATGTAACATCAGCTCCTGCCTATGAGTTTTTGGCCTTTGAACTTGTACTATAATTTCAAACTTTTAAGCACCTAAGTTGCTCTTTATATTTTAGGAGATTATTACCCAATAAATGAAGGGCATAAAAGTGTTCTAAAACATTTACTTCATGCAAAAATGAAAATTAAAGCATCAGCTTTCTGCTGCAAGTTTTATTTATTTGGCACTATGCTGTGCAACCTACACAAAATTTTGAGGAGGTGGCACAAAATACTTGCCATGTTTGTTGACTCATATTCACAGCTTCTCCAGAATATCTAAGCCCACAAAGAAAGTACATCAAGAAGATCTGATAATTATAAGAAATAATACTTTCATGCTCCAACAACTTACAAAATGGGTGAGTGAACTCCTTCAGGTATTCAAAAACATCTGGATGAAAGCAAACCCTAAGACTACAGTATGAATATCAATTTTGGGAAAAAAGTCATAGGTACTAAGATTTATAAAGTACCTATTTTATAATTTGTAATTATAAATATATTAGGACTGTTATTTTTCATATACACATACATAAACATATTACATATGTATGTGTGTATATATTTATCTTATATATGCTGAATATATATATGCTGAATAATTTATTGAAAATATCTACAAGTCATCTGGATATTAATCATAACACTGTTAACAAACGGAATTGCGATTACTAGAATGGGGGGAGGAGCCAAGATGGCCGAATAGGAACAGCTCTGGTCTACAGCTCCCAGCGTGAGCGATGCAGAAGATGGATGATTTCTGCATTTCCATCTGAAGTACCGGGTTCATCTCACTAGGGAGTGCCAGATAGTGGGCGCAGGTCAGTGGGTGCGCGCACCGTGCGCGAGCCAAAGCAGGGCGAGGCACTGCCTCACTCGGGAAGCGCAAGGGGTAAGGGAGTTCCCTTTCCTAGTCAAAGAAAGGGGTGACAGAGGGCACCTGGAAAATCGGGTCACTCCCACCCGAATATTGCGCTTTTCCGACGGGCTTAAAAAATGGCGCACCAGGAGATTATATCCGCACCTGGCTCAGAGGGTCCTATGCCCATGGAGTCTCACTGATTGCTAGCACAGCAGTCTGAGATCAAACTGCAAGGCGGCAGCGAGGCTGGGGGAGGGGCACCCTTCATTGCACAGGCTTGCTTAGGTAAACAAAGCAGCCTGGAAGCTCGAACTGGGTGGAGCCCACCACAGCTCAAGGAGGCCTGCCTGAGTCTATAGGCTCCACCTCTGGGGGCAGGGCACAGACAAACAAAAAGACAGCAGTAACCTCTGCAGACTTAAATGTCCCTGTCTGCCAGCTTTGAAGAGAGCAGTGGTTCTCCCAGCACGCAGCTGGAGATCTGAGAACGGGCAGACTGCCTCCTCAGGTGGGTCCCTGACCCCTGACCCCGGAGCAGCCTAACTAGGAGGCACCCCCCAGCAGGGGCAGACTGACACCTCACAGGGCCAGGTACTCCAACAGACCTGCAGCTGAGGGTCCTGTATGTTAGAAGGAAAACTAACAAACAGAAAGGACATCCACACCAAAAACCCATCTGTACATCACCATCTTCAAAGACCAAAAGTAGATAAAACCACAAAGATGGGGAAAAAACAGAGCAGAAAAACTGGAAACTCTAAAAAGCAGAGCGCCTCTCCTCCTCCAAAGGAACGCAGTTCCTCACCAGCAATGGAACAAAGCTGGATGGAGAATGACTTTGACGAGCTGAGAGAAGAAGGCTTCAGATGATCAAATTACTCTGAGCTACGGGAGGACATTCAAACCAAAGGCAAAGAAGTTGAAAACTTTGAAAAAAATTTAGAAGAATGTATAACTAGAATAACCAATACGGAGAAGTGCTTAAAGGAGCTGATGGAGCTGAAAAGCAAGGCTCGAGAACTACGTGAAGAATGCAGAAGCCTCAGGAGCCGATGCGATCAACTTGAAGAAAGGGTATCAGTGACGGAACATGAAATGAATGAAATGAAGCGAGAAGGGAAGTTTAGAGAAAAAAGAATAAAAAGAAATGAGCAAAGCCTCCAAGAAATATGGGACTATGTGAAAAGACCAAATCTGCGTCTGATTGCTGTACCTGAAAGTGATGGGGAGAATGGAACCAAGTTGGAAAACACTCTGCAGGCTATTATCCAGGAGAAATTCCCCAATCTAGCAAGGCAGGCCAACATTCAGATTCAGGAAATACAGAGAACACCACAAAGATACTCCTCGAGAAGAGCAACTCCAAGATACATAATTGTCAGATTCACCAAAGTTGAAATGAAGGAGAAAATGTTAAGGGCAGCCAGAGATAAAGGTCGGGTTACCCTCAAAGGGAAGCCCATCAGACTAACAGCAGATCTCTCGGCAGAAACTCTACAAGCCAGAAGAGAGTGGGGGCCAATATTCAACATTCTTAAAGAAAAGAATTTTCAACCCAGAATTTCATATCCAGCCAAACTAAGCTTCATAAGTGAAGGAGAAATAAAATCCTTTACAGACAAGCAAATGCTGAGAGATTTTGTCACCACCAGGCCTGTCCTAAAAGAGCTCCTGAAGGAAGCAATAAACATGGAAAGGAACAACGGGTACCAGCCGCTGCAAAATCATGCCAAAATGTAAAGACCATCGAGACTAGGAAGAAACTGCATCAACTAACGAGCAATATAACCAGCTAACATCATAATGACAGGATCAAATTCACACATAACAATATTAACTTTAAAGTAAATGGACTAAATGCTCCAATTAAAAGACACAAACTGGCAAATTGGATAAAGAGTCAGGACCCATCAGTGTGCTGTATTCAGGAAACCCATCTCATGTGCAGAGACACACATAGGCTCAAAATAAAAGGATGGAGGAAGATCTACCAAGCAAATGGAAAACAAAGAAAGGCAGGGGTTGCAATCCTAGTCTCTGATAAAACAGACTTTAAACCAACAAAGATCAAAAGAGACAAAGAAGGCCATTACTTAATGGTAAAGGGATCAATTCAACAAGAAGAGCTAACTATCCTAAATATATATGCACCCAATACAGGAGCACCCAGATTCATAAAGCAAGTCCTGATTGACCTACAAAGAGACTTAGACTCCAACACATTAATAATGGGAGACTTTAACACCCCACTGTCAACATTAGACAGATCAACGAGACAGAAAGTCAACAAGGATACCCAGGAATTGAACTCAGCTCTGCACCAAGCGGACCTAATAGACATCTACAGAACTCTCCACCCCAAATCAACAGAATATACATTTTTTTCAGCACCACACCACACCTATTCCAAAATTGACCACATACTTGGAAGTAAAGCTCTCCTCAGCAAATGTAAAAGAACACAAATTATAACAAACTATCTCTCAGACCACAGTGCAATCAAACTAGAACTCAGGATTAAGAATCTCATGCAAAACCGCTCAACTACATGGAAACTGAACAACCTGCTCCTGAATGACTACTGGGTACATAATGAAATGAAGGCAGAAATAAAGATGTTCTTTGAAACCAACGAGAACAAAGACACAACATACCAGAAACTCTGGGACACATTCAAAGCAGTGTGTAGAGGGAAATTTATAGCACTAAATGCCCACAAGAGAAAGCAGGAAAGATCCAAAATTGACACCCTGACATCACAATTAAAAGAACTAGAAAAGCAAGAGCAAACACATTCAAAAGCTAGCAGAAGGCAAGAAATAACTAAAATCAGAGCAGAACTGAAGGAAATAGAACACAAAAAACCCTTCAAAAAATTCATGAATCTAGGAGCTGTTTTTTTGAAAGAATCAACAAAATTGATAGACTGCTAGCAAGACTAATAAAGAAAAAAAGAGAGAAGAATCAAATAGACGCAATAAAAAATGATAAAGGGGATATCACCACTGATCCCACAGAAATACCAACTACCATCAGAGACTACTACAAACACCTCTACACAAATAAACTAGAAAATCTAGAAGAAATGGATAAATTCCTCGACACATACACTCTCCCAAGACTAAACCAGGAAGAAGTTGAATCTCTGAATAGACCAATAACAGGAGCTGAAATTGTGGCAATAATCAATAGCTTACCAAACAAAAGAGTCCAGGACCAGATGGATTCACCGCCAAATTCTACCAGAGGTACAAGGAGGAATTGGTACCATTCCTTCTGAAACTATTCCAAACAACAGAAGAAGAGGGAATCCTCCCTGACTCATTTTATGAGGCCAGCATCATCCTGATACCAAAGCCGGGCAGAGACACAACCAAAAAAGAGAATTTTAGAACAATATCCTTGATGAACATTGATGCAAAAATCCTCAATAAAATACTGGCCAACCGAATCCAGCAGCACATCAAAAAGTTTATCCATCATGATCAAGTGGGCTTCATCCCTGGGATGCAAGGCTGGTTCAATATATGCAAATCAATAAATGTAATCCAGCATATAAACAGAACCAAAGACAAAAACCACATGATTATCTCAATAGATGCAGAAAAAGCCTTTGACAAAATTCAACAACCCTTCATGCTAAAAACTCTCAATAAATTAGGTATTGATGGGACGTATTTCAAAATAGTAAGAGCTATCTATGACAAACCCACAGCCAATATCATACTGAATGGGCAAAAACTGGAAGCATTCCCTTTGAAAACTGGCACAAGACAGGGATGCCCTCTCTCACCACTCCTATTCAACATAGTGTTGGAAGTTCTGGCCAGGGCAATTAGGCAGGAGAAGGAAATAAAGGGTATTCAATTAGGAAAAGAGGAAGTCAAATTGTCCCTGTTTGCAGACGACATGATTGTATATGTAGAAAACCCCATTGTCACAGCCCAAAATCTCCTTTAGCTGATAAGCAACTTCAGCAAAGTCTCAGGATACAAAATCAATATACAAAAATCACAAGCATTCTTATACAACAAAAACAGAGAAACAGAGAGCCAAATCATGAGTGAACTCGCATTCATAATTGCTTCAAAGAGAATAAAATACCTAGGAATCCAACTTACAAGGGACGTGAAGGACCTCTTCAAGGAGAACTACAAACCACTGCTCAATGAAATAAAAGAGGATACAAACAAATGGAAGAACATTCCATGCTCATGGGTAGGAAGAATCAATATCATGAAAATGGCCATACTGCCCAAGGTAATTTATAGATTCAATGCCATCCCCATCAAGCTACCAATGACTTTCTTCACAGAATTGGAAAAAACTACTTTAAAGTGCACATGGAACCAAAAAAGAGCCCGCATCGCCAAGTCAATTCTCAGCCAAAAGAACAAAGCTGGACGCATCACACTACCTGACTTCAAACTATACTACAAGGCTACAGTAACCAAAACAGTGTGGTACTGGTACCAAAACAGAGATATAGATCAATGGAACAGAACAGAGCCCTCAGAAATAACGCCGCATATCTACAACTATCTGATCTTTGACAAATCTGAGAAAAACAAGCAATGGGGAAAGAATTCCCTATTTAAATAAATGGTGCTGGGAAAACGGGCTAGCCATATGTAGAAAGCTGAAACTGGATCCTTTCCTTACACCTTATACAAAAATCAATTCAAGATGGATTAAAGACTTAAATGTTAGACCTAAAACCATAAAAACCCTAGAAGAAAACCTAGGCATTACCATTCAGGACATAGGCATGGGCAAGGACTTCATGTCTAAAACACCAAAAGCAATGGCAACAAAAGCCAAAATTGACAAATGGGATCTAAGTAAACTAAAGAGCTTCTGCACAGCAAAACAAACTACCATCAGAGTGAACAGGCAACCTACAAAATGGGAGAAAATTTTCACAACCTACTCATCTGACAAAGGGCTAATATCCAGAATCTCCAATGAACTCTAACAAATTTACAAGAAAAAAACAAACAACCCCATCAAAAAGTGGGTGAAGGACATGAACAGACACTTCTCAAAAGAAGACATTTATGCAGCCAAAAAACACAGGAAAAAATGCTCATCATCACTGGCCATCAGAGAAATGCAAATCAAAACCACAATGAGATACCATCTTACACCAGTTAGAATGGCAATCATTAAAAATTCAGGAAACAACAGGTGCTGGAGAGGATGTGGAGAAATAGGAACAGTTTTACACTGTTGGTGGGAGTGTAAACTAGTTCAACCATTGTGGAAGTCAGTGTGGCAATTCCTCAGGGATCTAGAACTAGAAATACCATTTGACCCAGCCATCCCATTACTGTGTATATACCCAAAGGACTATAAATCATGCTGCTATAAAGACACATGCACACATATGTTTATTGCGGCATTATTCACAATAGCAAAGACTTGGAACCAACCCAAATGTCCAACAATGATAGACTGGATTAAGAAAATGTGGCACATATACACCATGGAATACTATGCAGCCATAAAAAATGATGAGTTCACGTCCTTTGTAGGGACATGGATGAAATTGGAAATCATCATTCTCGGTAAACTATCTCAAGAACAAAAAACCAAACACCACATATTCTCACTCATAGATGGGAATTGAACAGTGAGAACACATGGAGAAAGGAAGGGGAACATCACAGTCTCGTGATTGTTGTGGGGTGGGGGGAGGGGGGAGGGATAGCATTTGGAGGTATACCTAAAGCTAGATGGTGAGTTAGTGGGTGCAGCGCACCAGCATGGCACATGTATACATATGTAACTAACCTGCACATTGTGCACATGTACCCTAAAACTTAAAGTATAATAATAATAAATTAAAAAAAAAACAAATGGAATTGCACACTACTGTGCCATAAACCATCTTTAAATAGGTATTAGTGTTTAAATTGTTGACATATATTACTGTAAAAAGTAAAAATAGACAATTGTTTGATAAATCTAAATATTAGAATATTTTATCTGTTTCTGCAAATGAGATGGAAATATTTGTTACTTTGAAATAAATCCAAATACTCACACTAGAAGGATCCTTAAGCCTTAATCTAATTCAAAGTACCTATTTTACAAATTAGTTGACTGAGGTCACCCAATGAGTGTTTTAGATTCTGTAACACCTTAGTTCTGACTTTGAGAATATTAATCACTACCAAAACGACTTCTGAGAAATTTAATGTAGGCCTAAAATAATACATTAAGATTCTTATTTTTCTTCCTAATCTTCAATTCTTGTGAGAACATCATAAAAATCAGAGATCTTTTCCAGAGAGAAATTCACCCATCTTTATATGTATATTATATTATATTATATTATATTATATTATATTATTAGTATATTATATTATATTATATTATCTATCCATCTTAAATCTATCCATAAACTCCCACCATCCAGTTAAAAAAATGTGAGAGAGACATAAGAATTATCTTTATTTTCCCCAATTAACCAGACACAAGTTATTTCAGATTACTCAACCACAACCACAAAGTAAGTACCGAGAAAATTGGAGAATTCTCAGAGAAGATGAGATCAACTAATTTAAAAATTACTAAGCCGGACAACTGCTGTATAGAAGGCTATGGTCAGTCTCACCTAAAGTCGGTTATTGAAAAAGGAGGTAGAGCAAATCTCCTCATCCCCAAACACATAACAACAACAACAACAAAAATGGTCTCTTGAAGAAAAACAATTAATAAAAAGTATAGTAAGAAAATATTCATTATTTTAGATATTCAGTATGTGTCCATAAAAGTAGCACATATATACAAACACTACTTTAATAACAGTGATTTCGTCTACAAAAATCTGTATTACATACAATTATTACATTTGAGAAAAATGAAATTTGTCTATTGTTTTTCCCATAGGAGACCTATATAATGTTAATCTATTAAAATAAAATTCGTTTTGAATAGCACATTAACCAGATGTTATGCTGAGCTGTATCTGCAAAATTTTAAAACTAAATTGGCTCCTTACACATATGTTATTCAAGATCAGTTCTCTAAATCTTAATCACAAGACATTACCATTGACAGGACCAGGTGTTGCATCAAGAAATCTGGGGGTTAAAGTAAATTTTGATTTTAATGTGTGTGTGTGTGTGTGTAAGAAAAATTACTTTCATCTCCTTAAAAAATAATAAAGTGGTAAGTAGAGATGATCTGTGCATGTGTGTTATGTATATCAAGTATTAATCATAGCATATATACCAGAATGCATGTGCTTAGTAAATGCTTATACAAAAGCTGAGTCATATATGATAGCACCTCAATCCTAGCTTTGTTCTTTCAACAACGAAATAACACTATTTCTTTGCTTCATTAGCTTCCTGAGATGAGTAGTCTTATACATTAAATCCCTCTAATAGTCCGAATGGTTTTCAACAGTTTAATCACTCATTCTATTAAATGTTAAGCATACATCCCCAAATATGTTCATAGATTTTAAATTATTAACTATGTACCTATATCCTGTAGTGATCAAAGGCACCAACTCTGGAGTTAGATTGCCTTGATTTAAATCAAGCTTCAGCCACTTTCTAGCTTTGTGAATTTAGGTAAGTTATTTTATCAATATGTATCACTGTTAATATTAAATGAAGAGGTGGGTAATAGCATCCACTTCATATGGCTGTTGTGAGGATGGAATTATTTAATATGTATCAAGTTCTTATAATATTGTAAGTATTCAAATACTGGGGGGTATTATTTGTATTTTATTGTGGTTATTGCTATAATATTACATTATATGTCCCCCAATAGTAAAGAAAAATAAATTGCACACACATACATATATATACACACACACACACAGACACTGAGAGAGAGAGAGAAAGAAAGAGAAACACAGAAAGAAAGAAAGAAAAAAGAAAGAAAGAAAAGAGAGAGAGAGAAGGAAGGGAGTGATGAAAGAAAAGGAAGAGGAACAGGAGAAAGAGAACAAAAAGGAGATAATCTAACATTTTCTTCCGCAAACCCATCTTGTTACTTCTAAGGTGATTGCAAACTAGTTTGGAGATCACAAAACATGGTTTTCCTAATTCTAATTATTAGGTTAAAACACATGTGTGCATTGTTATTAGTCCCAAGCTGTATGAGGAGTGATGTATTATTAACAGTCAAAATAACAACTTTTGCATATGGAGGTTTCTCCTAGAATTATGCGATCTTGCTTCTGTTTTGCCAACTACAAACCTGTTGCAAGTCCTGGCCTTACTGCTATGCCCCTTAAGGTCTTTTAATCAGCCTATTACTGACTTAAACTCCTGATAAATGTGTCACCAAAATTATCTAATCTTGGGAAAATCTTATGCTCCCTTATTATAACTTAGAGGCCAGTATGCTTGTAGTAAACCAAGATTATCTGGATCTGTTTACAACTACATGTTTGGAGAGTAAGATATACTTTATCTTCTGGATCTCACCTGCCACAGTGCCCAGTTGTCTCTCCAAGCAGGAGAGATGCCATAAGGAATCGTGGTGAACAATGAGTATCCTGATATTTATCTTTTATCGCTTCACACCACTCGCCTCAATCTCTCACTGTTTAATTATAAGATGAATTAGTGGAGAATTTAGGTATTATTCAAAGTCTGTGCTTCCTCTCTCAGTTTAGCCCAATATTAATCAACATTGAATTTTTAGTCACGTTTATCATTGGTTTATTTTTATGAAAATATTTATTAAATATCTATTATGTGTCAGACACTGCTAGCTGTTTAAGATACAATGGTGAGGAAAATGTTCCAGTCCCTCATATCAAAAACTATAGAAATTCCTTTTACTTGTATGTTTTCCCATTCTCTAGTCTGGATAAGAAAGAATGAAATAGATTGCTCTCATTGAGGTATGAGGAAAGCTTGTGCTCGTTCAACCTACTGTGTGTGACTTCGGAGTAGAACTGTTAAAATATGATAACTTTATCTTTGGTCTAAAAAGAACCATGAGTTTGGACTACATTATATTGACCCCTAGAAGGATTGATTTTCTTGAATTGAATTATGATCTTGGTTTGAGAGAATTTTATTTTAGAATTTATTTCTTGAAATAGTTGTACTCATCTTATGTCTTAGGTATCCTTTCTATTCTTTGGTAATAAGAGTTGTAGAGCAGGGTATGTTTTACTTTGGACTTGGCTGCAAGGAAGGTTGCAATTAAAATTATTGCTCAGCCAACAAATATATTTTCAATAATATGACCTTGTTATCAGTGCAACCTTCTGCTCTCCTCTACTGTCATCTTTGTGCCCTCACCCTCATGGTCGTACCTCATGTTTGTGTTTTTTCTAGACCTATTTATTTATGAATTTAAGGTCTTGTTTTTGAAATTATATTTATAAAACCAGGTAGGCTTTATGATATAATCTATGAACATCCTATAAATTCATCAGGATTTTGCATTTTTAGTTCACTTATTTGACTGAAAACAAATAAAATAACAACTCTAATTTACTTATTTGACTGAAAACATATAAAATAACAACTCTAATTAATAAAATCCCTTGGCCTTCATAAGTCTTCTGTTGGTTTAACATCTTCAAATTTTGTTCTCTTAATATGTGTTTTCATGACTTTAATGCAAGAATTAATGCAAGTAGATGATTCTTTTAGCAATAGGATCAAATCTATCACAATGTGGGCATTATCTAAATTCCAGAAATCACCTTGACTTAATCTTTTTGTAATATTCCAGTCCCAAGATCTCTTAGCTAATTTACACCAAGTTCACTGAGGCACTGAACAATTTAAATAATGAAAATCTGGCAGCTGTTGGCTTCATTGCTTTAAGGACACATTTGCTATTCCTATTGAAATCTATTATTTCTGTCAGGGCACAAGCATTCCTCATTGCTTACCTTGATTTTTTTGTGATATGTTAACAGTAAGTAAAGAAAACTAGAAGTCATATTTGTTTTCACTTTTCAAATATTTACATGTTTACTAAGTATCAGTTACTAAGTGTTTCACAAGTGCTTCCTAATTTAATTTTCATAAAAATTCACTGTCCTCATTTTACACAAGTGGGATTTAGAGTTATAGAGAGGTTAATGAGTTGCCCAAATTATATATACCCGAGTAAGCAAGAAAAGTCAATATTTAACTGCCAGCTTTCTCCTTCCAAAGTACATCTCCCACCAACTCCTCTCTGCTGTCTCCCAAAATATAAAACAAGAATACACAGAAGAAATAATCAGCATCTGAGGGGGCTGGGCATGGTGGCTCACAGCTATAATCCCAGCACTTTGGGAGGCCAAGGCAGGTGGATGGATCACTTGAGGCCAGGAGTTCGAGACCAGCCTGGCCAACATGGTGAAACCCCATCTCTGCCAAAAATACAAAAATAATCTGGGCATGGTGGTGCTTGCCTGTATTCCTACCTACTCTGGAGGCTGAGGCAAGAGAATTGCTTGAGCCTGGGAGGTGGAGGTTGCAGTGAACCGAGATGGGGCCACCGCACTCCAGCCTGGGTGACAAAGCAAGACTCTGTCTCAAGAATAAAGAAAATCAGCATCTCAGGAAATAGCATTTTTATAAATAGAGGAAAGAGGAACGTTTATTTTATATAAAGAGTTTTTAGGAGGGTTGAATCTCAGCTGTACAATGGAAAATGTGAGATTCAAACATAGTTCCCATATACTCCCCATGCGGGAGTTCTCCTTTATGCCAATGAAAGATTGAAACTTGCTTAGTTCTAACTGGTCTGCACAGACGAGTTCTCATTAGCTGAACTCCGATTGGCTGGGTTAACTAAGTTCTGAGTGGTTGGTTACCAACAGTGAAACCAGAAGTCTCTGTAAGATGTTTCTTTCAATATCTGTGTTTGAAAGAGTGCGTGATGGGGCGGCTTTTGGTCACAGCTTAATTTGGCTTGCACAACAAAGACTGGTTTGGCCAGATTGTAGAAAAAAAGGTCCTATGGTATTTCTACAACATGAGTACATGATCAGTCTCTCACCCAGCTGTGGCCACCAGTTTCTTTTTTAATTTTGATCACCTCAGTTAGCTACAGGGAGTTCATTTTGTCTGTAGGCTGAGGGCATACTTTGATATTTGCCAGCTATGAAAATTAAGTCTAACTTAAGTTTTTCTTTCATGGATGATGTTTTAGTGTTGTATCTAAAAACCCATTATCAAATACAAGGCCACACAGTTTCTCTTTCGGTTTTTTTTTCATATTTTGTAGTTTTGCATTTGCTACTTAGGTCTGTGGTCTATTTTGAGTCAATCTGTGCAAAAGCTGTAAAGTCTGTTTCTAGGTTCAATTTTTTGACTATGAATGGCCAATTGTTCGAACATCATTTGTTGAAAAGATTATTCTTTCTTCCTTGAATTGTCTTTGCTTCTTTATCAAAGTTCAGCTGGGTGTATGTCTGTGGATATATTTCTGGGCTATTTTGCTCCACTGATATATGTGTCTATACCTTCACCAATATCATGCTAACTTATCTATGGTAGATTCATAGTATCATTTGAAATTGGGTAGTATGTATCCTCCAACTTTATTCCTCAGGCATGTCTTTTTATGATGATGCAGAAGTGGTATAGACAAATCTAAGCATAAGCACATTTAAAAGTGTTTGCTTACATTACTCTGATTATATCTTACTTGCCAACAAAAGTTTAGTGGCCAAATTCAGGAACAATCGAAGGAAAAATATACAGCACCTCTTCATGGAAAATAAAAATACTTTTAATCATATATTCTGAAAGAGATGGTTTCAGAGAAAGAAGAAAAAGTACATCAATTAAATCTACCACATTCTAGTCTTTTTACAACTTTATTTCCTTTACAGCACTTAAGGTTATCTAAAATTATATCTGAATATTTATTTGTTTATTTATTTATTTATGACAGGGTCTCACTCTGTTGCCCAGGCTGAAGTGCAGTGGCGTGATCCCAGCTCACTGCAACCTCCACTTCCCAGGTTCAAATAATTCTCCTGCTTCAGCCTCCCGAGTAGCTGGGTCTACAGGTGGCCACCACCACACCCAGTTAATTTTTGTATTTTTAGTGGAGATGGGGTTTCGCCGTGGTAGCCAGGCTGATCTCAAAATCCTGACATCAAGTGATCCGCCCATCTCAGCTTCCCAAAGTGCTGGGATTACAGGCATGAGTCAGTGTGCTCAGCCTTTCCCTAAATATTTATATGTAATTTTGTGTCTTTCCACATACAATTTAAGTGTAAAAGCCCAGGCGGGTGGATCACCTTAGGTCAGGAGTTTGAGCTACTTGGGAGGGTGACGTAGAAGAATCACTTGAACCCGGAAGGCAGAGGTTGCAGTGAGCCGAGATCGTGCCACTGCATTCCAGCCTGGGTAGCAGAGCAAGATTCCATCTCGAAATTCAGAATAATAATAATAATAGTAATAACAATTTAAGTATAAAGTGAGAGAATTGTCTTTTTATCATTATAACTAGTGCACAGAAAAATAATTGTTCTACATTGAAAATTAAGTAAATGTTGCCTAACAAAATAATTAATTTGTTTTTATAATATAGAATTTATAAAACATTTTACAGTGTTGACATGAGGGAAGTAAACTATAACTAAAGGCTGACTCTGTTTCTGGGCTGTGACAAGGAAAGTGATCAAACACAATTTATTTATAGAAAAGGCAGGGAAAAAAGAAGTCTAACTTATGACACCAAATTAAATGACTTATTTTCTCACTTATTTTTTTCTGAAATACTCTGTAGTTTCTCATACTGTGGACACAATTGCCTCGTGGAAATTCTTCTTTTCCTTTTCATCTGGGCTATCTCACTGATAATCCACTTATGCTTCCATATACTCATCCACAGGCTCCTCATCATACTCTTTTTGTATGACTTGTGAATTTCATAACATTCCTTTATTCTGTTTTTTTTCTGCACCTTCTACTTGAGTGACCACATTCATACACATAGCTTCTACTATGCTTTTTATAACACATTTATTAATTATGTACCTAGCAACCTACCTTATTTCTGAATCCCAGATGTATTTCTATTTGAAAGCTGGTTACCTGCACATGAATATAACACCTGCATCCTAAATTTTCAGCCCACCTTATTGTCTTGATTCCACAGTTTTTTATTGTAATCATGATTTTTCTAGCTCATCTTCCTCACCCATGTGCCCTCTCATTTACACTAACGTTATATCAATTGTGGAACCCTATAAATTCCAGCACTGTAATATCTTTGCTGGATGCTTCCTCTTGTAATTTGCTCTATGACCTCAGTTTGGGCCCTTAAAACACACCTCTCTCATACACTCCAACACAGCTTCTGAATTGTCAGCCTCCTTGCCTCACTCTCAGATCAAAAGTGATGATTAAATTAGAAAACTCTAAAAGTGTCTCAATAATTACTGATTAAATAACAAACTCCTTAAACTGTCACTTAAATCTTTCTGTGGCATCCTGTTTATGTTTCTGGTCTTCTCTGTGACTATTTCTACTACCATTTTTGTAAGAGCAAGAAAGGGAATTCTGGTTTGTGGATAGTGTTAGTTATACATGTATCCAGTTTGAATACCGTCCTCAATCTGCAAATCTATGTGACGTGCTCTTTTTTACATGTACACTATACTTTATTAAACAGTTAAAGTAGACAGTCATGATAGAGAAGATAAAAGGGGATATGTAAATTAAAGTATTTCTACTTTCTTATATTTCTCAGAAATAAGTTAAAGTTATGAATTAAACTCTAATAAAACCCTAATGTCTTTAAATATTTTATATTTATTTCTAAAAGAAAGAAAAGCAATTTTTTCATTCTAAATTACTAAAATTCAAAAAGAATCAAACAAAATTCAAAGAAATTAAAATACAGCAGCAAGGACCAAATTAAAAATGTTATTGCTAAACCCAAGAGAACAATAAAAGGAATTATAAAATATGTGATATTTACCGAGAAAAATATTAAATAATTTCAAAATTTATAAATAACATAACAGTATTGAAGGAGTAGTAAACAAGACCCGAGTAAATATGAAATCTGTAAATTCATGTTGATGGTTGTTAAATTTTATAAAGATATCAATTCTACTTCAATTAATCTATAAAGTCAGTGCACTGGTACTAGATAAATTACTTTTACAAATTATTTGCTGTGTCTAGTGAAGCTGGCCACAGTCATAGTTCAGTAATTCCATTCTTAAGTGGAAGGTAAAAAGAAAAAAACATGTTCAACTTAAACAGAATATATGGAAAATATTAATAAAAAACAATTGACAAGTTTGGTAAACGTGGTAAACAAACTTAGAAAATGAAAATGTTTGATGCTAGAACTAGGGAACAGATGTGCACATACACTCTAAATTGATACAATCACTTTTGAGAACAAAATTTTAAAAAGTAGTATTTGCACTTTTTCATGTATGTCTGGATTACAGCATAAGAATATCAATTATAGCAATGTTTGAAATAAAAAAAAATTTGAAAGTAATTTAATGTCTTCCAGTGGGAAAATAAATGCAGAAATTTATTTTTGTTTATTTACCTAATGATACCATATGCATAATTTGAAATTAGTGAAACCTATACATATATGTATAAGTGTAAATATATATACACACACACACTATGAAAAATCACAAATACATAGGTTTGAAAGAGAAGTTATAGAATAAATATAGTATAAGATTTAAATACATATTGAAGACACATTTTTAGGATTCAAATTTCTCTGTGAAATTTGAATCTGTGGGCACAGAATCTGTGGGCACAGAAAAATCGGCATATATTGTAAAATAAAAGAATGGGAGTGTTAAGCCAGTCCAGAGCTAAAGAAAGTTATATGTGAGAGGAGTCTGTGATAACAGTTCCCTTGTACCTTTCAAGAGTTTCTGGTCTTTTTTAGGACAGTGAATGTTTGAGTCCAAAGAAGCTTCTGGAATTTATGTGCGAGGCCCATAAACCTCAGCCATAAAGCCAGGAAGAAATGCTGTGGTCAGATCACAAAAGGCAAAAACTATAGTTTAAAGAATTCATGGCTCACCTCTCTCCATTATAATTACATGATGTTTTTACGTTCCTTAGTTGTGTACTCTTTAAGAATGCTATATCTGGGTTTTAAATTTATTTAACTCAAAATGCTATAAAAACATTGAAATATTCCAGAATAATTCTTGGCATGTCATTTAAAAGAACATCAGTATATTTCCTATGGTGTAATTTGCTTCTTTTTAAAAATTTATTTAATATTTCCATCTGCTAGTCACTGTTGAAAGAAATAGAGGTAACGTATCAAAATCAGTACCTGCCCTAAAATAAATGACAAACTAAAGAGAGGGAAGGTGTACAAAAACAAAGAAACAAAAAAAATTTGAAAATGCATGATATTGTTGAGTTTTATAAAGGACATCAACTGAGGAAATATGATAGATGGTATCATATAGGCTGGAAGGCAGCAAACAAGAATGATCAGGTATATGTCATCAAGAAGGTGAGACTTGGACTGAGACATGGATACTAATTGGAAGATAGCTGTGTGAATTACTGCAAAAAGTGTATTCTAGATAGCAGGAACAGAGTCTCAGAGCTGTGATTTAAATTGCCATATTCGAGAAAGAGAAACATGTCTAAAAAAAGGAAAATGTGGTCAGAATATGGTCAGTAGATACAAGTGGGAAGAAGTCATGTTAGAGAAGTATTTGCCGTCTGGTTGTATAGGATCTTTTTGGTAAGAGTTTGCATTTTACTTTAATATTAATAGCAAAGCAGCTTGGAAGTATTTGTTGACTGGTTGTGAGGAGAGGAAGGCAAATCAAAAGGAAAGGGAATAAACTGTAAGATCCAGCATAGATTAAAATGTGGAGGGTTTACAGCATGCCTGCATCATCAGGAGGCATTTGATTCTAGTGAACCTCAGTGTTTACAGTGACCTGTAGATTCAAAACAAGTGTACCAAGCAGTATAAAATGAATATTTACTTACACCGTATTGTTTAATGTATTTTCAGATCCTGCTTTTTTGACTGGTAAGCTTATACTGAATAATGCATGATTTGTTTTCAGCATCTAAGTGTGGTGATACATTACTTCTTAAAATGTGTGCTGAAATATGATAAATTAATTAAGGCAAAATATTCCTTATGACTGTTATACTTTTTGATCTGTTTTGGTGTACAAACAGCCAAAATTTGAATAAAGAGAACGTGTGTTCCTTGGACAAAAATACAGTAACCACTGTGGTGGCACCATGCCTGATCTGAGAATTTAACATCTGCAGTTCAAAGCCGCATAAGCTTTGGTTCTGTCCAAGCCATGCCTGACCCTTATTACATCAACCATTTCCCTCTGCATTATACCACAGATATATGCAAAGTAAAGAACATGTTTAAACTGCTCCCTGCCAGCTGGCTGCGTTCACTCCTGACCCAGTAATCTGTGACTTTCTGGACTCCTGTGAGAGAAAAGTTTCAGCCAAGATGATATCCACAGAAAGAATAATTTGATATATTGCTTTTTATGTTTCTCTGACAGTACAATAGCTTGTAACTTTCTTTCACTGCCATAAAGGGAAATAATATAGAGAGAGCATATATACACATACATATATAGTGTGTTAAATCATTTATTGAGAAAACAATCTTTTGAATACTTCTATGTCAGAAATAAAGCTATGTGCTAGTTATATAAGGTCGAAAAAAATAAAGAAATGGTTATATGTGTATTTCTACATTTATTAATTAAAATACACAAATAATTAGGGGTATGTTTTATGAAGGTAACAAACTGAACATGAAAAACAACCAAGGTGTCTGTGCTACCCATTTCAGTATACCTCTCTTCTTGCCATGTTTTACTACCCCTCTACCCCAGTGTTTTCAGATGCTTATGCTCTTAGACAACTTAGTGATACAAAATCAATATATAAAAGCATGTCTGTCCAATTTTTAATACATGCCTAGTGACAAACATAGCTACTTCTACTCCAACAGTTTTTAGTTTCTTGAAAACTCACAAAATGTGAGATTTATTAAACAGTTATCCTAGCATAACAAAAGACAACCTCATCTTAAAATAAATATACTGTCAGGGACTGGGAAAGACCTGTGTCATCATTTCAGTACTCGAGAAACTGGCTGTTTAAATGAGGGGATTCAGAAAAAGGAGATAGTAGAGGGTATTTTAAGATATTTATCATTCACACATATTAAACAGGGCTATAAACAGGGATCATCTCTTACTATCTCTAAACAGAGATCATCTCTTACTGTCTCTGGTTATGCAGGAGACTTAGTCCCAGGAACTAAGCCACTAAGCCAGTCCTCTGTAGCCCTAAGGCCACAACTTCTATCCCTGAATGGATGTTAATGAGCCATCGAAATTGTCCCCATACTCAGGAGTTTTTCCCCTGTGGCTTTATGTTTCTCTTCACCTAGAATTTCACTTTCATTTTAGCTTAGAATTATATCTGTGGTTATATTTGATCAGCATTTCTAAATATTTCTAATTGTTGGAGCTGGGTGGAAGAGAAGAGCACAAGAGATTGTTTACCTTACTATATTCTGCCTTGCTGCCTAAATCAGAATTTACTCCTGGGAAAACACTGAGTTGTGGTTTTTCCTATGTAAAATTCTGTCATCATGCCAGATTTACAGTTGCTTGAAAAGAGCAAACAAGTTGTTAGATATGAAAATGTGGAAATTTTATCTTTTATGTGAAAATAGTTAGGATTAACATTATCATTTACAAGCACATCAATTTAACTCCTGTCTCCCAGAAAGACTCAGAGAAAATGGAAGACAAGAAATATCGAAGTTTGATTAGAGATAAAAACATTACAATGCATGCAGAATGTGAGTGGGGTTCTGGATCATCTAACTAAGAGAACACAGATTGATAAGGAAAGAGTTTCATTAAGATAAGTTAGGCTGTTGTTTAACAGAAATTTGGCAGCTTTCTAAGAGGGATATTTTCTACTTCAGAATAAGCCTTGAGTACGTCAATCTGTCTATCAATATTATGATTGAAATCCTTATGCTAACACAAAAAGAAAGTAAGATAAATGTGACTTTCGGTTCAAAATATACTTAGCATCACACATTTCAAAATATTATATATGGACTATACTGTTTTCATGTAAAAAATTCAATGCCCCTTTGTTTTTTATAGGAATCACAGTTAATACTCTGAAGGTGAATGTATAACTCTGCCTAAAATTATTTTTTATTTTCAATCTTCCCCATGTGTCTAATCATGTTAATCCAACTCAACTGTTATTTCCAGCCTATTAAACTGACTCTAAGCTTCCAGATGCAATAGCAAACAGCAAGGTGCATTTTTATTGCTTTAAAAAGTGAAATCATGTAATGCATTTCTTTGACAGTTCACTTTATAAAATTATTTTAGTGGAACTAAGAAGGATTTCAAATTGATTGAGAGATTAGAAGAAATATGAAAGATAATACTCACCCAGTTTTTAAAGTCTCCATAGTAACTTGGAGAAAGTTGAAAAGCAGTGATATGGTTGGCTGTGTCCCCACCCAAATCTCATCTCGAATTATAGCTCCAATAATCCCCAGGTGTTGTGGGAGGGACCCATTGGGAAGTAACTGAATCACGGGGTTGAATTTTTCCTGTGCTGTTCTCATGATAGTGAATAAGTCTCATGAGTTATGATGGTTTTACAAAGGGCAGTTCCCCCGCACATGCTCTCTTGCCTGCCACCATGCAAGATGTGACTTTGCTCCTCCTTTACCTTCTGCTGTGACAGTGAGGCCTCCCCAGTCATGTGGAGCTGTGAGTCCCTTAAACCTCCTTTTCTTTACAAATTATGCAGTCTCAGATATTTCTTCATAGCAGTAAGAAAATGGACTAATACAAGCATTTTCTGTTTTGTATCATTGAGTCCAGTTATATGATTCCCTTTTCTATTAATGAGCCTTGTTACATAATTGTTTGATACATATATAAATTTATAAGTAACTTAAAGAAAATATGCTATTAAGATTGTGTTCAAATACATACCATATGATTGATATATAAGCCAATAATCTTTCCTAGTATTAAACATTGTCTTTTAATATGCATATTCAGCTTTTGTTTATATAACTTCTTATTTTTTAACCCTGGGTGCACTTCAGAATAATGTGGGAACCTTGCATAAACTTTTGATATCTGAGCTCAATACCATTCCCGAAAAATCAGGTTCTTTGGGGTTTGGCATCAATTGCCAGTATTTTTAAACATTCTCAGAGTTAACTTTATGTGCATCTAAGATTAAATGAAAGTTTTCTCTGAAATTCAGTACTATCCTACTTAATAGGACAAAGATGAATTTCAGTTCTGTGGTTATTTCAATTAGTAGGGCCTTTAATTTGTGGACTCCAAAATCAACAAGTCCTTAAATGAGCCATATCGACATGAAATAAAGTGAGTTCATATAATATTTCTTAAAGAGTGTTATCCTGGTCACCTGCCTTGAAAGCAACTAGGGTATGCATTTTAAAATAAAGATTTAAACAGACATAACCTTAACATTTAAAATCAAAATTCACAGGCTAGCTCAGAAAAAAAACAGAAACACTTGGGCCAGTTCGCACTAATGTGTTCCAGCTAAGGCTTTGTTTTAATTTCCAAGGTTTCTTGTGTTTAGAGAATGGAAATAGGGAAGGAATGCCTATTAGAGAGATATGATTTTTAATACAGAAATAACTTTTTAAAAGTTAGAGAAAAATAATGGCTTCTAATACTCACTTTTTCTGTAATTACTTAAATTGACTGCATATAGTTGGATTCTATAATGTTACCATGAAATTTTATATTTCAAAATATTTCTCTATAAAAATATTTTAAAACTCGGTTTTAATTTCATCATATAACTTTGTTAGATCATGTATCATATTAAAGAAACCCTAGAAAACATCTTTTTAAGCCAGATTTATTTTTCTTTTTCTGGTATATGTTCTTTATTAGTTTATCTATCTTAAAAACCTCTTACTTAAAAATAATGCAATTATTATCAAGCCAGCATGTTTCTCATTAGGAAATAATTTCTGTAAATTGTTCATTCATTTGATAAAGGCTTTCTTAATGTTTTCTAAATGTCTTCTATAGTCTAGACACTAGGCACTGAGGTTAATAATGAGATAATTACAAGGTAGATATGGACAAGGTAACTATCTTTTTTAATAAAAATTTAAGAACAAAGTAAACAGAGAAATCTTAAATATTCTAATGTAATTTGAAGGGAAGGCTAATTAGTTTAAGGCACAGAATATGAGAGGAAACTTATATAGATTTGGTAGTTAAAGTCGCTACCACTGAGGAGGTAACAACTGAGCAGAGACCTGAAGCCTGAGAAGGAGCTCGGCAAGGGTAGAAGCCGAAAAGGCAATAGAATATGAGGGTCTTTGACACAGAGAAAAAGTCTTGGGGTGAGATATCAATCTGTAAGAATTCTGTGTATAGATGGGTAGTAGAGATTCTATATGTGGATGAGACAGCTCTGAAAGCAAGCTTATAGATCAGAGGGATGCAATGGCCCAGGGCAGAACTTTCAGGATTTGCTGTATTTTAAGGCCAAGAGGAGAAGGAAGAGTCAGAGAAGCAAGAGATCAGAAGAGCCAGTCTTAGAAGCCTACAAGAAAAATGGTTCATGGAAAAGGTGGGTAACAAAGGTGAGGCTTGCTGACAAGACAATTAAGGGGTGGGCCAATGATGTATTTAAAACATGGAGGTCTTTGGTAACTTTTGGAAGAACTGCTTAAATGAGTGCTTTAGTGTGTATGCATCTTTTTAAAAAACAAAATAGTATTGGCTTTATTAACAATACCCAACCAGGTATCTAAGTCAGTATCATCTTTATATTCATTTACCAGTTCTACCGACTAAAGAGAGCAGAGCATAGTGATGTTTGGAACTTAATAATTATATGGAAATAGTTGCAAATATTTATGTCTGAGTTATGCAGGACAAAGGTACCTACTACATATAATTTTTAAACATTATTTTATTATTGCAAATATACACAACCTAAATCTATCATTTTAACGATTTTGACGTGTACGGTTCTGTAGTATTTAGTATATTCACTTTGTTGTGCAAGCATTACCAACATCCATTTACAGAATGCTTTCATCATTTCAAACTTAAACTCTGTGCCTGTTAAACTACAGAATAAGAATGAATAATTTTGATTAGCTATTTGATCTTTGAGAGAGTGATAGGCTCCTACCATGAATATTATACTTAAAGAATATTATACTGTGAAAGAAACTGAAGCTCATATAATTTAAACTGCTTTCCAAAGTTTATGCACTAACAAGTGGCAGAATTGATATTTACATGTATAATTATCTAAACCTCAAGTTTTTCCCTCTATGTATCATGTATGTGAAATAGAATGAGAGAAAAATCAAAGATAGCAAATCAGTCTATTTTACCTCTACTTCTGACTGCAAAAAAAAAAAAAAAAAAAAAAGCAACAATCAGCCGGGCATGGTGGCTCATGCCTGTAATCCTAGCACTTTGCGAGGCTGAGGCGGGCAGGTCTCCTGAGATCAGGAGTTCAAGACGAGCCTGGGCAACGTGGCAAAACCCCATTTCTACCAAAAATACAAAAAATTAGCTGAGTGTGGTGGCGCACGCCTGTGGTCCCAGCTACCCAGGAGGCTGCAGTGGGAGGATCGCTTGAGCCTGGGAGGCAGAGGTTGCAGTGAGCCAAGACTGTGCCACTGCGATGCAGCCTGGGTGACAGAGTGAGACTCCCACTCACAAAAACAAAACAAAACAAAACAAAGCAACAATTGGGTTAAAAAAAGAAAAGAAAAGTTAAAATGTCCAGAATTAAAAGGTCAATAACTAAGCCCTGTCGATGTGAATATGATTTCAGTTATTTGCAACTTATTTCTAGGGCTAACATTTGGAAAAACATAAGATATATTAATCTCTACTAAAAATCTGATGCATTTTCGGTATAATAATGTATGGTCTCATTTTATTTTTCAGTCTCAACCTAAGGCCTCTCTTTAGAGGCAAATAGGAAGTGCCCTCTGTGTGCATCCATGCACTGTGTATTAGTCTACTCGTTTCTATAGCAGAGTATCACAGATTGGGTGGCTTAAACCATGGAATCATATTTTCTCACAGTTCTGGAAGCTAGAAGTCCAAGATTAAGGTATCAATTAGGTTGGTGTCCTCTGAGGCCACTCTCCTTGGTTTGTATCTTATCCTTCTGTCCTCACATGATCTTCCCTCTGTGTATCTGTGTCCTCATCTTTCATAAACACAACAGTAATATTGGATTAAGGCCTACCATCATAACTGCTTAATCTTAAGTATCTCTTTAAAGACCTTGTATCCAAATACAGTTACCTTCTGAGCTACTGAAGTTCGAACATCAACATATGGATTTGGTGGGGGGACACCCTTCAGCCTGACACATTGTAACAGACTTATGTTTGAAACATCTGCTCTGTATGAAATTTGGAAGATTTTATTAAATATTTTAGCCCTAGCTTTGTGATATTTAACACTAAAAAAAAAAGTAGCTCAGAAGGAGAATATTTATCCTTGTTGTTATAAATAATGTTTGCTCTATCAGGACAATGTAAAGATAATACACTTAAATTGAAGAGAGACCATGTATCAAATATGGTTATAGTCAAAAGGCAGAGTGTTTCCTGCTCAATAGTTTTCATTTCATACACCACTTTCTAGTCCATTATCTGTGGGCTGTCAATTAGGTTTCTAAAAACCAGACAAAAAAATTAGCTCCATTGTGAACTGTCAGCAAAGATTTTGGCATTGCAAAAAGAACAGGTGAGGAAAAGGGATAACTTATTTGTTTCAGAAAATAGAAGTATCATGTTTACAAACCTTAAAAGTTGCAGATCTGGTTTCACCTCGGCCATTAAATATGTGCAAAACAGGACGACAAATCATATCAGGCTACTTATTTATTATTATCACACATAATACACAATAAAGATCAGCATCTTCATTTCTTGGGCTGGAAGACTTCAACATTTCCAAGGTGATCTGACAGTTGGCCAGGGTATTCCTTCTAAACGAAAGGTTTGCCACTCCAATAACATACTGGGAAGGTGTTTCAGCTATTACCAGCCTACTAGGACATTATGTAGCAACAGTAAAGAATAAATAAATGCTTTGTATGAATATACTCCAGCATAATGAATTCTAAATCTTCACTTCAAAAAAAATGTCCGGACTTTTGGCTGGTGTCTTGCCATATAAGACTACTTGGGGGGCTGAGGCAGGAGACTCACTTGAACAGAGATGCAGAGGTTGCAGTGAGCTGACATTTTGCCACTGCCCTCCAGCCTGGATGACAGAATGATTGAGACTCTGTCAAAAACAAAAAAACAAAACACTAAAAACAAAACAGAAAGACAAACAAAAAACAACCGGAAGGGCCAATATAAAGGGAAGCCTCACACTTTCATGGGTTTCCCACCAGAAACAGCCTACCCCTCATCCTTTACTCCACTTGAAGATTGGAAGACAAATCCCCTTCTGTGTTTGGGTAGAATTCAGGTAGGGGGCTGAGGGCAGAGCAATAATATTTACAAAGATGTATACCCAGGTTACATAAATGTATAATTACCAAGCATTCTCTTTTCTACACTCTATAAGATATAAGCAGTTATAGACTTTTTTGTATGTCTTGGAAGAATTAAGAAGAATTAGGACTTCTTTGAAGGAGGAATTATTTACTTATTCAAACCATTGAATATTTCTCTTGAATTTATACTTTTCATGTCCATTCTAATTTTTAGTCTCAGATCAGTTCTTGATCATGAATCATTTGGCCTGGTGCCGGCACCTCCATCTGACCTTCCCTCCTTTCTCCTGGGCTCTTACTTCACTCCAGTCACTTTATCCATATTGCTGGCTGTCTACTGTCTAAATCACAATCTGTAACACATAATTCCTCAATCTGGAAACCATCAGCAGCTCCTCAGCAACTATCAGATCAAGTCTGGCAAAAAGCCATGCTTCTAGCCTGCAATTTTCCAATTTCAATCCCAATTACCCTCTTCCTCATTCATACCAGACCATAAGTCCATGCCTTTCATGCTTAGGGACCTCAAGTCATTTTGTTCTCTTTGCTTGGAATATACAAAACACAGTGAATCAATGTTAAAAAACATCCTCTTGCAAAGCAACTTCAGTAGAAATCCATATTCATAGGGAATGCTCCCCCTCAATCACAAAATTTAATTGCCCAGGAACTATTACCATGCTATTGTGACAACCTGAGCATAACTCTCCATGAATTTTACATTATGCAGCCTGCATTTCCTTATGATGTTTATGAACTAAATCATATGGTCTTAAAGTTGAATTCTTATTTTATGAGCATTCCCACTATTTCTCTTCGTTGTTCAAATATCTTTAAAGTGTTGTCTGACTGCTTGGGTATTTTCAGAAGAGCACAGAAAATACATTTTTATTATTTTCAAAACTCAATAATAATAACTAGTTATTAATTAAAATAATCTTTTGCCAGGAACTTACAAAGCAAAAAGTACTATTCTAATCACTTTTCATGAATGAACCCATTTAATACTCATAATAACTCATGAAGTATGTTCTATTACTATCTTAGTTTTATAAATGAGATCACAAAAGCATGAAGAAAAAGTATCTTGCTGAACGTTACAAAACCAACTAAGTGTTGAAGCTTAAATTCCAATTCAAATACAAGATACCTGGCTCCAAATTCTGTGAATGATGAACTAATCCTCAAATATGTCCCTTTTGTCTATATTAGGAATAAAGTCAATGACCTTTTTTTGATAGAGAAATGTTTGTTTTTAATGTTCTCTTTTTTAAAAGAGCTATATCATGTATTAGTTATATATTTTGGGGAGATTTTAAAATTACGATGTAAAAATATAATGATATACCATTAAGTTTGTACAGCTACTGTTAGATAAAAATAGCCATAGTCTTTAGGTAGTAAATTATCCTCCTTTTCCAACGTAAAATAGTGCAGTTTCATTTAAATATGTGTATCCCTTTCAGTATCTAGTAGAGTGCTCACTAAAAGTTTCCAATAGTTTTTGTTGAAATATAAGTATTATATTTTACAAAATCTTTACACTGATGAAGCATTGCCTTCACATAACTATCCAGGATCATTGAAAAAATTATTTAATAATGTCTATATTCTAACCACTGTTTTAATTTATTTTTTCTTATTTGTGGAGAGTACACTCTGATTCAAAACAACCAGTATACCCCTTCCTCATTCACTTTTATTTTTGTTATTTCAATATAAATCAATTAGAACACCGAGACAGACTCATTAAATAGCATTTTATTTGTCCCTAAGCATAAAAAGATATTTTGAGATTTTCACAATTTTTTATAAAAGGCATTAGTAAATAAATTCTGAGTCAATTGACCAATTTTAGTCAAACTAGCTCTTCATGCCTGATAGTAATCAACCCACCTGATGTGCAGTATTATATACTTGCAAATCTTGAATATCTACTTAACTATTGAAAAACAAATCAAAATCTCTATTTTAGGATATTAATTATAATACTTCATACTCTGTTAGTACCTTTCATCTAAAGACTTCAAAAAGCCACAGAAGTGTTAATTAAACTTTTGTGGGATTTTATTTCCTTTTAGATATGTGTGGAAAGGGGCCACAATATCATTATATATTACTAGACATTAGAATCACCCAATGATTTTAAAGAAAGTTCTCCCACTGTATATTACTATTTTCTCTTGTTCTTTGCTTCGAGTACATATGAGAAACTCATTACTAACCAAATCCATTATGCTTTAAAAAGTCTCAACATATTAGATTCCAATATTTAAAAATTCAAAAGGAAGAACTATATCTGTATGGGGTGGGAAGAATCATGTTAGTAATAGATACTTTGGTTACAGTTAATGCAACCTTTTTCCCATCACCCTGATCTTTGTTCTTTGTTTTCAATCTCACTATGGGGCTTTTTTTCTCTCTCTCTTTTTTTTTTTTTTTTTTTTTTTTGTAGTCTGGCTCTTGTTGCCCAGGCTGGAGTGCAATGGCAATGGCATGATCTCGGCTCACTGCAAACTCCACCTCCTGGGTTCAAGGGATTCTCCTGCCTCAGCCTCCAGAGTAGCTAGGATTGCAGGCACCCGCCACCACGCCTGGCTAATTATTTGTATTTTTAGTAGAGATGGGGTTTTAGCTTGTTGGCCAGGCTGGTCTCAAACTCCTGACCTCAGGTGATCCACCAACCTCGGCCTCCCAAAGTTCTGGGATTACAGGCATCAGCCACCACTCCCAGCCAGTATGGGCCTTTTAAGAACATTTCAATTTATCCCATGTTTTTATTAATTTACTCAGATGTATTTAAAACAATATTTATTGCAAGGGATATTGTGTTTTTCATACTAGACCATTAATTACTCACCGTTCAATGTGGACAATGCATACACATTCCCATACCAGATCTTGTCTAATATAAATTGTTCTTCCAACTGTCTGGAGTCACATAATTAAGACCAACGATCCTGGAGTTAAGTCTCTTCTCTTCAACTTACTAGTGATTTTTCTTCAACTTTTGAAATGATCATATGACTTTCTTTTTAAATATTTTTTATCAGTGTGCTAAGTGCATTCTGCTTAGCTCTGTAAATGAAATAACAATGCCTGGAAGACAGTACTTCTTTTTACAGCGTGGTTTACTGAATATTTTAACTCCACTGTGGAGACCTACTTCTTTTTTTTTTTTTTTCTTTGAGACGGAGCCTCGCTCTGTGGCCCAGGCTGGAGTGCAGTGGCGCCATCTCGGCTCACTGCAAGCTCCACCTCCCGGGTTCACGCCATTCTCCTGCCTCAGTCTCCCGAATAGCTGGGACTACAGGCGTCAGCCACCACGCCCGGCTAATTTTTTTGTATTTTTGGTAGAGACGGGGTTTCACCATGTTAGCCAGGATGGTCTCGATCTCCTGACCTCGTGATCCGCCCGCCTCGGCCTCCCAAAGTGCTGGGATTACAGACTTGAGCCACTGCGCCCGGCCTGGAGACCTACTTCTCAGAAAAAAAGAGCCCTTTCACAGTATTAATGCTTATTGACCCTGTACCTCATTGCCTAAAAGCTCTGATGAAGATGCACAAGGAGATTAATGTCCTTTTCCTGGCTGCTGACACAACATCTGTTTTGCATTCTGAATCAAATAGTAATTTTCATCTTCAAGTCTTACTATTTAAGAATGTATTTCATAATTCTATAGCCATCATAAATAATGATTCCAGTGATGAATCCAGGCAAAGTGTAATTAACACTTCTGGAAAGGATGCATCATTCTAGATGTGATTAAGAACATTCATGGGTCATGGGAGAAGGTGAAAATATTAATGATAACAGGTTTTGGAAGAAATTGATTCTAATATTCATGAGTAACTTTGAGGGGTTCAGGACTTCAGTGGAGGGAGTAAATGCATATGTGTTAGAAACAGTAAGAAGAATAGAATGAGAAGTGGAACCTGAAGACATGACTGAATCGCTGCACTCCAGATAAAACTTGAACAGACAAGGCATTGAATTTTATGGGTGAGCAAAGAAAATGGTCTCTTGAAATGGAATCTCCTTCTGGTGACAATGCCGTGAACATTGTTGAAATAACAACAAACAGTTTAGAATATTACATAAATATTCTAGTTTATGAAACACTGGCAGGATTTGAGAGGATTGACTCCAATTTTTAAAGTTCTACTGTGGATAAAACGCTACCAAACATCATTACATGCTACAAATAAATTTTTCATGAAAGGAGGAATCAATGCAGAGTCAATTCACTGTTGTCTTATTTTAAGAAATTGCCACAGCCACCCTAATCTTAAGCAACCACCACTCTGATCAGTTTGTAGCTAGCAACATTGAGGCAAAATCCTCCACTAGCAAAAAAGTTATTGCTGACTGAAGGCTCAGCTGATCATTAGCATTTCCTAGCAATAAAGTCTTTTAAAATTAGGGTATATACATTTTTAGACAAAATGCTATCACACACGTAACATACTACAGTATAGTGTAAGTGTATCGTTTATATGCATTGTGAAAGCAAAAGAATAGTGATACGGTTTTGATAACTGATACGGGTTTTGCTCTGTTTTCCCACCCAAATCTCACCTCCAATTGTAATCTCCATAATCCACATGTGTCAAGGGTGGGACCAGGTGGAGGTAATTGGATCAAGGGGATGTTTTCCTCCATGCTGTTCTCGCGATAGTGAGTGAGTTCTCATGAGATCTGATGGTTTTATAAGCATTGCGCATTTTCCCTGCTTTCACTCATTTCGTCCTGCCACCTTGTCGAGAACTGCTTGCTTCTCCTTTGCCTTCTGCCATGACTGTAAGTTTCCTGACTCCTCCTCAGTAATGTGAAACTGTGAGTCACGACTCTTTCCTTTATAAATTACGCAGTCTCCGGTTTTTCTTCATAGCAGTGTGAGAATGGACTAATACTCTCAGTTTATTGCAAAGTTAGCTTTATTGTGGTGATTTTAACCAAACCCACAATTTATGCTTGTATGTATGTATTTGGTATGTAAAGCCAAGTGGGTAAAGATAGAATATTTATAAACTATTTTAGTGAAATGGGTGCTTTATTATATGGTAAGGCCAAAATATGCCTTGCACTGTGCTCTTCCTCCAATGCTTCGGTCTGTAACCACTTGCACTCCTTTTGTCACTCGTTGCGGTTCTCCTCCAGTGATATCTTACAATATGTTTAAAGATTATAGTCGATCCTCATGAAAATTGGATCTAGACCATTATATCCGCTAAGAAGTGCTGTAACTTCTTAGAATGAGAATGTTAACTACTCCTAAAAATTTATTTTTTTTGGCTTTAGATTATAAGAAATCTGAAAATGTAGGCTATATAAATCATTGTACAGGTATTCCCTTTAGCTCTTACCAAGATGGTTAATAATATTTATCATATAGTACTACATATATGTAAATTCAGAAGGAATGCATATCTCAAAAAATTAATAATTTGTTTGCAGATATGAGGAAAATGGGAGGGTAGCTTGCCTGGAGTAACCTGGTTAGTTAATGGAGAATCAGTATGGGGACCCTCATGTACTATTTTCTAGTCTAAACACTTATTATTGGCTTCACCAAATGGCCTCATATTTATTGTATTGATTCAGAATCTTATTTTCCTTTCGTGACTTCTGTTTCTATCCATTTTCTTCCAATATCTGAAGCTTTCTGAACAGCCAAGTTGTACTAAAGCACCATTTTGAGTGAATGAATTTGCTTCATATGTGAAACAAATGGTGGCCATATCACAGATAAATTGTCCCAAAATGTATTTGTTTATAAGCAACCTAGAACTTAATTGCAATATTTTTACCCTTGAGAATATTATGGGGAATAAATGTTTAATTTCAGCTTTTAGCCTCATCTCTCTTAATTAAATGAATAAAGGGCCTAGACATTGTTCTATCATGGGTCTTTCTAGTTGACAGAGTTTCTGTTCCCCAATTATTCATTTGTTTTCATTTTGCTGTGTTTTTTAAGAGTTTTACAGAACACAAAAGGCTTAATTTAATGAGCCTGTTTTGCAATATAGTACCAAAATAACATAGACAGTGGGCTTACATACAAACTCAAACAGGACTTGAAATGAATCGCTTCAAAACCTAAACCCTCTATTGTCTTTACTTACTTTTTTCTTCTTTTTTAAATACCAGACAATTAAGTCACTGTAAAAAAAAAAAAAACAAACAGAAACACAAGAAATGATGTAGCTCATTTAAAGGTGTTTTTGTTGTTGTAGTTGTTGTTTTTAAATAAGATGCTATTTTCAGTTACAGGCCTCCTTGGTACATGCCCTTCTTAGTACAAATTTAATTCAACATGTAATTTCCAAATGGAATGTTTACAGTGAAAACAAAAAAATGTGCATGTACAATCATAAAACATTTCCAAATGGTAGGTTACATGGTCTGTTCTGATGATCTGATAGTTGTGTTTTAGTCAACATATTGATAACAGAAATTGCAAAATTTAAAAAAAAACATATATTGTTGTTTCCACTGTTATAGGACTCAAAATGTAATGTTAAAATATAGAAATTTTGAAGAGGAGAAAGGCTGGGAAAAGAAGTGAAATGGGTCAAAGAAAATTTAAGCATCTACTATGAGCAATATATTTTGTTAGAATTTTTTGTATATTTTTATCTACTTTCAACATCTTAAAATGGGAACTGGTATATCTGCTGTACAGAAAAAATATCAGAGCATCAGTGAAATAAAGTAACTTTGCCATGTTGATGTAGTTAAAAAGTGGTAAAGGAATTTGAACCTCCAGTGGGCTGACTTTTCAATCTTTTCACTATATTATGTTCTCCGAAGAAATGGTTTATAAACTAACACACATTTGTTTTGTACCTACTCTGTATTTCTCAGATGTGTTACATACACATCATTATCTTCATTTTCACCAAGAAGAAAGAGACTAAGAAATGTTGTTCGTGTTCTCAAGAACCAACCTCCAAATAGTTTGTGATAATGATTTCAACAGTCTAAAGATACAGAAAAATAACCTGTAAGAATGAGAAAACAAGGACAAAATAGAGACTTTTTCAATTTATATTTCTTTATTTAAAAAATGCTCATTTATTTTGATATTGTAACTTTTTGTGTTTTGGGTGTTAGAATGTAAAAGTTAGTAGTTGGATTTGTTTTTTATTTGTTTTAATGTCCAATTTTACCATTGGCAATCTCAGTTTTTGTTATTAGTATTTAATTTTACTATCCTTTATAATACAGAGTTTAAAAACCTGTATGTTTATTAAGTTAAACTAATTTTTACAGCTAGTGTTTGGTAAACTTGGGACTGAATTCTAGATCAAAGCCTTTTCTTTCCCTACTACAATGAAGTTTTGCTGATCATTTGGCAAGACACCAGTATAGCAATCATTTCCATCATGGATTGTAGGTTCTTTCTCATGCAAAGAGGTAAGTAATTAGAAAGATTTACTTATCTATATAGTTTTGGTGTTATCATGCATGCTTTTGTTGCTAAATTATCACATTTTGGCAGATGGCAGATTGTCTTCAAAAAGAATAGAAATAAACTGATTATTCTGGGGTATTGGTGGATATTTGCATGTAAGAGAGAGGATGTGTAATCATTTTAGTAAAGATGCATTTGTGGCTCATTCCATTTCATAATTTACAGACCCAGCTGTGCTCCTCCCTAGGTCTTCTGTATAATTAAATGGGAAAGCTGCATACGGAAGCAGCTGAAATTATATATGGTTTTCTGGTCAAACTGCATAATAAACTGCAAAACTGCAAAATAAAAATTAAAACTAAAATAACATTCATTGTAATAAGATTTGAATTTCCTTTTTTTTCTAATCAGGATAAATTTTTAACTCATCAAGACAATATAAATGTTTTGAAGACCTGTGCCTAGCCTTTCATAGTACTCTTTTGTTCAGTTCTCAAACTTCACACTTTTGCTTTTTGCTTCCTTTAATATAAAAAGTAGTCCCTCTATCAATCATGCACTATATCTAAATACATCTATATCTGTTATTTCCAAGTTACAATATATTGCTTAATCTAATGTGTGAAAGAAGGAACATAAGATGAAATTTTCATTTGTTCAGCAAAGACACTCTTTGCTTCAAATTGAAGCAGAATGTAAAGCCTATGTTTTCAAGAACTATACTGGTTTAAATATAATAATTATGAATAAGTATATAAGCCACCTCTACACAAATACTCAGGGTTCTTATATATGGCAGTGTCTCTTTATAAAGTGATAAAACATTCATGTTTGTATCAAGATTGATTGATATGTGTTAGTTTTAAAACAACTTGATTTTTTAAATGAATTATTTTTAAATGTGAGTGGGAGAGAGGAAGATAGTAACTTAGTTTCTGCTTCTGCCGCTATTACAAGATACCATAGACTAGATAGACTAGGTAGCTTAAATAATAAATGAACTATTATTTTTAATCAATCTAGAGGCTAGGGAATCCAAGATCTAGACCCAGGTAAATCTGTTGTTTGGTGAGAGCACTCTTGCTGGTTTGCAGACAGCTGTCTGCAATGTATTCTTACATATTAGAGAGAGGATGCAAGCTTTTACTAGGACACAGGTACCATCATGAAAATCTACCCACATTACCTAATTACCTCCCAAAGACACCACCTCCTAATACCACCCCATTGGGTGTTGTTGAGGTTTCAACATATAAATTTTGGAGAAACACAAACATACAACTTATGAGAGAGAGAGAGAGAGAGAGAGAGAGAAAGAGAGAGAGAGAGAAAAGTGCCTTTTGTTTTCTTTTGTTTTGACAGTCTTGCTCTGTTGCCCAGGCTGTATTGTAGTGCAGTGGCACAATCTCTGCTCACTGCGACCTCTGCCTCCCCAGTTCAAGTGATTCTTCTGCCTCAGCCTCCCATATAGCTAGGATTAGAGGAACCAGCCACCACGCCAGGCTAATTTTTGTATTTTTAGTAGAGACGGGGTTTGGCCATGTTGGCCAGGCTGGTCCTGAAGATGCTTTTATTATTATTTTTTTAAATAGAAAAAAGCTGTTTGATACATTTCATTTGTTCCTCTTTTTATCTCTCTCCGCACCCTCTTCCAGTCTCCCATCTTCCTCCTTCTCCTGCCTCTCTCCCATTTTTATATTCCAAAGCATATCCATTAAGAAGAGTTTATTGTCCTTGACTGGTAGGTCTGCGAAGAATCACGAGAGACGCACTTCTAACAGGCATTCCCAAAACAAGGACTTTCTATGTTCTTTGATCAGTGCACATCTAGTTCAATTCCCTTAGATCCCCCTCAGCAGCATCCAAAGACCAGGGCTTTGTTTTACAGTATTTGGAAACCTAATCTCCAGTGCCACAGAGATCTTCAATATTAGAAAGATCACAATTTTTAGAGGAAGGCAGACTTGAGTTGGAGCTTGCCAGTAATAAATCCATGGCCTTGAGAAAGTTCCTTATGTAGTCATCATTTCATTTTCTTAAAAATAGCTTTTTACTGGGGTTAAACCGCAGAGAGGATGCAGTGTAACCTATTTCAGCATATGCCCTAAAGAGACATCTAACAGAAAAACAACAGCAAATCACCACCTCCCTTTGTCTTTCTATAAGTCAGTTCATTTGAAACCTGTAAGCAATATTATTTACGCTATAAGATAGTGATGACGTTAAAATGAGATTTTTCACGAAAATGAAATAAACATCTCTAGCATGTAGTACGCACTTAGTAAATATTAACCAATATAAATACACTATTATGTTGAAAGCCAATAAGCAAAAATATTTGGGCAGATCAGACCAGTATATACATACATACATATATATATACACACATACACACACACACACATCATATATATACATATACACATTTATTATATAATGTTTTATATATATAATGTGGTATATATATGTGTGTACATATTATATATAAAAAATCATATATATAATATATATACATATTGAGGGCAGGCACAGTGACTCATACCTGTAACCCTAGCCCTTTGGGAGGTTGAGCTGGGAGAACCACTTAAGGCCAGGCATTCAAGACCAGCCTGGGCAACATAGTGAGACCCCATCTTTAAAAAAAACAAATCAGCTTGGCTTGGTGGTATGAGCCTGTACTCCTAGCTAATCAGCAGGCTGAAACAGAAGGACCGCTTGAGCCCAGGAAGTTGAGGCTGCAGTGAGCTGTGATTGTGGCTTTGCACTCCAGTCTAGGCCAGAGATTTGTCTCTGAAAAATAATAATAATCTCTGAAAAATAACAAGAATTATATGTATTTTAAGATACCTTTTAAAAGATACAAATACCATCAATTATTACTTAATATACACATTTTAATTGTCATTTTGCTTGCTTGTCAGTTCTAATTCAACTCTCTTATCTTGACAGATGACTGAAGATAAGTTCATAAAAGTAATGATAAAACATGTTAGCAATGTAATTTAGTTATTGTGCTTCCATTACAAATATTACCTTCAATTATTGATTACAGAAAATCAGAGTAACATTTTAAGACACATTTATATTTTGTTCTTTGGTTAATCTAGATAAGATTCATCATAATTATTTTGATAGGGAATACGCATATTTCAAAGGGTTTCAAACTATGAATAATAATTGTGATCTCTCACATGACCATCCTTGAAACATGACATGTCTTGCTGAAAAAGAGAATAAGCATCAATTGATATGCTAATTATCAGCAAGCTTAATTTATTATTCTTTTCTATAAGTAAGCATTTATAGAAACTTGGATATATTCTTTATCTGTGTATAATAGCTTGCTTTACATATCCCCTATGAAACATCACCTAAGTTGGATACCCCTGGTTTGGGGGATAAAATGGAGTAAAGATTTAGCAAAAGAGGGAGCTATTAAAAATAAAATATTATTAGAAGAGTTTTCTTAATAAGAAATAGGACATAATTGTCCCAAACAATCATAGTAGGTATCTGGGAGGCAAACAAGTGAAGGGAATAGTTGGAAAAGCACCTATTCATAAAAAACTGCTAAAGATGAAGATTTAAAAAATGCAAGAATTTATATTCTCTATTCTTTGTTTATAATAGACTTTTTATTAGTTTGGTATTGTAATAGATTACTCATTTGTATTTTACATTCTAGTCATATGATTAAAGTTTATAAGTAATTTTGTACAAGTAAATTTAACTTTAACACCATGTTAAAATTTCAGAAGCCAGAAAAGAGGGAGATGCAGTCTTATATTTAACAACTTAAACATTTTAAATCGCATGTAGTTACAGATTGAGATAAAACAAAGCATTTCTCTTGGCAGTAGAATCCCTTTGTTCTGTGTATGTGGAACATAAGTTCAAGACTGCAGGGACTATGTTTTGTACAACTATGTATATTATAAAACTTATAGCACAATATATTGCACATACTATTAACTTAAAACATTTCTGTTGTGGCTTTTTATAAGAACGCAATTTCAAACAATGCACACATATTAAATTTTCTAAATAATGTGTTTCATTATTCAAAGTATTAGTACTGTCTAGCATTTTCTAAGTCAGCTTGATTAATAAACCAAATGCCATAGGAAGCAAATGATTATCTGGGGGAAATTTTTAAATGATATAGAAATCTTAACTTTTTAACCAAATGTAAAATGGATGTGAGAACAATCAGCTCAGAAGCAAAGTTCAGCATCATCATTATCACCATGAACTAAAAGCTTTCTAGACAATAAAATTAATATTACTTTGTGATGAATCCAATATGTGGAATTGAAGTTTTTCAGAGAACTCTAATTAGTGCAAGTTCTCCTGTGTTTTTTTTTATTATTATACTTTAAGTTTTAGGGTACATGTGCACAATGTGCAGGTTTGTTACATATGTATACATGTGCCATGTTGGTGTCCTGCACCCCTTAACTCCTCATTTAACTTTCGGTGTATCTCCTAATGCTATCCCTCCCCGCTCCCCCGACCCCACAACAGGCCCGGGTGTGTGATGTTCCCCTTCCTGTGTCCATGTGTTCTCACTGTTCAGTTCCCACCTGTGAGTGAGAACATGCAGTGTTTGGTTTTTTGTCCTTGGAATAGTTTGCTGAGAATGACGGTTTCCAGCTTCATTCATGTCCCTACGAAGGACATGAACTCATCTTTTTTATGGCTGCATAGTATTCCATGGTGTATATGTGCTACATTTTTTTTTTTCAATAGCCCAGCCTGCTGAGCTGCCACTGATAAGACCTCCCCTCCCCTTTCCTTGGTCTGGCATCTTGTTCAGATAATACAGCAAAAGCTCTATTACTCTCTGGGGATCAACTTGAGTGTCATCTTGGTGGCTCACAGCCAGCATTCTGGCTTGCGGACAGACAGGGGTCCTTTATATGTGCCACATTTTCTTAATCCAGTCTATCATTGTTGGACATTTGGCTTGGTTCCAAGTCTTTGGTATTGTGAATAGTGCCGCAATAAACACACATGTGCATGTGTCTTTATAGCAGCATGTTTTATAATCCTTTGGGTACATACCCAGTAATGGGATGGCTGGATCAAATGGTATTTCTAGTTCTAGATCCCTGAGGAATCACCACGCTGACTTCCACAATGGTTGAACTAGTTTACAGTCCCACCAGCAATGTAAAAGTGTTCCTATTTCTCCACATCCTCTCCAGCACCTGTTGTTTCCTGACTTTTTAATGATTGCCATTCTAACTGGTGTGAGATGGTATCTCATTGTGGTTTTGATTTGCATTTATCTGATAGCCAGTGATGATGAGCATTTTTTCATGTGTCTTTTGGCTGCATAAATGTCTTCTTTTGAGAAGTGTTTGTTCATATCCTTCACCCACTCTTTGATGCGGTTGTTTTTTCTTGTAAATTTATTTGAGTTCATTGTAGATTCTGGATATTAGCCCTTTGTCAGATGAGTAGATTGCAAAAATTTTCTCCCATTCTGTAGGTTACCTGTTCACTCTGATGGTAGTTTGTTTTGCTGTGCAGAAGCTCTTTAGTTTAATTAGATCCAGTTTGTCAATTTTGGCTTTTGTTGCCATTGCTTTTGGTGTTTTAGTCAAGAAGTCCTTGCCCATGCCTATGTCCTGAATGGTATTGCCTAGGTTTTCTTCTAGAGTTTTTATGGTTTTAGGTCTAACATTTAAGTCTTCAATCCACCTTAAATTAATTTTTGTATAAGGTATAAGGAAGGGATCCAGTTTCAGCTTTCTACATATGGCTAGCCAGTTTTCCCAGGACCCTTTATTAAATAGGGAGTCCTTTCCCCATTTATTGTTTTTGTCAGGTTTGTCAAAGATCAGGTAGTTGTAGATATGCGGCATTATTTCTGAGGGCTCTGTTCTGTTCCATTGGTCTATATCTCAGGCTGGGCACAGTAGCCCACGCCTGTAATCCCAGCACTTTGGGAGGCTGAGGCAGGCGGATCACGAGGGAGGAGATCAAGACCATCCTGGCTAACACGGTGAAACCCCCTCCCTACTAAAATTAAAAAAAAAATAATTAGCCAGGGGTGGTGGCGGGCGCCTGTAGTCCCAGCTACTTGGGAGGCTGAGGCAGGAGAATGGCGTGAACCTGGGAGGCGGAGCTTGCGTGAGCCAAGATCATGCCACTGCACTCCAGCCTGGGCAACAGAGCAAGACTCTGTCTCAAAAACAAAAACAAAAACAAAAAAACTAGTTTTAAAAACTCTGTAGCCAGCCTACAGTATTATATTCTCTTTTCTGAACATACTGTTATCAAAGAGCATGACCTACGTGGTTGGCCTGAAAGCTTTTTTGCCAAATGGCACGATTTGAGGCAGAGGCTTAGAGGATGAAAATCTATGACATGGTAAATAAAAGTTGCAAACCCTACAGAAAATGAATATTACCCTGAAGTTGTATTTCCATAAGAGCAAGACCAGCCAAAAACTTAATGGAGAATTTCTGAAAAATGAGAGAAGTATTTAAAAGATAGATAAGTTCACCTTATATTTCTGATTACTAGGAAAATAAACTTATAATGAGATCTGAGTGTCCATATGAAAGTGAAAGTGAGGAGAAATTTGAGAAACAACTGAACACTAAGTGTGTCCCCCAACCATCCTGCAGAGGAATAGGGTAATAGTCTTATGAACTTACAGTGTTTGAGCTCAGCCTCCATGCTAATCATTCAATCTCACAGGGACAGTTAATTGGAAGAAACAAAGCTAAAATAATTAAGAACAAAAAAGAACTGTATTTGGGAATGTAAATTACTAGATCCGCTATGGAGAACAGTATGAAGATTCCTCAAAAAACTAAAAATAAAATTATCATATGATAAAGCAGACCCACTGCTGGGTATCCAAGAAAAAGAAAATCAGTACATTCGAGAGATTTCTCTACTCCAGTGTTTACTGTGGCACTATTCACAATAGCCGAGATATGATATTAACTTGTGTCCATGAACAGATGAATTGATAAAGAAAATGTGGTATCAGTAAATAATGGGCTATTATTCAGATATAAAAAGGAATGAAATCCTGTCATTTGCAATAACATGAATGCAACTGGAGGACATTATGTTAAGTGAAATAAACCAGGCCCAGAAAGACAAATATCACCTGTTCTAACTCATATGTGGGAACTGAAAAAAAATGAATTCATGGAAATAGAAGAATGATGCTTACTAGAGGCTGGGAAGGGTTGGGGGAGGGTATTATAAAGAGGGCTGTTTAATGGGTAAAAAATACAGTTAGATAAAAGGAATAAGATCCAGTTTTAGGTAGCAGCACACTAGGGAGTTTATAGTTAACAATTTATTGTAAAATAACTAAAACAATGGAATTGAAATGTTCTAACACAAAGAAGTATTAAATGCTTGAAGTTATGAATGTCTCAGTTATCCTAACTTGATCATTACACATTGTATGCTTCTAGTAAAATATCATTTATACTCCACAAATGTATACAACTATTTGTATCCATAATAAATAAATGTTAAAAAAAGTTTTAAAATATGGTGAGATCAACATCTATACACTGCAAGGGTGGATGAGTCTTCAGTTTGAATCTAGTCTAGTTACTACATAATAAGCAAAGAAAACAAAATACAACATACAAACAAAAAATCCTAAGTAATGAAAATCAGAACACATAGTTTCTACATTATAAATGTTCAGTTTTCAAAAAAAATACATGATGCATACAAACAAAACTTGTGACATATACTCAGAAAATGAAAAAAAAATACAGTAAACAGGTATTGATTCTCAGTGAGCCCAGATGATTAAGCAGGCAAAGACTTCCAAGAAACTATATTATGTTTAGAGTAGTAAAGGAAAAAAATAAAGTAAATGATGCCACAACTATGAAATTGTAGTTGCAAAATAAAATCCCTTAAATAGAGACAAATGGAAATTGTGAACTTTGTGTGGATTTGTTAAAATTTATTCCTGAAACATATGGTAGAATAAGATAGTGAAACCATATGTACTTCTATATTTCTATATAGTAAGGATTTTTATTATAAATTCAAATTGTAATACGTTTAATTTACTACAAATTTAATAAATACAGGATTATTCAAGTTATTTATTGTGCCTGAAATCTAGGTTTTATTTTTATTATTGTCTTTTAAAGAATATTTTTATATTATCTAAGTTGTCAAATGTCTTGGCGTAAGGGTGTTCATAATATTGTCTTACTTTAATAGCTGTAGGATTTGTAGGGAGTTTTTATCTTTCATTTATTATGTTGGCAATTTTTTTCTGCTTTTTCATTCTTTTTTATAATTAACCTGGGTAATGTTTTATTGATTTTATCCATATTTTTAGTTATATTCTATGTTTGTTAATTTACTCTATTGGCTTTTTCTGTTTTCTATTTCGTTAATCTCTATGCTTATTTTCCACATATTTTTGGCTTACCTATTTTATTTTACTTTTCTACTTTCCTAATGATGAAACATAGATCATTAATTTTAGTTTTTTTTTTAATTTAAGCATTCAGTACTAAAAATCAAAAACCATTCAGACTGTGAAAAACAACTGCATTCCACAAATTTTTATACTTAAACATTTTTACATGGTTCACAATATTTTCTAAATACATTATACTTAATACCATTTAGAACTGTGTGATTTAATTTAGAAATATTTTGGGATTTTATAGATTTTTTAGCAGATTTCTTTCTAGTTTGCGTTGTGGTATGACATCAGAGGATAATATTATAGAAGAAGACATTATAGGATTTCATGTCTTTTAAATTTACTGAGATGTTTTATTGCTCAGAATATAAACTTGTCTCCACAAATGTTTCAAATACACATAAAGCTATGCATACTCTGTTACTTGAGGCAGAGTTGTCTATAAATGTCAATTAGGTCAATTAGGGAGATAATATTAAACAAAAGGAAATGAGAAAGGAACCAACACATATCATTGCAAAAAAAATTAAAAAGAACTTAATATAACAAAAAAGAAGGCAGAGGAATGGTAAAAGTGGGAAAAATTGCTAGGATGTACTGATAACAATTAACAAAATTATAATAATAGGCTCTTTAGCAGTAATTGCATTAAATTTAAATAATTTAAACTTCCCAATCAAAAGCCATAGACTGGCTCAATGCATAAAAATATAATATCCACCTATGCACTCTCTAAAAGAGACACATTTTAAGTGTAAAGACACAAATGCTGAAAGTGAAAGGATCTAAAATGATATTTCATGCAAATGTTAATCAATGATAGCAGAGGATGCAATGCTTATGTTCGAAAATTAGATGATAAGTCAAAATCTGTCACAAGAGACAAGGAAGGATACTGTATGAATATAGAAGAGACAAATTACCATGAAGATGTAGCCATTATAAGTGTATATGTACCTGACATCAGAGTCCTCAATTATATAAAGCAAACACTGACAGAATTGAAAGGAGAAACAGACAGTAACACAATAATAGTAGGAGACTATATGCCAACCTTTCAAAAATGAATGTAATAATCAGATAGAAAATCAATAGTGAAACACAGAACTTAAAAACACTATTAATCAATTGGCCCTAATAGACATATACAGTGCACCTCCCCCAGATGATAGTAGGATGCATGTTCTTCTCAAGTGTACCTTTGACATTCTCCAGAATGGATCAAGTGTTGGCAGCACACTGCCTTAACAAATTTTAAAATACTGAGATTATATCAAGTATCTTTTCCTACAACAGTTGAATAAAACTAGAAAACAATAGTTGAACACATTCAGCTATTGTTTTCTAGTTTTATTCATCTGTTAACAAATTTAGTCAAAAAGTCACAAATAAGGCTGAGCACAGCGGCTCACGCCTGTAATCCCAGCACTTTGGGAGGCCAAAGCAGGAAGATTGTATGCGCCCAGGAGTTTGAGACCAGCCTGGGCAACGTAGTAGGACCTTATCACTACAATTTTTTTTAATAGCTGAGTATTGTGGCACATGCCTGTCATCTCTGCTACTCAGGAGGCTAAGACAGGAGGATCACTTGAACCCAAGAGTTCAAGGCTGCAGTAAGTCATGATCATGCCACCAGACTCCAGCCTGGGTGACAGAGTGAGTGAGGCCCAGTTTCAAACAAAAATTTTAAAAATTAAAAATATATATATATACATACACATATTACATATATATATATATATATATATATAACATAAAATTTTAAAATTCACAAATAAGTATATATTAAAGAATGCATACTTAGACAATCAATAGGCCAAGAACAAATGACAAGTGGAATTAAAAAATATCCTGAAGCAAATAAGAACAAAAATACAACATACACAATTTTATGGGATTCAGCAAAAACAGAACCAAGAGGGATTCATAGTGGTAAACTTTTATGTTGAAAAATAATAGGCCAGACGCAGTGGCTCATGCCTGTAATCCCAGCACTTTGAGAGGCCAAGGGAGGTGGATCATGAGGTCAGGATTTCAAGACCAGCCTGGCCCAGATGGTGAAACCCCATCTCTACTAAAAATATAAAAATTAGCCTGGTACGGTGTCAGGCACCTGTAATCCTAGCTAGTCGGGAGGCTGAGGCAGAAGAATTACTTGAACCCAGGCAGCAGAGGTTGCAGTGAGCCGAGATCGTGCCACTGCACTCCAGCCTGGAGTGCAGGCTGGAGACTCTGTCTCAAAAAATAAATAAATAAAAATAATAATAATGAAATGGATTATACACCATGACCAAGTGGGATTTAGTCCTGCAATGTCAGGATAGTTCAACATACAAAAATCAATCAATGTAATACATCACATCAACAGACTGAAGGACAAAAATGTACATGATTGTCTCAATTAATGTATATTATATTACAATATTCAACACCTTTTAATTATAGAAAACAAAACAAATGATAAGCTTCAACAAACTAGACATAGAAGGAAACTAAATATAATTAAAGCTATAAATTAATAGTCCACAGCTAACATAATAATGAAAGACTGAAAACTTATTCTCCATGATTACCAAATTTAAAATACTTAATGGTACCATCACCAAAATCTTTCTTTTGCTATCTCTTTATACCCACATCTACTCAATCCTCCTCATTAATCCTAATTCCTGGGACTCACCATTTCGTTCTCCCTTTTTTATTTATCTTATTTCTCAAAAAGTGTACAGATGGAATCATCCAACGTTTATCCTTTAGGATTATTTTTTCACTCTGCCTAACTTCCTTGCTGTTCATCTAGTTGTATGCATCAATAGTTTGTTCTTTTTTATTGCAGAGTGGTATTCTATGGTATAAATGTATCACATTTGTTTATTTGTTTTTTGAAACACTTGAGTAGTTTCCAGGTTTCTGTTATTATTAACAAGGTTTCTAGAAACATTTTGTATAAGATTCTGTATGAAAATTAGTTTTTATGACATATTGTAGCAGGACAAGCTGCAGAGAAAAATCCTCAGACACCAGATTAAAAAAGGAAGAGGCTTTATTCGGTCAGGAGTGTCGACAGACTTGCATCTTAAGAGTCATGCTCCCTGAAAAAGAAATTCTTGGCCCTTTTAAGGGCTTACAACTCTAAGGGGTCCACGTGAAAGGGTCGTGATAGATCGAGTCAGCGCAGGGAACATGACTGGGGGCTACATGCATCAGCTAACAGAACAGAAAGTTTTGCCATGCTTCTTCATACAATGTCTGGAATTTACAGATAACACAAGTAGTTTAGGTCAGGGGTTGATATTATTATTATTATTATTATTATTATTATTATTATTATTATTGTAACTACCAGGGCTGGATGGTGGCAGCAGGCTGTCTGGCTATTTATCTTACTTCCGTTTCTTTTAAACTTTTTGCTTTCTTCCTTTCCTCCTGTCTTATAAACTAGGCAAGGGTGGGGGGAGGAGGGCAGCAGGAGAAGTGGTGGTATCCTTCCTTATTCCCTCTTTTGAGAATTTCACTTATTAGTGGAAGTTCTCACTTTTATTTTACTTTCTGAGTTTCTTTGTGAGACAGAGTGATAGTGATTCATATAATATACTTGTGCTGAAGTTTTCTGATGAACCAAGGTAGCAACAAAACCTTTTATCATTTGAAGGAGCAAGGGTAATACACAGGGAAGCAGCAAGCAAGTTCTTATTACTGGCAATATACGTATAATGAGAGTTTTAAATTTTCTTATAGCTGGAAACTATTTTTTAAATAAAGACTTAGGATTAAACCTGTGCTAAACCTGTACAGGCACATGTGCCAACTTTGTCATGTCCTAAGCAGGTTAGTTCTTTTACTGGGTCTTAAAAGCTTTTTTTAGTGAGCAACGCAGTATTTCTTAATAATAGAAGTTTTTAAGAGCCAGACGCTTGAACTTGTGGGCATCTGTTTGGGGAAAGAGTCAGTTAAAGTAAAGTAATCTTGAGGCATTAACTCTTTTGCTTCTCAAGGCCATTGGTCTCTCATGTTATGTTTATAATATATCCAAGAACAAAATTTCTGGGACATAAGTCTATGTTTGGTTTTAAAAGGGAATACCACAGTAATTTCAAAGCTGAATTAATGATTTTACATTTCTACCATTTCTCTGCATTCTCATTAACATGTTTCATCATTATTTTTTATTATAGCCAGTCAGATGGTTTTATAGTATATCTCATTATGGTTTTAAGTTGCATTTCTTGAATAGTTAAATACATTGAACATCTTTTCATGTGTTCATTTGTATCTGTGTATTATTTTCTAGGAAATACCTGTTCATGTCTTTTGATCATTTTCTAATTGGATTATTTACTTTTAATGTTGATTTCTAGAATTCTTCATATATTCTAGATACACAGTGTTTTCAGATACATAATTTGTAAATATTTTATCAGTCTATAATTTGTCTTTTACTTTTCTTAATATGGTCTTTTTGTAAAGCATAACTTTATTTTCACTGTGATTTAATTTATCAAACTTGTGTAAGTTGTGTTTTTGTTTAAGTCTGGGAACTGTCGACTTCTAGGTCCTGAACATTTTTTTCCTACTTTCCTTATTTGTGGTAGAAGTTTTACAGTTCTATGTTTTCTAGTTAAGTCTAGGCTCCATTTTGAGTTAATTTTAGTATAAGGTATGAGATTTATGGTAATTTTTTCATTTGTTTTTGCCTATGTTCTAACACAGTTTATTGACCAGACTATCACCCTTCTATTGAATTATTTTTGTTCCTTCAGCACAAATTAATTGAGCATATTTGTGAGCTCTATATCTGAGTTCTTTATTCTGTTCCACAGCTGTGCATATGTCTCAGGCAGCATGCAGTCCACGCAGTCTTAGTTACTTATCCACGTAATTAGCCTTAACTTTAGGAAGTTATTCTTCTCACTTCATGTTTGAAAATTATTTTGGATATTCTAGAGCCTTTCTCATTTACTATGAATTTTACAGTAAGGTTTTTGTTTGTTTCTTTTTTCTTGTTTGTTTTTAATAGAATCAGTATCTTGCTCTGTTGCCCAGGCTAGAGCGCAGGGGTGAAATCATAGGTTACTGTAGCCTCAAACTCCTACGCTCCAGCAATCCTCCTGCCTTGGCCTCCTGAGTAGCTGGAACTAAAGGCATGCTTCCCGAAACCCAGTTAACTTAAAAAAAAAATGTAGAGACAGGGTCTCACTACATTGTCTAAGCTAGTCTCAAAATCCTAATTTCAAGCAATTCTTTTGCCTTGACCTCCCAACGTGGTGGGATTACCGGCATGATCCACTGCACCTGGCCCTAAAATAAATGTTTATATGTCTACAAAATATTTGTGGAAATTTTGACAGAAATTGCATTAAACCTATAGGCTAATTTAGGGAGAATTCATGTCTTTATAATGTCGAGGCTTCCATTCTATAACACTGTATATTTTTCTATTTATTTAGATACTTTCATCAGCATTATGCAGTATTCAGCACACAAGTCCAAGTAATTGTTAGATCAACAACTAGTTATTTCACTGTACATTATTTTTGGAATATATACATGATACTATATTTTTACGATAAATAACTTGGTGACCATATATTTAGTGCTTTTATCTAGGAATACGACTTATATGTGTATGTTTATCTTTTATCCTACATCTTTATTGAACTCACTTGTCAATTCTACAATGCTTTTGTTGATTTATTGAGACTGTCTACATAGTCAGTTATCCCTCCACAGATAGGTACACTTTTATTTGTTCCTGTTCAATCAGTAACCATTTTATTTCATTTTTTAGCTTAATGTGCTGGCTAGAACTTGCGGTATTCTGTTGAATAGCAGTGGTAAGTGTTAAAACTTATTTTTTAAAGCAGGTTTTTAATTTATTCAGGAAGAAATAAGTAGACTTTTAAGCCAAACCTCAGTTTTCTGTTTCCAGAGCTCGTGTTCTCCTTACAGATGTACTTCCTTAATGGAAGTCCTCCATTTTCAGAAATACCTCTTCACGATAGCACCATGTCCATGAAAATCATGCATTAAAACTTGTGGTAAAATAGTTTCTATGGTCCAAAATGAATCAACTAAACTAACAAAACCAGCAACCTACTAAGAAAACTAGTTATGTAATTAGTCCAATTATTGAATCTATGGAATCATGTAGTAAATTCTTCAGTACAAGTTTCGAAGTGTAAGGCATTGCAGGATAATCTAGATTTTTTTTTAGACATTAACATTAAAAATGTATGCCACTTTCTCTATACCTTCTTTAATACTAGGGGGCACGCCTGCATTCTCTGGAAGTAAAGTTTTATGAAAGTGTCCTAATGAATTTGTATTTTATCCATTACATAGTTTTGAAATTTGTAGACACAGAAAAATACAGTAACATCATATTTAAGATGGAGAAGTAAATTACAGTCTTCAAATCAAAGTCATAACCTGAACACTTATATTTAAGGCTAGAAAACTCTACTATCCTGTGCCTCTGCATGTATTCATTACAATATTGTTTTCTGGTTTAATTCATGGGAAGGTGAAGCAAATAAGTTTTACCTTTAAGTTTTGTCTACTGTTTGTACATTTTTGAATAAGCTGATAACTTTAGAGAGAAAGTTGACCTGAAAAACGGAATGACCATTGGAATGGAGGCTTGGACACTTTTGCCTTGTTCCTCATTGAATGAACAAAGCATTCTGTCTTTCAAAACTGTATATGATGTAAGCTCTAGGGTTCTTTGCAGCTATTCTTTATCAAGTGGAGGAAGTTCTTCTCTATGCTTAGTTTTCTCATGTGAGTACATATAATAATATATCCCATATGATATATCATATATATCATATATATACTCACACACATATATGTATACACTATAATCATGTGTGTATTGAATTTTGTCATATTACATGATCATGTAATTTTTAATCTTGTTTTTTGTATGACATATTCTTTATAACTTTTTTATAATCAACCTCTGAGACTTAATAATTTTATTATTTCAAGGTGATTTTTAATTGATGTTTGAAGCATGTTTATGACAGTTAAAATCTTTGTCAGGAAATTTTAACTTCTGATTCATCTTATTATTGGCATTACTTGGTTGTCTTTTCTTATTCAAATTGGAATTTTCCTGGTTTTTGGTATTAAGGGTAAGTTTCTCTGGAATCCCAGAAATGTGAGTTATTGTGTTGGGAATCTTCTAGTACTAAAGTCTTCTATTTTTGCACACAGTTGCCTTGATTAGGTTTAGTATGTGGAATCTAGCCTACTATTTTGGGCTTTATTTCCAATGACAATTTAGTATCTGAGCATATGCAATGCCATTTTAGCCTTCTGGTAATGCTAAGGTTTCCACTCTCACCCTGTTTTGTCACTTGTGGGCACAAAAGTTTCTTCCCTGGGTTGTATGCTGTTGTTTCTGGGGTAATTTCTGGGGCAAATTCTGGAGCTATGTTCTATTTTTAGCTATTACAATGCTACCTTTTTTTCATCATGTAGGAAAAGGGGCAATTTCTTCTTGATTTTCACATGTAAAATCCTCTGAGCTTTTTTGGTGGTTCGTTATTTTTCACAAAGGCAGGCTGGGTGATATTTACCAAGTGAGTGAGGCAGAGAGAGAAAATTCCACAGAGAATTGACATCCCCTTTGCGTTCTAAGTGACAGTTTGCTTCAATAGTAGCTACTTAACTTGATGAAATAGTTAAGACATGATACTAGCAAGTTATGATCATATTAGACTTATCACTTGTTTTCTTCCTGAGTAGAACTCATTTTATGAATACTATTTTGCTAAGTTTCCATAGTGTTTGAGGAACACAGAGAAAGGAAATTCAAAGGTATTTTTAAATTGTAATACCCCTTATCACAATAAGATTGAGATGTTAGACAAGGTTGGTGCTGAAATACACCTATCAATTATTTTCTTTAATTTTCATATTCAATAAAAGATGTTTGTTTGGAAGATCAAAGGATTTTATCCTCATAATCATCTATGATTACATTAATGAAAGAACCCACCCTACAGCATATCTGTAAATTTCTTTTTCAAGATTGTGGTTTCATGAGATGTGCTACAACAGAAGGATTTCAGGGTAAAGAATAGATTCAGGAAATTTTTCACACAATATCTGCCTTTGTTGTATTTGACAGTTATCAAGTACTGTAACTCAAACTTCATTGAGATTCTGAATTACATATGGTTCATAATAAAATGTGTGTTCAAATAATGAACATCTGGTATGCTTTTAGACTAAAAGCAGTCAACCTTATTGAAAAATACTGAAGTTAATACATAATGTGAGATTTCCTAATGAACAGAATATTGTATCTTAGTTTGCTGGATTGATGTTATATCTTATAGGATATTGAGGTTTTTGCTAGATAGATTGATTACTATTTTTTAAATTACTTGTGGTTTCCATTATTGATGTACCTGAAACTGTAGAAATGATTGTCATTTTTTAATAATCTTAATGTCTAAACAAATTTAGAATTCAATGTTTTTCTAATTCTTTTACATTAAGAATATTTTTCTTATCATGGAGGAGGAATTTCCAGTAGAATTTGACTCGTTTGTAGTAACTGAGTATTTTAATATTGATTAAAAGCCACTCTGAATATTTGACCTTGTGGATATCTCAGATTTCTGATTCTTTCTCCATTGTGGCCCTCATATATATTAAAGTGATGGCACTTTTTATTCTCCTTCATCCCTTCAATTTAAATTTGCTAGTCTATTCTCAATTTGTACTTTACAGGACCTGTTGAATGAAGCACAAATAAAACTACCCAAACAACCCCACTGCCGTGAGCTGTTTTCAGTTTTGATTATGTCAGAACGTATTCCCTAGATCCTAGAGCAGATTCTTTTTCTAGCAGGAGATGTAAAGCTAGAGCAAGTCACATTTATGCACCTGGAATCTTCCAGATACTGTGCCTGGCATTAGGCTTATAACTTGGCTTTGTTTATTTGTATGAAGCGCCTAAAAGTTCGAGAGCCAGAGAAGTGCCTTTCCCCTGTGCGACACCCCCCGCCCACTGCCCTGGCAAAATACACAACTAGACAAAGCTTGCACACATTTCTTAAAAAACAAAATAGATAAGTAGAAGATTTGGAGAGATGAGAAATGTGAAAATATTAAGAACGCCCCACACACAAAATTTTAAAAAAGCAATTCATTATTTCTGAACTTCAAGTATCCCTATCATGTGTTAGACAAAATCCCCTTTTATCATTTTTCCATAAAACATTCCTGATCCCTTTGTTTAGATGAATCAGAGTTGAAACGCTTGTCTAGATTCTTCTCATAATAGTTACTAAAATATTTTATATTTTTAAACACAATATTTTTGGCATTTTCATAACTAGAAATATATGAGATTTAGGTATTAAAATTTTGTCTTGTTTTACATTTTTATTTTTTATAATTTGTTGCTATAAATTAATTGCTGAATTATGTTAGAGATCTAGACTTAAATTTATTAAATTATATTTATTTTGATGCTTCTATTTTTTATCAACTTTTTGAAAAGAAATTCCACATGCATCCTTGATCTGAAAGTGAGATGCACACACATATACACGTTTACTGACAGAAAACAGTTGAACAGCTTTTAAAAACAAGAAATAGAGAAAAAACTATAATAAATAATAAGTAGATAATAAAACCAGAAGCTGAGTTAAATTCACTCAGTTGCTAGTTCCTTCATACTCTTTCAGACCATAATCTCGGGGTACAATCATGTAATTTTAAAAAATATATGTATCTTTAAAAAGTTGTCTATTTTTCCTAAAAGTTAACAGTTATGATGCTTCAATGACAGTCTACTTGGAATGGATATACAAAGTCATAATTTCATAAAGACTATATAGGCTTTTTCAATAACTTGCCAATTATAAATTGGTCTGTTTTGGACCCAAATGTTATATAACAGTTACCGTTTCGATTTCATTCTGTTTTTCTAGTCCTTCTATAATACAGCTGTTGAAATCACTTTGAGTATTATGAAATGCTGGGGATCTTCAGCATTGCTAGAATCAAACTTGCAACCATCCCATAAATGGTTTACATCAACCATTTACATTCACTTTCCTCAGGTCTGGATTTTGTGCTAGTTTGAGTGTATTGTTTATTGTGGATTTTATTTCTATTCTTAATATCTTGGACTAAACTCATAGAATATTAAGAAAAGTCATTAGATAATTTATTTGCCTAAATAATTCATTACTGCTAATATTTAGTAGAAAAAATCTATATAAATGTCTCAATTAGAGTATTTAGAATTCTATAGAAAATCTTCTTATGTATATATCATAAGATTATGCCAAGTGATGAAAATTGTTGACTTGTTAGAAATGCTTAACATGATCTTTTGTATAAGTGAAATATAATATTGGCTAGGGGTAAGGGTTCTAGAAAACCAATACAAAAAGATAACATGCTATGTTTAAAAAATAATTTTAAGTAAAGGACCAGTTGATGAAAGACAAACATTCATATAGAACCAATAAACTTACATTCATAATTTTTGACCATCAACATATTTTAAAAATAATCATTAAATGGCTTTAATGAACACTAAAAATTGGAGTCTTGATATGACCAAGACTAATCAAATAAATGCACTGGTGATCATTCTGAAAATGGCTCCCAGGAAGCCATTTAAGGAAATTGGCATTTGAATAAATACTTGATTGATGGTTTCAGCAGTAACTTTAACTTGTGGGTTCAAGTTAATGGATTAAATGAAGCAGTGAGTTTTTCTGTATATTCATCTTTTACGAGTAGACACATTTTAGAAATACAAAGAGCATGGAAAAATCCTTGGTTTTACAAAATGGATCTACTACAGCATGTGAAGATATTTATAATAGTGTAACTGGCAGGTTATGTCCCACCTAAACAGTCTCAAAATGACTTTCAGGTGTAAGAAATAGGAATCTGTAAGAGTGAGCTAAAACCTTGTTTATAAAAGAATGTTAAATATTCATAAAAGCTATAACCAATAGGTGACCTTAAAATTTGTAATAACAGCTTTCTATAAGGACATGGCAAAATGTTTAGTGACTTGAAGTATTGGAAAGCTATTACTAAATAGCTTTTTAAAATGTAAAACCTTAATAGGTAGTGTCATTTATTATCTATTTTTCATAGCACAGCTAGAGACAAAGAGCAAGAGAAGGAGAACCAATTTTATAGCTAATACTTAGAGTTTCCAGATGAAGTGAGAAATGTAAAATATTGGATCTCTTGATTCAGTTTCTTCTAGCTTCCAAAGATCTCTTGTCAGCTCCTAAAAATACTTGATTCTTTAAGAGCAAATATTTCTAGGCTTATTTGTCTCTTTGATTTCAGTTTTTCACTGTATTGAAGTGAGATGCTTAACTATCTCTACAGGTCCTTGAAAGGAAATCAGGGAATTTAGTTTGTTTTATGTCTACCCCTCATTCTACCTCACCCAAGGAGGTGAAGGAGGTAAAGAATATAGCCCTGGACTCTCCAAACTCTTCCTCCACCAAATTTAATCCCAATGTCTTCTCTTTTATCTCATGTATTATACAGTTTACACGTTGGGGTATGATATGTAGTTTTGATCAAAGATAATCATCTTTGGTATACTCAAGCAGATGTTGGTGCCGTGCCTGCACAACCTGTAAAACCATGAGCCAAATTAAACCTCTTTTCTTTATAAATTGCCCAGTCTCAGGTGCTTCTGCATAGCAACACAAGGACAGATTAACACATAAGTCTAGTGAAATATATTTGGCAGTTTGGTCCTGCTCATAGATAAACTGAATCTAGGGGTTATACTTCTGACTAGGTTCTCCTCTTATCCCTCATTAAAGCAGCAGTAAATTCAAGATAACAAGAATCTGTTCTATAAATTTCAGATAATCTTTTTGAAGAGTTTTTTCAGTCTTGGTCCCCCACATTACAGGAATGTTTAGGCAGAAACTCTCCAAAGCTGCCATTCATGTCCTTTATTGGAACAGCCATCTGCATCTATACACCAGTACATCATTGTTACCCAGATCCCATGTTACATGGATGTCACATTTCTAGCATAAACAAGTGTTCTCTAGACTGTATACCTAGAGCCAGAGGACATGTTCCTTTTGAGAAACAGTGACAAAAGTGTAGAAGAAATGTTGATAAATGGAGCAGTAGATAATAGATCAGCAATCCCTTAATATTTATTTATAATCCCTGAAATAAATTTTGCTAGAGACTCTTGTTAATATGAGATAAAATATTTAACTTGATTTGAGATCTGTCATATAATACAAGGACTATGTAGATGCTTTAGAAAACATTGGCCAAGATAATATTTAAAAGATGGCAAGGTTATGACAGAAAGAAAATGTAGTTTTTTTTGTTTGTTTTTTTTTGTTTGGTTTTTAGGTTTTTCACATTGTAGTGCAGGGTGTGGCTTCATTACTTTATCTTATTTGAATGAACAAAATTTGAGAACAGCTATGTCTAGGAATGTGAAATAGTTTATGAAAATAAATTCTAGAAACATTGAAAAAATTTATCTTCTCAGAAGTTAGCCTTCTCATCATAAATTGAGAAGTTCATTATGCATTTTCAGATTAACTTCAATGCACAGAATAAGGAGACAAAGAACTTATTGTAGTTTTGGGAAATCTGGATAATGGTAGAAATCTATTAACTCTTGTTTTGGAGACACAGAGTATTCCTTTGAATGAAGACTTAGGACAGATATTTTTACATCACAATATTATGCTTACTGCCTGTCATTCCTCTTTGATTATTACATTTTGGGGGAAGAAAAATTTCGAGGCTTTTCAGTGCTTGAGTTCCTAAATAAATTTCACATACTTTAGAAAGCATTTGATTTATTCGTTGACATTTCATTAATTAGCTGTAACATATTTATACTAACATGTGCCTTCTTTTGGGAGTGTATATTTCTCATTATAGTCCCATTGTGTACATTCTTATAGGCATGTAACTGTTTCTACTTTCATTTGTGACTTATGGCATTTGAATGTGTACATTCATATGTGTTGGCACATACACTAGTCAAATGTGTGTGCCTGTATCTGTACATCCCTGTCAGGTATGTATACATATATCCATATGTACATATTAGCCTTATAATATAATCCATCAAAATGTACACACCTGTGTCAAATATGTTGTTTGTTTACTGGGATTTTATTTCCGTTTAAACTACTGCCAAAATTAAATAAACAGTTATTCTAAAAAGCACTAGATAACTCCCTATTGGTGTTTGAAGCCCCAATGTGCTTACCGTTGCCTCATATATCAATGCAGGCTTTCCCCAGCTACCAAAGCTGCCATTTGATTCAGATACCCAATCTGCCTCACATGTGCTTGCGGTTGGGGAGTTACATTTGCGGCTATTTATTGGATGCTCAAAGAGATTAGTAAACACACACAGAGCTAGAGGAATTTTATACATTATCCTGATAATAACTAAAGTATTGTTTAGTTGGATGCAAATGAAGGAAATATGTCAAATGACTTACATATCTGACTACTAAAAAAATTATTGTATTATTACAGAGTATTACTGTAGTGTATTATTGTAGTGTATTATTATAGAGATAATAACTTAGATACAATGTTAAGGAAAGTAAAATATTTCATTTTCCTCCAATAACAATAAAGGGAATGTTCTTCTGATTGCAATTAACCTCAGATATTTTTGGATATGATCTATTTTTTAAAAATGATGATACATTTGAAACCAATGTCTGCTTAGAGTAAACACAGTACTTTGTTTATATAAAACCAACAATGCATTAAAATTTTGCCTGTTTGTGTGCTTTATTTGAAATTTCAGTTAATGGTAGTCCAGTGTATTTCAATAATTTTAAGAACACAACACTGCCTCTTTCATGGTGTAACCCACCAAGGTCTCTTGGCTTTAACCTGAGGTCTAGTGTGTGTTATATAATGTCCATTACAACTAGGTAACCAATTGAGTTTTTATTTATCTCTATTCCATATCATATAACATCTCCAGTTGTTTCCTAAGTATGCATAAATGATGTAGCTTACTAATACCCTTGCTTTAAAGTTGTCTTAAGTACCTTCTTTGGACAAAAGGATGCTATGTGTGGTAGTAGCTTCTATCAGAGGGCCTTGGAAATCTTCCTGAGCATGGGTCTCTATTTGCCATCTTGAAATAAACTCCTCAGCAAGATTCCTCAAGTCAGCTTATCCAATAGTGACTTACATGCATACTTAGATCCAAACATGTAGGAGATACATATACACACCAGAAGTGGTAAAACATAATGATTATAAGCAAAGGCATTAGAATCAGATTTCTTGGGGATTTTCAGTTCAACTACTCATCAACTACACAACCTTAAACACCTTATTTAACCATTATATGCCTCAGTTTGGTAATTTTTAAATTGAGAATAATAAAATGCCTATTTAGCAATTATAGCAGGCATCTACTTGAATATTAGACAAGATAATTTGAGTAGAACACTTGGATCATAGTAAACCTTCAATAAAGATATTAGCTATTGCTATATATGTGGTTATGTAACATGTATGTATACATGCATACACATGTGAATGGAAACATAATTATAAATGTGAAATTTTGCACAAGGATGTAATATTCATCCACCTATGACTATAAATCATTTAGTGTTTACGCATAAATGCACATATTTTATGTCCTTATACACAAAATGATCACATTTACATATGTGTAAAAGACATCTATGAATATATGTATAATATACAAGCTTTCATGCATTAAGAATATTCTGTAAATGTTCATAACTCCTACTATTATTTGCAAAAAATTTACCTTATATAATTATGTGTTGTACTCATATTGCATAAGGTGAATGAATTGAAGCTATTGTGATTAACCTTGTAAAATACCTACACCTGTGGCATCAAATGAATCTTCATTTATTTATTTGTTTGATCGCATAATTATTTATACACACTTATTTCTGTCTGTGTTGTAAATAACAAAGTCTAATACAAACTATAATTTTGATTACTTGTATTTTAAGAATTATTATAAAATTTTGCTCTGTTCTACAACTTTTTTCCTACTTAGTGAGTGATATTGGAGAGAAAATGATAATATATATATTTTTCATAACTAAGGGATATAAATTTTAATGAGAGAGATCTTAGTCCATAATTGCAATAAAAAGAAAGATTATTTTTTAACTAAGTAAGCATGTAAGCACTGTTCTGAAGTTTTAGGTTCAATTTGATGTTTATATACAAATATAAAAGTACATATTTCGGATCATCTCTTGACTTTTCTAGATTCTAAATTCTTATGAAGACTTCTATGCAATAATAACTGGGATATTTAAAATATTAATAAAGCCATAATCAAAATAGCTATAATTTATATTTTATGGTAGAAAAAATTCAACTCACATTCATGAATTTTGAATTGATATTTTATTTTCTTATTTGGGAAATTAAACCATTAACTTTTCTTTTAATTTTTTTGTTACTACTTTGAGGTTATAAAGCCTTTGAAATCTTTGTCTATCCCTGCACCGTTTTTTAAAGGAACACATGTAAATGGACTTCTTCCTCATGTGAATGAACATTTTTAAAAATGAAATTTCATTTGAATGTTTAGAATTTAGAAATCCCATCAATCTCCTAAAATAAAAAGCTTTACACTTCTTGAACTACTCAAGTAACCTGCTATGTTAAAACTGCACTTACAATCCTGACTTTTCAAGGTATTTACGGGCCAGTACCCATAATAACTCTTTTAAATTCCAAGTCAGGTCATGATACTGTTCTTGTTAAAACTTCCAATGGCTTCCCATCTCACTGAGAATTTGATTGAAATTGATTAAATGTTTTAATACAAAAGATTTTTGCCTTGGCCTACTAGGCCCTCTTAGACCTGCCCACCTTTCTGGGGCCTCGCCTGATTCCATTCTTTTTATGGCTCCCTCTGCTTATACTGGCCTCTCTTCTGTTTCTTGAATTTGCTTGGAATTCTCTGCCTTAGGACCTTTGCTTTTAATATTCTATCTTTCTTAAAACTTCTTACTCTGAATGTTTATTTATCTCACTCTTTCTACTCTGTACTCAGGTAACACTTTATATTTTGTGAGAATAGCTCTATGCAAAAGAGCACCACTAACTCCCGCACCCCACTGTCACCATTTGTTATATACTTAACTTATACACTTAACTTGCTTTATTTGTCTTTATAGTAATACCTACCTGACATTATATACATATGTATACACACACAGAGATACATATGTATAGTTGTGTATTTATTTACAAAAACTCTCATCTCTAAAATGTATTGTGCTCCATAAGAGCAGGAGCTTTGTTTTGTTCATTGCCATGTCCACAGAGGTCTGACACAAATTAGTTGTTCAACAAATATTGGTTGAATAATTTAACTAACAACTCACTTTCTCACTAGCTTCAATACTTCTCTGTCATGACAGTGAGGTAGGCATCACTCTGAAACTAGAATAGCAAGGCCTTAGGCTCGGGCCATGGCGCTGCCACTTTCAGAGGTATTAGCGTTGTGACCTTCAGCAAGCCACTCGGAAAATATCTAGCATTTTAAGAATTCATGAGTGCTGGAGTTTTATTTGTCTCCTCCAAATCACCAGCAAGTACTCAAGAGAATCACTACTTAAAGGTGAACATAAAGTGATTCATACTGAATACAACATCAAAAAGAAAGGAGCCATAACATCCTAAAAAGAATGATATAAAGATTGAAACAAGCATATGTAGTTGTTACTTTTAAGTAATTGTACAGCTTAACAAGATTATGAACATGTTCAGTTCAAGAGTTTCAGTGATTTTCCCAAGATCATGTGAAAGTAGAGCCAGTACTCCTAATGAGGAAGCCAGTGTTGAGTTAGCAACATACCGAATCAGACTAACGTGAGATTAGAGTTACAAAAACAATATACATCCTTAGGACACATCCTGAAGTTACCAAAGTGTATTTCTGGTGCTAGAGCTCAGGACTTTGCATTTATATAATACTCTTTATCCAAACCTAAGTATTCTAAAATTTAAGAGCTGCTGCCCTGTGCTACTTCTGTAAGTATTACCCTCTTAGGTTGGACAATGTACTGATTCTCTCTTTATATGAACTCTCTCTAGTTATCCGAATGTGCTATGAAGAAGCCAGAAGCAAGGTACTTAGAGCTACCTATTAAAGAAGTTATATCACTTGCAAAACTGGCAGTTTTTCAGCCAGTGTTATAGTACAGTTGCTTTTCTCACCACTCGTGGGCTAACTTTTACATATCTTGCCAGGTTGTCATCAGATTTTCAGATTGACAACCATACATGAGAATTAGCACAGCAGTTAACCTTAGGCCTGCTTTAAAGGCTGGCCATTGATTGGCATCTGGAAACTTAAATTTCAGGAGAATTCCCACAGTGTCCTTACAGATCAGAGTGGCTCAGTCTGCCTAAAAAGTTTATGCAAAACAATATGGCTTTTGCTGAATATCTGCTTTCCTTTTAGGAGTCTGGAATTTTGCTACCTGCTAAGCAGAGGGTTATTTGTAAGGGATCCCGAATATAAATCCTGAGCACTGAGTCTCGAATGAGCTTCATTGGTAGACAAGACAACTCAAAAATAAAATATTTGGGAATACACATAAACAAGGAGATGAAAGACTGTTAGAAGAAAAACTACAAAACACTGCTGAAAGAAATTATAGAAGACACAAAATCTTGTGTTTTCATAACTCATTGCTGGAGGAATTAAGTGAGTAGTGCATCCTGTGTGACGACACTGAAGGAGGACTCTTACGGCTCTTGTAAGATTATGCTTGGTTGCCTTGCACTTTTTCTTTCCCTGATATTGCTTTGTATTCTTTCACTATAATAAATCAACCACAAATAAGACTATATGCTGAATCCTGTAGGGCCCCTAGTAAATCATCAAATCTTGAGGTGATCTGGGGATCCCCAGCATGGTAACTTAATGGCTTATTTCTTCTTTCATTCTGAGCATAAAAGCTGCCCAAGTGGTGCTGGGATAATTGGCAAGCCACATGTAGAAGAATGAAACTGTATCCTCATCTGTCACTTTATTCAAAAATCAACTCAAGATGGATCAAAGACTTAAATCGAAGAGCTGAAATAATAAAAATTCTAGATGATAACATCAGAAAAATCCTTTTAGATATTGGCTTAGGCAAAGACTTCACGACCAAGAAACCAAAAGCAAATGCAACAAAAAACAAAGAGAAATAGATGAAACTTAACTAAACTAAAAAGCTTTTGCACAGCAAAAGAAATAATCAGCAGAGTAAACAGACAACCCACAGAGTGGGAGAAAATCTTTGCAAACTATGTATCCAACAAAGGACTAATCCAGAATCTACAAAGAACTCAAAGAAGTCAACAAGAAAAAAACAAATAATTCCATCAAAAAGTGGGCTAAGGACATGAATAGACAATTCTCAAAATAAGATATACAAATGAACAAAAAAAAATACAAAAAATTATCAATATGACTAATTATCAGAGAAATGCAAATCAAAACCATAATGTGATACCACCGTACTCCTGCAAAAAAATGTCCATAATTTAAAAATCCTAAAATAGTAGATGTTGGCATGGATGTGATGAAAGGGAACACTTTTACACTGCTGGTGAGGATGTAAACTCATACAGCCACTATGGAAAACAGTATGGCAATTCCTTAAAGAACTAAAAATAAATCTACCATTTGATCCAGCAGTCTTACTACTGGGTATTTACCCAGAGGAAAATAAGTCAGTATATGAAAAAGATATTTACACACATGTTTATAGCAGCACAATTCACAATTGCAAAAATATGTGTCAGCCCAAATGCCCATCAATCAACGAGTGGATAAAGAAAATATGGTATATGAATATACCACAGAATACCACTCAACCATAAAAAGAAATGAAATAATGTCATTTACAGCAACCTGGATGGAGTTGGAGACCATTATTCTAAATAAATTAGTTATAAACTTTAAAAAATTAAAATTAAAAAAAATTAATTAATTAACTCAGGAATGAAAACCAAATTGAACAAGCATTTTATCTTCTCACTTACAAGTGGGAGCTAAGCTATGAGGATGCAAAGGTATAAGAATTATACAATGGACTTTGTGTACTCAGGAGGAAGGGTGAAGTGGGGGTGAAGGATAAGTACACATTGAGTATAGTGTACAAGGATCGTGTGATGGGTGCACCAAAATCTCAGAAATCATTACTAAATAACTTATCCTTATTTCCAAATACAACTTGCTTCCCAAAAACCTACTGAAATTAAAAGATGGTAATTCGTAGTGTACTAGCTAATGCAGAAGATAGCAGAAAAACTGAACTCAGACCATTTATTAACTAAATCACAGTGTTGGCCTCAGGCCCTTCTGCATCTACAAGGAAGATAAGAAAGTACAGCTAGGTTGGAATTCAGTAGAAAAGTTGCTATTTTGTGAATGTTAAGCTTAAGAAAATATTCTAAAAGTGACTTTAATTTCAACATCAAAAAGTACTCTTCTGAAGTAATATATTTCTGGATTAAGATAATAACTGAAATATTTAATAGGGATATAATAACTGAAGAAAAATTAAAAATGAAAGCATGTAATTTATTTGCTTTTACGTGTTCTAATTCTGAAGTTTAAACTCATCACATGGCATTGTATCACTCTATTTGGCTCATGGGGCTCCAGTAACATTGGCCTTCTTGATCCTTGTTGATTGCTTCAAGATGCTTTTCCTTGGAGCCTTTGCGCTTGCAGTTCCTCCTACCAGAAGGTTTTTCTTTGATTTATTTATGTCTGTATACTCAGTTGTCGCCCCATCAGTGAGACTTTCCCTGACCCCTTAATTAAATCAAACCACTCCCTTGTACTTCTTAATCCCCATACCCTGTGTCATTTCATTCAAAATTTATCCATTCTGTATTTATTTTATTGATGCAAGGATTATTGCAATGCTAGGTAAGAAAAATAAATAATGGATTTTAAAATATACATATAGAATTAAATTTTTAGCTTACACAATTTTTGTAAAACTATTTTCTAAATCAAATTTGTATTGCATTTTATTTGCTTTAGTGGTGTATTGAGTGCCAGACATATAAAATCTGTAAGTAATTTTGTAAGTCAAATTGTCTCCTTCTTATTGTAAGTTCTACAGGAAGCCAAATGACTATAATAAATGTGTATAAGTCTAGGGAATTCTAACAAGAAAAAACCTCAAAACAACTACAATCGGTATTCCATCATCACTGACAGCTACATTTTGTTGATTCTTCATTACAAGCTCTAACCACTGTGGTAAGTCTTTAAGATATATTACTTTATGTAATTTTTCTAGGAATTTTATTTCTAATTTATATTTAGAGAATCTAAGGTTTGTGGCAGCATAAAACCTGGTCAAACTCAATGTCACACAGCAGTAAGTAATAGAAATGGGACAAAATCTCCAATTTCTGCTGAGTTCCATGACTGACATATTATCCACTCTTGCTATTTTGCTTCTCTACTCATTATCACATGACAGTCTGCACACCCATTATGTGATTTACAATTGACTTAACTGTTGACGGGATAAATCTGGATGTTTGTTTCCTAACCAAGACCTATTTCTTATAATGAGATACTATTTCTAGAAACTCTGCCAACTCAGAAGAGATGATACTCATCTGCATGAAACCCCTGCAAGTCACAGTGTGTAACTAAAGTTTGTGGTGCAAGCTATATTTTGTTCTTTGGATGTAATAAACTTATTTTCATTTTGCTTCCTTTGATGGGGCAATCAACCCGTAATTACTGTTTCCTGTTTACCGGAGATCTGACAATGTCTTCCTTATCTGCTTGTTTCTCTAAAAAGATTAAGTAGTACAAACACAAAGGGCATTTGGCTGACCTTGCCCTATGATTAATTTCATAACAAAGGAGAATCAAATATTTAATTTGTTAATGTTTGACACTTGTTTCACCTTCTAGTTGTAATCAAACTAAAAAGGGGCTTTGTTATATTTTATTTCCCTTTTGAGATTCATTTTACAAGTCATGCTTGAAATGTAATTTCTTCTGTGTTGTATTATAGCAGAATCCTTCTTGGAGGAAGTTCAAATTTGAGGGTGAGTAGAGACTGAGATGTTAGCAAACTGATATCTTTTCTTTGTAGATACTCAACACTGGCATTTGGAATGTGAAAGAATTGGTTCTGTTAATAAGGGAGTTGGTATTTTCTAGTCTGTTCTACATATATCTATACTTGGGTGCTGTTACTACCCTGATTGTTCCTCCTAAATGAATAGGAATATTATAACCTAAAACATATGTCACTTCTATGCCACGTTTTTCCACAAAATCATATTTGACAACTTGTCTAAGCATTCCTTGATTGTCTGCCCTTGCCTAAGCTTGGAAAATAAATATTTAAAATTAAATTGCTGAATAAAAATCTCAAGTGTTATGGAAGAGACAATTGAACAATTACCCTCCAGTTGCAATCTTGGATTACTTTCTATTTCACACTAATAAGGGATTTCATACTCATCCTTGGCCTCATACACTTCTTTCCCCATTATTTGCCATCATTAAGCTTCATCAAGATAATCTTTGCAATATTTCTTAATTCTGTCCTCAAATGTATGTTTCTGCTGTCACTATAGGTTTTTTTTTTGTTGTTGTTGTTTGTTTGTTTTTTTTATCAGTCTTCTGCATTATTGGGCTAACTTAAATCTAACTCCTCAACCTTGTACTTGGCAAGGTCTCCTTTGGATCGCTAAACATTCACTCGCGTCCGTGTGAAGAGACCACCAAATAGGCTTTGTGTGAGCAATAAAACTGTTTATTTCACGTGGGTGCAGGCGGGCTGAGTCCGAAAAGAGAGTCAGCAAAGGGAGATAAGGGTGGGGCCGTTTTATAGGATTTGGTAGATAAAGGAAAATTACAGTCAAAGGGGGGTTGTTCTCTGGCAGGCAGGAGTGGGGGTCACAAGGTGCTCAGTAGGGGAGCTTTTGAGCCAGGATGAGCCAGGAGAAGGAATTTCACAAGATAATGTTATCAGTTAAGGCAGGAACAGGCCATTTTTCACTTCTTTTTGGTGGAATGTCAAAGGTTAAGGCAGGAACCGGCCATCTGGATGTGTACATGCAGGGCACAGGGGATATGATGGCTTAGCTTGGGCTCAGAGGCCTGACATTCCTGTCTTCTTATATTAATAAGAAAAATAAAACGAAATAGTGGTAAAGTGTTGGGACGGCGAAAATTTCGGGGGGTGGTATGGAGAGATAATGGGCAATGTTTCTCAGGGCTGCTTCGAGTGGGATTAGGGGCGGCGTGGGAACTTAGAGTGGGAGAGATTAAGCTGAAGGAAGATTTTGTGGTAAGGGGTGATATTGTGGGGTTGATAGAAGAAACATTTGTCATGTAGAATTATTGGTGATGTCCTGGATATGGTTTTGTATGAATTGAAAAACTAAACGGAATAAGGAGAAAAACAGGTATTAAAGGTCTAAGAATTGGGAGGACCCAGGATATCTAATTAGAGAGTGCCTAAGGAGATTCAGCATAGTCCTGCCAGCAAAGATTATTTATTTAAGAGTTAAGAGTGGCAGTTTGGGGTTAGCACCAGGAGATATCAGCTGTGATGGCTTGGAGAAACAGTGTAAACTGGAAGTGTAAACAAGAGCAGGGCATGTATGAGTAGTTGACAATGGTGAATAGGAGTGTGACTAGACAAAAGATAGGGATGACAAGTTTTTTGGGACACAGTCCAAGTTGGTCTGGTGTCTGGAATGAGACTGGGCCTAATAAAAAGGAGCGTCCATACAGGAGCTTAAATGGGCTGTACCCTGTAGCATTCTGAGGACAGGCCGGAATTCTGAGAAGGGAAAGTGGTAAAAGTATTGTCTAGTCCTTTTTAGGTTGGTGGCTGAGCTTGGTGAGGTGTGTTTTTAAAAGATCTTTAGTCCATTCTACCTTTCCTGAAGACTGAGGACTGTAAGGGATATAAAGATTTCACTGAATACCAAGAGCCTGAAAAAATGCTTGGCTGATTTGACTAATAAAGGCTGGTTCGTTATCAGACTGTATAGGGGTGGGAAGGCCAAACCGAGGAATTATGTCTGACAGAAGGGAAGAAATGACGGCGATGGCCTTCTCAGACCCTGTAGGAAAGGCCTCTACCCATCCAGTGAAAGTGTCTACCCAGACTAAGAAATATTTTGGTTTTCTGACTCGGGGCATGTGAGTAAAGTCAATTTGCCACTCCTGGGCAGGGACAAATCCCCCAGCTTGATGTATAGGAAAGGGAGGAGGCCTGAATAATCCCTGAGGGGTAGCAGAATAGCAGATGGAACACTGAGAAGTGATTTTCTTGAGGATAGATTTCCATGATGGAAAGGAAATGAGAGGTTCTAAGAGGCGGGCTAGCGGCTTGTAACCTGCATGGAAGAGGTTATGAAATGACAACAGAATAGAATGGGCCTGTGAGGCTGGAAGGAGATATTTTCCTTGGTCTAAGAACCATTTGCCTTGTGTGGGAAGAGATTGATAGGTGGAAGTTTCAGCGGGGGCGTAGGTGGGAGTGACCGATGTGAAGGAGAAAAACTGGCCTTGAGGGACACAAGTTGGAATGCTAGCTGCTTGTCTAGCAACCTTATCAGCATAAGCATTGCCTAGAGCAATGGGATCTGACGCCTTTTGATGCTCCTTACAGTGAATGACCCCAGCTTCCTCTGGAAGTAAAGCGGCCTTGAGTAGAGTTTTTATTAAAGAGGCATTAATGATGAAGGACACTTGTGTAGTGAGGAAACCTCTTTCAGCCCATATGACTGCATGGTGGTGCAGAATATGGAAGGCATATTTAGAGTCAGTATAAATATTGACGTGTAGTCCTTTTGCAAGAGTGAGGGCCTGAGTTAAGGCAACTAGTTCGGCTTGCTGAGAGGTAGTGGAGGGGGGCAGAGCGGTAGCCTCAATAACAGATGTGGAAGACACTATTGCATAGCCTGCCTTTGCTGGTGAGCAGCGATTAGGCCTGGTGGAACTGCCGTCAATAAACCAAGTGTGATCAGGGGGAGGAACAAGAAAGAAGGAAATATGGGGAAATGAGGTGAATGTCAGGTGGATCAGAGAGATGCAGTCATGGGGGTCAGGTGTGGTATCAGGAATAATGTGGGAGGCCGGATTGAAGTTCAGGCCAGGAACAATGGTAATTGTGGGAGACTCAACAAAGAGTGAGTACAGCTGAAGGAGCCGGGGAGCAGACAGTATATGTGTCAGGTGTGAGGAAGAAAATAGATTTTGGAAGTTATGAGAACTGGAGAGAGTGAGTTGAGCATAATTTGTGATTTTAAGGGCCTCTAAAAGTATTAGGGTGGTGACAGCCGCCACACGCAGACTTGAGGGCTAGGCAAAACAGTAAGGTCAAGTTGTTTGGATAGAAAGGTTACAGGGCGCGGTCCCGGTTCTTGTGTAAGAATTCCGACTGCACAGCCCTGCACTTCAGCTGTGGGTAATGAAAAGGGTTGGGATGAGTTAGGGAGAGCTAGGTTGGGGGCAGTCTCTAAAGCTGTCTTCAAGGAACAGAAAGAGGAATGGGGAAAGGATTTAGGATCTATGGGGTCAGCTAGGTTTCCTTTTGTGAGTTTATATAATGGTTTTGTTAGGATGGCAAAACCAGGTATCTGAAGTCAAAAGTATCCAACCATGCCTAGGAAGGAAAGGAGTTGTTGTTTTATAGGTGTTGGGGTTTGAGAGATCAGCTGAACAGGATTGGCAGGGACAGCACGTGTGTTTTTATGAGAATTACGCTGAGATAGGTAACAGATGAGGAAGAAATTTGGGCTTGATTGAAGTAATGGGGGCTGTCTGTGAAGTCTTGCGGCAGTACAGCCCAGGTAATTTGCTGAGCCTGATGGGTGTCAGGGTCAGTCCAAGTGAAAGCGAAGAGAGGCTGGGATGAAGGGTGCAAAGGAATAGTAAAGAAAGCATGTTTGAGATCCAGAACAGAATAATGGGTTGTGGAGGGAGGTATGGAGGATAGGAGAGTATATGGGTTTGGCACCACGGGGTGGATAGGCAGAACAATTTGGTTGATAAGGCGCAGATCCTGAACTAACCTGTAAGGCTTGTCGGTTCTAGGACAGGTAAAATGGGGGAATTGTAAGGAGAGTTTATAGGCTTTAAAATGCCATGCTGTAGCAGGCAAGTGATAACAGGCTTTAATAATTCTAAAGCATGCTGTGGGATGGGATATTGGCGTTGAGTAGGGTAAGGGTGATTAGTTTTTAATGAGATGGTAAGGGGTGCATGATTGGTCACCAAGGAGGGAGTAGAGGTATCCTATACTTGTGGGTTAAGGTGGGGGGATACAAGAGGAGGACACAAAGGAGGCTTTGGATTGGGAAGAAGGGTGTCAATGAGATGTAGCTGTAGTCCAGGAATAGTCAGGGAAGCAGATAATTTAGTTAAAGTGTCTCGGCCTAATAAGGGAACTGAGCAGGTGGGGATAACTAAAAAGGAGTGCTTAAAATAGTATTGTCTAAGTTGGCACCAGAGTTGGGGAGTTTTAAGAGGTTTAGAAGCCTGGCCGTCAATACCCACAACAGTTATGGAGGCAAGAGAAACAGGCCCTTGAAAAGAAGGTAATGTGGAGTGGGTAGCCTCCGTATTGATTAAGAAGGGGACGGACTTACCCTCCACTGTGAGAGTTACCTAAAGCTCGGTGTCCGTGATGGTCTACAGGGCTTCCAAGGTGATTGGGCAGCCTCAGTCTTCAGCTGCTAGGCTGAGAAGATCTGGGAAGGAGTCAGAGAGCCTTGGGCCAGAGTTCCACGGGCTCTGGGAGTGGCTGCCAGGTGAGTTGAACAGTCCGATTTCCAGTGGGGTCCCGCACAGATGGGACGTGGCTTAGGAGGAATCCTGGGCTGCGGGCATTCCTTGGCCTGGTGGCCAGATTTCTGGCACTTGTAGCAAGCTCCTGGGGGAGGCAGGCCTGGAGGAACGCCTGGTCACTGCGGTTTAGGCGTTTGGAAGTTCTTGTGTGCTGGAGATGTGGCTGGGGTTTGTCTCACAGTGGAGGCAAGGAATTGCAACTCAGAAATATGTTGCTATTTGGCTGCCTCTACTCTATTATTGTACACCTTGAAGGTGAGGTTAATTAAGTCCTTTTGTGGGGTTTTAGGGCCGGAACTTAATTTTTGGAGTTTTATTTAATGTCGGGAGCAGATTGGGTAATAAAATGTATATTGAGAATGACTGTTGTTGGTGTATAGTAATATTAGTCATTTTTGCACATTGATTTTGTATCCTTCAGAGTTCGATGGAGTTCTTGATAAGAACTTAAGGAGCTTTTGGCTGAGACTATGGGGATTTCTAGATATAGGATCATATTGTTTGCAAACAGGAATAGTGTGACTTCCTCTCTTCCTATTTAGATGCCCTTTCTTTTTTCTATGGCCTGATTTCCCTGGCCAGGATTTCCAATACTATGTTGAATAGGAGTGGTGAGAGAGGGCTTCCTTGCCTTGTTCTGGTTTTCAAGGGAAATGCTTCCAGCTTTTGCCTGTTGAATATGATGTTGACTGGGGGTTTGTCACAGATGGTATTTTCAGGTATTTTCCTTCAATATATGCTTTACTGACAGTTTTTAACATTAAAGGGTGTCAGATTTTATCAAAATTTGTTTCTGAACCTTTTGCGATAATTATGTGGTTTTCGTCTTTAGTTTTGTTTATGTAATGAATTCCATTTATTATTAATTTGTGTAGGTTGAACCAACCTTACATCCCAGGTAAAATGCCTATTTGATTGTGGTGGATAAGCTTTTTGATGAGCTGCTGGATTCAGTGTGCCCGTATTTTGTTGAGGATTTTTGCATCAATATTCATCAAGGATAATGGCCTGAAGTTTTCCTTTTTTTTTTTTTTTTTTGTTGTTGTTGTTTGTTTTTGTACCTCTACCAGGTTTTGTTATCAGTATGATGCTGGCCTCATAGACTGAGTTAGGATAGAATCCCTCCTCCTCAAACTTTTGGCATAGTTTCAGTTGGAATAGTACCAGCTCTTCTTTATGCATCTAGCAGAATTCAGCTATCAATCCACCGAGTCCTGGGCTTTTTTTGATTGGTAAGCTATTTATTGCTGCCTCAATTTCAGAGCTCATTATTGGTCTGCTCAGAGTTTCAACTTTTTCCTGGCTCAGTCTTGGGAGGGAGCATTTGTCCAGGAATTATGCATTTCTTCTAGATTTTCTAGTGTATGTGCATAGAGGTGTTCCTGATATTCTCTAATGGGTATTTGTATTTCTTTGTGATCAATGATAATATCCCCCTTGTCATTTCTGATTGTTATTTGAATCTTCTCTTTTCTTCTTTATTATTCTAGCTCGTGATCTATTTTATTAATTTTTTTTCAAAAACCAGTTCTTGAATTCTTTGATCTTTAAATTTATTTTAGAAGTTGTCACTGGAAATTTTAATTTTAACCATAGCAGTCCATTCATGTAACATGAAGACATCTATCCTTTGCATGTTTACTTATGATCTCTATATTGTAATCACATATTACATTTAAATTTTTTTTTTATTATACTTTAAGTTTTAGGGTACATGTACACAACGTGCAGGTTACTTACATATGTATACATGTGCCATGTTGGTGCGCTGCACCCACTAACTCGTCATTTAACATTAGGTATATCTCCTAATGCCATCCCTCCCCCCTCCCCCCACCCCACGACAGACCCCGGTGTGTGATGTTCCCCTTCCTGTGTCCATGTGTTCTCATTGTTCAGTTTCCACCTATGAGTGAGAACATGCGGTGTTTGGTTTTTTGTTCTTGTGATAGTTTGCTGAGAATGATGGTTTCTAGCTTCATCCATGTCCCTACAAAGGACATGAACTCATCATTTTTTATGGCTGCATAGTATTCCATGGTGTATATGTGCCACATTTTCTTAATCCAGTCTATCATTGTTGGACATTTGGGTTGGTTCCAAGTCTTTGCTATTGTGAATAGTGCCACAGTAAACATACGTGTGCATGTGTCTTTATAGCAGCATGATTTATAATCCTTTGGGTATATACCCAGTAATGGGCTGGCTGGGTCAAATGGTATTTCTAGTTCTAGATCCCTGAGGAATCGCCACACTGACTTCCACAGTGGTTGAACTAGTTTATAGTCCCACCAACAGTGTAAAAGTGTTCCTATTTCTCCACATCCTCTCCAGCACCTGTTGTTTCCTGACTTTTTAATGATCGCCCTACTAACTGCTGTGAGATGGTATCTCATTGTGGTTTTGATTTGCATTTCTCTGATGGCCAGTGATGATTAGCAAAAGAAACTACCATAAGAGTGAACAGGCAACCTACAGAATGGGAGAAAATTTTTGCAATCTACTCATCTGACAAAGGGCTAATATCCAGAATCTACAATGAACTCAAACAAATTTACAAGAAAAAACAACCCCATCAGAAAGTGGGCGAAGGATATGAACAGACACTTCTCAAAAGAACACATTTATGCAGCCAAAAGACACATGAAGAAATGCTCTTCATCACATTTTAAATTTTATTAATTTTTTTCTACAGTGAAGCAACTATGAGTCTATATTGCTTAGAATAATGATTAAATCACTGTTGAATGTACTTGCCTATATTTTGTTGTAAAATATAAATGTAAGATATATAAAAGTATATTAAGCCTTATATATTAACATGGCATACACTCATCAGTAAACATTCATTTTATGATCCTTACAGAGTTCAAATGCAAATAGTTTATTATTAGTGTTTAAAATTAATGCATAGCAAATGCATGTGAAGTTCAAGTCAAAAGTCATAACTGCACAGCATTATGGGAAAAGTTTAAAGATGAATTAGAGTAGACTGTATGGTATAAATGAATATTTGCACTATTTCAAAGTCTGCTTTCAAAAGCCATATTTATTAGAGGATTTTTTTCTACTATATTTTCCTCTTCAATAACTTTTTAAAATCTCACAAAGTGGTAGTATTTATTGTAAAATAAAAATACAACTGAAAGAAGCACACATGCAGGTAAATCTATAGCAGTAATACACAAGATGGCAAGTTCAGTTTTTTTCTCGTGTCTAACAGATTTCCAAAAAAGTGTTTTTCAATACATCTAAAATGACTGCTTACCTGTCTTGCACGAATGTCTTCTGCATCAAAAGTCACAGGTCAGTTTGCAAATAGTTGAAACTTACATCACATCAGAAAGTAAAGTGAAATGACTGCATGCTACAAAAACTAAAGTTGACTTCTTCTACTTTAGTCAACACCATTCTAAAAGAAACTAAATAAGCAGTGATAGTAAAACTGGTATAATGACATATGATTGTGGAAGGAGTGTGAGAGAGACAGGACTAGGGAGAAAATGACAAATTAATCTTTTATCCCATCAGTTAGTTATACACTTTAGAGTGTCAGTAAGACAATTCCAAAGTCCTGGGGAATCTTCTGGATCTTTACAGAAAGATACCTCTATGACTGGTGTGTTTTGATGTTAGTGTGTGGTGTGTGTGTGGTTAATCTTCCATTCATGTAATCATTCCTTGAATACATTTCTTGAGCAGCTCCCTTCTGTCCTGTTTTTGTACCAGGCTCATATCACCTTTATAACACCCATTGTAAAAGTGAGATAGAGTCTGTTGTGAAAGACAAATTTGTCAAATTTAATACCAGTTACTCTTTATTTCACCTTTTATTATGATTATTATTAGAGAGGGTGTATTAGGGTTCTCTAGAGGGAGAAACCTAATAGAATATATGTATATATGAAGAAGAGTTTATTAGGATAATTGACTCATATGATCAAAAGGTAAGGTCCCATAATAAGTCATCTGCAAGCTGAGGAGCAAGGTAGCCAGTCTGAGTCCCAAAACCTCAAAAGTAGGGAAGCCAACAGTGCAGCCTTCAGTCTGTCGCCGAAGGCTCAAGAGCCCCTGGCAAACCATCGTGTAGGTACAAGAGTCCAGGAGCAGTCTAATGTTCGAGGGCAGGAAGCATCCAACACAGAAGAAGGATGGAGGCCAGAAAAGTTAGCACATCTGCTCTTTCCATGCCTGCTTTTATGCTGGCAGCTGATTAAATGGTGCCCACCCAGACTGAGGGTGGGTCTGCCTCTCTCAGTCCGCTGACTTAAATGTTAATCTCCTTTGGCAACACCCTGACAGACACACTCAGGAACAATACTTTGCATCCTTCAATTTAATCAAGTTGACACTCAATATTAAACATCACAGAGGGTATCTCACTGTATCACCCAGGCTGGAATGGGTATACAATCATAGCTCACTACAGCCTCCAAATCCTATCTCAAGCAATCCACCCACCTCAGCCTCCTGAGGAGATAGGGTTACAGGTGTGCCAGGCTTTACCTTTAACTGTAGCAAAATTGATAGTCTCAATCCGAAGTTGTTTTTAGAAATAAATATAATTGCTTCATAAATAGAGCAAAGTTGTAAAATGTAAAGACATGCTTTGCATGTTTTTGTTTTCTTACCCAACTTGCTCATCAAAATCAGTCTATTGTTAATGCAAGCTTCCTGCCAGGTCACTTTTTCTGCAATCTCTGACATCTTCTTCAAGCTCTCTGCCGGTTTTTACCTAAACTTGTGCGCCTATGCAGTTTGCTCATATGGCAGATGTCAAGGATTATGTTAGTCTAATTGGTCAAAGTTATTTTTCTCTGAAAAAGCCTCTCAAGTCAGACTAGGCAGGATCTCTGGGAGGTCAATCCCACTGCAATTCTATCTTAATCAGAACAATAATTAATTTTAGTAAGTTTTTGGCCATTCACAGTTGTTTTATTCCTTCATGCTGCACCTAATTCAAACACTGAGTGAAAGCACTTGTTGACGTTGTCAGAGAGGGGTTACTTGTAGTTTCTGTGATATGGAGAAGTATTACAAAGTATTTAATGAAATGATTGGGAGAACTGTTATTCCTTCTCATAAGTCCCATCTTCTAATCAAAGGCTCTCCTACATGATAAATAGACCCTTTAATCCCTGGTTCTATCTATATCTGCATATCTATAAGTTTCTACATAGATTTTGTATATTATAACTGCATGTACATGGATTTTTTAAATATTAGGGATAAGTACCTTTTTAGTTGTACAATTTTCATCTAAGAAGTAATGTGTCTTTTCCAGAATTAATATGTCACAGATATGTTGAGAGTCAGAGATTCAATCTGGATTTTCTGGCATGAGCTGTGGGATCCTGGAGAAGTCATTTCTCTATTTTGGCCTTCCTCAGTTTCCTAGATGGTCAGATGAGGGAACTAGACTTGGTTAATCTAAAAAATTCCTTCTAAATTTACTCTTCACTAAACCATAAAAAATGATTTTGAAATTTCTTATTTTATTATTTTTATTTTTATTTTTTAAATTTATTATTATTATACTTTAAGTTTTAGGGTACATGTGCACAATGTGCAGGTTAGTTACATAAGTATACATGTGCCATGCTGGTGCGCTGCACCCACTAACTCGTCATCTAGCATTACGTATATCTCCCAATGCTATCCCTCCCCCCACCCCCACCCCACAACAGTCCCCAGAGTATGATGTTCCCCTTCCTGTGTCCATGTGTTCTCATTGTTCAATTCCCACCTATGAGTGAGAATATGTGGTGTTTGGTTTTTTGTTCTTGTGATAGTTTACTGAGAATGATTTCCAGTTTCATTCATGTCCCTACAAAGGACATGAACTCATCATTTTTTATGGCTGCATAGTATTCCATGGTGTATATATGCCACATTTTCTTAATCCAGTCTATCATTGTTGGACATTTGGGTTGGTTCCAAGTCTTTGCTATTGTGAATAATGCCGCAATAAACATACATGTGCATGTGTCTTTATAGCAGCATGATTTATAGTCCTTTGGGTATATACCCAGTAATGGGATGGCTGGGTCAAATGGTATTTCTAGTTCTAGAACCCTGATGAATCGCCACACTGACTTCCACAATGGTTGAAATAGTCTACAGTCCCAACAACAGTGTAAAAGTGTTCCTATTTCTCCACATCCTCTCCAGCACCTGTTGTTTCCTGTTTTTAATGATCGCCATTCTAACTGGTGTGAGATGATAACTCATTGTGGTTTTGATTTGCATTTCTCTGATGGCCAGTGATGGTGAGCATTTTTTCATGTGTTTTTTGGCTGCATAAATGTCTTCTTTTGAGAAGTGTCTATTTATGTCCTTTGCCAACTTTTTGATGGGGTTGTTTGTTTTTTTTCTTGTAAATTTGTTTGAGTTCATCGTAGATTCTAGATATTAGCCCTTTGTCAGATGAGTAGGTTGCGAAAATGTTCTCCCATTTTGTAGGTTGCCTGTTCACTCTGATGGTAGTTTCTTTTGCTGTGCAGAAGCTCTTTAGTTTAATTAGATCCCATTTGTCAATTTTGTCTTTTGTTGCCATTGCTTTTGGTGTTTTAGACATGAAGTCCTTGCCCATGCCTATGTCCTGAATGGTAATGCCTAGGTTTTCTTCTAGGGTTTTTATGGTTTTAGGTCTAACGTTTAACTCTCTAATCCATCTTGAATTGATTTTTGTATAAGATGTAAGGAAGGGATCCAGTTTCAGCTTTCTACATATGGCAAGCCAGTTTCCCAGCACCATTTATTAAATAGGGAATCCCTTCCCCATTGCTTGTTTTTGTCAGGTTCGTCAAAGATCAGATAGTTGTAGATATGTGGCATTATTTCTGAGGGCTCTGTTCTGTTCCACTGATCTATATCTCTGTTTTGGTACCAGTACCATGCTGTTCTGGTTACTGTAGCCTTGTAGTATAGTTTGAAGTCAGGGAGTGTGATGCCTCCAGCTTTGTTCTTTTGGCTTAGGATTGACTTGACAATGCAGGCTCTTTTTTGGTTCCCTATGAACTTGAAAGTAGTTTTTTCCAATTCTGTGAAGAAATTCATTGGTAGCCTGATGGGGATGGCATTGAATCTGTAAATTACCTTGGGCAGTATGGCCATTTTCACAATATTGATTCTTCCTACCCATGAGCATGGAATGTTCTTCCATTTGTTTGTATCCTCTTTTATTTCCTTGAGCAGTGGTTTGTAGTTCTCCTTGAAGAGGTCTTTCACATCCCTTGTAAGTTGGATTCCAAGGTATTTTATTCTCTTTGAAGCAATTGTGAATGGGAGTTCACTCATGATTTGGCTCTCTGTCTGTTGTTGGTGTATAAGAATGCTTGTGATTTTTGTACATTGATTTTGTATCCTGAGACTTTGCTGAAGTTGCTTATCAGCTTAAGGAGATTTTGGGCTGAGACAATGGGGTTTTCTAGATATACAATCATGTCATCTGCAAACAGGGACAATTTGACTTCCTCTTTTCCTAATTGAATACCCTTTATTTCCTCCTCCTGCTTAATTTCCCTGGCCAGAACTTCCAACACTATGTTGAATAGGAGTGGTGAGAGAGGGCATCCCTGTCTTGTGCCCGTTTTCAAAGGGAATGCTTCCAGTTTTTGCCCATTCAGTATGATATTGGCTGTGGGTTTGTCATAGATAGCTCTTATTATTTTGAGATACGTCCCATCAATACCTAATTCATTGAGAGTTTTTAGCATGAAGTGTTGTTGAATTTTGTCAAAGGCCTTTTCTGCATCTATTGAGATAATCATGTGGTTTTTGTCTTTGGTTCTGTGTATATGCTGGATTACATTTATTGATTCGCATATATTGAACCAGCCTTGCATCCCAGGTGTGAAGCCCACTTGATCATGGTGGATAAGCTTTTTGGTGTGCTGCTGGATTCGGTTGGCCAGTATTTTATTGAGGATTTTTGCATCAATGTTCATCAAGGATATTGTTCTAAAATTCTCTTTTTTGGTTGTGTCTCTGCCCGGCTTTGGTATCAGGATGATGCTGGCCTCATAAAATGAGTCAGGGAGGATTCCCTCTTCTTCTGTTGTTTGGAATAGTTTCAGAAGGAATGGTACCAGTTCCTCCTTGTACCTCTGGTAGAATTTGGCTGTGAATCCATCTGGTCCTGGACTCTTTTTGGTTCGTAAGCTATTGATGTTTGCCACAATTTTAGCTCCTGTTATTGGTCTATTCAGAGATTCAACTTCTTCCTGGTTTAGTCTTGGGAGAGTGTATGTGTCGAGGAATTTATCCATTTCTTCTAGATTTTCTAGTTTATTTGCATAGAGGTGTTTGTAGTATTCTCTGATGGTAGTTTGTATTTCTGTGGGATCGGTGGTGATATCCCCTTTATCATTTTTTATTGCATCTATTTGATTCTTCACACTTTTTTTCTTTGTTAGTCTTGCTAGCGGTCTATCAATTTTGTTGATCGTTTCAAAAAACCAGCTCCTGGATTCACTAATTTTTTGAAGGGTTTTGTGTGTCTCTATTTCCTTCAGTTCTGCTCTGATTTTAGTTATTTCTTGTCTTCTGCTAGCTTTTGAATGTGTTTGCTCTTGCTTTTCTAGTTCTTTTAATTGTGATGTTAGGGTGCCAATTTTGGATCTTTCCTGCTTTCTCTTGTGGGCATTTAGTGCTATAAATTTCCCTCTACACACTGCTTTGAATGCATCACAGAGTTTCTGGTATGTTGTGTCTTTGTTCTCGTTGGTTTCAAAGAACTTCTTTATTTCTGCCTTCCTTTCGTTACGTACCCAGTAGTCATTCAGGAGCAGGTTGTTCAGTTTCCATGTAGTTGAGCGGGTTTGAGTGAGATTCTTAATCCTGAGTTCTAGTTTGATTGCACTGTGGTCTGAGAGATAGTTTTTTTTAATTTCTGTTCTTTTACATTTGCTGAGGAGAGCTTCACTTCCAAGTATGTGGTCAATTTTGGAATAGGTGTGGTGTGGTGCTGAAAAAAATGTATATTCTGTTGATTTGGGGTGGAGAGTTCTGTAGATGTCTATTAAGTCCGCTTGGTGCAGAGCTGAGTTCAATTCCTGGGTATCCTTGTTGACTTTCTGTCTCGTTGATCTGTCTAATGTTGACAGTGGGGTGTTAAAGTCTCCCATTATTAATGTGTGGGAGTCTAAGTCTCTTGGTAAGTCACTCAGGACTTGCTTTATGAATCTGGGTGCTCCTGTATTGGGTGCATATATATTTAGGATAGTTAGCTCTTCTTGTTGAGTTGATCCCTTTACCATTATGTAATGGCCTTCTTTGTCTCTTTTGATCTTTGTTGGTTTAAAGTCTGTTTTATCAGATACTAGGATTGCAACCCCTGCGTTTTTTTGTTTTCCATTTGCTTGGTAGATCTTCCTCCATCCTTTTATTTTAAGCCGTATGTGTGTCTCTGCACATGAGATGGGTTTTCTGAATACTGCACACTGATAAGTCTTGACTTTTTATCCAATTTGCCAGTCTGTGTCTTTTAATTGGAGCATTTAGCCCATTTACATTTAAAGTTAATATTGTTATGTGTGAATTTCATCATGTCATTATGATGTTAGCTGGTTATTTTGCTCATTAGTTGATGCAGTTTCTTCCTAGTCTCGATGGTCTTTACATTTTGGCATGATTTTGCAGCGGCTGGTATCGGTTGTTCCTTTCCATGTTTAGTGCTTCCTTCAGGTTCTCTTTTAGGGCAGGCCTGGTGGTAACAGAATCTCTCAGCATTTGCTTGTCTGTAAAGTATTTTATTTCTCCTTCACATATGAAGCTTAGTTTGGCTGGATATGAAATTCTGGGTTGAAAATTCTTTTCTTTAAGAATGTTGAATATTGGCCCCTACTCTCTTCTGGCTTGTAGAGTTTCTGCTGAGAGATCTGCTGTTAGTCTGATGGGCTTCCCTTTGAGGGTAACCCGACCTTTGGCTGCCCTTAACATTTTTTCCTTCATTTCAACTTTGGTGAATCTGACAATTATGTGTCTTGGAGTTGCTCTACTCGAGGAGTATCTTTGTGGCATTCTGTGTATTTCCTGAATCTGAATGTTGGCCTGCCTTGCTAGATTGGGGAAGTTCTCCTGGATAATATCCTGCAGAGTGTTTTCCAACTTGGTTCCATTCTCCCCATCACTTTCAGGTACACCAGTCAGACGTAGATTTGGTCTTTTCACATAGTCCCATATTTCTTGGAGGCTTTGCTCGTTTCTTTTTATTCTTTTTTCTCTAAACTTCCCTTCTCACTTCATTTCATTCATTTCATCTTCCATCACTGATACCCTTTCTTCCAGTTGATCGAATTTCCTACTGAAGCTTCTGCATTCTTCACGTAGTTCTCGAGCCTTGGTTTTCAGCTCCATCAGCTCCTTTAAGCACTTCTCTGTATTGGTTATTCTAGTTATACATTCTTCTAAATTTTCTTCAAAGTTTTCAACGTCTTTGCCTTTGGTTTGAATTTCCTCCCAGAGCTCGGAGTAATTTGATCGTCTGAAGCCTTCTTCTCTGAGGTCGTCAAAGTCATTCTCCGTCCAGCTTTGTTCGTTGCTGGTTAGGAACTGCGTTCCTTTGAAGGAGGAGAGGCACTCTGCTTTTTAGAGTTTCCAGTTTTTCTGCTCTGTTTTTTCCCCATCTTTGTGGTTTTATCTACTTTTGGTCTTTGATGATGGTGATGTACAGATGGGTTTTTGGTGTGGATGTCCTTTCTGTTTGTTAGTTTTCCTTCTAACAGACAGGACCCTCAGCTGCAGGTCTGTTGGAGTACCCGGCCCTGTGAGGTGTCAGTCTGCCCCTGCTGGGTGGTGCCTCCCAGTTAGGCTGCTCTGGGGTCAGGGGTCAGGGACCCACTTGAGGAGGCAGTCTGCCTGTTCTCAGATCTCCAGCTGTGTGCTGGGAGAACCACTGCTCTCTTTAAAGCTGTCAGAGGGGGACATTTAAGTCTGCAGAGGTTACTGCTGTCTTTTTGTTTATCTGTGCCCTGCCCTTAGAGGTGGAGCCTACATAGGCAGGCAGGCCTCCTTGAGCTGTGGTGGGCTCCCCCCAGTTCGTGCTTCCTGGCTGCTTTGTTTACCTAATCAAGCCTGGGCAATGGTGGGCGCCCCTCCCCCAGCCTCGCTGCTGCCTTGCAGTTTGATCTCAGACTGCTGTGCTAGCAATCAGCGAGACTCCCTGGGTGTAGGACCATCCGAGCCATTTGTGGGATATAATCTCGTGGTGCGCTGTTTTTTAAGCCTGTGGGAAAAGCGCAGTATTCGGGTGGGAGTGACCCAATTCTCCTGGTGCTGTCTGTCACCCCTTTCTTTGACTAGGAAAGGGAACTCCCTGGCCCCTTGTGCTTCCTGAGTGAGTCAATGCGTCGCCCTGCTTCGGCTCGCGCACGGTGTGCGCACCCACTGACATGCGCCCACTGTCTGGCACTCCCTAGTGAGATGAACCCGGTACCTCAGATGGAAATGCAGAAATCACCCGTCTTCTGTGTCACTCACGCTGGGAGCTGTAAACCGGAGCTGTTCCTATTCAGCCATCTTGGCTCCTCCCCCTCGAAATTTCTTATGTTTAACAAAATTCTATAAGGAAAGATGGTGAGAAGAATAAGTCCCTCAGAGAAATAATAAGATACACTAATCTGTAGTAGTTCTATTATCAATTATCCTAAGAATCTCTGCTTAACTATCATTTTTAAATAATATTACTTTGATGCCTGTTTAATTAAAACATATAATTTAGAGTAATTGAAATAAAATTTTATCTATAAAAAAATTAAATTACCTCTTTCTGGGAAACTTTAATGCAGGTAGATAGTATCCTCTTAGTCTTGGTCAAAGGAAAGAACCTTAGTATAAAGAAAGATGATGTTCAGGAGAATTTTGTACGCATAGTCTGCAGCAGTCACAATGCTGATAGAAAATAGAGAGCACACTTAAATATTTTAGCCAAAGAGAATTTAATGAAGAGTTAGTTGCAGCAGCTAAAATATCTAACAAGTAATATGAAGCCCCTAGGGTCTGGCGACATCAAGAAGTTGTTACCACATTTAGATAGAAAGGAACGAGAGGAACTAATAATTACTGAAGTTTAATGAGCTTGGAGAGAGCATAAAGCAATTTTAAAAAATGAGCCACCCTATAAAAGCTTTTACCTAGAATTTGGTAGAACCACCACTGTGTTTCTTAGTGGAAATGTTCCTAGCTTGACCAGTAGGCCTCCATATCCACTGACTGAAAAATAAAAGGAGTAGGAAACAAAATATATTTAGAAGAGAGACTTTGAAATATCTTGTTGTTATTGTATTGCTGTGTGCTTTTCTCTTCTGAAGTGTCAATGTTTGCCTTATATGTTTAAATGCTTTTATGTTGGGTGCTTATATATTTATAATTGCTATGTCGTCCTGTTGAATTACCCTATTTATCTTTATGCAGTGACCTTCTTTGTTCTTATGATAGTTTTGGATTTAGAGTCAGCTTTTCGCCCCGGTCTGTTTTGGTCATTATTTGCATTAAATAACTTTCTCCAATTCTTTACTTTCAGCCTATGATTGTCCTTAAAATCTAAACTGAGTCTGTAGTGGACAGTATATTCTTTAGTTGTTGTTGTTTTTCATTTAGCCACCCTATGTCATTTAATTGGGGAATTTATTCCATTACATTTCAAGTAATTATTTGTAGTTAAAAAATTGCTATTGCTATTTTGTTAATTACTTTCTGTTTATTTTGTAGTTTTCTTGTCCATCTCTTGCTAATTTTGTTGTGGTTTGATTTACTTTGGTAGTGTTTTTTTTATCTTTTCCCTTTATCTTTCATGTATCTACTGTAGATTTTTCTTGGTGATTATCATGAGGCTTGTGTAAACATTTTCTAGCTATACAAGTCTTTTTAACTCTTTTCCCATTGGCCCCAAGAATACTGCTCCCCCTACTTCAAATGCAAGTCCCTGGTTGGGACCTGAAATTGTAGGTGTGGGACATGATGGTGGGCCCATTTAAGTCTTTAATTAATTTGAGTTAATTTTTGTGTATGATGAGAGATAGGGGTCCAGCTTCATTCATCTTCGTATGAATAGCCAATTATTACAATATCATTTACTGAATAGAGAGTACCTTCTGAAATTGTTTTTGTCAATTTTGTTGAAAATCAGATATATGTAGGTGTGTAGCTTTATTTCTGGGTTCTGTGTTCTGTTTCCTTGGTCTATGTGTCTGTTTTTGTACCAGTACCATGCTGCTTTGGTTACTGTAGCCGTATATTACAGCTTGTAGTTGGGTAATGTGATGCCTCTGGCTTTGTTCCTGTTGCTTAGGATTGCTTTGGCTATTCAGACTTTTTAATGGTTCTAGATACATTTTAAATAGTTTTTTTCCAATTCTGTGAAAAATTACATTGGTAGTTTGATGGGAATTGCATATTATCTGTAGATTACTTTGGACAGTATGGCCATTTTAACAATATTGATTATTCTATCCCATAAGTATGGAATTTTTTTTATTTGTTTATATCATATATGATTTCTTTCAGCATTGTTTTGTAGTTATTATAGAGATCTTTCACTTTCTTGGTTAGATGTGTTCCCAGGTATTTTATTTTTTGTGGATGATGTATAAATGGCATTGTGTTGTTGATTTGGCTTTCAGCTTGAATATTATTGGTGTATAAAGATATTACTGATGTTTGTACATTGATTATGTATCCTAAAACTTTATTAAAGTTTGTTATAAGTTCTAGGAGCCTTTTGGCAAAATCTTTAAGTGTTATGTTTTCTTTTCTAGAGAATAATGTAATCAGTGAAAAGAGATAATTTGTCTTATTTTCCTATTTGGAGGCCTCTTATTTCTTTTGTCTGATTGACCTGGGTATGACTTGTAGTACTATATTGAATAGGAGTGGTGAAAATGGGGATCCTTGTCTTATGTTCTTAAGGGGAATCTTCCAGCTTTTACCTATTCACTACTATGTTGGTTATGGGTGTGTCATAGATGGATTTCATTATTTTGAGGTATGTTCCTTGAATGCTTAATCCGTGGAGGGTTTTCATCATGAAGGGATTTGGGATATTATTGAAAGCTTTATCTACATCTATTGAGATGATCATATGATTTTTGTTTTTAATTTTGTTTATATTGTGAATTACATTTATTGATTTGTATATATTGAACAAAACTTGCCTCCCAGGAATAAAACTCACTTGATCATAGTGAATTAACTTCTTGATGTGCTCCTAAATCTGGTTTGCTCACATTTTCTTAAGCAGTTTTTCATCCTTGTTCATCAGGGATATTGGCCAGTAGTTTTCGTTTTTTCACTTTGTCATTACTAGATTTTAATGTCAGAATGATGCTGATTTTGCAGAATGAATTAGGGAGGTGACCCTCGTTCTCAATTTCAGAATAGTTTCAGTAGGATTGGTACAAGCTATCGTTTGTACGTCTGGTATAATTTAGCTATGAATCTATCTGGTCTGGGCTTTCTTCGGTTAGTAGGTTTTTAAATTCTGATTCAATTGTGGGATTCATTATTGGTCTTTTCAGGATTTCAATTTCTTCCTGATTCAATCTTAGGAGGTTGTGTGTTTTCAAGAATTTATCCATTTCCTCTATATTTTCTAGTTTCTTGGCATACAGGTGTTCATAGTAACGTCTAAGTATATTTTGTATTCCTATGGGATGAGTTGTAATGTCATCTTTTTCATTTCTGATTATGCATATTTAGATCTCTCTTTTTTTCTATGTTAGTTTCACTCGTGGTCTATCAAGTTTATCCTTCGGAAAAAAACATTTTCATTTTGTTCACCTTTTTATGGATTTGTGGGTCTCAATTTTGTTTTAGCTCTGCGAGGATTGTAGTTATTTCTTGTCTTCTGCTAGCTTTTGGTTTAGTTTGTTCTTGTTTTGCTAGTTACTCTAGGTACAATATTAATTTTTAATTTGAGATATTTCTAACTTCTTGATGTAGGTGTTCGGTGCTATAAATTTCTTGTTAATACTCCTTTTGCTTCATCCACAAGATTTGGTTTGTTGTCTCTTATATCAAAGAATATTTTTATTTCTGCCCTAATTTCATTGTTTACCCAAAAGTCATTCAGAAATAAATTGGTTAGTTTCCATATAATTGTATGTTTTTGAGATATCCTCTTGAAGGATATCTCTTGGTATTGATTTCTAATTTAATTCCACTGTGGTCTGAAAATATGCTTGATACACCTTTTATAGTTTTGAATTTATCGAGGCTTGCTTTATTTCCAAGCATGTGGTCAATCTTAAAGTATGCTTTATGTGCAAATGAGAGGAATGTGTATTCTGTGGTTCTTGGGTGAACTATCCCATAGATATCTATTACATCCAACTGGTAAAATGTCAGATTTCAGTCCAGAATTTCTTGGTTAGTTTTCTTCTTCAGTGGTCTATCTAATGGTGCCAGTGGGGTATTGAAGTCATCCACTATTATTGTGTGGCTGTCTAAGTCTTTTTGTAGGTCTAGAAGTACTTGTATAATGAATTTGTGTATTCCAGTGTTGGCTGAACATATATTTGGGACAGTTAAGGCCTTCTTGTTGACTTGAACCCTTTTTCATCATATAATGCCCTTCTTTGGATGTTTTTACTGTTATTGGTTAAAAGTCTGCATTCTCTGATATAAGAATAGCCACCTGTACCCCATTTTGTCTTCTGTCTATGTGATAGATTTTCTTGCTCTCTTTGCCTTGAGCCTATGGGTGTTGTTATATGTGAGATGGGTCTCCTGAAGATTGCAAAAGGTTGGGTCTTGTTATTTTATCCAACTTGCCTCTCTGTGCCTTTTAAGTGAAATGTTCAGAACATTTACATTAAAGGTTAATATTGATATGTTAGGTTTTAATCCTGGTGTGGTATTGCTAGCTGGTTGCTTTGTAGTCTTGATTGTATTTGCTTTATAAGGTCTGTGGGTTGTATAATTATGTATACATGTTTCTATGCTAGCAGGCATTGTTCTTTTGTTTATGTGTTTATTGCTCCCTTAAGTATCTCTTGCAAGGCTTGTTTAATGGTAATAAATACCCTCTGGCTTTGATGAAACTGAATTCAAACTTGGACTCTAGAGGGTACTGAATGTAACCCAGAATTGGCCAATCTGACCTCCATTTCCACAGCAGCAATCACATTTTCAGTGATTGATCCTGACCCAAACCAGGCCAATAGAATTAATCTTAGGACTTTGGCTAAGATTATTGGGAAGGCAAGTCTTCTTTCTGCTGAGATTTTGGATGCAGTAGAATTTCATCTTACGGCTGGTGAACATTTTTGTTAGTCAAACAAAGTCTGACTTAGAAAGAAATTTTCCAACAAAAAGGAAAATTATGTGGAGAGAAATGATTTACAAATAATAATAAATGTAAAATATTATTTGTTTTAAATTTCCTATAACAAATCAATTTTTCCATAATGCCTTTGTTAATTTTTCTACCCTTTTATATTATAACCAAACTATGGTTATAATTAAAAAACAAACATAATTTTGACATTTATTGACTGAACTTTTCAGTTGTATTAATGTACAAAATGAAAAGGAAACAAGAAAGACATGCAAAATCTTTATTTGTTCATCACAGATACAAATGAGTTTTACTGAATTACATGAAATATTGAATGCTAGAAGACTATTTCCTCAATTTTTGTGTTATCCCTATGTAATAGCTAATGACAGTGCACTTTTAGTTTAATTTACACTTTATACTTTTCCTGTCAGTAGACACAATCAATAGAATCAAGCTCTAACTTGTAACATTTACCAATTTACTATTTTATAAATTTGTAAATTTTCACAATGGCCTATTTTAACCTACTAATATGATATTACTGAACATTGTACACTGGAAGAGAGCTGTATTTTCACCTTATATATACAATAAAGTTATTTCAATTGTACTGATTATATTAAACTTAGTAATATAATTAGGAAATTTAGAATTTCTGAGTATGTATTATCTTTATTTTTTAAATATACACTTAAATGTATATTTAAGTGTAAATTTAGACATATATTTTAAAATAATGGCTATGCTAATAAATTTAACAATTTTAAAAATCCCCTAAATTTAATAATTTTCATACTAGACGTCTTTTTAGAGTTACAGTTTCTAGACTTTACAGTAGTTACTTTTGAGTAGCAAATGAGATAAATTAAAAAGAAAATTATAATTTAATTTCAATGAAAAGGAAAAGTCCATTTGGTACCAGTAAATTAATGATGGTACTTAATCTCTTTTCATATCAGTTTCCTTATATGTAAAATAAAATTTATAAAGTTATACTCTTTATGAGAATACTTGCAGAATTAAATCAGGATCATGAAATTTTTTAACATAGTTCATTGATATAAACATCGAACTGTCTATCATTATCATTACTGTAATTATAACCAATTACTTTAGGTCCTGCAGTTAAGGACATTAGCTCCTAAGGTAGTGCCTACTCTTTTGCTCATAGTGTGAGAAATACAAGTTTGGCCCATTAACTTGTCTGTGCAAAGTAGTATCCTTTTAATAGATTCACTCATAAGGCTTCTGTGACATGCTGTTTTCTGGCTGAAACTTAATTTGCAGTTGTGAAACTCCAGCCAACTTCTAATCCTTAGTTCTCTGAACCCTTCATACATTTAGGTAATTCCTAGTACCTTCAAAATGTTTCTTTGCATGTATTATCTATTGCCCAATTATTTACTCGCAATAATTCCCCTGGGAAATCCTGTCATTGGATTAAGGAGTTTATGTGTTATAGACAGATTCATTACTGATGGACAAGCAAATAAACATGTAAATAATCTACTCATTTTTTAAATGCAAATCAGCTGTAAGTTTCATTTATCCCTCTGCCTAGGAGCATTGTGTTAGGTAAGATTGGAGTTAGGCTGATTGATTCAACATGGAGAGTTATTCAAACATGGAGCCTGCCCTTCAATAGTGTTTCAATCACAGGTTGAAATTATTCATAAGGAAAGCATTCATTGAGTGTCCTTTTTCTCCAAATTCAAGTTAAAACTGGATAAAGTAACTTTATACATATACAATTTTATAAACTGTAAATTTAAATAGAAGTGTTTACAAGGTATTATTTCTAAAAAAAATCAAAATAGTTCTTTAATAAATTAGCCTAAATATAAATGTTTTTAAAATACAGTCAGTATTAAATCATTACATGATATTTTATTATATGGATTGAGATTTACAGTTGTAGATTTTGTAATAGAATCTTCCTCACTTTTTAAACTTCATACTCAGGTAATCTTAGGTTCCTCTGGGTGAAATTATAGTCTTTAAATATCCTCATTCTGGTCATGATACTGATTCACTAAATAAAAGGGTTTATTAGTTTCAAGGTCCATTTCTGAATCTTTAATTCACTTTGTCAGTGGACTTAAAGCATTTTTTAAATAAATTATTCTTCCCAAACTGAAGTGTTACTACATGTGGAATGTATTAGAGCAACAGTCAACGTAAGCAGATAAGAAACTTTAGATAATATGACAAGGGTTAAAACTTGAAATAATTGTTCCACAGTCATAATTTTGATACATGCAGGGGCTAGGATCTTGAAGTAATCATTTTGAATCAATACATTTTTATTTTTTTACTTAAAATGTACATATCAGAATTATAAAATATACTAAATAAAATGATAAAAATTTATATAATATAAACTAAGTTAAATAAGATGTGCTTGGCACAAGAATTGCATAGATTCTAAGAGATATGATTAAGATTTTTTGATAAATAAGGTAAGAGGAAGCTTGATGTTATAAAGAGAAAAGAGATAAAAAGTACAAATATCGATTCACATATTTCCTTTAAAAATCTTAGCACATAAAATGTAACAATGAAATCTCAAACCTTAGAAATGAATTCTGGTCTAATGGGGACAATGTTGACATTTGTGTAACATACAGCTAATGTTGGCAGGTCAAAAAATTGTGAAATGTACTGATGAGATCTAGTATAAAATTACTGTGAATAGAGCTAATGACAGATTTTTGGTATGTTAAGAAAAGAAATTAAATTTCCCACTGCTTTCACTGAGAGTAAATCCACATATCTAGACTTGGGCATTTTAGTATATTCATTTTTTTTTTCAAAATGTTCACTGTCCCTCTCCTCCTCTTTGGAAAGGTTATTTTAACAGTTAGGTTGATCATGCATGTTTTGTAGTCAATGGAGCATTAACAGATATGAGGTGAGCAGAGACTTAAAATGTGCTTGTGCTATTTGGCTTGTCTTTTGCAACTCTGCTATATCCATGAGAAAGTAACTGTTTCTCAGATAGTCATTACCCTTCAATCTGAAACCTACAATAAACACATCCTGAGCAGATCCGAATGAAACTTATAGCTAAATATGCAGCTAGAAGCAGAGTCTCCCAACCAAACCTAGCCTGTATCGGTAGTTACTCCAGCCATTATACAACTGTGTGACATAGAATAAGTTATTGTTCCTTTAAGTAACTGAGTTTGTATAGTTTGTTATGCAGTATTTTACCCAATAATATATGTTAGTCAGAAAAAGGACATGTTACTGTAATAAAAACCTCAAATATGTGGCAGTGGAATTTGATAACAGGTGGAGAGTGAGAAGGTTGTTAAGCAACCTATCTTTATCTGAATTATTACTTAGAGAAAAGAAAAATAGTGTAAGAGTTTATTATCCAACTGTATTAAGAAATCTTTGAAGGGTTATGCAAGAGGGACAATTGAAAACATAAGGTTATTGTTAAACTTACACATAAGGATGACACTAAAATATGTAATAACTGGAAAAGAATGGGGATACAGCCTACATGGGTACAACAAATCCAAATGGATTTTGGCTATGAACAACTGCTATGGCTATAATGGTTAAAATCAAATTTAACACATATTTCAATTCCATATTGCTTATCACTCCACAGATTAGACAAATTCTGCTGTGTTGATCAAAACAAAAGACAACAGGAGCCCCCACCTTCCCACAGACACAGCAGGAGCCTTAACCAGCTGTACTAGCTGTAGCAGGCCTGTTGCCTGTGGATCCAGAAGCAGCCCCACCCACTCACAGACCCTGAAACCAACCCTGTCCAACCATAGATACACTCCCAGCCTCACCTTCTCCCTACCTGTCTATGAACCAGCAGCCTGGTCCACATATGGATCCCTGACAGCAGACCTATCCATCCGCAGATCCTGGCAGTAGGCCCACACTTGCAGTAGGACTTCCTACAAATAATTCCACTAGGCTTACCCATAGATACCGCCAGTCAACCCCCAGAATCTCTGATAAGGCTGACTGATTAAGGTCTTTCCTTAGCAAAACTAGTTGGTGAAGCCTGGAAAACATGACTGCCTATTCAAATGCACAGATGTCAATGCAAAGGCATGTGAATCATGAAGAATCAGAAAGCATGACACCACCGAGGAAACCTAATAAAGCTCCAGTAACTGATGTTAAACAAATGGAGATTCACAAACTGATTGTTATAGAATTCAAAAATAACCATCTAGAAAAAAGCTTAATGAGGAACAAAACACAGATACAAAATGAAATCAGGAAAACTATGCATGAACAAAATGAGAAGTGTGACAAAGAAATACAAACAATAATGATTAACCAAATAGAAATCAAACAGAAATCCTGGAACTAAGGAGTACAATTACTGAACCGAAAAATGAAATAGAGATCTTCAAGAAGAAAGAATCAATGGACTCAAAGATAGGTCATTTAAAATTATTCAATTAGAGGAATAAAGAGAAAAAAATAAAAAGACTGAAGAAAGCTTATAGGACCTGAGTGGAATCATCAAATAAAACAATATATGCTTTATGGGAAACCAAGAAGGAGAAAAAAAGGGAAAAGGGCAGAAAGCTTATTTAAAGAAATAATTTGAAATAACATTTCAAATCTAAGAAGGAAAATGGACATTCAGATTTATGAAGCCAAAAAATCTCCAGGAATTTGGATCTAAAGAGAACCACACTGAAATACAACATAATTAAATTTTCAAAAGTCAAAAATAAATAATTATAAAAATTATCAAGAGAAGAAAACGAATCATATAAAAGGGAATGTCTATGGATTATCATTGGATTTCTCAGCAGAAACCTTGGCAGTCGGGAGTGAGGTAATATATTCAAAGCACTGACAGAAAAGAAAAATGACAGCCAAAACTTCTGTAGCTAGCAACATTATCCTTTTATAATGAAGGAGAGATAAGGCTTTCCCAGACAACCAATGGGAAAGTTCATCACCACGAGATCTTTCTTACACAAGATATAAAGTTAGCTGTTCAAGTTGAAACAAAAAGACATTGAACAGTTATATTGTTTGGTTCTGTGTCCCCACCCAAATCTTATGTAAAATTGTAATTTTCATTGTTGGAGGAGGAGCCTGGTTGGAGGTGATTGAATCATGGGGGTGGTTTCAATGGCTTAGACCCATCCCCCTAATCCCGCTTTTTAAAAAGCGTGTTCACGTCCTCTTCTCCCCTCTCCTGCCACTATGTGAAGACATGTTTATTTCCCCCTCACCCTTCTGCCATAATTGTAAGTTTCCTGAGACCTTATCCTGTGACTGTGCCACCAGGTGCCCAGATGTTTTGTCAGAATTACTCTGGGTGTTTATGTGTAGGTGTTTTTGGATGAGTTTGAAATTTAAATCAATAGACCGAGTAAAGCAGGTTGTCCTTCATAATGTGAGTAGATGGGCACCATCCAATCAGTTGGGCTGAATACAACAAAAGGCTGATCCTCCTCTGAATAAGATTAAATTTCTCCTACCTGACTGTCTTTGATCTGGTACGTTGTTGTTGTTGTTGTTGTTGTTGTTGTTGTTGTTTTTCTGCCTTCAGACTTAAACTGAAATATAGGCTATTCCTGGGTCTGAAGCCTCCTATCCATTGGAAGAAACTACATCTTTTGCTCTCCTAAGATAAGTTATGTTCTCTAGATGAAATCTGGGACAATCATGTTCTCTCTTTGAAGAGACTGGAATTAGGACAAAGATTAGTTGAGTCAGTCTCACTGTGCATGTAAATATAGGAGCTCTGAAGGGTCATGTTTCTACCACATAGGTCACAGAAGACTACAGGCCAAAGGAGTGAAAGAAAGATAATTGATATTGATTTTTAGAGAGAAGCAAAGGCTGAAAAAAAGAATGTTAAATTTAATAGTCTCCAATTTCTTGTTTTTCCTGAGTTCTTTTCTGTAGTTCCTTCGATGAAAAACAGAATATCTTTACAAGAGATTACTAGTTTGTTTCAGATACTTTAAATTGGTTGCTACTAAAATTATCTTGATTTTATCCTGACTGAAATATTTCCTATGTTTAAATTCCCCAACATAATATAACCTAGGCAGAAACCATAGAGTGATTCAAGTCCTCTCTATCATAGTGTGTAAATGTAGCGGCAGTGCCAAATTCTCAAGACTGCATGTCTTTCACAGCTCACAATGATGTGACAAAAATATTAGTGTCCAAAGTAAATCATTTATTTTTTTCTATTTGTTATTAAAAATAAACTGTTGACAAATTAAATTTAGCAGAGGCTATTTGAGTAAAAAACAATGCATGAATTGGGGAGTACCCTGAATCAGAGGAAGTTCACAGGACCCCGGCCTAGCAATGTGAGCAGTCAGTGAACTTTTATAGAACGAAGACAGAAACAAAGTTGAGAAATCACCTGATTTATATATCTTCCTTATTTGGGCTGGTGTGATGAATTGGCTATCTACCTGCAAGTGGCTGAAACATGGCTGCTTGTGATTTACTAAAACTCAGGTGTTTTTTATACTTCTTAGGTTTCAGTTTGTTTACGTACTATGTTAGCTTGCAATTTGCTACGTAGGAAGTCAAGGTAAGAAGGCAGCCTTAGGCCAAGTGTAACTTAATTTTATATTTTGAAATAAGGCAATACAAAGATGAAAAGAGTCAAATAGGGAGTTTGTCTGCCTTGGTCAAATTCTAGTTTAATATAAACTCTCTGATTTTGCATGGCTTATTGTGTACCTTTGCACGTCTTTTCTTATATTTAAATTAGAAATAATAACCTGTCTCATAGGGTAGTTGTGAGATTTGATTTAAAAATGTAGCACACTTAGAAGAGTACCTTAGAAATAGCAAACATATAACAAATGTTAAATTTGTTCATTTTCTTAATGATCAAAAATAGTATATCCATTAGGGTTATTTGGCGATATCAATATAACCCGTTTGGCAAATTAAAAAATACACACACACATCCACCGCTCTCTCTGTCTCTCTTTACACACACACACACACACACACACACACATACACACAGACCCACACAGAGTTGGCTGTCCATATCTATGTCTTTGGCATCTGTGGATTAAAACAACTGTGAATCAAAAGTATTCAAAAAGAAAGTGTCTGTACTGAACATGTAAGTATTTCTTTGTCATTATTCCCTAAATAAAATTGTATAATAACTATTTTCATAGTTTTATATTGTATTCACTATTAGTAGTAATCTAGAGATTATATATATATTATATTAATAAAAATCATAACAGTGAAACAAAATCCAATAATATTACTAAAAGGCCCTAGGAAATAGTATATGAGCAGTGGTGTCAGGGTATTTGTATGTATTTCCAAAAAACCTAAAGCACACAAAAGTGTGTTTTCCCCATTGAGTTTTAAAGAAATTTATTTTCCTGTTTTTCATAAAACTTCAGTGGTAGAGAACTGGTTTTTGACAGATCATCTTGTGCATCTTAGACATGGACCTGTATCAAATAGCTCTTCTAAAATACTTTTGTGACAGTCTCATCCCGAAGCAGGCAGAAAAATAAGTGAAATAACAAGAAACAATTTGTTTATAGAAATTGTTTTTTCATTGATTGACATCTGAACTCAAAAGATATATCGTTTCATTTTCCCCTAGTAGGGTGAATCACATCTGGCAACCTAAATTCTACTAAGTCAAATATTCCTTGTTTTGTCTGATAAACTGGAAGATATTTTATATGTGAAGACACAAAGAGCATAGATTCATGTTCCAAATTAAAATTATCATGATTTGCCGTGCAATCTGTAACAAGCCAGTTAATATAGGTTTGTTGTGCCTCTTCACTAATTAGTAGATAACTTGAAAACTTTTGTCCAAAAATTAGAACCTTTGTAATATTTCTTAGTTTCCCCCTGCTCCTTTCAGCTTTCTGGAACTTATTTGTAGAGATTCTTTCTTTGACACCGACTAAAGTTATTAGCTAGAATATTAATAAGGAAGAAATATGCATTGAAAATAGAGAATAACAGAAATAATGATTTTTCTACTATAATTTGAAGCTTTAGAGTGGGGAAGGGAAAGTTGATTATTATGTCTATTCTATTGTATGATTTAAAAATAATTTCAAAGTTTCATTTTTTATATTTTGATAGTTTTATATAAACTAAGACAGAAATCAGTTGTTCAGCTGAAAGCAATGATTAAATCTTACAAATTAAATTATCTTAAAGAGAAAGTACTGCATTTCATTTTCAAAGATAAAATTCAATTGTGGTCAAACTAATAAGGCTTAGAATCCTTCATGTGTAGAAAAGAAATAGTGCTTAGAAATTTTCATCCAACAGATTTAGACATTGAAACCAAGATCTTTCACCTTTATAGCCAAGTTTTGGATACTTTAATTGTCCTCTATTATAGCTAAAATATCAAAGAAATGAAATCTCAACGAAAGCTTTTGGATGTTGGGTATGTTTCAAATTATTACCTGCTATGTTTAACTTTTTAAAATATGCAAAAAATTATGACCTTAATGTAAACATCTTAGTAAAGGGTTTCCACTTCTGGCAATATTATTGAAAGTCAAAGAGCAGTGGAAAAAAATGCAAGGATATTACTAAAAGGTATCGGAAAATAGTATCTAAGCAGTATTTGTTTTAGAAATGTTAATATAGAAGGCAAAAACAATATAGTATGTAGGTAACTCGTACTGCATTAAATATTGTATTGCTGAAACGAGACAGTTCCCTGATTCCCCTCACAGGACATGCGAAAGGGGTGTGACTCATCTGTTTCGTGGCCCCACAGCTCCAACCCTTACGGGGAGCATGCAGATGGGCAAGTGCAGAGGCCCGGGTGAGTGCTTAGGGCTCTTGGTCACGCGGTAGTGTCTAGGGGTGGGTGCCTGCAACCCCAGTGTTACCAAGCTGTTTCAGCTTTGCCGTCTGCAGACGTCTTGTGTATTAATCAGCTCAATGGACCCTCTACCTTATCGCAAGAGCAGCGGGACAGTGTGACAGCTTTCTGTATCCTGAGAACTTGCCCAGTGCCCTGAATAAATTGGATCACGCGAGGGCTCGAAGGATGAGTGAAAGGTGTTATTGAGTGGTGGATGTGGCTCTCAGTGAGATTGATGGAGATCGGGAAGAGGGGATGGAGTGGGAAGTGGTCTTCCTCTGGAGTCGGGCTGCCCCGTGGTCGGACTCTTGTCTGACCGCCCAAGTTAACTGAGCTCCCCTTGGCGTCTAGACATCCCTCCTCTTCTTTCTTTCTCTGCCGTGTCATTCCACCGTCGCTCCTCTGCTGGTCTGCTGGTCTACTGGTCGGCCCTGGAGCTTGGGGTTCAAGGTTTATATATGGGCAACATAGGGGATGTGGTGGGTTAAAAGGCAAGTTTTTGGGAGCGGATACGGAAATGCCTGTTCTCATTTAGGGCCGTGTATATCCTGGCTTGAGGGTGGGGTCTTTGCTAGAGAATCGCACTCTTCTACTCAGTATTTCCCTGTTTCCTGTTTATATCATCACTGTTAGAAAAATGTAATCTTACTTGAGTTTTTTTGTGAAAAGTATTCTATCCTCAAGGAGCATATCTTCACCTCCTTAAACATAGGATGCATATAGTGATTTATTTCCAGAGTACAACATGGAAAGAAAAAATGATGTAACTTTACCGTATAGAATTGTGACAAAAACTACCTCAGCTAGGCTGATCAAGGTCAACATCAGCAGTGGTAAATCATTTTGATAGTGTGTATTCTTGAAAGAATATAAGGATCAAGCAGAGGAAGAGGAACTTTTTCTTTCTCAGACTTTTATTGCATTCAGGTCCTCAACAGATTAAATGAGGCCTGCCCTCATGTGGGAGGGCAATCTGCTTTACCAAGCCTACTAATTCAGTTGCCTTTGTTATCTAGAGACACCTTCACAGACATACCCATAAATATTGTTAAGCCAAATATTGGGGTACCTCGTGACTCTGTCAAATCGCACATAAAGTTATCGCTTAGACTATCATAATCAAGAGTAGCCTAAGGAGACATAATGACTAAATGTAATATGTATCCTGGATGGAATCTGGAATAAAAAAAGGACATTAAGTAAAACCAAGTATATATGAATAAAGAATGGAGTTTAGGTAATAACAATATACCAATATCAGTTCATTAATTGTAACAAATATACCATACTAATGTAAGATACTAATCATAGGGAAAATTGGTACATGATGTATGTGGGAACACTGAAATATATTTGCATTATTTCTGTAAATATACAAAGTCTTAAATAATGTCTATTAAAAATGAACCCAAAATTAAGAATTTAGTTCTTTAGTTGCTGTAACCACAATTCAAATGATCAATTATCACAAGTGGGTAATGGATGCCTCCATGGACAGTTCTCATGCAGAATATCACTGAAAAGTCTATTGAACCGTATTGTATATATGTTCTGTGTTCTTACGTAATCTGCTGTGCCAAATATCTGCAACAGAGTACGTCATCATTACGTGCTATATTCACACATTTTGGTTTGTTCAGAAAATCCTCAGTTATTATTATTTTAAACCTAAATTCAGTGTAATTTTAACAACTGAAAAGCAGAATGCCTGACTGTCCTCTGGTAGGAAGGGTACAAGTATTCTTTCTGTCTTAGGTTCATTCTATTATCAAATTCCTTTATGATCTGCATGTTGTTTTAGGTACACTGGCTACACACCCTTTTGCATGAGTAAATAAGAAGATGAGTATTTTCATGTATTATATATTATAATCTTGGGACCAGATTTTGTACATGGAAATGCCCAGAACATATTTCTTTCATAAGTGAAATAAAAGTTTATCTGATAGGGTAGTTGCACTGAATTTTGGAAGTTATTTTTTTTAATCAAATAAAACCACATCTCTGGTAATAAGTTTGCAAACAAGACAGGATAAAACTTGTAATTTTATTAACAAGTTAAAACTACTATGTAAATTTGATTCATTATTTTTAAAGAAACTTCCAAATGATTACCTAAGCTTAAAATGAGCAAATATGAAGAGTGTTTATACTGGAGGCTAATTTAATTGTATCTGAAAAGCAATGCAGTTCTCTCCACAGTTATCCTAACAGTGTATCTTGAGATGGTACCTCTTTTTGAAGACACAGAAGGTTTTTGAATCTCTTTTCATTAAGAGTATCTGGGTTTATATTGCTTGTTATCAATTCACTATTAATAATTATCTTTTGTGCTTAACAATGGTTAATCTAGACTTATAAGCATTACTAATGATCACTTAAGCTTACAGATGACTAAACATGGCGGGGGATGCTGTCTCTAGAAGTAAACAATGGCTAGGGAAGAAACACCCTTTTCAATAAACGGTGCTGGGAAAATTGGATTGCCACATGCAGAAGAATGAAATTGGATGCCTATCTCTCATCACATAGAGGTGATGGTTATACTAAAAGCCCAGATTTCATCTGCACAATATATCCATGTAACAAAATTGCACTTGTACTCCTAAAATTTATATGAAAAAGAAAACACACACACACACACAAAAACAATGGTTTTATTACCAGTTGATTTTGGCGCATAGATACCGAAGTGTTTGTATGAAAGTATTTAACTCCTTGAGCATATTTTCTAGTCCAGACAGCAAGCCTTACAGTTTCTTATAACTGGTAACAGAGATTTTCAGTTTTTAGTTTAGTTTTTTTCCCCACTTACTAAAGGTATTTTGTTTAAGAATTAATAGAACACAAATTGTGTGTTAGGCACTATTCTAGGTATCTGGGATTCTTTTGTGAACAGAAGTAAAAAAATACCTATTACTCATGGTTTTCTAATAAAATTCCCAGATCTCTGAAGAAAGGGACTTCAGAGATTATCCAAGCATTCTTAGCTTTTATGTCCCTTATGAGAAACAGAGAGCTGTGCAATATTCATGTGGTGTATAGGGCGCTCAGAATTCTCTGAGAAGCTCCACTATTTGCCTGTGTCATTTTGATTTCTAGCCTTTGATTCTTAGAAACAAATAAAACAATGCAGAATGGACATTTATCTCTGAAGATATATAGATGGTTTTTAACCTTAGATTACAAAGATGTTCGAGCAGTGTTTAGAGTATGACTGAATACACAAAGTGATCTGTCAGAATTACACAGAAATAAGCAAAGAAGCTGAGATGTGAGAGGACTCCAAAATCCATGCTTATTTCCTCTCATCAGAAGAAGGAAGGACAATTTATTATCCCTAACTCACTGAATCAAGGAAATCTCCTCGGGGGAAATTTTTGATGGGCTGTTTTGACAGAGAATAATAATGATAATTTTTAGAAAGTCACTACTAAAGAAAACATTTGCCAAGGATCTTATTTTGATTTTCATACTCCAGGAATGATAAAATGGGTTTCCTGAAGATTTCAAAGAAAGTATTATAAATCCAAGAGACATGCGTGCATTTGCTTCTCAATGCAATTTGCTGAAAAGGACTTTGTTTAGAAAGCAGTGCATTTACATCTAATCATTTTTGAAATCCCAGGTGAAAGGATTGCTTCTTTCTCTAAAGATGGGCATCAATGAGGGAAACAGTGTTAGATGTTTTAAGTTCTAGTATATTTGTTAATCAACAAGCTTTAAAGATTCTGATGGATAAAAGCAAATGTTGTTCCATTTCTGAGCTCTGATATGTGCTGATTATGTTTTATCACAACCATTTTCTATGTGTTGGTTTATAGTATCCGACAATTAAAAAGACAACAAGTATACTAAAAATAAAATAGAGCTCCAGTAGCTTATTGAATGAACTATGTGATTGACCTCAGAGATTTTTTTCCATCTTGAATGTGAATGGACATATGATAGTCTCTGAATTTAAATGAACTCTGCTAATGTCCACATTGAAAATCTTACATTGTTAGAATCAGTTGCACTGATGGGAAATACTGTCTCCTATTTTAACCCCTAGTGCTTTTTCATTAAGAGTATTTTCTTTTTCATAGCTTTGTTCTCTTTCAGTACACAATATTTTTATTAATTTTTATATGTGTAATAGATTTTTTAAAATAATTGCTTTTGTTTTAACAAAAACTGGCTAAATCTTAGTGTATTGTTCTTTTAATTATTAATTTTATATTTACATACTTGTGTTTTATGTGCTTTTGTTTTATACAGCAAATGGTTTGACAGAGCATTTGTGAAACAAGGTAATAGTTGTATTGATATATATATATGTATATATATAAAATACATACTTTATATACTTTATATATATGTATGTGTGTATATATATATATATATATATATATATATATAACGTACTTACCATGTTCTAGGCAACAAATTTATTAAGAAGGCACCCGAATATCTTTATGAGCCCAAAGACAACAGACTTTGGGTTATGGAAAAGCCAGAAACTGGAAAACTCTTGGCAATGTTTTCTCTCTCCTTTTAATCTGTGTTTCCCTTTTTGAGTTATTTAATTCTTGCTATTTTTATTTACTTAGTTTTTTGGAAGATAGATTTTATCTACTACTCAACACACATAATATTTGCATCTCTTTTTCACTATTAAAGTTTCAGTTAAGGATTTTTGAGGATCTTGAATTATCTTTCCACCAGCAATACAATCATCTGTGTCCATGGGTGTAGGGTCATAGCTTTCAGGATTGTACCCATGGAGTGACATTATCACAGAAAGAATATCATTGTTTCTTCTGCCAGCACTACAAAAGATGTTAGCTGAAACTTTGTGCTGGAAAGCTGACACATGTTATCTAAGTCAGTTCCTCCTAACAACACTTGGCAGGTGAATCAGAAAGGTTTTACACTTAGCCCATGGTGACAGGATTGATTGATAGATCTTTATTTAAATGCATCCTGTCTTCACTGCTGAGCTCAATCAAACCCTCAGAACCCCTGTAAAACAGATGTGGAATCTTCCTGTTTGTACTTTGATGGGAGAAAAAATCACATATGTGTGAAAGCAACCTTCAAAATTGAGCCATTTGTCCTATAGCTGCACTTATCATGAATGATCTTATTGTTTTTTATCAGATCCTGTACCAACATTTATCAAGTATTTATTTGTGTTTCTGGTGAATACTCTGTGAAAACCAATAAACATTTTATTATGAGGAAAGAAATTACTAAACTTCTATTTCAAGAGAAAAGATTTTTAAGGTGATTGTATGTTCAACTAGGGATACAGTTTTACTTTTTTCTTATCCCAGTCATCAAGTTTAATGGACTTGTGTGTGGATAAATAGCACCACAAACCACAGTAGTAGCAGTGGTGCGTAGGGCTGCAAGTTACTGATAAGTGCATGCTCTCTTAAAGTGATGTATATCCATACATTAGGGAATGTCTACAGCCCATTCCTCAAGGTAACCTGAATGGCTGAGCAAGTGTGAGAGGAGTTTAATATTAGAAAAGTTGGCTTTAAGGAGAGGGGCATTTCCATATGTTTGTGGCACTCACTTTTTATTAACCCATTTATGCCTGACATTTGAATTTGAAAAATCAGACCTTGGCAATGACCTTGAGCAGTAGGATATAAATAACTCCCACATGCTTAGCGTTCCAATAATGGAACACTAGACATGAATGGCTTTTAATAACATAAATTCCCCAATTCCTTTTACAAACTGAATAACCTGTTCTGAGTCACCCAATGTACATTATATATGACACAATAATGCAAATACAGAAGGGGATCAAAGGAAGGCAAATATAGGAAATGCCATGTGAAACAAAAGCATTGTGTGAGCTATGGTTTAGAAGGTAAAAGCTGAAGAACAGAGTGTAGTTTCTGAATCATTACCAGGGCTCAATTATGCTAATGTATGTATATCCATGGTATAAATATTGTATTATTTTATAATTAAAATAATTATAAGTTTAAATATAATATTTTAAGGAATATACTGTGTCTCATTTAATATGATTTATCACAAAATTGTCAGTGTTATCACTATGTAAGAATGGCCACTGATATATAAATGTATTACTCTTGAAATCCCAAGAAGAGTATACTCGTTATCCAAGTAAAACAGTTTATGAAACAGATTTTTAATCTGTACACAAGTTGGGTATAATTTATCAGGGTAGGTATGTTTTCTAGTTTTTAGATGTACACAGTGTGTTAACAGAAGCACTTGGTATATAATGAGTTCTCAATTGTTCAGGAGACAGCCGACTTTATATGAAAATAGTTATGAATGCAAAAATGAAGTAACAGTCAAAAATGAACATTGGAAATTCTATACTGGTAACAAAAAGACATTTGAAGTAGTTTTTTTCCCATCAGGTTGGTCTTGAATTAAAAAATAAAAGTGGCCTTTCTAGCTACTTGACAGCCATAATATTTCTTTTCATCAGGATCCCTATGGAATGAACCACATTTGAAGATCAGGGATGTAAAATCACGTTGTACACATAAAAGTAACATGTATTCTCACGTTGACCTCTATTGAGAATATGACTTCTTCAGAATAAACTACATGAAACAACTCATGTCTCCCGCAAGATATTTGCCCTGTTGTAGAGGTGCTGTGTCACCCGTGTAACAGGCACCACCAGCCAAGATTGCTGGGGCTTCTCTCCATTCCCCAGGGCACCAAATGCCTTAGTATAGTCTCCCAGGTATAACCCAAATAAAATACAGAAATTTATTCACACTAAATTATGAATGACTCTGTGTTTATCTTCTTAATATAGAATAGCATTTAAACCATAATCAAGTAGGGAGAATGGCGTGTTGTTACAAATATAAGTGAGCACTACTGGTAGATTGATTAAGGCTATAAAATCAGGTGATGGCTTCATGGATGTTCAATATAGTATTCTGCTTACTTTGTATGTGGCCAAAACTTTTCAGTATAAAGGTAAAGATTAAAAAGTGAACATATGTATGTATACGCAAACACACATTGCATGAGTGTGTTTGTGTGTGTGTGTGTGTGTGTGTGTGTTTGTATACTTCAATAGTAGAATGGGGCTTGTTATAGTTTAGATGTTTGTTCCTCCAACCTCATGTTGAAATTTGTTCTTCAGCGTTGGAGATGAGACGTAATGGAAGATGGTTAGGTCAAGGGGGTTGATTTCTCAAGAATAGCTTAATGCTCTCTCTGAAGAAGAGAGAGTTGTCACTTGTTTTAATTGCCACAAGAGTTAGCTGGTAAAAGGAGCGTCACCTCCCTCTCCTCTCTTTTGCTTCCTCTCTTATCATGTGATCTCTGCATATGTGGGCTCCCCTTTGTCTTCGGTCATGAGTGAAAGCAGCCTGAAACCTTACCAGAAGCAGATGCTGGTGCCATTCTTCTTGTACAGCCTTCAGAACCATGCATCAAATAAATCTCTCTTTTTAATAAATTACCCACCCTTGTGTATTCCTTTATAGCAATACTACATAGAGTAAGACAGTTTCAGTTCCCGAATTAGTCAATGGCAAGCTCTATTACTTTGGGTAACTTGCAGTCTTTCTGAGCCTTAATTTCTTCAACTGTAAAAATGTGAATTTATTTCTTCAACAAAGGTTGCTATATAAAATATATATGTAAACTCTAAAAGCAGGTCTGAGTTTATGCATCTGCATTGTTTTAATGGAAATGACTCATCTACTCAAAGTATTTTCTATCATGTGTCAGAAAAATAGCAAAATATGTACACAAATTTGTGATAAATATGAAGCATATGGGGCTCCTAGTGTTGCTGCTAAACAGTCTACATAACCATATAGAGTAGCATTAAGGTCTTGGCATACAAGAAGTGCTAATATATGTTGTTGCAATTTTCAATCACCAAAGCTGTATAACAATGATAGGGAGCTGTGACTGTGAAATTGCAAACCAGCCAGTACACATGAGAGAAGATAATGATCATAAAGCCATGTGCTGTATTCTCAATCCCTGACCAGGATCCAATCCAATTTTAGCTTTGCTACTTACCAGTTTACCTTAGTTAAACATATTTGTTGGTCAGAAAATGAAAAACAAACACATTATATTTTATGTCAATTTTACCCATTTTACTTTACCTTCCAGAAAACTGTGAAGTGAGTTCCTGGTGGATCCCAAACTATTCACTTGCCTCTCCCAAGGAAGAAAACTATGAGCTCCATTGACTGATCCCCTTCTCTTTAATCATCACTTCAGTTGTCTCTAATTATCCTGTTTTGCATTATACTTGCCTTGTAAAGCTGTTTTGAATCATTTAGCTTAGGAGAAAATGGGGTTTGAATCAAAAATTATTACCTGCATAACTACACAATATATTTGAAATGGAAAATGAGTGAAACTTCACATTTTTCAGAGTTGTTAAGCAGAGAAATATCCTATGAGTTATGAAATTGTATTGAGGTGAGAATGCTAATGAGGTACTGAGATGCTGTATTGTTTGCTAAGGCTGCCTTTACAAAGTACAGGCATACCTCATATTCTCGCACTTTGCTTCGTTGCACTTCACAAATACTTCAATTTTCAGAAATTAAAGTTTTGTGGCAACCTTGTATGGAGCAAGCCTGTGAGTGCCATTTTTTCAACAGCATGTGCTCACTTTTGTATGTATGCATATTGTTTTTTAGACCTAATCCTATCAGACATTTAATAGACTACAGTATAGTGTAAACAGAATGTTTATATACACCGGAAAACCAAGACATTTGTGTGACTCCTTTTATTGCAATATTTTATTTATTTTAGTGATCTGGAACTGAACCCTGAACAGCTCTAAGGTATTCCTGGACCACAAATTGAGTGAATTAAACAACAGAAATTTGCTGTCTTGCAGTTCTAGAGATTAGAAATTCAAGATCAATGTTTCAAAAGGGCTGTGCTTTCTCTGAAGGAGGGAAAGATGTGTCTCAGGGCTCTTTTCTGGCTTCGGATAGTTTATTGAATGATGGTATCATAACTATGATCTTCACATGGCATTCTCCTGTGTCAGAATCTGTGTCCAAACTCTGCCTTTTGTAAGGACTCTACTCATATAAGATTAGGAGCCCATCCTACTCTAGAATGAGCTCATCATAACTAATTATATCTGATTCTATTTCCAAATAAGTTCATATTCTAAATTACTAGAAGTTAGAACTTTAACATATTAATTTGGGTGGGAGGGAACAAATCAATCCATAACAGATGCAACAGCATGCATTCCATAATTTCACTTAAAATTAGGATTCCAATATCATTATTTGAATTTAGGATTCAAAGATACTAGAAATATTCTTTATTTATTTTAATAAAAGAATTTTAATATCTCTGTATTGAAAGTATAAAAATTAAAGTTAATTTTTTTTTTTTCTTGAGACGGAGTCTCACTCTGTCACCCAGGCTGGAGTGCAGTGGCGTGATCTTGGCTCACTGCAACCTCCATCTCCCGGATTCAAGCAATTCTCCTGCCTCACCCTCCCCAGTAGCTGGGACTACAGGCGCGAGCCACCACGACTGGCTAATTTTTTGTTATCTTTAGTAGAGATGGGGTTTCACCGTGTTTCGATCTCCTGGCCTCGTGATCTGCCAGCCTCGGCCTTCCAAAGTGCTGGGATTACAGGCGTGAGCCACTGCACCCAGCCTAAAATTTTAATGTTAATTTAAAATAGACATGAAATAGAAGTTACTACTTTGATTCTTTTCATTTTATTGATGCTAAGTGTTATTTAGAAAGTCATTCATTTAATTAGCTTTTTTTCTCTGCATAAATCTGGATAATATCATTTATTTTTACCGAAGTCAATTTTATTTTTTATTAATTTTGTTTTGTATAAGTAAGTACTTCCTACTGAAAATAAGCTAAGCCAAATGATAAATTGTTTTACATTTGACTACTACATCTTTAAGGTTGAAATATCACCAGAGAATTTATCTGTATCTTGTATATACAAGATGGCATTGATGTTAACCTAGCTTTATCATTGTTAAAGGCTACAGTTACATAAAAGGATTCTGTAGTAAATAAACTACAGATATGTTTCTTAACACATAATTATGCCCTGGAAAATTAAAGTTGTTTACTACACATGTTTTTAATTTAGTTAAATAAAATTATAGTAAAACTTTAATATAAAATCCATATGCTGAGAAATTCATGCATGTCATTTCATTTAATCCTAATGACAATCCCACAAAAATATGATTATTATCACAAATTGACAGATGATCCAAGACCGAAAAAAAGGAAGTCCTAGCTCTTTCAAGGTCTCAAGAAATTCCAAGTTCTAAAGCCTATGTGTTTAACACAACCCTACATTGGTACTGTTAAGAATAAGCAGATTCCTTCAAAGAAGAATTCATACATGAGAAAAAAACATCCTCAGAGAGGCAGAAGTTTCTATTTCCCATGATAAAGAGTTGCCTATGTTTAATGATTTTTAATAACTGAACCCTAACCCTAACCCTAACCCTTAAAGGAGAAAAATACCCCAAATCCCTCCATTTTACCCAACTTATTTAAATAAACCTAAAACTAGAATACTGTTAGATGGGGAATGGAGGAGTGGGTCTCAGAAACTTGTTTAATCTGAAGCATCACATAGACACTGACATCTGAAAGTACCTATTCCTTTCCCCCTACCCCACAGATAATAGGTGAGGTGACTGGACCTCAAAGAGGCAGAATGGAGAAGGTAAGTTTTGCGCAGTTCTAGAACAAACCACAATGACTGAAATCAGTCTCTCTGGAAAAGCCTGTTGAGGGTTACTGTTCTGATCCTTGTTTGAAAGGTGGTGTAATAATGGGTAGAGTCAAAGAGGACAAGAGTGACGTAGCAATGCTCTGTGAGGAGTGAGCTAAAATATATCTATTTTTTCTTGATACAGAAGAAGATAATTATCCTAATATTATATAAAACACTAGAACTAATTATAAGAATAATTGATCCCACACTATAGAATTAGCAATAAACAAAAACGTACTTCATATAAAGATGAATACCTTAGGTTGTTTTATATTAAATTGTAATAATATAAGGTGATGTCATGCAGATCTTCTCCAACTTTTTCTAGTGCTAATTTTATACCATCCTTTGGATCTTCTAATTCTTATATTACTTTCATTACACTAGTTGTCTCTTGTACTGTATCTTAGCAATCTTGTATCTAAAATAGCCCAAAATGGTTCTCCTTCATGAATTTATACTGATCAATCTATTTTAGTTCCAATTAGTTACTGCAGTTTCATGTAAAGCTGAAATTTAGGAGAGTTTTAGCCAAAAATTCCTCTAGGAAACATCTGTTTTACCTTTTTTTAGATTAAGTGGTATATTAAGAAACTAAATTTTAGCAGAAAGTTAGCACCTAAACAGCATTCTCTCTAACACTCTCTCTATATAAAAGTTACTAATTTATTTACTTCCTTTTATGTCAAACACCTTTCTACATCCCCAACTAGGATTTAGTTGTATAATCAACCATTTATTGTACATTCGCATGTAAAATATTTATTGGGAATAGTAAGAATGATCACAATTATCTCTAATTTTCTTTATAACACTTTAATAGAAACAGTATAATACATGGGTGTTTTCGTGTGAGGGTGTGCATGTGTGCATGTGTTTTTTAATCCAGGGGTTTCTGAACCCCAGGCCATGACCAGTACAGGCTACGCAGTACGAGGTGAGAGGCAGGTGAGCAAGAGTTACCACCTGAGCAGCTCCGCCTCCTATTAGATCAATGGTGGCATTAAATTCTCACAGGAGGGCAAACCCTGTTGAGAACTGTGCATGTGAGGGATCTAGGCTGAGTGCTCCTTATGAGAATCTAACTAATGCCTGATGATCTGAGGTAGAAAAGTTTCATCTTAAAACCATTCTCGCATCTCTGTCCCTAGAAAAATTGTCTTCCTTGAAACCAGTCACTGGTGCCAACAGGGTTTGGGACCACTGTTCTAATCTATACTTTAATGGTGGTTAACATTAGAAGTTCTCTAATGACTTACACACTGTTCCAGTATGGTGTACTAAAAATGCCTCAATGTGGCCATATGATCTTCACTAGAACATTTGCTAATCACTATAAACAATTAGAAATATTTTTAATTGGAGAAATGTATGAAATTCTGTTTATGTGGATTAGTTAAGAAGATTCTATAGGCACCTGTGCTGTAATAAAAATCTCATAAGATCTCATTAGTAGCCTGTACCCTCAGGCTATGGCTCTCGGCCTAGGTTTTAGATTTGGTCTTGTGTCCTTGCAATTAAAATAGGATTCTGATGAATCATAAAATAAGCGTTACCTGCCATTAAATATTGTTGCATCTGCCTAAGTGAACTTCTCTGCAAAATACTTTTTGGAGGGTTTACAAGGTAAACAACTGAAACTTTATTAGAATTATAAAAAGATGTTTTATGATGGCTGATTGTCTATATAAAAGCATTCTTATCAAAAAATATTTTTATGAGAAGAATAAAAGCTAAGAATTGAATCTCACTAAAACAGGCTACCTGATTAGTGGAGATAGAATAGAGACTTTTAAACATCACCTAAACGTACTCTGAAGAAGCCATTAAATTTAAAAAACGAAAACTGTAATTACAAAAGTCAAATTGACTTATTTTATTTTCCAACAATAGTTGCAATAGCATATGAATCTGACACTGTTCTGAGCATTTTATTTGTATTATTATATTTGATTTCCATAACAAAGCCATAGTTAATATTTATGTCATTTTTCAAATTGAGCAAAAATTTGCACAAACATAAATAGGTTATTATAGTCATTGAATACATTTAAAATTACATTATCATTTTATGTCAAATGTTTTCCACTATCATTATCTTTAGTTTTCATCATAATTGTATACATTTAAGGACAAGGAAATAATAACTCCCATTGATGTGCCATTTCAATATTGTTGGACACTTAAGTTATCTCCAGTCATTTTCTCTTCTTTTAACTAATAGATGATGCATCAATGACTATCTTAGGGAAACCAAACATTTTTGTGTTTGGTTTTATGATAGACCTAGAAACACAGCACCCCAAAAATGGCATGTGATTATAAGGCACAATACATAAATGCCTTTAAAATTATTGCTATATACTATTTAGTTGATGTTTAAAAGTTTAAACCAATTTACAAGTTCTTAAATGATCTCAGTGCTTTTGTTTTGCTACATCTTCTAGAAATTGGCATTATAATTGTAATATTATCTCATGTTCACATTATAAACAGGGTGCCTCAAGGTTTATTAAATATGTAATCCCTGGATTACTCGAACACAAGAATATTGTTTTTCTATTTGTGTTTAGGATCTCTTTTTCTATGTTAATTGACCTCTTTTATTTAACTTTTTAAAAGTCATCACCCTATATAGAAAAGTACATTAGGCAGTCTCTTTGTATTTGTCCTTTACTTTCAAGAGTGAAAAAAAAAAAACAGTTTTGTTTGGCCTTTCCATTGTCAAAGATGTTATCTCCACTAAGATGTAATAACATGACATTTGACAGATAACTTGGACAGTTGGAGGGTAAAACTTGAGCATGTTTAGAGTTTTCCTAAAATCTGGTGTTCTTCCTCTTAACTTTCCTTATTGACTAGACTTAAAATGGCAAAAAGGAAAAATAAAAACGAAAAAGAAAAGCACTTTTTGAAAGCATCTGAAACAAAGCCATGTAAGTAAACAAATGGCATTTCCCTTGAAATGAAATTTTTAAAAGAAAGACTATAATTTCTCTGAAGTCTATAATGCAAATAGTATAGATATCAGCTTTAAAGTATAATTGGTTACAATGTTTACATGAAAACATAAATTGATTGGGCACAGTGGCTCATGCCTAGAATGCCAGCATTTTGGGAGGCTAAAGTGGGCAGATTGCTTGAGCCTAGCAGTTTGACCCCTGCCTGGGCAATAGGACAAAACTCTATCTACACAAAAATAGACAGGTGTGGTGTTGCATGCCTGTAGTCCCAGTTACTCAGAAGACTGAGGTGGGAGAATTGCTGGAGCCCCCAGGAGGTCAGGCTGCACTGAGCCGTGAGCACACCACCACACTCCAGCCAGGGTTGACAGAGTGAGACCCTGTCTCAAAAAAAAAAAAAAAAAGAAAAAAGAAAATGTAAATAAAGACACAAGCAAAACCAAAAGAGAATAAACATGAGAAAGAAAGAGATGATAGTATGAGCATGATGAAAAAAAATCCCTAGTTGTCAGGGAAATAATAAACCATTTATTTAAATTTTCCAAATTTATTCCACAGTAGTTACGGCTAAAGTGATCGGGCACTGTAAAGGAATTGATAAATAAAACATCTAAGCATGGAGCCTTTCTTGAATTAGATTAGTCTACAGTAAATATTACTGTGCTGTTATTAAATATCCCCCTTTCTCTTGCTTATAATGTAAGGAACATGGTAAGAGCTGAAAGAATGTGCTGAAAGAGTGGGAATCTTCTCTACAGCTTGTGTTTCTCAATCTTGTTAAGATCACTGTCCCTGCAAAATCCAATTCTTTCACTGTTACAGGCCCATGATGTGTAGGACACTTTTTGCCATCAAGATATTTCTTATATCCCTACGTCTGTCAAATCAATACCTTTTTTGGAAGTGATTTACAATTGAAAAATATAATTATGACTATTAGTAAATAAATTTCCTGAAATTTTTGCTTTGGTAATCTTTTGAAGGCAAAAGAGAAAGAAATAAAATAGGGACTCAATTATCCACATTTATATCCAAGCTTTCAAGGTGGCAATATCAGACAGAATGAACCAAGCTAAAATCCCAACTCCCAATATCACCATTCTTAATTCTTTAGCTCTGAAAACTACCTTGATTTTTCTGAGCTTTACACTTTTTTCACATAAACAATGGATAAATACTGCATTGAATCTTTGGAAAAAGTTCAAATCAGTCCCCTTGTAGAAATCTTCTAAAGACTTTAGCCTCTGAGATTAAAAGCATCCCTCAAGTATAATGTCACCTTCTCTTCATGTGTGTTTTTATATTTATTTATTTAGAGATGGAGTTTCGCTTTTTTTGCCCAGGCTGGTGTGCAATGGCGCGATCTCGGCTCACTGCAACCTCCACCTCCCAGGTTCAAGTGATTCTCCTGCCTCAGCCTCCCAAGTAGCTGGGATTACAGGCGCCTGCCACCACGCCCGGCTAATTTTTTCTGTGTTTTTAATAGAGACAGGGTTTCACCATGTTGGCTAGGATGGTCTCGATCTCTTGACCTCGTGATCCGCCCGCCTCGGCCTCCCAAAGTGCTGGATTAAAGGTGTGAGCCACGGCGCCTGGCCTTCATGTGTTATTTATAAAGGTGCTAGTGGTAGTAGTGGTAGTATGGTGGTACTGATGGTGGTAAGTCTGGTGTGTTTTCTGAGGGCAGTTCATTCCTGTGGCTGAGAACATGAATGGCATCCAAAAATCCTTGACTATAGTGTGAGACTTACTATATCTTGGGAAATGAATGAATCATAGATATTTGTCCTCCCTCTTAACAGATAAAGAAACCAAGGCCCAGGGAGAGGCAGAGGCTTACCAAGGTTACAAATGAGACAATTTTTTAGTAAGACCTAAAGTCCAGCTCTCCTGATACCTTAGAAGTGCATGTATACCCTTAAACATTTTTCTTTTCTATGGGTACATGCAGTACTTTAGATGATCCATATACTAATATAACAAATACCTTATTTCACTTCATTAATCTTGGATAAAAAATAAATGAACTTTTATCCACTTTGTGGAAGTCCATCTGTATTTGGCTGGCTCCTTAATGCTTTTAATGCTGGTGTAAAAATTAACACCAGCAATATGCCAATTAGCTAAAGTTAAATACAGGTAGACATAATGCAAGAACAAAGATCAAAGCAGAATTTTTTCAGTGATTAATCTATGAAGCTTAGGCAGAATAGAAATGTATATTTGTAATTCATGTTCTTCTGCTAAATTTTAAAGACATATTCATTCTATTTCATATTTTTTCTCTTATCCTTATTTTAAAGCATAAAAATATCAAAATTCCCCTGCACAATACATGCCAGTCCAGGAAATGCTAACATCTAACATCTCTGTAAATAAAACCCCAACACACTCACATATATTTTTACTTCTCATTAATAATTTTTCTTGAACATTGCTTCTTTAAACAAGACTAAGTAAAAATCTACACATCATTCTTTTTATAGGTTAATATCACTTTAGAAGTATATTTTTGAGATCAAAGGAGATGTTTTCCATCAAACAGTTCAGAATTGTACCTGGAGATCACCAGTTGTTACACTGTGATGAAGCATACTTTTTGCTGTGATTTAATTACATGACAGAACAGATTTGAAATCAGAAAAAAAATGAAAAAAGACCTATTGCTATAACAATGAGATTCTTGTATGTTTAAAATGGTTTCTCTTTAGACTGTAGTTCATATTCATTTTAGAAAATATAGAGAAGTATAAAATCTAAAGCTATCTACAATTATCTATCCAAGGAAAACATTATTTTTTTTTATTTTTTTATTTTTTTTTTGAGACGGAGTCCCGCTCTGTTGCCCAGGCTGGAGTGCAGTGGCGCAATCTTGGTTCACTGTAAGCTCTGCCTCCTGGGTTCACGCCATTCTCCTGCCTCAGCCTCCCGAGTAGCTGCGACTACAGGCGCCCACCACCACCCCCGGCTAATTTTTTTGTATGTTTAGTAGAGCCGGGGTTTCACCGTGTTAGCCAGGATGGTCTTGATCTCCTGACCTCGTGATCCACCTGTCTCGGCCTCCCAAAGTGCTGGGATTACAGGCGTGAGCCACTTCACCCGGCCTGGAAAACATTATTTTTATATTAATATCTATTATTTTCTGAAGACAGAGATAATTATGTTTCTGTGTGAATTTTGTGTGTGTTCACGTGCATGTGTATGGAGATGTATACATATGTGTATGTATACATGTAAAGATATGTATATGCACACATTTTTACGTAACTATATATAACATATACAAATAAACATGCCTAATTATATTTGTATCTATATAAGTGTTGTTTATATATACAATTACTGATATATTTATGACCATTTGTCCATTTCTTTAAATCCTCTTTGAAAACATGCTTAAAAATATTATATTTAGGGGGCAACAAGTGCAGTTTGTTACGTAGATGTATTGTTAGTGGTAAATTCTGGGCTTTTAGTGTATCCATGACCTGAATAGTGTACAGTGCACACAATAGATAATTTCTCATCCCTCACTCCTCTCCTAGCTCCCACTTTTTGGAGTCTCCAATATCTGTTATACCACTCTGTTATATCCATGTGTACACACTGAAAACACATTTTTTATAGCTGTGGAATATTCTATTGTTGGATATATCTTATTTTTAATCATTCCTCATTAAAGGATATTTTATCTTTTCTAGTGTTTCACTATTTAAATAACATTTGGAGTAATAATTCTGCAATAATTTTAAATAATCTCATTTGGCTCCCTTAGCATGGATTTCTGTAAGTAGACTCATACCTTTTTCTTAGTAATTATTTTAAGGCTCTTGATACAAATTGCCAAAACACCCCATTAGGTACTCCATTTGTCCTTAATGTCTTTGTGTACTAGGTAGAAAGGAGGTCCTGCACTTTTCCTATAATTATGTGATGGGGTTGGGGAGAAAGTTAAATAACCAAATAGATACATTTCAAAAGCCACGGAATAGCCTTCCTATTGCATGTCTGACCATGTCTTCTATATTTTAGGGCTTTGCCATCAGCTCTTCTATCTTCATGAATCAGTCTTTACATGAATATTTGCATAATTTTGTAGTACGAGTCCTTGAGTTGTTTTCTTAAATGTAATCTTTTCAAAAATACTTTGAAAATTCATTATTTTCCCTTATATGTTCTACCTTAATTTTTTCTTTAACACTAGGACCCTCTAATATATTATGCAATTTAAATATTTATTATGATTTCTTTGTTGCTAGATATAACTTTCTAATTTATGTCATTTTGTTCAATAAAATATCTCAGTCTAAAATATCTCTTACATGTCAGGCACATAATAGTTGTTCAATATGATGGTACTGAATGAATAAATATTTAATGTGTGATTAAAGAAATAGGCTTTCTTTGGGCCACTGTATTAGTCAGTTCTCACATTTCTATAAAGAACTACCTGAGACTAATTTATAAAGAAAAGAGGTTTAATTTACCCACAGTTTATACAGGAAGCATGGCTGGGGATGCCTCAGGAAACTTATAATCATGGTGGAAGGTGAAGAGGAAGCAGGCATGTCTTGTGTGGCCAGAATAGGAGAGAGAGAGAGAAGGAGGAGGTGCTACACACTTTTAAACAACCAGATCTTGTGAGAACTCACTCACTATCAGGAGAACAGCAAAGGGGAAGTCCGCCCCCATGATCCAATCATGGAGCAAGGAATGCAAGAGATACAGCTCTAGATGGAAAAGGATAAAAAAGCAGATTTTCACCTAGTGCCTTAAAGAAAGTAGAACCCTGTTGACACCTTAGTTTTAGCCCAGCAAGATGCACTTTGGACTTCTGCCCTCACATACTGTAGAAAAATAAAAATGTGTTGTTTTAAGCCACTAAGTTTGTGGTAATTTGTTACATCAGCAACAGGAAACTAATACATTTTCTGTTCCTATATTCTGATCATATAACAAATAAATGTAAGAATCTAATCATTGCTGTAAAGGAACTTACAAAGTATTTGAAGAGTTTATACATGAATATATGTATAACAGGACTAGAGAGGCCAAAAAATTGGTAGAGATGATAAGTGATATACACATAACTTGAAGATGATGATAGCTGTCGACAGCCAATATTTATTTAGCATGGACGTGCATTGCCTTGTGTAATTTTACATAAAACGTTCATAACGAATTTTCAGAAAGACTCCAAATACCCTTACTCTTCAGGTGAAGGAAGTGAGCTAAGACAGATTATGTAACTTCGCAGGTCATATAGCTGGTAATAGAAGTTGAGATTTCAGTCTACATGTATGTTTCCAGAGACAAAGCTATAAAATCTCATAACTTCTGCTAGGATCCAGAATGATTAAAAATAGCTTCCTGACTGGGGTAGAAACTCAGTAGGTCTTAACATTTATTGTGATTTCTCTTTGACGAAGAAGGAGGAAAATAACAAGTCTGGACAGTGATATGGAAGCAGATTTTTCATCTCTTTATTTTAGCAGTAACCAGAGTATCTTCTTTTGGCTTGTATCCTCAAGCTTTAGCAAAGGAAGTGAATTTGAGGTTTACGTATAAATATCATCTTATTTCATGCTGCTAACCATGATTTGGAGTGAGAACAAAATGAATTTGAAAGGTATTAGGCTCTGAGATGATCTTGACCATACCATCTGGATAATACTAAGGAGACTTGAGTCTGGAAGGAAATTTCTTTCTCTAATCTTCATAGTATGAAAGTAAAGAGAAAAATGATTTTATTCTCTCCAAACTCATGAAGCCTCATTTCAGAGCCTAGAGGATTCATTATCCTGTAATGCCATCTGAATTGTCACATCTTGCGCATAATAGTTCCCAAGGCAGATAGAAATAGTGGTGAAGACACCCATAAAACAATTAGGGTTAATAATAAACACACATTTTTCATAAGATAATATTGCAGTAATTAGCAAAAGATGGGCTATAATAGAGTTCATAAAAGAAAATAAATGATAAAGTATCGAAAGCCAAAACTTGGCCCAATGGTTTAGTGATTTGTTTTCATTTTTAACAAAAAGAAGAGATTTCTCCAGATGGAACACTCGGAAGAATTAGCAACCAACACCTCCTAACTCTGGCCTGTTCAGTAGTGGAAGATGAATTACTTCCTCCAGGGGAAAAAATGAATCAGGCTATTTGGCATTAGCAAGACTGTGAATCAAAATTTTAAAAATCAGAAACTGGCCAGACATGGTGGCTCATGGCTGTAATACCAGCTACTCGAGAGACTGAGGTGGAAGGATTGCTTCAGGCCAGGATTTCGAAACCAGTCTGGGTAATATAGCAACACTCCCCATCTCTAAAAAAGAAAAATGAAAATAAATGAAAAAAAAAAGTTTGGCATGGAGGAGCATGCCTGTAGTCCCAGCTACTTGGGATGCTGAGGCAGGAAGATCACTTGAGCACAAGAGTTCCAGAGTGCAATGAGCTATGATCATGCCACTGTATGCCAGCCTGGGCAACAAAGAAAGACTCTGTCTCTTAAAAGCAAAACAAAACAAACAAAAAATGAAAATAAAACTTTGCGAGGGGAAAAAGCACTTACATTATCATGTTATTATCTGTCTCTGTATTTATTTGGCAACACAAGTAAGAGGCCAGTTGAGACTAATATTAATCAAAGAATAAGGGGAAAATTGTGTATCTTGTGCAATGGTTAACTGAGAACCTAGTCCCATGTCTCCCACCACAGATAAACATACATTTATAAACACTGAAAAAACTTTCTGGAATTATTGAGGGCAGAACAATTTTAATAGTATTTATAGTGTAGCCCAACACATTTTCATATGTTTATTTTATGTATATCTATTAAGCATGCATTGGAAAAAAATATTCTCTGAAAATAAGGTGAATCCATATGTAAGAAATAGTTGTGATTTTCTCAGGCACAGATGTCTCAGATTCCAGCAAAGAGGAAAATGTTGTTAGAAGAGTTGCAAGTTTCACCAACCTAGCCAACTCTTCGGTTTTGCTATTAAAACTTAGATATCATCTGCAGCTGTTATGCTATTGAGTGATAGCGCTGTGTTCTTGGCTTTTATGCTACAGAATCGTTTTCCTGCTATTCAGCTAAAACACCCATGACCTTTGTTTCAGTCAATAGTGATTAATTCCCCTGAATTTACCACCCAGCCTAGCAACACATTTGGTTGTCTGCCCAAAAATGAGAAGATAGAAGCACTTTTCTTCCATCAGGTTTGAGTGATCCTAAACATTTTAGAATCTTTTAGGAAACTCATAAGTGATATTACTTTGCAAAGCCCACATATCAATGTGCAGATCTGTTTAAGAGAGGTGTGGACATTTTCTAGACATTGAAGATACCATGATTAGAAAGACTTCAAAATCCTAAATTGACAAAGTTTAAGCAGATGGTATTTCTGTATTTCAGGTATTAAATAAGTGATTCCACAAATAATGATGTAAATGAAATTTGAGTAAATTATTTGGGCCAAAACATGGTCACCATCTTATGATGTTTTCTTTGAAAAGGTCCATAGGATGGCAGTTGTGGAGGCCCCCACTAATGCTATTTTGAAAAATGGAAATAAAGTTATTACTCCTTTCTACCTTGTTTACGTGACCTTTCATGTCCTGAACTGTAAAGTGGAAACAGTATGAGATTTCTTGCTTTGTCCCCAAAATTCAGATAATACTTAAGAAGAGAAATTACGTTGCATATTTTTTACTTCTCCCAATGTGCCTAGCATAGGTCTGGCCACTTTGTAGGCATCATGGAAAGCTTATCGTTTAAGAATTTCTTCACAAACTTATATTAACTGTGATTACATATATATATATATATATGTGTGTGTGTGTGTGTGTGTGTGTATATATATACACACACATAGACACACACGTATATATTATCCATATATAAATATAAATACCTTATAAATTATTTTATATATTTATAAATTATCCATCACAATTATCTCTATTAAACATTTACTGAATAGTTATATACACATGGGAACTTCAATACATATTAATGGCATAATGGTTTTCTAGGAATTAAAAATGCTGTAGACATCAGCCAGGTCAGATAGTTATCAACACGGATGATTGTCTAATTGACTTGGTGTGGTGCCTAGAGGACTGGACTTAGGAGGATACTAAGCCACATTCACAACTGGAGAGAAGATATATTGGGAGATATCAGTGATATTTAACTTGGATATTAGACTGAGGCTTGTGACTGGTTTATCAATTACTTGACATCTAATGCCTTTAAAGTTATTGAGCAATAATTTTCTCTGATAGATTTTATCTAATTAAATATACCTTTCATTCTTAAAATTTTCTTTTAATGTACTTTTGGTATATGTATTATAGCATATAGCAATAGCTTGAAAACAAAGTAATTAAAATTACTGTTGGAATTGACTGCCTAAGAAAACATAAAACAGATAATTATGAAAGATCAATAGATTAGACCATATAAAAATAAAAAGGTTAAACTTCTGCACAAGTAAGAATTATGTAGAATTTCACAACTTAAAAAGAGTAGACAAGAAAAATACTTTAAATATAACTTATAAAAAGATAATATTAAAAATATATAAAGAACTCTCAAAATGAATAAAAATTAATTTTCCAAGAGCAAAAAGTACAAATGATATGATCTGATAATGTAATATTATTTCTCATAATTATATTAGAAAGAGAAATAAAACATCCAGTGTTACTTAGAGTGTAGTGGATAAGGCCCTTTAAATTATGGATCAGTAAATGTCTATGAGACCTTCCTGGAGGATAATTAAGTTAAATTCAATTTAAGTTAAAATCAAAATAAAAACTGCACATACCACCTTACCTAATAGTTGAACTTCTGGCCATCTTTTCTGAAGATATATTTCTAGTTACAGAAATTTATGTAAACAGGAATATTCTTTGCAGCTTCATTTTACTTTAGCAAAATTAAAAATACAGTGAAAGTCCATCAGTAGATTACAAATTAAATCAATTTAAGGCCTACATTGTAGTTATAACTTTGTGACCTTCAGTTTCTTTATCTGTAAAATGGAAATAATATATTTCCTGTTCAAAGACTCATCTGCCACTACCAAATTAACTATTTCCCACATTCTGGTCATAATAACTGATGATAACCTTTATTAAGGTCTTACGACATGCTTTGATGGCTTCTTATGAGTGGCAAAAGCTCCAGATCTACACTCTCAACTATCATTTTTCATTACCCCAAACGCTGTTTCCAGCTCCTCAATCAAAGCATATCTTCTTACATCTCCATATTTTTATTCTTTGCGCTAGTTTTGCCTATAAATATTCTTCCTCTATCCTTTCCTGGTTGCAAAAAAAATTTCCCAGTTCTCCATTATTTGTCACTCTTTAGTGACCTTGTACTCTGTGTTAACAGCACTTTTTATAGCAAATCTCAAATGCTTTTCTTTTTCTTTCCTAAATTCCCAGAAGAATTTAAGCGAATAAAAATTCATAAAAGTTAAGACTTTTAGCAAGAATTCATGGTTGACATGTGGCAGAACTGGGATTATAGCCCAAATTTTTATAACTCCAAAAATCTTGTTCTTTCCACTACAGAGGTTGGGGGATAAGACAGAACATAAAAAGTTCAATAAATAATACAACTTTCAGAGATAATAAATGCTCAGAAACAAATAAGCAGACAAATGATCCTGCTGATGAAGAAACTGCTCATAGTTTAGGCAGTTTGGTTAGGGAAGGCCACTCTGTTGAGGTGTTACTTGAACCTCACATGTGAGAAATGAAGGAGCGAGTCATAAAGGGCTAAAGGCAGGTGTCTCAGACTGAGGATTTTGGGATAAATGAGTATGTCTTGTTTCAAAAATTGTAAGACTGATTTCAGGCTAGTAAGGCTAGACCAAAATGAGCAAAGAGAAAAGTTGCATGATTTCAGATTAGAGAAAGATGCAGTTACTGATTCACAACTGATCTTGATGGGACTTTGGACTATTTCAATCTGAAAGAAAGACAATCTGATTTTTTTCCCTTAATATACTACTCTTACTCTAGTGTGAAGAATACCCTGAGTGGGCAAGAATAATACCAAGGACATTAATTAGAAACTAAGTTTATTAGTCTAAGTGGTGGTTGATGTGGCCTTGGATGAGATTGGTAATGGTGGACATAAGAGATCGGAATAAGAAATATTTTCACAGCGGAAATAACCTGACTTGTTGATGACTTAGACAGAGAATGCTCAACAATTCAGGTAAGGTGTTGACATTAAGATATGAAAGATAAGTTATTGATTGTTTTTGTTGGATGGTGGCAGAAATGATAAATTTTGCTTCGAAAATGTTAAATCACATAGTAAAATAGCTTATGCGATACTATTATCTCTGCTTCTATTATTTATTTGTCAATAACAATCTGCTGAGACACAAATATTTAATTAATGATATTGTATTTTTCCTTTTGTATATCTTCAGAAAGTTGAATTTTACATATAATCATCTGGGCATGTTGCTGTCTGATCTAAAAGAAGGCCTCAGGGACTCTGAGGTTTGAAGTTCTTTCCTCAGAATGTTACGCGTCTTCGTGTCCGACTCCTATTATTTATTGTTTATAAATAATAAGTTCCCAATCATTTATTTATTAATCACAATGCACTGGGACACAAATATTAAAAGCCAAAATTATTATGTGGTTGTATAGATTTCTTGAATATAAGAAATATGGGTAATATTCCAATTTTAGATAGTAACAAGTTATAGATATTATCACAGAATAGCATCAACTGTAATGTGGAAATGTGGAAAGCAAAGAAAGATGATTCACAACATAGATTTCAACTTTATCTGGATTTAGGAACATAGATGGAAATGAATTGAACATAGTATAAAATCTATAATCAAGTGAGGAATTCATCCGAGAGACTCAACTAAGTACTGTAGGTAGAAGGTAACTACAAGGTGAGGACTACATAGGCCAGATAAATTTAGCATAAGCAAAGGTAGAAGATTTTTGGTCAAGAGAAGATGAGGTACAGAGATTATTAGCAAAGGCTAGTAGAGGTGATGGATATTACAATTGCTTGAAATGTTTTAAATTTCAGTAGTACTTCATTCTTTCAATTTGTATTCCTATAGGAAAGAGCATATGAATGAAGACAGTTTAACATAATAAAGGAATTTCATAAAAAGATGTGGGCAGACTTAAACAGCAAGTAATGATAAAATGCCCAGACCTGTCAGTATCAGGAAGTCACCATCATATTTGTAGGGAAAAGAAAGAGAGATCAGACTGTCACTGTGTCTATGTAGAAAGGGAAGACATAAGAGACTCCATTTTGAAAAAGACCTGTACTTTAAACTATTGCTTTGCTGAGATGTTGTTAATTTGTAGCTTTGCCCCAGCCACTTTGACCCAACCTGGAGCTCACAAAAACATGTGTTGTATAAAATCAAGGTTTAAGGGATCTAGGGCTGTGCAGGACGTGCCTTGTTAACAAAATGTTTACAAGCAGTATACTTGGTAAAAGTCATGGCCATTCTCTAGTCTCAATAAACCAGCGGCACGATGCACTGTGGAGAGCCGCAGGGACCTCTGCCCTTGAAAGCGGGGTATTGTCCAAGGTTTCTCCCCATGTGATAGTCTGAAATATGGCCTCGTGGGATGAGAAAGACCTGACTGTCCCCCAGTCTGACACCCGTAAAGGGTCTGTGCTGAGGTGGATTAGTAAAAGAGGAAAGCCTCTTGCAGTTGAGATGGAGGAAGGCCATTGTCTCCTGCTTGCCCCTGGGAACTGAATGTCTCGGAGTAAAACCCGATTGTACATTTGTTCAACTCTGAGATAGGAGAAAAGCTGCCCTGTGGCGGGAGGCGAGACATGTTTGCAGTAATGCTGCCTTGTTATTCTTTACTCCACTGAGATGTTTGGGTGGAGAGAAACATAAATCTGGCCTACGTGCACATCCAGGCATGGTACCTTCCCTTGAACTTAATTATGATATAGATTCTTTTGCTCATATGTTTTTTGTTGACCTACTTATTATCACCCTGCTCTCCTACTACATTCCTTTTTGCTGAAATAATGAGAATAATAATCAATAAAAACTGAGGGAACTCAGAGGCCGGTGCTGGTGCAGGTCCTTGGTGTGCTGAGTGCCGGTCCCCTGGACCCACTGTTGTTTCTCTATACTTTGTCTCTGTGTCTTATTTCTTTTCTCAGTCTTTCACCCCACCCAACTAGAAATACTCACAGGTGTGGAGGGGCAGGCCACCCCTTCAATATTTAAGATTAAAAAGGATGTATACACTTCTTCCCACACTGAGTAATTGGATAATCACTCTGTGATTTTCCACGACATGCATTGATAAATTTGCATGCGTTTTCTCCTAAACAAAAAAAAAAAGAAAAGAAAAATGATTGACAAGTCAAGAGGAAGGAGTGGTTAGCAGAACAAATGAAATTTACGGTTGTACATATAAGAGGTCTTAACAAAAGAAGCAGATTATGACCTTTGGCAGAGGAATTTATCTCGATGGCACAGCAGAGATGGTAATTAATAAACTAGCTTTTTTTTTAGGCCTCCTTCAGATTATGTGATGGATCACTGGACCACTTTATTGGCCAAATCCAAGAGGAATCCAGAGAATAATTATTGCAATTTGTAGTGGCAGGGCCACTGTTAGGTCATGTAAGGTGCCGGGAAAATATAATTCCTGGGTTACCTGTTATAATAAATAATTTGTTTATAAGATATGTTTATTCATGGGTCAGGTGAGTTATAGTAATTTTTCAATGAAGATTTAACTCATAGAACACATACATATTTTGATTACTAAATCTGCACATGTGAAGATTCTTCATGTTGTCCAGGTACCATTTTTTCTAGTTGATGTCCTGAAAATATCTTTTTGTATTCTTAATTTTCAAATGTATTATTTCTTGCTAATTTTATATATCCTCCCACAAGAAAAACTTAACAATGCTGTTATTACCCAGAGTGACATGACTATTTAGAAGCTGTTTTCCATTTAAAATGTGTAGATCCTGACGTTTAAGTAACTTAATACCATTTATTAATGTGGCTTATATCATTACTTCTGAAGCTATATCATCCACCTTACTTCCTAGGAATACTTCCTGCCAGTGTTTTTCACAAATGTTATTATTGTGTTTTGTTGAAAACAATAACAAACATGAGTTTACCTGGATTGTGCAACAAAATGTGAAAAATAATTTATTTTCTGATCATGCTAAATCCACGATTTGGCATTTTATATCATAAACATAGAACAAAACAACATCCAATTATGTTTCCTTTTGAAACCTTCAGAACTACTACATTTTCAGAATGCCATCTTTATTCAGTATTAATTACACCCCTAAAATCAACGGGATAGAAAAGTGAGTGCCAATGTATGCAACAGGAACAAAAGTCTCATTTGCACAGGAAATGTCCATCTCTTCCCTAGCATGGCTTAAAACCATGGATGTGGCCGGGCGCGGTGGCTCACGCCTGTAATCCCAGCACTTTGGGAGGCCGAGGCGGGCGGATCACGAGGTCAGGAGATCGAGACCATCCCGGCTAAAACGGTGAAACCCCGTCTCTACTAAAAATACAAAAAATTAGCCGGGCGTAGTGGCGGGCGCCTGTAGTCCCAGCTACTTGGGAGGCTGAGGCAGGAGAATGGCATGAACCCGGGAGGCGGAGCTTGCAGTGAGCCGAGATCCCGCCACTGCACTCCAGCCTGGGCGACAGAGCGAGACTCCGTCTCAAAAAAAAAAAAAAAAAAAAAAAACAAAAACAAAAAAACAAAAAAAAAAACCATGGATGTTACCAAATCAGTTGGAAATAAGAGAGGACGCCCATAAGAAGGGACTGTTAATGTTGCAGGAATATGACCTTGAAAGCCCTGAAAGGAAAGAGATGTGCCACTCCTAGAGTATTGCTTGCTACCTGGCATGGGACCTGAAAAAGGGGTGAGATGACTGCTCTGAGACCCAGTATGAATGATTGCATGTGCACAGCGCAGAAAACGGTCACTGGGATTCCTACCACCCTTGGGTACTGTAGATCAGAGGCAGCACTCTGTTCAGAACTCAGATAAGCAAGAACCAACACATAGGCCCTCATAATGTAGCTCAAGCCCATGGGTCAGAAGTGGACTATTTATGTCCCAGAAACTTTATGGAATACTGTGGCTGATACTATGAGGGAACATTGCCCCAAGTCAAGGAGTCAGCACAACTCTGGCAGCCCAATATCATGTGATTCCAGACAATGCTGCACCCACCAATAGGAGGAATCTTCTCACCAGGAAGCATCCGTGGAACCAGGACTCAGTCATAGAGACCAGAGACAACCACATAGGTGCGAGTCCTGAAATTCCATATATATGCACTTTAGTCCTGGTCTGGAGTTTAAGACAGAATGTCTGGAGAACAATACTGGTCCCAGCCATTCCTGGCACATTTTTTTTTTTTGGTATCCCAGCATATAGTTATCAATAAATAAATAATAGGAGGGTTATTATCTATAAATAATAGAGGTGGGACAGAGGGGACTTAGAATATTCTGGGGAAAATATTTCAAAGCTCAGAGCCCCTGAGTCATTTTTTCAAAGCAGGGGCCAACTTGCCCTGATGATTAGGCATGAAGTTCAGCTTTCTGTGGATATGCAATAAGAAACCATTACGTACATTTACCTATGTAACAAACCTGCACATCCTGCAAATGTACCCCAGAACTTAAAAATAAAAATTAAAAAAAGAATATTCCTAAGATTATAGCCATTCTCCCTCCAAAGATCTCTATTTATATTTTTAGTCTAGATGTAACATATCTCCAAAGTGAAACACACAATTCCATTATTGTGTTTTCACAAGTAATGTCAATTAAGTTGGATCCACACCTGGGGAAACCTCAGTATCCACACATATATTCTTCATAGTAGATAAAGGGGTGGTAATAAATAATCAGTTATTAAAACAACATCTATATTAGTTGTCATTTCTTTATCCCATCATACATTTTAAATAAATAAGATAGTTTCTTCTTTGCACGATTCATCCGTTCCATGTTACCTTGACCCAACTTCAATCACTTTGAATAGATATAATATTTATTTGGAAGTATAACACAGATTTTTGTATTTTGTGGTCATCTTCATTTGGTCACCATACTTTTCAATTGGCTAGTAAATTTAGACATGAAATTACAAAAGAGCACCTCAGTAAATACACTTGCTTCTGGGTATTGCTTACCCTGCCCCTATTGTCTGGCAGCAACCCAATTTTTTGCACATGATTAAAGCAATAACTCAGTCACTACAGTTTCTCTCTTCTCTTTCTCTTTTCATAGCCTCCTGAGGAGCCCCATATGACCATGACAATGATCCCTGGTCAAAGCATTAGCAGGGAACATTAACCTTGTGAATTGTGGGATGGGAAGATAAAATGGTGCAGCTGCTGTGGAAAAACAATGTGCTGGTTCCCCAAAAAATTACACACAGCATTACCTAGGATTCCCCAATTTTGCCTCTGGCTGTATATCCATAAGAATTGAAATTAGGGATTCAAACATATATTTGGACATTCGTGTTCACAGCAGTGCTAACCACCACAGCCAAAAGGTGGAAGCAAACGAAGTGCCCATTTGCAGATGAATGGATAAACAAAATATAATATATACATGTAATGGAATGTTATTTAGCCTTAGAAAATAATGAAATTATGATACATGCTACAACCTGGCTAAACCTTGAAGACATTATGCTAGGTGAAATAAGCCAAACGCAAAAGGACAGATACTGTATGATTTCACTTATATAGGATATCTAGAGAGGTCAAACCCATAGAAGCAGAGAATAAAATGGTGGTTGCCAGGAGCTGGGGGGAAGGGAGAATGAGGAGTTAATGTTTAATAAGTACAGAGTTTCAGTTTGAGAAAATTAAAAAAAAAGGAGATAGATGGCAGTGATGGTTGCACAAAAATGTGAATATATTTAATGCCACTCAATTGTATGTTTTAAATTGTTAAATTAGTGAATTTTATGTTATGCATATGTTACCACCACCACCACAACAATAAAAAACTTTTCTACATTGAGGGCCAAGAATTCAAAATTTACTAAAACAAATATTATAGGAATAACATGCAAAGCTTTCTTAAGTGAGTTATTAAGTAGAATTATAATCTGGTCACTTTTCCTGGGCCAGCTGACACTGTAGAGAATGGAAGAAGGCCAGTTTTCTATTGTACAAATCAGTCATTAGATTTTCACTCAATTCTTTAAATTCCTGGACACATGCATTTTAACTGCAGTGGTGACTTCATCATGTTTATATGTTTGAGTCCTATACTAAATCCCATTGAAAAGCATAGCATTCTTCTGGGGCAACTTCTCCTAGATTATACTACAGCTCAGTTTTTAGCAGTCTAATTTTTTTTTCTATTCAAGCCTATTCCTCTGGTTGTTGGGGTAAGAGTGGAATATTAATGCAACTTCAAACGCTAAAGACAACACATTAAATCCCAGGTGAGTGCATCATGGTATCAAATATAGATTCCCTAGGTAAGATCCTCAACCATTAAAACTCCTAAGGGGCTTTCTACTTTTTCTCTTCACCGTAAGTTTGAGCAATTAAGCTTTTACTCTGTCCTTTACTCTATGTACACTCTCTACTGTTGCCAGAAGTAGCAACTTATGCCATAATTGCTTTTTTTTTTTTTTTTTTTTGAGATGGAGTCTCGCTCTGTCACCCAGACTGCAGTGCAGTGGCACAGTCTCGGCTCACTGCAAGCTCCGCCTCCCGGGTTCACGCCATTCTCCTGCCTCAGCCTCCTGAGTAGCTGGGACTACAGGTGCCCGCCACCACGCCCGGCTAATTTTTTGTATTTTTAGTAGAGACGGGGTTTCACCATGGTCTCGATCTCCTGACCTCGTGATCTGCCCGCCTCGGCCTCCCAAAGTGCTGGGATTACAGGCTTGAGCCACCGCACCCGGCCCATAATTGCTTTTTAATAATTATTGTCTCTGTAATGACACAATGCCACAGACACTTCACCTCTCAGGAATTTTTCCCATACTTCTACTACTTTCCATATGCCACCCTCAGTGATAATCTCATAATCATGATACCACCCCATGCCAAAGAATATCAGTGCTCTATTTCTCCTGATGAGAGGATATGGATCGATTTGTCAAATACATGAACAACCCCGTATCAGATATCCATATTGAAAATCTCTTCCTCAAGTCACTAACGGTGTTAATTAATGTGTAAGATGGAATCCCAGAAAAGAAACAGATGTATGCTCAAAAGAAGTGATTATATAGAGTGTAATGAAAAGCCTATGAGCACAAGCATAGTCAAAGTTAAAGATAATTAACAAGATATGTGAAATGCTCTTGGGTTACGAGTAGTAGGAAGTAGCTATCATTCTTAGGCCTGAAGGAATCAGGAGGAGCCGTTACCAGAGCCTTCCAGAAATTTCTAGCTGTAGATGGGGACTCTCTGAGAGGATCTGTGGCCTTCAGTAGAGGAACCCATCCTCTACCAACCCAAAACCCCGAGTGGAAGGAACCAGGGAAATAAATATCTGTATCTCTCTTTCCCTGCATGTTCAAGGCTCCTGCAGGTGCTTCAAATTCAGAGTGTGAGGGAACCATACATATTACACTCCTGGCACACAGTGGGGAAGGTAGAGAAGAAAAAACACTGTTGGCTCTTTCAGAGCCAACAGAATACACTCAGCACAGCTGTCTTTCCTTTTCTTGAATTGTTTATCTGGCAGTAGCCATCAAATAATTTTTTATCCTGTAAATTCTCTGTGCTTAAGCTTAGACATATATAACAAGGCTAAAGTAATCCCCATTTGTTTTCAAACTTTAAACTTAAAATTTCACTACCTCAGTGGGACACTGCCCAGCTGAATCACAATTGCACATACATATTTTATGAGTTGTTCTGCAGGATGATAGCAGGCATGAGAGTCATTTGTCAGTGACGGTGGATTTTTATTTTTCCTTCAAAACAATCAGTCAATATGGGTGCTAAATTACATCAATTCACTGAAATTGCCATAGCTTAAATAACTGCTGTACAGGCAGCAATTTGAAGTGAACTATTAGATACAAAGCTCTATAGATTTCCTTATTATGCCAGTCTCTTTTTATCGCTATCTGTGTTATAATAGAATAACAATAAAAAAGAAAGGCTTTGTGGAATAATGCACCTTAGCAGATACATTTTTATCCATTACATACCATGATCATCTTGTTGGAAAGACAATCTTTAAAAAGTTTCTATAATCTAGTCAGGGGTATATAAATCAACCCATAGACACATTTTTTGAAATACGTACTGCTCTATCATTATTTTAGGCTTTCATGAATGACAAGAGCTCTATAGCATACATCTTTTTGAAAGATAATTGACTGATTTTTATAATATTAAAACTATTTGTATCATGTAAGTCGGGGTTCTTGCTTGTAAACAAGAAAATTATTTGCAACTAGTTTAAGACAGGAATTTGTTTTAAAATATTAGGTAGCTCACAAGCTCTCTCAATGAAAGGCAAAAAGATTGGGACTTTGAGACTCTGTAGTCCAAAAAAAAAAATTTAAAAAGTCTAGTTACAACCCAGTGGTCTTTCTGCAAAGACCCCACATACCCAGTGTGTGGACACATTAGCTCACACTGTTGACAAGGGGCACTGGACACTAAAATCTCTGCTGTTCTACTCCCAAAACTGGCTGTCCTTGATACTGTCCTCACTGAAAAAATACATTTCTTGAGACATCTGCTTTCTCACATTGTTTCCTCACATAAAAGCCTCACACTGGTACCTCTGATTGATAGAACTGGGTCACACGCTTCCACTCCACCTTCAAGGAAACTGAGAATATGCGTTTCTGATTTTCAACTCAGAGAATAAGACTCAAATTACAGCACATTGACCAAACATAGGAATGTTGCCACAAGAAGGAATCTTTACCAGAGATTGGAGTATAAAAAAATTATCAATATCCTACTTTAACAAATGAACTATTTTTATGGAGATGGAGAAAAAGAAAGTAGTACTATGACCACGTAGTTGTAAAGGAAAATGAAATACATTTGATAAGAAATTTTTCTAACCATATGGTGTCCTTCAGGGGTTGTTACTAGTGATTCATATCCAAAAGTCATGCTGTGACATTAGCTTCCCCTTTGTTTTAGCTGTTCTACAGGGGAAAAGGACAATTAAAAAATGTATAAGTGTTATAAAACTTTTACACTTGATTTGAAAATAAAGCCACTCAAAAATAATATAGGCACTAAAAATGCAAGTTTCACTTTAAAGTCAAAGGAGCAATATTTAATATGTTCATGGAGATTTAGGAGACCAAAGAAGCTAACTAATTTTTTTCTCATGTTCTGTAACAAGCAGTTTAAGACCAAAATGTAATTACCTATATTGTTTACCTAAATCCTACTGTGGCAGAACCCATATGTTGGAGCACTCAGAAACAGTCAGAAAGACTAGATGTCAACTACCCCATAATAATATTTAATATTTATAGAAACTAAAGTTAAATTAACAGTTATTTTCAATAATAAATATTTGGAAGCAAGATATTAAATAGTAATTTTCAAAATTGTGTACTAAAGCAGTGATTCTAAAATTTAACCTACGTAAATCTTGCCAATTTGCAGATTCAGATTCACTAGATCTGGGTGGCACCTGCAAGTCTGCATTTATCAAAAGTTCCCAACTTGTGCTTATGCTCCTGGGCCATGAACCACCCTTGGATCTACAGATTTATTAAAAACATTATTACTGTGTTATATTAATAGATGTTCTCTTAGAAGAGGTTCAATGGTCAAATTAGTTTGAAAAATCCTGTTTTAAACACTGATAAAAAGGCTTATTTACGACAGAATATCTTAGAGCCTTAAATAAGCAAAAGAGAATAGAGCATGTAATATTAACAATTTCACACTTAAAAATGAAGCCTTCTGTTCACTGATTATCCTGAAGAATTTATGTGCCATAAAACACATTTTTAAAAATGTTGTACTAAAGTTTTAAGAACGTGATAGGCTAACTTAAATGTTTTCTATTATGTTATTCATTAAATAGGATGTACATATTATCTTTAGAAAATGTATAAATTATGTTTGTAAAACGTGCATAATATGTAACTGATGTATATTGGGGCATATGTTTTCCCAGAATTAAAAAAAGTACAAACATAAGCCAATACTTCAATATTTAGTGGGAAAACTTCAAGTGAAAAACAATACCTAAAAGACAATATATATCCAACATAAGGCTCACTTGCAAGCTTAACCTTTAGAAAGAAAACATCCTATAATAAAATAATTATTAGGCAGACTCTCTGTGCTTATTCACAAATATTTGGAACACTTACTGTGGGATAGGTACTCTGATAGGTATGTAGTAAATTGTAGTGAAAGAATAAATTGTGTGTACAGATAATTAATGGACTTTAGCATAAATTATGGAATTCATTCAGTAATGGAAAAATATATCTTTATAAAATTATCTCTATAAAAATTGCACTGAGTTATTGAAGAAAGTGACACACTATTTTTTAAATTTGTATGAGGAAGCAAAAGATATATAACTGACTGTCAAAATAACCTTGAAAAATAAAAACGAATTTGGAGAAATTATGTCACCAGATTTTTAAACTTTCTGTAGTCAAGACAGTGTGAGGCAGAGTAAGGATAGACATGTACACCAAGTGCACAGAAAAGAGAGTGTAAAATTGACAGACATACCTGGTCAAGTATTTTTCAACAGAATTATCAAGACAATTCATTGGAGAAAATGACTTTTCTTTTTAACTACAGGTTTGTGTGATTAATAATGAATTTGAACCTCTGTATTTCCTCATAAACAGAAATTAATTTGTTACAGGTCATACATTTAGACATAAGGGACAATACTTTAAAACTCATAGTATACAGTGGAGAATATCTTTACAACTCTGGTATTTATCTACCACTGAATAACAAATCATCCTAAAACTTTTTGCCTTAAACAGCAATAAATCACTTATTATCTTTCACTGATTATGTGAGTCAGATATTCAAGAGTAGCTGGTCTCAGGTCTCTCAAGAGACTCCTTCAAATGGTTGCTGGAGCTGTACACATTTAGGATATATAATTATTCTCTTCAGTCAATATGATGTGTTCGTTATGTTTGTTTTATTTTAGTTATCAAATAAGGAAAAATGTTAATAGATTCACTTATGGATGTTTCCCATAATCCATTTCCCCAATAAGGTTTCAATTTTCTTACTTATCAATTGACTACCTTGAGGTTTGTGTTTTAAGACAGTGTTGTAAAATCAGAAGTTGTATAAAGGTTTCACATAGTATTAACAATTTATTATTAATATTATCCACCATCTTTTTCCCCCATGTAATCATACTGTGTATATAACATCCATTTTGCATGGAGGTTCAATGTGTTTTTTCAAGGGTTAGATAGACTGTATATTATAATTAAATGTACTGTAGTATTGGTATATATCTTCCCAAAAGATAGTAAGGTATGAGGTGAAATAAATTTTCTCATGGTTCTTTTAATCCTCAATACATAGTTTACAGAAGTACTCCATATTTGAGAAATAAATGAATGATGAAATAAATTCTGGAATGCAGGCCACAGTTACAACCCAGAGCACTGACTTTAATGCTTCTGTGTTGGACACCATTGGAAGCTGGAATGGAGATGGAGAGAGGTAGCCTTGCCTTGAAAGGCTTTAGCATCATCATGTTAGAAACTGTCTCTTCCACGGCATATGAAGTGTACTCTCAACACAATTTTTTCCTCCAAAATGAAAATAGTTATTTGCATGAAAAAAATGCTAGTGGTAAAACTTTTTTTCAAAACAGAAACCTTGTACTATATGACAAATGTCCACTAAATGGCAGCTATTCCCATGATGGCATGGAGAACCATGTATTGTTCAATTATAAAATTATTAAATTCAGCATTGTAAGAATTAGAAAAGGGTCAAAACTGGCAGTATACTTACTACTTAAGGATTAGGAACAAACACATGAAGACAGACATGAGCAAGTGAATGCTTAAGAGATGAGGGAGACAACAGGGGAAAGTGTCACTAGATAAGGTTATTTAACCTGGGTTTCAAATTGCCTTCAAACTTTCCCATCCTTTTCTCTTAACTTATTTTAGTAGAATGTTAGAAGCATTTCATCATAACATAGCTGTTAGTTCTAACCAAATTCAATAATGGTTTCAACAAACAGATAAAATCATTTAACTAGTAGTTACGACTAACAGGAATTAATTTTACCTCTCTTCACTTCCAATGCGATCCAGGTTGCTCTGCCACAAATGAAATATGGCAGTCCTTATATTTTCTTAGAAATTAATGTGTTTCAAATCAGTACTGTCTTGGCCTAATATACCCCATTAAACCATTTTTTATACATATGGCATCAGCATATACAAATAGTTTAAACTTACCCAGATTGCACATGGCAGTAAAGGAAAGGATGTCATAGCTGTGATCTCGTAGAAATGTGTAATTTCATAGATATCATAATATAAATGATAATAACTTATTTGTTATATATTCCCTAATGTAAACTTTCAGCCTCTGAATATAGATATTTGATCAAGCCTTTTATCAAGTGCTTTTTATAATATGTTAAGAATTTTGTATCTGAAGAAAGAAACTGCTAATGAAGTAATAGAATTTAACCTTAAGAAACATACATTCCCATTGAAGAGTAAAACTGTCTGTAAAAGAATTAGAGGGTAAAACTGAAAAATAACATGGCAGGAAGCTTAAGACACAAGGGCAATCAAGTATGTTGAAGTGGACTTGAGAAGAAAGTAATGATATGGAGGAAATTAAAATCTCCCGAAATATGGCAAATTTTCACTAGATCTAGAAGGGCATGTTTAAGTTACAAACATACAGGGAAGACAAATAATGGACATTGGAGGCTGATGTGCTTATGAGTTATGAAATACAGATAGATATGAGCAAGTTGTTGAGAAGAGAAGCACTATGTACGAAGCATGGCTGTTAATATACATTGATCACCTGCTATGTGCAAAGTGCTAGCTAGGTGTTTTACTTTAATTATCTCAAGCTTCTCAGTTGTTAATAACATGTTAAAGGTTAGGACACAAAGACTGGAGAAATGAATTAACTTTGACATGGTCAAATAGCTGGGAAATTTAAGGCCCAGGTTCCAGACCATGACTATATAACTACAGTACGATTAACAGTTTATACTGTAAATCATAATATATTCTATAGTTTTGTTTTGCTCACAAACAGATGAGCTTCATGTTAGAAGTTTTCCCTCCTGTAAAAACTCTTGATACTTACTTTATTTAATCTTAATCAAAACTCATGGAATTAAGGTACATTTTTTGCACTGTAACAATTAGAGAACATATTATGCTTGATGTCTTCAATTATTGTGTACTTATCTCTGAGTAACCTACAATTCCCATCACAAGGTCTTGCATATAAGTATGGCACCAATGACAAATTGATAGTATCCAACATAGAGGAAGTAAAGCAGATTCAATAATAGATTCCTGATATATTAATGATATAAAAGCAATAGTATTATATTTTTGAAGAATGTGGGCATAGGTTGTGGGTTATAAAAATGAGAGCTTTTGTCTAGAATACTCAGAAAGATCATGTTGACATTACTGATAAGAGGAAGACTGCTGTGGGTGGCCTAGGCCTAGGAGACAGCTCACACTTTCATTTTAAACCTGTTAAGTTTGGAGAACACTAATTCAATGAGTAAAGAGAAAGAAGGACCAAGTACTGAGAGTACTGAATACTGCTCATTCCAAAGCTAAAAAGATTGAGAAGCAATGGAACCTGACAAAAAGTGGCCAGTGATGAAAAGGAAAAAATAGATCTCCAAAAAATAAATAAAAAGCACAACTATAATACCCAAAAGTATGAAAGTGAGGTGTCTTAGAAGGCCAATAAAAATTTCTAGTAAAGATAATGATCAACCATCAGAAATTTTACTGATAATATGAGGAAGAAGATTTCAGAATCAAGAATTGGCCAATTGATATAGCAATATGAAACTAATTGCATCAAGTTTCAAATCATTAAGAATTATGTTTATAACAGTGTTTATGGATTCTGTTATATATGTAGTAGTAGCTTTCTAAAAAGTACAAAAATATGTACATCAAATTCAAGGATAATTCTTACCACTGGAGAGAAAAGAAAACAAATGGGATTATAGCATTAGAGGCAAATTTGATCTCCTTTACATTTTGTAAAGATTCCACCATTATTATCGGTATACTTTCATGTAATAAGACAAAGATTGTTGTCCTAACAATATCATAATCAATGTAATATATTTATGCCATAGGCAAGTCTACCTTATCCTGGTTTGCAATAATAAGGGCGGTGATACTGCCATTCATATGCCCCTGATCATTCCACCCTGCATGGAAAATTCTCAAATGACGCTGATGGAGGAAAATAAACCAAGCACATTGTATAAACCATCTTGCTTCCTAAATATATAATAGCATTTTATTGTCTGCTTGAGGTAAACATGATAGTTTAGATAGTAATCAATTAAGAACTAATTGTCCACAACAGTAAATATTTGGCGAGCTTTGATCAATGCACAAATAATAACAAGGTGTTCACTTATTCCATCTAATTAACTTTGATGTCTTTTATATGTCCTGTTTACAGACTGTTAGTGTTTAAGCATAACATTTGTTAAAGCAAAACACACATATTTTTATTCAGGTAAAAATACAATTAATTTGGAAATATGCATTTTTATATCTTTGGCATAAAAATAAGAATCATTTTGGTAAATTTCAGACAATTTTTCTATGCAGTTAAGAGTGAGATCTGTTTTTAATCACTGTATTCACTCAGTCGTGTTCCTGAGATGAAATGATTTTATTGGTCTTGGGATTCACAGCAAAATATCAAGGAAAAGGTAGCAGGTGTTCAGGCCTTAATTAGGGATGTCAGGGCAAAAATATCCTCAGCATAATCATGGGTGAATTAACTGTTTTTTTCGTAATGATTTCCCAGAAAATTTGTCTTGCCTAGTTACTGCTCTAGGTATAAGTTACTTCTTGCATCATAATGTTTTATATTGCCTGATAGAGGTTTGCATTGACTTGTGAAAACTGCAGGCTTCTGGCAATAAAAAACCTATTAAATTTTTATTCATCACACACATTTTGGTTATGAAGAGCTAGCTCATTGTTCTTTCAAAACAAAATCTTCTGTATATCCTTTTGTGAATTATTTGTCCTAAAATCAGCATTTTAACTAAGATATTAACTCACCTACAGGTTTTCAGAATTAAAAGAAATGATACATAAAAACTTTTCATAATTTTTATTTTTAATTTTTAGAGGTACATAATAGTTGTACATATTTATGGGTATATGTGATATCCAAATACAAGCATACAATGTGTAATAAATTAGGGTAATTGAAATATCAATTACCTCAAATATTTATCATTTCTTTGTGTTGGGTACATTTCAAATCAACTTCTCTAATTATTTTGAAATATATAACAAATTATTATTCACTATAGTCTTCCTATTGTGCTACTAAATGATAGATCTTTTTCCCACTATCTAACTGTATTTTCATACCCAGTAACCAACCCATCTTCTTTCTCTTCTCCAAACTACCCCTTTGATCCACTGATAACCATCATTCTACCCTCTGCCTCAAGGAGAATCAGTTTTTATCTTCCACATATGAGTGAGAATGGATAATAATTGTCTTTCTGTGCCTGGCTTATTTTGCTTAAGTTACTGACTTCCAATTGTATCCATGTTGCTCCATTGACATTATGTCACTTCTTTTATGGCTGAATAACATTAAAATGTGTATATATACAACATTTTCTTTATCCATTGATGTTCACTAAGATTGATTCCATATTTGCTGTTGTAAATAGTGCTGCAACAAACATAAAAGTGCAGATAGCTTACTGATATACTGAACTTCTTTATTTTGGTTACGTATCCATCAGTAGGATTGCTGGATCATATGGAAGTTCTATTTTTAATTTTTAGAGGGATCTTTATGCTGTTTTTCATAGTGGCTATACTAATTTACATTCCCACCAACAGTGTGTGAGTGTCTCTTTTCTCTTATGATGATATGGTTTGGCTCTGTATCCCCACCCAAATCTCATATGGTTTGGCTCTGTATCCCCACCCAAATCTAATACTGAATTGTAATTCCCAGTGTCGGAAGAAGGACCTGGTGGGAGGTGATTGAATCATGGGGGCAGACTTCCTCTAGTGCTATCTTGTGACAAAATTGTCATGAGATCTGGTTGTTTGAAAGTGCATAGCACCTCCTGCTTTGCTCTCTCTCTCTCTCTCCTGCCATCCATGTGAATATGTACTTGCTTCCCCTTCATACTCTGCCATGATTGTAAGTTTCCTGAGGCTTCCCCAGATACAGAAGCTGGTATAGCCTGAAGAACCATTAGGTGATTAAACATCTTACATCTTTCTTTAGAAATTATCCAGTCTCAGGTATGTCTTTTTTCTTTTTTTTTTTTTCTTCCCTGAGATGGAGTTTCATTCTGTCGCCCAGGCTGGAGTTCATTGGCACAATCTTGGCTCACTGCAACCTTCTCCTCTCAGGTTCAAGCTATGCCTCAGCCTCCTGAGTAGCTGGAATTACAGACACGCACAACCACACCTGGCTAATTTTTGTACTTTTAGTAGAGAAGATATGTCTTTATAGCAGTGTGAGAACAGACTAATACAGATGATATCTCATTGTACTTTTGATTTCAATTTCTCTGATGTTTAGTTTTGTTGAGAATTTTTTCGCATACCTTTTGGTCATTGATAGGTCTTCTCCATGAAAGATGTCTACAATGAAAATTCTGAAACACTGATGAAATAAGTTGAAGACTACACAGAAAACGGAAAGAAATCTCATGTTTATGGATTGGAAGAATCAATATGGTTAAAATGCTCATACTACTGAAGGTGATCAACAGATTCAATGCAATCCTTAACCTATGACATTCTTCACATAAATAGAAAAAACAATTATAAAATGTATGTAGAACCACAAAATACCCAGAACAACCAAAGTAATTATAGGCAAAAAGAAAAAAGCTAGACACATCCCATTACTTGACTTCAAATAGTAAAGCTGTAATAATCATTGCAGCATGGTACTAGCATAAAAACAGACAAATAGACCAATGGAACAGAATAGAGAACTCAGAAATAAATCCACAAACTTAAAATGAACACATTTTTGACTAAAGTACCGAGAATTTACACTGAGGAATATCAGCCTCTTTAAAAAATGCTGTTGGGAAAACTGGATCTCTGTAATGCAGAAGAATGAAACGAGACCCCCTTTTCACCATATAACATCTTAGTTAAATATTAAATGGATTAAAAACTTAAATGCAAGAACTTAATCTATGTAACTGCTAGAAGAAAATATTAGGGAAATGCTTCAGGATATTGGCCTGGACAAAGATTTCTTGAGTAGGACCTCAAAAGCACAGGCAACCAAAGCAAAAAATAGACAAATGGGATTAAATCAAGCTAAAATGTTTCTGCACAACAAAGGAAAAAATTAACAGTTACAACAACCTACAGAATGGCAGAAGATATTTGCAAACTATTCAACTAATGAAGAATTAATAACCAGAATATATAAGAACATTGACATTTTAAGACATTGGTTTGGGCAAAGATTTCTTGGGTAAGACCTTAAAGGCACAGGCAAGCAAAACAAAAATGGACAAATGGCATCAAATCAAGCTAAAATGTTTCTGCACATCTAAAGAAACAGTTAACAAAGTTGAGACAACCCTATAGAATGGGAAAAAATGTTTGCAAACTGTTCAACTAACAAGGAATTAATAACCAGAATATATAAAGGAGTCAAACAACTCAATAGCAAAATAAACACATAATTTGAGTAAAATATGGCAAAATCTTTTTATCTTTTGTAAGCCGCATCCTGATTTCAGAAATTTTTAAGTAAAAAATTGTGTATCTAAGAATTGACAATGTAAAATATTTTCATTTCACTTTCATATTAATCACTATACACTACGCATTATCTTATGATTGACTCATGTTTCCTTATCACTTGAAAACTTACATGTTTGAAGGACATATACCCTTTTACAAAATATGTAGTTTTTAAATCCCATTTAAAAAATGTTTGTCTTCATTTCAGTAGTTTTAAGGGTACCGGTAGTTTTTGATTATGTTTATAAGTTCCTTAGCAGTGATTTCTGAGATTTCAGTGCACCCATCACCCAAGCAGCGTACACCCAATATGTAGTCTTTTGTCCTTCAACCCCTTCCCAGTTTTCCCCTTGAGTCCACAAAGTCCATGCACATCCTCATAGCTTAGCTCCCATTTATAAGTGAGAACAAACTATATTTGGTTTTCAATTCCTGAGTTACTTCACTTAGAATAATGGCCTCCAGCTCCATCCCAATTGCTGCAAAAGACATAATTTTGTTCCTTTTTTATTCCATGGTGTATATAAACCCCATTTTCTTTATCCACTCATTGGTTGACGGGCACCTAGGTTAGTTTCACATCTTTGCAACTGTGAATTGTGTTGTTATAAACATACAAATGCATGTGTATTTTTCATAAAATGACTTATTTTCATTTGGGGACTATATTTGTCCATTCTCACACTGTATAAAGAACTGCCCAAGACTGGGTAATTTATAAAGAAAAGAGATGTAATTAACTCACAGTTCTGCATGGCTGGGTAGGACTCAGGAAACTTACAATCATTTTGGAAGAGGAAACAGGCACATATTACATGGTGGCAGGAAACAGAATGTGGGTGCAAGTGCAGGAAACATTTTATAAAACCATCAGGTCTCATGAGAGTTCACTCACTATCATGAGAAAAGCATGGGGGGAAAGCATCTCCTTCAACAGGTGGAGATTGCAATTTGAGATGAAATTTGGGTGGGGACACAGAACCAAACCATATCAGGTACATACCCAGTAGTGGGATTGCTGGAGTGAATGGTAGTTCTACCTTTAGTTCTTTAAGAAATCTTCATGCTGTTTTTCATAGTGGTTTTAAAAATTTAAATTCCCACCAGCAGTGTAAAAATATTCCCTTTTTCACCACATCCAGGCCCACATCTATTTTTTTTTTACTTTTTAATTATGTCTATATTTTATGAAATATTTAAATTTAACTAAATGTGAAGCTCAAGCAGTCATATAAAGTGGCTGCTGTATAATCAGTTTAGTACCTTTAAAATAGGAAATTCTTTACACAACAATGACACATTCTAGTTTTAAACTGGATGCTTCTGCAGGTGATTTTGCTCTCCTTTTGAATTTAATTAAACTTACAAAATGTAATGGCATATTTACAGCTGCCTGAGAGCAATGGTAAGTTTTATTTAGATCTGAAAACAATGTGATACACACATTTTCATAATTTATAATTTATGTAAGCATAAGTAATCTATGATTCTGAAATATGCCATAAAAAATTACTGGGGTTCAATCATTTCACTTTACAGTTATGCATAGTGCTATGATCCCATCTCATGATTTTAAACTTGTACTAAGATACTTATATCTTACTTATTTCTTATTGATTTCCTGAGCCTTTTCTCCCAGTCTTTCTCTTAATTCCTAAAGAAAATTATTCCAAAGAGAACATGGTTAATACATAATCTGAAACTGTGGTATAAGTTAGAGGCTCACAGTTATTTTTAAAATCATTGCAAGATTATTTTTTACAATGATAAAGAGAAAATATGTAATGTTAGGTTAGGTAGGACTTGCAAGTATCTATAGTTGTGTTTCAGATAATTTGTAGGGGACTTCTGGTCTATCCAGCATTTGACTAAACATCTATTTAGAAATGTTTCCCAGGTATTGGTAAGAAAGTTCTGCCTTTTCACGCAGAAGAAAGTGGTAGGAATACATTTCATTTTTCCTTTTCCTGGCAGCTACATTGTGGACATGTGACCTAAGCTTGGCCAAATGCATATTCCTATCTGCTCTTCTGTCTTATAGTAACAACAAGACATGACAAGACATTTTTTAAGCCAGATAAGATTTATGGTGGAATAAAAAGACTCAAGTATTGTGAATGACTAATGATGCTAGTTCTAGAAACATGTAACAAAATTCCAGAAATGTAGAGCTCCAAGGATAGTTGTAGCCGAGCATGCGTTATTGTTCCTAATCAGTATTTCTCTTTCCAGATCCTAACTCTGCCTTTTCCTTTATTGGATCTGGGCATTGATAAATTTTCTTCTGCTGGTAACCTCTAACTATTCTCTAGTAATTCTATCAAATATCACATATTCGCAACTAGGTATTCAGGCTTGTGCTGTGAACCTAAACCGGCATTTTGATTGGTTAAAAATGTGCCATGTGTTACTCATCAGTCTTGAGAGTTGAGTCAATACTACCCACACCAAAAGGTTTAATGTGGAAGAGAAATGTGACCCTTGGCAAAAATCTTGGGGTGATAACAAGAAGGAGAAACAATAGAGGCTAGCTAGATAGGTAGAAACAACAGCAATTTTCTCCATTTGGTAAAGACTCTTCTAAATGACTTCTCTGTATAATTCAAGAGGGAAACAAGCAGTTTCAGTTTTTTGAGGAACTAAGCCTGTGAGTTGAAAGCTGTAGGTCATGGATAAAATACCAGTTGGGAATAGTGGAGGTGAGTACAGCTACTGGATTTAAAACTATAATGCACAGTTTATTCAAGCCCAATTTTAATATATTCAGAAAAAATTATCTTCTTAAGTATCAGTGTTTTGCCAACGTTCAAACAAATGCTGGGCTAATAATCATTTAAATAATTTTTTTCAATAAGAGGCATTGCAATCGTAAGCAAATAGGCAAGATGATCAGGACAATTAATGTGAGTTCCACATTTTGAAAACAATTTTACAGCACTTATTTTAATTTAGGCAATTAACATGTCACTCAGCTTTCCCTTTCCTCACACCAACAAAATATTCCTATTCCTCTTAAATCAGATCAATGTGAGTAGTGAAAATGATAAAAATGCATTTATGTACAATTGTGCAATGCAATAACATTTTCACGAACATCATCCTGTTAGAACATAAAATCCACGAGGGTAAGGTTTTTCATTTTTTTATCATTATCTGTATTTATAGTTTCTAAAACAGAGTGAAGAATGAATAAATATATAATTTTACTGGTATCAAAAGGCAAAGTAAATTTTAGTTGCTGGGCTGGAAAAAATATTTATTCACTCATATATGTGTTATATGTAATCAATTATATATGTATATTCTCATATATTTTTACAAAAAGTATATACACAGATTTAGAAATATCCATATATATGGTCCTTTCTAAGTTGAACTTGTCTTTTTACTTAACCATGCAATTTGTCAAAGAATATATTAATACTTTAAAAGTCAGAAGACCACTAATGAATGTATCAGGCGATAAGAATTGGAGTAACAGCTTACAAGTTGCTCCAAACAAAGTAAAATAAATAAATAAATAAAAAACAATAAAACTTTTAGTTAAATGGGAAAAATATTGATAAATGGCTAAACTCTTTCTGAAAACTAAATAACAATTAGTCCCAACTTCAGTCAAACATCCACTAACTTATGGAGACTTTTCTGACTTCATGGGTTGCCTACAGCTAATTTGAAGAGAAAGGTTTGGAAACCATTATTTCATTAAAAGGTGCATAGGATAACTGTGAAATCTATTCAGATAACCTCGATGAAGGGCACGGGCCCGGTTTAAAGCATTGGGAAAAGCTGACAAGATGAAGTGTCTTCTCAATTTATTCTTAAAGAATGAATAGAAGCTTTCCTAAAAAAAAAGAATGAGAGGAAAACTTCCAGCAAGGTGAGAAAACCATTTCAGGTGAAATTTTCAGTTATTTGGGGAAACTATTTTATAATTGGTTTCAATTTTAATTTAGACTGTCAGCAGACCAGTTGACTCACTATGAAATCTACTTATAGTTGCGTTTCTTAGTGTAGACGGTACCATCTATAAAAGGTGTTTTGAAAATTAGTGGTGATACATTGGTCACAGTATTTGTGCAATAATTGGAAAATATACTGCCATGGAGTCAGAGGCAGGAGCAAAAAAGTGGGATATTTTGTAAAGCCCAGAAAGTTTTATACAAAGGAAATGTATTCCACAGCTCACCAAAATTTTAAATGCCCTGTCAGAACTTCATTTAGAATCACAAAATAAACTTAAAATACATTAAATTATATACTATAAAATAAAACGAACTACTTACAATTATCTCAGTAGAGAACCTAACTGATTTTCTACTTACAGAAAGATTTTGAGTTTAATACATCATAAGTCTAGGTATGCAGCTACTAACTGAAATTAGGATATGCTTTTTAGGTTATTTTGTTCAGAACTTTACTAAGATTAGTGCTGCTTGTGATATTTGAGTTCCAATGCAGTAAGCCTTAATATTCTACGTTTAATATGGTTTTACTTATGTACTTCCACATATAGGCATCAGCCTTTCTTAATTTTTCTGGAGGGTTGTGCCTGAAATTTACATATTAGGGTACATATTATGAAATATTTTCCACCTATTTTTTATGACAGTGCAAGCTTTATTTTTGTTGTTATTATTGTCTTAATTATATATATAGATAAGTTATATTATGTGTGGGTATCTTTTCAGGAAAGTAAAATATCACAACGTATGCTTCATCTAAATGATATGATAGGGTTAGGAACTGCTGTTCGGAAAGGATAAAAGGAATAGTACAAATTGCAGAAACCTGTAAAAACTAAATTCTCAAAACCTATGCACTATTGAACTATACACTTTTTCTAAATTAAAAAAGTAAGTGTTGCACTAATCATGAGAGAAAATGTTACAACAGTGAAAAATTTCAAAGTCAGCACCCTTCTTCACTCACCTCTGCTACCTATGTCTCTAAAATGACTGTGTTTCTAACTCATGAATAACCACAGCAGGAGTTGTGACAAGAGGCTGCCCTGAGTCCAGTTCAGCTTTCTGGCTCAATGGGTGCAGCTGCAGCTGTTTTTAATCAGATACATTTTTGGATATCTTTCCAGAGAGTGAAGTGCTCTAATTTTGAAGTTCCAGGAATAACATTTGGCTTAATGGAAATGTATGAGTGTACACAGTTGCCTAGAACTACTGGCTGCTGGAGTGAACTGTGGACATGCATCAAAATCACTGCCCATTTCAATGTGCCATATACGTTTCCATGTTCAGGCCTGACGGTCTTCCCTATACCCATCCAGATTTGTCATCCAAATGTGTTGTAAACATTTAACCTGAAACCCTGTGAATTATGCTGTCCAATTATATTGGAATCTGAACAAATGGACAGAAAGGAATACCAGTAAATTCATCATTGTATTAGCTGAGACAAATACCTTTTTTTTTGTCCTTTTTCTATTTAAGCCAATATAGTATATTCAAATGAAAGTGAATGCAGTACGTAGTACGTAGGGATCTCTCCAAATCTATAACATGCATGAAACCAAAGATTCTCACTAGAAATTTTAAAAATTAAATGCCTTTATGTCAATATAAACCCAAAAATATGCTAGAAAAAAGGAAGGTTTAAAATCATATTAGAACATAGCTATGATATAAAAGTAATGTATGCATCAAAGTAGACAGCCCTCATTTTAATGAACTTAAAAATAAAATTAAGTATTTATACTTAATGAATACGAAATGTAGATATGTAAATATATACAGAGATCCACCAACTAGTTTTAAATGTTTGATCAAACTGACATTTACCAGCATTATTTTAGTTGAAAATCATGTAATTAAATTGAGAATTGTTGATGTGATTTTATAAATGATATTCATCATATGCTTCCATTAATTTGACTTTGATGACCATATGAGATCAGCATTTTTGAATTTACCCATTGCTTGATGATTGGCTATTGGCAAATAGATTAACCATTTTGTCATGTCATTCTGATTTATGTGTGAGAACACTGTGATAGCTAAACTAGATTTTGAGTGGAAAGGAGCAGTTATTGAGTATGATAGGAGCTACTTTTCCCTAAATTAAACTTATTGAGGCACTGGGAACCCCTTTTGCTCTGGCGTAAAGGAGTACGCTATTTTCTTGATAATCACATAACCTGAATTTTTAAATCTAAAATATATTTTTGTACCTGTGATTATTACTGTAATAAGTATTTAATAATATTCACATAAAATTGTGCATAGAAATAAATATATTTGTAGAAATATATGGATATATTTGTAATACTAGGAAGCTCTAAGCACAAAAATAAAAACAAGACTGTAAACATAAAATTTAGGACCACAGATGCTGAAAGCCAGGCATTGGACATTTAGAGGCGGTGCAAGACTTACTTTGAATCTCAGTAATACACAATTATATCATTATTATATTATGGAACCAGAGATGAGAATCTATGGAGCAAATCTGGTCTGGCATCTATTTTTGTAAATAAAGTTTTATTGAAACACTGCTATGCCTATTTTTCACCCTGTTGTTGCTTTTCACCCTGTTGGCTTTTGTGCTATGGCATCAGAGTTAAGTAATTGTGACAGAGACCATATGGTCCTAAAAAATTAAATTATTTACCGTTTGGCATGTTACAAATATGTTCTGCTAATCCCTATTCTAGCATATTAATTAGCATTTGTAGTTGAGTTCTGAGCCATTAAAATTGCATATGTTTATTTAATATGTTTCATTATTCTACTTAGAAAAACAGAAACATGCATGATATCTTTGGTTAATAATTCTACAACCCAAAAATTGTGTTCATAGATTAAACACTCCAGTGCTTCCTTTTAAATGCCCTTCTATTGAATGTGTCTGGAATCAGCAGATAATTTATTATTTTTTTATTCTGACAACCAAGTAGTGTGGCCATTTGGAATTCAATCATGTGTTTTAGATACAATGACTTTAACTGAGGCCACAATCTCTTTCAGTGTATTTAATTCATTCATTCAACATTTATTGAACACTATATTTGTGCTATTCACCGAGAACATTTCCTAAGTGCAGGTGTATGAAGGAAACATGATTCTAAAGCTAAAGGAGATCTTACCCTAGTGAGAAGAACCAAAATAAGAATCATCACCACTATTCTGTTTGGTTCAAACTCATGCTTCACTGGGGGAGCACAGTGCAGTGTGTTGTAAACTCACTTCCATGTTCAGGGTGCCAAGACATTACAGAAATAAATACAGTTAAGATTATTGCATAGTATTTACAGACAAGGTTTCTTCTTTATGTTCTCCAGGAGCAAAATCCAGAAGAAGCTAATAGATGCTTTAAGTGTTTTTGAAATATGGATGTAAGATGTTCAACTTTGGCTAGTGAGTTCATACAACACAATAACATTCCTTGGAGACATTAAATTTCCAGCTCTTTCTATAGCATTAGAACCATCTTAATTAACAAATTTTCCTTGAGCATCAAAAACAAATAGAATACTGTTGCTGGTACAAAAAAGGGAAATAAATATCAGATCTGGATTAAGCTTTCAACTGGGGTGAGGAAATGCCAAATAATGAAACATGTCTAAAATGCTCAGTATACTACTCATAAGATTCCACAGTCTAAATAAAAGATCAGGCCGGATAGGTTCTCCCAATTTTTTTCAAGGAATCTGGCAAGATATAAAAGACCATTGTCTTTGAATGATAAGTCTGAAATCTGGACAGAGTACTGAACCCATGCATCCAAAATATTACTTTTCTTTCTCTGAAGATAATTTCAGACAATATCTCAACCTCATAAAGAGAATGAGGTTCCTTCTCAACATGCTTTTGAGAGGACTGACCAAAGTACTTCCATGGAACCTTGTAAAAGACAAGTGTTATGCATAATGTAAGCAAGGACCAGAGGCGAAAAATGCAGATCACTACTGTCAAATATGACCAAGTGTGAAACAGATTTATTTTGGACCTGATTAAAAAAAAAAAAAAAAAGTAGAGTTTTTCGTATGTATTTTTTCCTAGAAGTAAGTTAAATACTTTTATGATTTTTCATCTTGTGTAAACTATCTGAAGAAAAATGAATAATGGAAAACTCTTGATTTCACACAACCAGAGTGCATGTATTTATACTTAGGAAGTTTCTCAAAATAGAAAATTCACATTTCAAGATCATCGCTGAGTGCCTCCCTAGAAAAGTTTTGACTCATTCAGTCTAAACTGTGAGCCCTTTATTATTTTTCCACAGCTCATAAACTTCAGCTCCATTGTACATGTTATACTTTGTAACTTCATAGTTTTAAATTTATGTATTTGTGTGAATATATAGAAAAGTATATATGTATATATATGTGTCTTTATATATATCCTGTTTTCTTGGATTTTTGATTTTGTTCTTGTTTTTTTTTTTTTCTTTCTGACATGTCAGAACTATAAACTACATACTCCATAATGTCTTTTTGAAAACAGAAGTAAGAGATACATTCTTCATTTGAAAGTGATCCATGGAGTGACATCAGCAAGATAAACAACTAAATTGCCTGGCTTTGGGTGCCTTTGGCACCCCAAAATGTGCCAAAACAATGATTAAACAACTACATTTTGGCTAGAATATCTGAGGAATTGTACTGGAGAGTGCCAAGGGAACAGTGAAATGCTTGTGGAGCACAGAAGCTCAGGATAGTCAATAAAGAGGGCAGTGAGGCATCCTGCCTCTGCCATATTGTCTCTCTCACTGGGATCAGATCAGAGCCAGAGTACTCTTCTTATGGGCAAAAGGTGAGATGGATACCCTTAGCAATCCTCATTACCATCATAGACACCAGCAGTCATTGCTACAGAAGGGTCCCCCAGTCTTCACAGACCCCAAGTCCAGTGTGAACAGTTAGTTGCCAAGAGTCCACACAACTGTATTTCCCGAGAGCAGGGACTCCCTTTATGTCCTCAAACCTTGAAACCTAAGTGGTTATGGCATACCTTCCTTTTGAAACTGTGAACTTTATTTCTCAACTTAAGCTCTATCAACTTCAAGACACTACTGTAAGTAAAATGATATCAGCCATTTATTCCACCCCTAAAGAACTGAGGTTACTGGGAATTTAGTCCTTTTAATGCAGTCTTTTTTACATTATTAACCGAAGAAAATTGAGTTCCCTTAAAAATAAATTAGAGAACAAAATTAAGTCAGAAAAAGCCAAATTTGGACTGTAAGGTGAATGCCTAATGATTTCCTGTTGAAACTCTTTCAAAATTGCCCTTATCTGATGAGAGGTTGAGCAAGAGCTTTGCTGTGGTAATGAAGGACTCTCTTGTGCGGTTTTCCTGGGTGTTTTCCTGCTAAAGCTTTGGCTCACTTTCTCAAAACACTCTCATAATAAGCAGATATTACCATTCTTTGACCTTCCAGGAAGTCAACAGGCAAAATGCCTTAAGCATCCCAAAAAACTGTTGCCATGACCTTTGCTCTTGGCCAGGTCACTTGTTCCCGGACTGGCCCACTCCCACCTCTTGGCAGTTCTCGCTTTGCTTGTGCTTTGTCTTCAGGAGTGTACTGTCCTGATATTTGATCTTCTGTTATGATTCTTTGAAGAAGTGCTTCAGGATCATGATTCCACTTGTTTGAAATTTTCATTGAAAGCTCTGGTCTTGTCTGCAGCTAATCTGGTGCAATCATTTTGGCACCCATCAAATAGAAAGTCTTCTCATCATTAGTAACTTAGAACTGTGTGAGCTGAACCAATTGTTATGTCTGTGCTGTTGGCTGTTGTTTCTGCTATTACTTGTTGATCCCCAATTAGAACACTAAGAAGATTATTTTCCTCAAATTGTTGTTAATGGACTGCCATTGCAGGCTTTATTCCTAACATTCTCTTCTCTCTTATTGAAGGATATGGAGATTATGCCAATACCCTGAATTCAGAAGCTAAAAAATAAAACCGACATAGGCAGTAACTGAAAAATCAAACCGACCTGAAACTGCAACCACCAGTACATCTTTTTTTTTTCATTTTCTCACTGATTTTGTAAACTCTCCTTTCAAAACCTCAGCTAGCATATTCCTTCAAGTATAGCCATCCACCTCCAGACTTGCAGATGTGAAAAAGCTCTGAGGCTGCTCATATTTTTAGGTTGTCTTGGTTTATGTTATATGATGTGTGGAAACTCTTTACTCTTTTTCTATAAATCACCAAAACCCTTTTATGCCATTAGTGCCTCTTGACAACAATCAGTTTTTCTACACACCACTAATAAGAATCACCAACTATTCTTAATAGTGGTGTGTAGATTAAGAATCACCCACTCAGTGGGTCCCGGACTGCATTGCACGCTGAACCATATAGAGAAAATTCTAACACTACATGACAGTGTCATTTGTCATGTTTTCTGATTAAACTACTGATTAAACTATAGGTATTTTTAATTATATCTAACCAACATTTTCTACTGAAGATTTGGACATTGCTTCTTGCTTAGGAAACGTAATTTGTATGGTGGAATATATATGTGGTCAAAGTCTCAGTTATTTCTTAGCCTCATAAGTTATCTGGCAACTTAGCATAGTCAGGTCTCTTAGCCTTGTTGCTCATCAATATCCCTGGGTGTAAACTGGGGATATGACAAATATATTTCCTTTAGAGTTTTTGGAGAGAAACAAATGTGATTATGTTTATAAATATATCTTATAAAATGTTTTACTGTACATATGAAAGAAAATATTTTAAGTTAAATGTGTGAAATTACTTTCTCTTGTAACAACGGATTGCTTTCTATTTATCAGAGAGAAATATCGTACCATATTTCTCAATAAATTTTCTGACCACTTTTTCAGAGTTCAGAAAAACAATGATCCTTTTTTCAATCAATAAATGTGTCACACCTTCTTAATTCAGATCTTTCTGCTTTTCCATCTCTGGATTATGTACAAGTATGTGTCAGTCCTTTTGTTTTCATGTGGTTTGCGTTTTTTCTTTTGTAAGTAAGCAATCAACCCAGTTTACCTAAGGCAGGATTCTTTGTTTTATTTAATTAAACATAATAAAGCCAAAAACTTCTTGAACATATTCAGTAGAATCCAAAGTTCTGGGGCTCTGGTATATTTTAGGTTTTCAGAAACAAAGGACATTATGGCTTTTATCATGATTTAATTTCCTCGATACAGGGTTCATATGAGTCTCCTTATTAAAGAAGAATAATAGATGTAGACCTCAAGAACTAAATTCAATTTGTTAACATATTTTATTTGACTGTTATCTGGAGACAGTCTACAATATTACATTCTCATCTCCAAGTGCCTTTAACATACTAGCACAGAGTGAATTTCTTGTCTATTTTTGAACCCATCTCAGCTGAATGAAAATAACAACTGTTGTATAGGGATGTTGTAAGAGTCTAAATACTGTTTATAAATTACTACAAAGCCTGGCACATAGTGGCCAGTGAATCATATATTGATCCCTTCTATTTTTCATGATTATCTTTTATAGAATTATATTTTAGAATTTAACTCATTACATTAGATTTAAACTAATTACTCATTACAAATAGAGTGAAAAGTAAAATATATTTTCCCTTTTCCATGATGCTTCACAGGCACACCTGAGATAGGTTTGATCTATATACTTATATTTAGATGTGAGAGACACAAACTGTACCCACAAGATAATCTCCTGAGAGTAGAAAGTCTCATAGCCCTTCTCTATCTCAAGGTAAAAGCTAAATCTCCATACAACTCTAACACAGTGATACATGATTGCCCTGTCACTGTGGCATTGGTTCTGAAATCATTCCCCTTCATACTCCTTAACAAGTCACCTTTAAGGCATGGTTAAATTTGCATTTTTTTCCTGTTAGGAATTCCAGAACTACTACTAGCATTTTTATTTCCATTTCAAATTCAATAAATAAGAAGGTTGTTTATTATTTCCTTGCCTCTACTAAGAGAGAAAATAGTTGTGATTTATGAATTTTAAATGTGAAAACAATATATAAGAATGCTTGCTAGAATGTTATAGCTACACAGCTACTATAGCTCTGGGTTTGAGCAGAGATTAATCCATTCATTTGATATTTATTGAGTACTTGGTTATATAGCACTAAAAAAGTTAATCATTACATTTATACACAAGATGCTTACAGGGATTAATGAAAACTTTGGATAAGTACCCACACTGTAAATACTATCATATAAGCTTATGTTTTCATACTGTTATGTTTCACACAATCCTCAACACATCTCAAATGGCATCCTTAATAGATGCAAAATTGGCTTCTTCCATAATAAAGAAGGGAAGTCAATTGAACTTCAACCAGACAAGAGTGTATTACATTTTTATACTCAAGAATTATTTACATGATTATTGGTTTTCCACAAATTTTCTTCTATCTCTACAAAATTGTAAAATAGGTCAAAGAAAATGAAAATCACAAACTTCAAAAAAACAAATAACCCAGAAAAGTATATACCAAACAGTGCGCTGTTTTCCATGAAAGATGCCTTTTGGCCCAATAACAAGTCTTCCAGAATTTTCCTTATAGCACATTCAGACCCTTAGTCTTACCCTTTATTTGTGGCCCCCTGTTTTGGAGAACTTACCAAACTCTCTTGATTAGAGTTTTGCACCAATTCTTCTTATATTTTAGCATGATGATTAATGTCTCTGGTCCCACGGTTTAAAAGATCTTGATATCAATCTTGGGTCTGCCACTAGTTGTGTGACTTATGGACACTTGTTTAGCATCTGGGTCACTACTTCATCAGTAAAACTGACATAAATCTTGTTGTGATGATTGAATGTGATAATGTAAGTGTTTACCTCAATGCCGGGCACAGACTATGTTCTTTATAAATGTTTGATCTTATAGCTATTGTTATTTATTTCACTGTCATTATTAATTTGATCTTTATTTTTGATTAGGGCAAATACATTTATCCCTAACTTCGGGGCACTCGCAGTGCTCTAAAGCTCAGTTATCTCACTCTGCTTTCATTGTCAGTATTTTAGTATCTGCCTCCTTCACTTACAGAACGGTAAGACCCTGATACTGAGCCAGTATTCAATGTTTTCCATGACATCTTGTTGATGTATTCAATCAATAAACAGTTATTAAATGCCATTCTCCCTAATCTGATGGAGCTCATCTATCTGCCAAGCAAATGCAATAAGTAAGACCTAGCCTCTGCATTTAATATACCTCCAATATTTCTATGAATGTAGAAATATAATAATACCACCCATTTGCTGAATTTTTTTATGTGACAGGTACTATGCCAAGAATGTACACACACATGACCTCATTTAATACTCTCAATAATCATTTAAAATTTGTTCCCATACCACCACTATATATCAGAGAAGCAACCAGACAAATTATGTTCAAAGTAAGAAAACAATGTAGACTTTGATGAAGTGTCATGACCATTGAGTTAGCCAGGTGCAAGAATTGCCGAAGGATGCTTAAGGTAAGGGGAATGGCATAAACAAAGCACAGAGGCATAATAGAGCATGAGGAGTTCATATTTCTTAAATAATAAAAGATGGCTTTGTTGACCTGTAAGTTGCTGATAGGGGAATGTAAAGCTAAAATATGTACTCATGTGCAGATACTCTAAGACCTTATATAACAGTGTATAAAAACTTCAGACTTCACTAGTTACTAAGGCTTCATTGACTTCAGTTAAACATTAAAAAGGATAGATACACTCTTGATGCATAGTTAAATCTATAAAACAGTTTTGTGAAAGTGAATTTGTAGAAAAAAGTAGGGGGACAGTGCCTTCTCTTTATAAAGGTAAAATAAAAAACTTTAAGTCTTGCAAATTGTAAACCAGATGCCAGTGGCAAGAGGCACATTTCTCCTAAAACATAGCTACTTGCCACTGAGAGATTAGCAATGTAGTTAGATGTCAAAATGCATCATTCTCATGTATTCCCTTACCCAACATTACCATTTTCTTATTTGAAAAACCTGAAAGTAATAAAGCACAGTATCTCACTTATCTAATTCTGAGATGTAGAAGCCTACAATAAGTAAGATGGGGTAAAATGTATCTGTAATAATTGGGTGATTAATTTATGACTACAGAGAAAAGTCAAAGTAACTTTCTTCTCCCTACTACTTTTCTACATCCGTACCTCTCCCATTCTAGTCTGCACTGTCATGACATCATCCAGATCTCTGCAAGAGCAGCTGCCTGAGAGAACTGTCTGCCATTCTTCTGTGCCTCCAAGCTGTTTTCCAAATTGTGGCTAGGAGAGTTTCTATCATGTTCCCCTTTCTGAAATACTTAGTACATTTAATAGTCTCTATTAGATAAGTTCTAGTCTCAATAATGATATATAAGCTCCCTATGAACTGCTGACAGCCTCTTTCTTTATCAATCTTGACCTGCTATAAATATTTGTCACTGAAAGTCCTAAATATTACATAATTTTACATTTCTTATTTTTGTTCTTCTGCTCATGTTTTCTTGTCCCCACCCACTTCTGCCTGAAATGCCTTTCCATATTTTCTTTACTCAGATAATTCTTACTCTTCTATACAACTTCAATTTATGTCTCATACAGAAAATCTTGCTGAATACTAACTTTGGGATAAGAGACCTTTCTCTTTTTATACATCATATTGAAAGTTTATATTTATGTCTCTTGCATTACTCCCAGTTCTAATGCTCTCAAGTTTTCCCCGGTATACCTCAAACACCGGCCAACACTTATACACTATTCAAAATACAATTAGACCCAGTACTCCAAAATTTCACACTGATTGCACATACAGAGGCCTATTAACATGACTATGAATTTCTAGCAATGTGTGCATACCTCTACCTCTGCACTTATGGTCAAACAATGTATTTGATATCTCCTCCATGGTTTTAAAAGTTTTTAGTTGTTTTCTTAAATTACTTCTGGAGCTCTAGACTCAAGCGTGATTTCCAGCACATAACAAATGCTTATTAATTAATTCAATAACTGCAAATTGAGAAACAACTGGATGCAGATACTGTGAAATCTTTCACAAACAATGAATACACATCATTCCCCTCAAGTAGTTTATGTCTCAAAACAGGTATCAGTCCACAACTTATCAAATGAATAAAATAGTACTGCAAGTAGAATTACCAGAATAAACATATAGCTAGTGTAGTGCTCAGAGAGGTGTATAAAAAGGGCAACAAAATTAATCAGAAGGGTCAGAGAAAGCACCCCTAAGAAAGTGTATTATTCAGAGTTATCTTAGAGAGACAGAACAGTGAGGTGAAGAAGAAAAAAAATGTGATAATATCAACAGATGCATAAAAACCAGTTGACAAAGTCCAACATCCATTCATTCATGACTATATATCATGAATATATATATTTATTTTATAAATAAATATATATATATATTTTTAATATATATATTAAATATATATATTAAATATATATATTTTATAAATAAATATATATACACACATATAACTCTCAGTAAACTAGGAATAAAGAAGAACCTCAATTTGATTAAAGTGAAATCTATAAAAAGCATACAATTAACATCATACTTAACGTTGAGAAACTAGATGCTTTCTGCTAAATCAGGAAAAAAGCCAGGTGTTCCCTCTCACTACTTTTCAACATTATACTGGAAATCCCAGCTATTGAAATAAAGGAAGGGTGTGTGTGTGTGTGTGAAAAAGAGAGGGATTGGGGAGAGAGAAAGGAAAATAAAAGTTATGCACATAAAGAAGGAACAAATAAAACTGCATTTGTATGTAAATAACATGATAATATATACAGAAAATCTGAAAAAATCATCTCAAAATGTCTCTCTTGGAACTAAAAAGTGATCCTAGCAAGATTGCAATACAGAAGAGCAATATACAAAAGCCAATTGCTTTTCTGTGTACCAGCAGTGAACAAGTAGAATTTGAAATTAAAAATGTATTTCTACTTCCATTAACACCAAAAAATAAAATACTTAGATAAAATCTAAAAAAAGATATGAGATCTATGTGAATAAAACTACAAAACTCTGATGAAAGACTTCAGGAAAAAAACTAAGTAACTGGAAAGATGTTCTAGGTTTACGAATAGGAAGACTCAATATTGGCAGTATGTTAGTTCTTCCCAGTTTGCCCTATAGAGACAGTGCAATCTCAATCAAAATCTCAGAAAGCTTTTTTTTTGATGATTTTCAACAAACTAATTATAAGCTTTACATGGAGAAGCAAAAAAAAAAAAAAAAAAAAAAGGAATAGCCAACTCCATATTGAATGAAACAAGCAAAATTGGAGAACTGACATAACCTGGCTTCAAGATTTACTTAAAGCTACAGGGATCAAGAAAGGGTTGGGTTTGTAGAATGGACAAATAGTTCCATAGAGAGAGCACTGAAAGTGGCCTAAATAAAGAAGAAAGTTCCGAAAGTCGGGATAAAAGAAGGTCATGAGAAAACAGAGTTCTTTAATTCCTTAACCCTGCTATCTATTCAAAAGTGACCAATGTATTTTAGACCCTTAGCAACCCACTCCTTATAAATATACCTCTGATCTTGGGTGAGAAATTAAGAATAATTTCAGAAGTGTTTCTTCAAAAACACCTCTTGAAAAATGGAGAGTTTTCCCATGAAATCATGAGAATAATGTTCTTTTCTTTAATTTATTTTATCTATTTTGAGACAGAGTCTCGCTCGAGTCACCCAGGCTGGAGTGCAGTGGCGTGATTGCGGCTAACTGCAACCTCCGCCTTCTGGGTTCAAGCAATTCTCCTTGCCTCAGCCTTCCGAGTAGCTGGGACTACAGGCATGTGCCACCATGCCCAACTAATTTTTTGGTATTTTTAGTAGAAACTGGGTTTCATCATGTTGGCCAGGCTGGTCTTGAACTGCTGACCTCTAGTGATCTGCCCGTCTTGGCCTCCCAAAGTGCTGGGATTACAGGCGTGAGCCATTGCACTTGGCTGAAAGTTCTATTCTTAAATCTAATATGTATTTTTCTTTAATAAATACGAATCAGTTCCAAAATATATTGCTCTTCTCTTCACTATGCCAATGTAATTTTTTATTAAATATATACTTCTACGTATTTTGGGTATGTTGACATTAAATTTCCCTTTAGCTTGAAAGTATATAGGGTTTACATTCTACACTAAGAATGTTTAAAATATGTAAGTGCTCTACTGAACTGTGCTGGGGGAAATACTATATTGAATGAAAATTATATCATATGCTTGCTCTGAGCTTGTTGTGTTCAGTTCTTCCTCTGCACCAAAATCCATATACAGATATTTTAAAAACATTGGTAATGTATGTAAACAGCTGGATATTCTAATTTGGGACATTTAGTTTGAAGCCTGAATATCTGTAATTTTTTTCAAATACTTATATTTGGCCTGTGCAGCCAAATTAAGGATCATTTATTTAAGGAGTCATAAGTTAGGTGAGCAAAAGACAAATAACTTAACAATGGTTAGATTTTTTTGTAAAGCACTTGCAAAAATGTATCAATATTCTAACTAAAAGAGATCAAATGTGCAAAAAGGGAGAAATCCTTTCTTGTCTAGATAAGCTCAATATTATTCTCCTTCTTACTTCTATTGCCTGGCCTGATGCCAAACAATTATCTTTCATAAAATTAGGTGGCTGCATGGATGGATGGATCATTTTATGCGGGAAAGCATAATAAGATAGATGTATGAATGGACAAATTATTAATTGGTAGATGGGTGAGCGGGCAAATGGATGGATGCATGAAAAATGGATTGATATGTGAGTAACTGAGTGGAAAGATAAAGGATGAATGGATGAGTGAATGAGTAGCAGGATTTATAACTAGATTACTTGGTGAATGAATGGATGCATGAATGACCAAACAAAGTATGAAAAAAGAGAAGGAACTCTTGACATTTTAACACCTTCTTGTAATGCCCAATACCAAATTAAAGAAAATAAACATTTAAAACACTTGGTATCAATGTTGCATTTTGGCAATGTTTATTACTTATCTGGTTATATTAAGAATTTGATTCTGATTAAAATATCATTATGAGCTATATCCAAGTAGGAGTAAAGTAAAAATAGTTTACTGACCATCTTCAAGAATGGTTGAATCAACATTTTGACATACTAAGTACAATTTCAGAGGATGTAATCTGTTGAACCAGGGAGAAGCAAGGCAAGCCTAGACAAATAAAGCATTCTGTAAAAATCACTGGGGAAGCAACAAAAAGGGAACAAACGGATATATTTATTAAACTCTAAATTCTAGATAATCAGCCCAATGGTGAAAGCAGTAGTATTTATTATGCATCAGCTTTTTAGTCTCCCTAAAATTTTGATTGGCCTAAGAGGCAATTATAAGCTAGGAAAAATACAATTGTGATTTACAGCAGTATATTACATTCTACGTGAAGAATGTATGAATGTTCTATGGGTTTTTACATGTAAGAATGTTCTATGGGTTTTTCATCACAGAAGCCTTTACAAATACAAAGATTATATCTAGGCCATATAAATTTAAAAAATATGTTTTCAGTTCATCTTTAAACAGTTAAGTATTAAATTTTAAATAAAATACACATCAACTATTTTCTTTATAGTATTTTAATACATTTTATTTTATAAATAGTTTAGTTTTACATTCACAGGAAATATTTTTAATACATTTTATTTTAAAAAATAGATTTACAGTCACAGAAAAATATTGTTTTTAATACATTTTATTTTAAAAAACAGTTTTAATTCACAGAAAAATATTATTTTAATACATTTTATTTTAAAAAATAGTTTTACATTCACAGAAAAATTTCAAAGACAATATAGATAATTCCCATATAGTCCACACTCAGATTCCCCTTCTATGAACATATTTGGATGGTGCATTTAATATAATTAATTAACTAATGTTGACAGATTATTACTAAACAAAGTCCATATTGTTTTCACATTTTCTTAGTTTGTACTCACTGTGCTTTTTCTGCTCCAGGGTACCATCCAGGATTCCACATTACATTTAGTCATCATTACCTCCTTAGGCGGCTCTCCCATATAAATTTTTCACATACTTTCCTCATTTTTTATAACCTTGGCAGTTTTAAAGAATTGGGTATTTTGTTGAATGTGCATACTATTATTATGACTGGATATTGATCTTGATGTTTTGTGGCTGAAGTAATGATAATTTGGTTTCTTTACATCAAAGTTACTTTTTTATTCCACTTTTCATATTGTACTTTTTGGGAATGAGTCATTATGCACAACCTATATTTATGTTCCACCTCTTTGAGGACAGAGCCTCTACATGAAATTTGAAATTGATGTGCATATGGAATTTGTCTTTTTTCTTAATTTATTTATTCAAATAATTATCATTATTTGAGAATGAGCTCTGTTCTCTCCCCTCCAGTACCAGGAATGTAGGCTAATTTCACAGTTACTGCTGAGTTGGGAAGAAGGGAATGAGTCTGGGATAAGTTAAAATGCCACAAAGTTATCTGTTCTTATTGAAAAATTAGTCTGAATATGATCAAACTTAAGATGATCATATTGAATATATGAAGTGACCAGCATCAAGAAAGCAAGTGATAAATGTACAAAATCAGTATTATGTTACTATTAGGGAACCTGGGTAATACTATAAAAAGATATAAATAAGGTTATTTGATAGGATAAAAGTTTTCTCAAATTTAACTCTTACTACATTTTCTTGTTTATGTGAGAACCTATCTAATCAGTTATGTATGACTGCAGTTTTCTTAAAAGCACAGCAGAATTCTCAGAGTACATTTAACTTTAGAAATTATAGCATCAAATGCAATAGGTACATCAGAAATGAAATAATAAAAAGCTATTCAGAAAAGAAATGAAGATTTACAAAAGTAATGGCATTGTATACTAGAAAACAGAATTCCACCCCCAACCTCAACTCCAGGCTGTTTATTTCCATATAAATCACTGACTTAGACTTAATTAAACTTTACAACTTAAAGGCTATGGCTGTTGGACCTCCATAATTGGACAAGGGTTATTTGTCAATATTTCATATTTGTTTGGAAATGCTAAAGTCATTTATGGCAACAGGCCCTACCCAGGAGCTTGAAGACATCTGAATGCAAATTGTATTCTGCTCGGTATCTGCAGGTTTAAAGCAAAGAGGGTTTTTTTTATTATTTTTATTTTCTTTGCCAGAAATCTGTTGCAGAAAATTTTCCAAGAACCCTCAATAAGTACACCTGGAAACATCATAGATCAGTGGTTCTCAACCTGTGCCATGCATTTTAATAACTATGGAACTGTAAATATTCTCATGCCAAAGTTCCATCTCCAGAGGTACTGATTTAATTGGCCTGGATTTCATTATGGGAAATGAGCTTTATAAGAGCCCCTAGGTATATGACTTTATAGCCAACATTATGAACAATGGATATTCTTAACCTAGGAACAAAAGCAGACTCTAAGAAAAGGTCTATTTATGTTCACCATTTTCTTGCTTCTTGATAAGATGAATCCCCCTTCACTAGCCCAGATAATGGTTATCAGTATTCCATACATCTCTTTCTGACCAGTTGTTTGCTGTTAGCTAATCACTCCATTCTTTCTATATTCTATCATTTCTTTATTTATATTGTCTCCATTATATTGCTAAATACATACATTTAAATAATTACCTGAGATGACTAGAGTAATTTTGCAGATGACAATGAGCACAAGGTATTCAGAACATTTACAAGGTATTACATAAATCTAAGAATTTTATTCAGGCAGATTTTGATGTCTCACCTATATGTCAGCATCATGGCATTTAAAGGGCAAAAAATAAAAACATATTTCTAAACTTAAAATACTTTATTTGTAGGTCAGTATATGCTTTTTAAAGTTTATGTGTATAAACATTAGGGTACATTATGGAATTGGTTAAAAATGTCAGCCTAAACTAACTTTATGATATTTTGATGCTGCTGCATTGGTTAGCATCCTAGAATGATCTGAAATAATATCCTAATAAATTTGTACTAGTTCATCTTCCTTAATGAATATCAAATAATAACATTACTTATAGATCTTGATTTCCTGACATATATCTTTGAATTCTTTTCAAAGGCATTTGTAGAAATGTGAAGACAAAATTAACTGATTCTCCGTCAAGTTTATAACACACACACACACACACACACATACACACACACACACACACACACACACACACACACACAGACCTATCTGGTTCCATTTCCTTTTAACATGTTATTCTTAAAACACGCCTCTCAGTAGTAATGGTTTTCTTGCTGCTCCCAAAGGTGACCCCAAAGTAGCAAATACTAAGCAATCATAAAAATATTTTGAAATAAATTTTGCTTGCCACATATATAGGCATAAGTTAGAAAGATGCTCATATCATCTTAAGACTTAGTTTTATCAAAACTAAGGGCAATTTTCGCTTTGAAGATAGAAATTATTGATCCACTATTCTTTCATTTATTTTTCTCCCATAAAATCATTAAGCATATAAATGCCAAGCATAACATTTTATTTCTTTGTAATATGTTTAAAAGGACATTCAGTGTGGTAATTTTTTTCTTTCTTAGGCTTATCTCTCAGCCTGTTATGTAATCTGTACCATGAAGCCACTGGCAAATTGATTAAAGTGTCTAAGAAAAGGAAACACTTACCAGATTCGAATTTTAGAAAGATTCCGCAAGTAGTTAAAAGGGAGGGCAAAAAAGCTGGAGACAGGGAGAGTCATTAGAAGACTATTGCCATATTCTAAGTGAGCAATAGTGTCATTTTGGCAAGTGACATGGTAGCTGAAAAAGAGGGAGGGGATAAATTTGAGAAATGCAAATGTAATAATGTTGGCAGGAAGTTGTGAAGGCAAATGTGGAGGCAGAAAAAAAAAAGATTCTTCCCTTAAGAGATATAATAGTTTCATGCGTGTCCGTGTGAAGAGACCACCAAACAGGCTTTGTGTGAGCAATAAAGCTTTTAATCACCTGCGTACAGGCGGGCTGAGTCTGAAAAGAGAGTCAGCGAAGGGAGATAGGGGTGGGGCCGTTTTATAGGATTTGGGTAGGTAAAGGAAAATTACAGTCAAAGGGGGGTTGTTCTCTGGCAGGCAGGAGTGGGGGTCACAAGGTGCTCAGTAGGGGAGCTTTTGAGCCAGGATGAGCCAGGAGAAGGAATTTCACAAGATAATGTCATCAATTAAGGCAGGAACAGGCCATTTTCATTTCTTTTGTGGTGGAATGTCATCAGTTAAGGCAGGAACTGGCCATCTGGATGTGTACCATCTGGATGTGTACGTGCAAATCACGGGATATGATGGCTTAGCTTGGGCTCAGAGGTCTGACAAATAGGGTCTAGGTTCATCAGGAATATTAAACTGTAGTTTTCTTTTAATGTGATAACCCTGGTAGGTTTCAGTATCAAAATAATACTGGCCTCTTAGATTGAGTTAGAGATGATTTCTTGCTTTTTAATTTTTTGAAATAGTTTGAGGAAGATTGGTATTAGTTCTTCTTCATATGTTTTGCAGAATTTGGCAGCAAATTTATCCAGTTCTAGGTTTTTTGTTTGTTTGTTTGTTTTTGATGGGGGAGACTTTTTATTACTGATTCAATCTTGCTACTTGATATTGGTCTGTTCAAATTTTCTATCTTTTCCTGATTAAATATTAGTACACTGTATGTTTCCAGGAATTTTTTCATTTGCTCTAGGCTTTCCAGTTTGTTAGCATATAGTTGTTCAAAATAGTCTCTGGTTATCTTTTGTATTTATGTGGTGTCAGTTGTAATGTCTCCTTTTTCATTTCTGATTTTGTTTGTTTGGGTCTTTCCTCTTCACTTCTTGGTTATTCTAGCTGGTAATTTATCTGGTGAACACAGATGCAAAAATTCTCCACAAAATACTAGGAAACAGAATCCAACAGCATGTCAACAAAGTCACATAGTATGATCAAGTCCGATTTATACCATGGATGCAAGGATGATTCAAAATATGCAAATCAATAAATATGATACATTATGTCGAGAGAATGAAGGACAAAAAACATGTAATTATCTCAATACATGCATAAAAAACACTTGATAAAATTCAACATTCCTTTTACAGTAAAACTCTCAGCAAGCTAGGCAGAAAAAGGAACATAACTCAAAAAAATAAAAGGCCATATATAACAAGCCCACAGCTAACATCATACTTAATGCGGAAAAGTTAAAAGTCTTTTCTCTAATAACTGAAACAAGACAAGAATGTCTACTGTCACCATGCCTATTTAGTATAGCATTGAAGTTTTAGACAGGGCAATTATGCAATAGAAAATAATAAAAGGCATCCAAATTGGAAAAGAGGAAGTCAGATTCTCCCTTTTGGCAAATAACATAATTCTATATTTAGAAAAGCCAAAATACTCTGCCACAAAACTTTTAGAATTCATAATCAAATTCAGGAAAGTTACTGCATATAAAATCAGCATAACAAATCACTAGCATTTCCATAAATAAATAATAAAAGAGTTGAAAAAATCAAGAAGGCAATTCCATTTAAAATGGCCACAAAAAATGAATAAAATACAGGAATAAATTTAAGCAAAGAGGTGAAAGATCTCTACAAGGAAAACCAAAATCATTGATGAAAATAATTGAAGAGCATACAAACAAATGGAAAAACATCCTAGGCTCATCAATCAGAAGATTTAATATTGTTAAAATGACCATACCACTGAAAGCAATCTACAGATTTAATTCAATCCCTATCAAACACCAATGTAATTTTCATAGAAACAGTAAAAACAATCCCAAAATTTGTGTAGAACAATAAAAGAGACAGAATAACCAAAACAATCCTGAGCACAAAGAACAAAGCATTACACTATCTGACTTAAAAATACATTACAAAGCTCTAGTAACCAAAATAGCGTGTAATTGATATAAAAATAGACACATAGACACATGAAACAGAATAGGGAACCCCAAAATAAAGCCATATATGTACAGCCAACTGATCTTCTACAAAACTGTCAGTAATATACATTGGGGTAAGGACACCTTTTTCAATAAATTGTGCTGGGAAAACTGGTTAACCATATCCAGAAGAACAAAAATGGAGCCCCATTTCTCTTCACATACAAAAATCAATTCAAGATGGATTAAAGGCTTAAATGTAAGACCCAAAACTATAAAACTATTAGAAAAAAACATAAAGAAAACTCTTCAAGTAATTGGTCTAGGAAAATATTTTATTACTAAGACCCCAAAAGCACAGGCAACAAAAGCAAAAATAGACAAATGAGATCATATTAAACTAAAGCGCTCCTGTAAAGCAAAAGAAACAGTAAACAGAGTGAAGTGACAGCCTCTTGAATGAGAGAAAATATTTTCAAATTACTCACCCAACAGGGGACTAATATCCTGAAAATACAAGAAACTCAAACAACTCAACAGTAAAAAAAAATAATAATAACAATTCTATTAAAAATGAGCAAACGATCTTAATAGATATTTGTGAAAAGAAAACGACATATCTATGGCCAACAGGTATCTGAAAAAATGTTCAACATCACTAACCATTATAGAAATGCAAAGAAAATTTGCAGTGAGATACCATCTTACAGTAATAAGAATGGCTATTATTTAAAAATAAAACAACAAGAGATCTTGCTGAGAATGTAGAGAAAAGGGAATGTTTGGTGGGAAACTAAATTAGCTCAGTCAAAGTGGAAAGTAGTTTGGAGATTATTCAAAGAACTAAAAACAAAACTATAATTCAACCCAGCAATTCCACTATTAGGTATCTACCAAAAGAGAAAAACACATCTTTGCATCAAAATGATACCTGCACCAATACATTTATTGCAACACTATTCACAATAACAAAATCATGGAATCCACCTAGGTGAATATCAACTGATGAGTGAATAAAAAATGTGGTATATATACACTATGGAATATAATGCATCTTCAAAAAGAATAAAATCATGTCTTTTGCAGCAACATGGATGAAGCTGGAGATCATTATCCTAAGTGAAATATCTCAGAAACAGGAAATCAAATACATGTTCTCAGTTATACATGGGAACCAATCAAAGAGTACATATGGACATAAAAATAAAATAATAGACACCAGGGACTCCAAAATGGGAGAGGTTGGGAGGTTGGTGAGGGTTGAAAAATTACCTGTTGGGTACAATGTTCAATATTTGGATGATGGGTACACTAGAAACTCAAACCTCATCACTATGCAATACACTCATGTACAATACCTGCACATGTACCCCGTGGGTCTATAATTTTATGTTATTCTAGTTTATTTTTGAGACAGGGTCTCACTCTGTCACCCAGTCTAGAGTGCAATGTCCCTATCTTGGCTCAACCTCCTGGACTCAAGTGATCCTCCTGCCTCAGCCTTCTAAGCAACTGGGGCCACAGGTGCACTCCACAATGCCTGGCAATTTTTTTGTATCTTTCGTAGAGATGGGGTTTCACTATGTTGCCCAGGCTGGTGTCAAACTCCTGAGCTCAAGCAATCCGACTTGAAATGAATGCATCTTCAAACAAGGAGTATTTTTTAAAGTAATCATAATACCAAGAGATTATAAAGATTAAATTTTTAAAAAAGATTTAAAAGGAGCTTAGTAAGTTAAATTATGAGCACATTTGGGAGCGTTGACCTCCCAAAGTCTGAGATCACAGGTGTGAGCCACCACATTGGCCATGGATCCATAATTTAGAAAAATAAAAAAAAAATACACAGACACATGGATGTACTGTTTTTCTCAGCGGAAAAAAAAAAATGCATTCCTATGGACTGATGGAAGCCTTTAGATGTTGAGAAAAAAACATTGAAGATCTCAAGATAACCCTCACCCATGACACTCTAACTCTGCAATTAAAATTCACCCTATAGCATTTTTCTTTTTTTCAAGTAGTTATTCACCTTCTTTGTCCTCAAATTCTTAAAAAAATAAGTATGAGAAAGCACAATTTTTCCACAAGAGAGTGAATGGCAGGATAGATGAGAAGCGATGTAATGAAATGCGGCTTCAAACAAGGAGTATTTTTAAAGTAATCATAATACCAAGAGATTATAAAGATTACATTTCAAAAATAGATTTAAAAGGAACTTAGTTAATTATGAGCACAAAATTCTGAAGAGCATACATTATGAAATTAAACTCACCTGAAATTCATTACTTTCTTGAGTCCTCAAATGTCATCTTCCTAAAGACAGGGTTTGTTTCTTATTAGATCTATGTAAATAACGTGGTATGTAGGCAGAGAGAAACTAAAACTGCCTTTTCATTTCTGGCTGCTGATGAGTTACCGCTGTGCTTGCATGACATTTACAAGCCACGTTAGTGAGGTCACCCTCACTATACTAGATTCTCTTTTATACATTATTGCCCTGGATAATTGTGTTGGAAATTGCCATCAAATGCCTTTTCTGCTATGACACTAAATAATTTGACATTATTAAAACAATGCTGGTGCCAAGCAACATGCATCAGAGTGTAGATTTTGGAGTATGACAGACTGTATTCGCATACTGTTTTTTTGCTATTTTACTCCTTGGTATGTAAGACTTTGGAGAATTTACCTAAAACTGATGCCTTATCTATGAAATGCAGGTGACAATACAAACACATTGCACATAATAGAACAGGATGTATATGTTACATTTCTAACACAGTTTCTGGCAGGTAGCTCGGCTAGTGGTTAGGAGCAGACTCGGAGCTATGATACCTGGATTGTAATCTCAGTTCTGCCAGTTACTAGCTGTATGCAAAAGAAAACAGATACAATTTCTGCTTTAGATTTCTCATTTGTAAAGTAAGGAGGACAGTGTGACTTTTTTATGGTCATTATGAAGATTGCATGAGTAAATGTGTGTAAAATGCTTAGAACAGACAAATATTGATTAATTAATAAAAATTGTTTAGAAATTTAGTGACATATTTGGAGAGCCAAAAACAATTAAGAAGAAAGATTTAATTCTGTCGATTCATAATACAAAAATCATATATTAATATATGTTATATATTAATACATGCGAATTTATATAATTAGTATACATTCATATATATTCAATCTATATATACTCAGATATATATAGTATATGAGTATATATGAGTATATGTATATGAATATATATACGAATTCACAGTCAGAATATAGATATACATACACACATATATTTATGTGTATGACACTGTGTATATATATGTGTGTGTGTGTGTGTGTGTGTGTGTGTGTGTGTGTGCGCGCCAGAGGTAAAGAGTTGAAAATGAAGAAGACATATGCAACCACAGTCATTATGCAAATATTTTTAGGTATATTCCAGAACTAGGAATATAGGCCTTTAATTTACTTTTTCTGTTAACTACGTTCAGCTAGGGTACTGTCCATTTTATCTTATACATCCTTAACATTTTTATGCAATGAAAATTGTAATATAAAGTCTGTCAAAATAGCACTCAATAGCCTTTTTTATTTTTTAATTGACAAATAAAATTATATGTTTTTATCAAGAAAAACATGATATTTTGAAGTATATGTACATTATGGAATGACTAAATCTAGCTAACTAACATATACATTACCACACATAGTTATCATTTTTGAGGTAACAACACATAAAAATTCACTCCCTTAGCATTTTTCAAAGATATAACATATTGTTAACTACAGTCAGAGAGAAGGAATATGTTCAAGAGATGTACACTAAATAATATTGAACATTAAAGCAATAAAGAACACAGAAGTTGTGTCTTAAATAAAGACAGGTAGTTAAAAATGTAACAGTGAAAATTAAATATATTTAGTGCTTCATATGCTCTCACAGGTTACCATCTGTAGAGTTCTTTCCATGTGCCAGGTTCAGGATGCACACAATATCACTTAGTCTTCAAAATGACTGCATGAGGTTGGTCTAATAGCATTGTTCTTTTACAAGCAGGGAACTAGGGGCTCAGAGCATATCTCCTCTAGACTGTTGGACTGTATTTTGCTATTATTTTTAGAGTTTTCACCACTCTCTCCCTTCGATTTTTTAATGTTCTGACCTATTTGCCAGAATGTGACTCCAAGTCATAGATACATCTAGACTATATCTTTCTGGTTTGGTTTGACACTACTATTTACATTGTTCCACAGTTGCATCTGCCAATAGAATGGGCAATTAGGTGACATTAACCTTGAGGCCCTTTATTTTTAGTTCAAAATAGTTCAATATACTCCACATAGATTGTCTTCCATATGAAGGCAGATGTGGTATATAGTTTTTCTTCTTGTCAGTGTTACCATGATACATATGTATGTTCATACATACCTAACATTTTCCAATGTAACATATATATATATATATATATGTTGAAGCATATATATTTAGGTTGGTGCAAAAGTAATTGTGGTTTCAGACTGTAAATTTCAAATCATTATAGCTGATTCAAACACATCTTTATTAATCAAAATAGGAACAATTACAATCAGCACATTTTTGCCAATGAGATATTAGTTTGTTTATTCCTGTAGCGTAAAAATCCATGTTTCCGGATTCGACAAACTCTTGGAAAGCATTTTTCATTATCCTGCTGGTTGTGGAAGTATTTTCCCTATAAAAAGTTGTTGAGAGGCTTGGAGAAGTGGTAGTTGGTTGGTGAGTGGTCAGGTGAATATAGCTGATGAGGCAAAACTTCGTAGCCCAATTCCTTCAACTTTTTAATTTTTATTTTATTTTACTTTAAGTTCTGGGATGCATGTGCAGAATGTGCAGGTTCCTAACACAGGTATTCATGTGCCATGGTGGTTTGCTGCACCTATCAACCTGTTCTCTAGGTTTTAAGCCCCGCATACATGAGGTATTTGTTCTAGTGCTCTCCCTCCCCTTGCCTCCCACTCCCAACAGGCCCGGGTGTGTGTTGTTCCCCTCCTTGTGTCCATGTGTTGTCATTTTTCAACTCCCACTTATGAGTGAGAACATGCAGTGTTTGATTTTCTGTTCCTTTGTTAGCATTGGTTGTGTAACATGTAGTCGGGCGTGGTCATGGAAAAGAATCGGGCCCTTTCTTTTGACCAATGCTGGCTGCAGGCATTTCAGTTTTTGGTGCATCTCTTCAATTTGCTGAGCATACTTCTCAGATGTAATGGTTTCACTGGGATTCAAAAAAGCTGTAGTGGATCAGACTGGCAGCAGACCACCAAACAGTGAGCATGACCTCTTTTTTGGTGCAAGTTTGGCTTTGAGAAGTGTTTTGGAGCTTCTTCTCAATCCAACCACTGAGCTGGGTGTTGCCAGTTGTTGTATAAAATCTTTTCATCGCACTTCACAATCCAATCGAGAAATTTTTTGTTGTTATTGCGTAGAATAGGAGAAGATGACACTTCAAAATGACAATTTTTTTTTTCACTCAGCTCATGAGGCATCCACTTACTGAGCTTTTTCACTTTTCCAACTTGCTTCAAATGCCAAATGACCACAGGATGGTCAACGTTGAGTTCTTCAGCAAATTCTCATGTAGTTGTAAGGGGATCCGCTGCTATGATTGCTCTTAATTGGTTGTTGTCAACTTCTGATGGCTGGCCACTACACTCCTCATCTTCAAGGCTGTTGTCTCCTTTGCAAAACCTCTTGAGCCAACAGTGCACTGCATGTTCATTAGAAGTTCCTGGGCCAAATGCATTGTTGATGTTGCAAGTTGTTTCTGCTGCTTTTCGAATAAGAAAATTGCTCAAATTTGCTTTTTGCCTAACATCACTTCCATAGTCTAAAATAAACATAAAATAAACAGCAAGTAATAAGTCATTAGCAAAAAGTCATAAAGCAAGAAATGCCCATTAAAATATGATATAACATAACCACATTTATTTAAGAGTATATTCCAATATCAAACAGCAAAATTCAACAGTACAAAAAGCTGCAATTACATTTGCACCAACCTAATATGTATATAAAATACTTACACATCTATGATATACACAAAAGTCTTTAAGGAAGTGTTGATATATCTACACTTCTATATCTCTCTATCATGATCATCTATCTATTTATATCTGTATACATCTATGATATAAAGTTTTCTCCCTATATTATTTAAAGAGAAAAATTGGGAATTAAGCATATGGGTGTCTAGAATCCTGTGAGGCTAAGTACCTGGTATTTCTAGACTTTGATCTGTAAGTGCTTACTCAAAGGGATGTACTGCTGAACTTGCTCAAGTTGCTTAGCTTAACACTGTGAGGTTAAGAAATATGCCTGATGTCTCACAACTAGTAGAACAATAGATGTAAACTAAGCTCTGGCAGCATAAAAATGAGTCATTTTTCTACTTTTCTGCATTTTCAAACAAAAGAGACATAAACCATTTATCCCTAATAGTTCTCAACCTAGTGTTTCACTATCTAAAACATGTAAAGCTATCCCCTCTCAGAACATGCAGGGCTTTTTATATTGTATGAATTCTTTAAAAATAGAAATATATTTCTAGACTCTAAAACTTTCTCTTTTTCCAGTCCCTGGTTTCTTTCAACTTTTTCTCAACAAATATTTATCATCACTGTCTCAGTTCATTTTATGTTGCTATGAGAGGATACTTGAAGCTGTGTAACTTATAAAGAAACAAGGCTTATTTGGCTCATGATTCTGGTAGCTGAAAAGTCCAAGATTGGGCAGTTCCGTCTGGTGGGGGCCTCACGTTGCTTCTAGTCATGGTGAAAAGCAGAAAGGAAGCAGAGTTGTGCTAAGAGATGACATGGAGAAAGAGAAAGCAAGCGAGATAGAACTAAGAAAACCATACATTTTTTTAACAACACACTCTGAAGAGAACTAATCCATTCCCAGGAAACAAAGAACTTATTCCATAGAAGAACATTAATCTATCAATAATTTTTTCCCACAATCAAAACACTTTCTTTTTTTTTTTGCATAAGAATATCAATGTATTTATTTTCCTACAGGTAATTTTTCTGTGGCTTCAACATTTTCTCTTCAAAATTAAAAGAAAAACATCCCAAAGTTTAGAACTGGATCACTTGTCCCTTTCTCTTCTTATCTCCTCCCAGTTTAAAATGCTTGTATCTCTTAATGGTCAGCATCCTCCTGAATCTGCAGTTAGATTCAACACATTCCAGCCTTAGCACAATCTTCTTTGTGGTCTTAGCCTTCTTCTGGAAAATTGGCTTTGTCTGCCTACCATAGCCACTCTGCTTCTGATCATAGCGCCTCTTTCCCTGGGCATACAAGGAATCCTTGCCCTTCTTATACTGCGTCACTTTGTGAGGTTGATGCTTGCCACATTTCTTACAGAAGGTTATTCGGGTTTTAGGTACATTGACCACCTTTGCATCAGAGCTGTTCTGTCTATATGATGAAAATGAGAAAAGGCATCTGAGACCCTCGCCTCACGCAGCTCTTGCCTAACAGGAAAAGGTCAAATGCTTTCTACTAGGCTCCACCTCCTGAATGCTGTCACATTGGAGATCAAATTTCAACGTAAGTTTCTGTAGGAACAAACATAGCAATTACTTCCTATGGATATTTCAGTGTGTCAAGTAGTAACGATAAAGCAGTCAGTAAGATATACACTGCCCAAACTGCATAGATTTCATGGACTAAATAAAAGGATAGTATTTTTTAAATTTTACATTTCAATTATGAGCAGTGTTACAAAGGGAAAAATGCCATGTTAAATCAAAGGGTAATATTGGAGACTCACCAAATATGTATAGTAGCCGTACCCAGGGAATCATTCTTTGAAGTAAAATTTCAGCTTAACTTTGAAGAATGAATAAAAATGTATTAGGTAAAAAGAGAAGAAAAAGGTAGGCAGAACAATGCTTCTGAAAGCCTTGCATCAGGAAAGATCATTTGTTCTCTGGAATCACCTGTAGTTGAGAAACTATGGAAAAGTGTTGGACATTGATTAGATTTTAGCTACTTAAGTAAAAGACTACTCTTGACTCTTGCTAAGGTTTTGGTTTTTATAGCACATTCATAGTACATCCGTATCTAGGCATCCCAAAGTTTTAAACTCTCTTTATCTAAACTAACACCATCCTTCTCTTTCTATTTTTTTTCATTTATCATGCATTCTCCATTTCTACTAAATTCTCCAAATCATGTAGTTTCTAACCTTTTTTTGAACATTATGCCTATTTTCTGTAGATTTTATTTCCATTGATAATTTAGTGCATTCCTTTGTTACCCCAATCTGTTCTATTATTGGTTTGTTTAATAGCCTCTGTTTTCAGACCAGTTTTGGGTTCATAGTAAAACTGAACGGAAAGTACACAGAGTTTCCATTTATCTTCTGCCCCTACACACTCACAACCTCTTCTACTATCAACATGCCTCAGCACTGTGGTAGTAATACATATTTTGGCATTGATGAATCAATATTAACACATCATTATCACCCAAAGTTTATGGTTTATATTAGAGTTCATTCTTAGTGTTATGTATTCCATGGGTTTCCGCAAATATGTAATGATGTAACATGTATCCATCATTATAGTATCATAGAGAATAGTTTCATTGCCCTAAAAAGACTTTGTGCTCTGCCCACCCACTGCTGCCACATCATGTTAACAAGAGCTCAAATCAAGTCATACCCATATCTTGGAAAATCTAAGGGCTCCTCATGAATTTTTCACTTAACTACATGCTGTGAAGTTCAATCTTTGAATTCCTTGCTAACCCTTGTAGCATCATATTCCCTGACTATTCTACCCTACACTAAAGCCAATCAAACTGGCTGACTTGTTCCTGGATCACTTTACTTATGTTTTTGTTCATGCTGTTTCCTTTATCTGAAATGCCCTTCTTCAATGTTTTCCATAATAATTCCAAAGTCCACCACTCCTTAAATAATCATATCAAAGATATTGATTTTGTTGGTGTCTTTTCTTGTTATTACAAATAAATTTGTTACCTGTTATTTCAGTCTAAATACAACACTGCTTACAAACTTTTTACAATCAGAGTCTCTATTGTAGGGTAGTGATTTATCTAAATAATTAGAAAGTATATACTGAGCACAAAGACAAACCTTACCTATCTTTGTATCCTCCAACAATACTATCTCAGTACCCTGGATTGGTGGTTTTGTTAAACTAAAGTTATAGTTCCAAAACATTAAAGAAATTCACTTGCAAGGCAAAAGAAATTTAAATTTCCGTTTAATTTTGTATATATTTAGAGAAAAGATACAAAAAAGACGAAAAGCAAGAGCACTGTAAAAGATAGGAAATGCTAAAAAGATAAAATAAGTGAGGTAGAAACGTTTAGTTCCTTTTTAAAGTACATTATTATTTTTATTTTATTATTATTTATTTCAATAGTGTTTTGGGAAACAGGTGGTGTTTGGTTACATGCATAAGTACTTTAGTGGTGATTTCTGAGATTTTGGTGCACCCATCACCCAAGCAGTGTGCACTGTACCCAATGTGTAGTCTTTTGTCCCTCACCCCCCAACACCCTTTCCCCGAGTCCCCAAAATCCATTATATCAATCTTATGCCTTGTGTTCTCATAGCTTAGCTCCCAAATATGAGTGAGAACATGATGTTTGGTTTTCCATTCCTGAGTTACTTCACTTAGAATAATAGTCTCCAGTTCCATCCAGGTTGCTGCAAATGCCATTATTCCATTCCTTTTTATGGCTGAGTAGTATTCCATGGTATACATATACCACGCTTTCTTTACCCACTTGTTGATTGATGAGCACTTGGGCTGGTTCCATATTTTTGCAATTGCTAATTATGCTGCTATAAACATGCATGTGCAAGCATCTTTTTTGTATAATGACTTCTTTTCCTCTGGGTAAATATCTAGTAGTGGGATTGCTGGATCAAATGGTAGATCTACTTTTAGTTCTTTAAGTAATCTCCACACTGTTTTCCACAGTGGTTGTACTAGTTTACATCCCTACCAACAGTGTAGAAGTGTTCCCTTTTCACCACATCAACAATTATTATTTTTGATCATTTGATTATGTCCAGTTTTGCAAGAGCAAGATGGTATCACATTGTGGTTTTGATTTGCATTTCCCTGATCATTAGTGATATTCAGCATTTTTTCATGTTTGTTGGCCATTTGTATATCTTCTTTTCAGAACTGTGTATTCATATTCTTAGCCCACTTTTGATGGATTATTTTTTTTTTCTTGCTGATTTGTTTGAGTTCCTTGTAGATTCTGGACATTAGTCCTTTGTCGGTTGTACAGATTGTGCAAATTGTCTCCCACTATATGGGTTATCTGGTTACTCGGCTGATTATTTCTTTTGCTCTGCAGCTTTTTAGTTTAATTAAGTCCCATCTATTTATCTTTGATTTTTGTTGTCGTTGTTGTGTTGTTTTGCATTTGTTTTTGGGTTCTTAGTTGATATTGTTTGGTTGTGTCCCCACCCAAATGTCATCTTGAATTCCCATGTGTTGTGGGAGGGACCCAGTGGGAGGTAACTGAATCATGGGTAACTTTCCTGTGTTATTCTTGTGAAAGTGAGTAAGTCTCAGGAGATCTGATGGAATTATAAAACTCCCTTTTATAAGCCCATTGATGGGTTTATAAGAGAGCTCTCCTCTCTTTACCCACCTCCATCCATGTAAGACATGACTTGCTCCTCCTTGCCTTCCTCCATGATTGTGAGGCCTCCTCAGCCAAGTGAACTGTAAGTCCAATTTTCTTTTGTAAATTGCCCAATTTTGTATATGTCTTTATCAGCAGCATGAAAATGGACTAATACAGTAAATTGGTACCAGTAGAGTAGAGCACTGGTGAAAAGATACCTGAAAATGTGGAAGCAACTTTGAATTTTCACCTCTTGTGGGAGAGACCTGATAAGAGGTACTTGAATCATGGGGGCAGGTCTTTCCCATGCTATTCTTATGATAGTGTATAAGTATCAGGAGATCTGATGAGTTTCTAAAGGGGAGTTTCCCTGAACAGCCTCTCCTCTGTTTGCCTGCCACCATCCATATAAGATATGGCTTGCTTCTCCTTGCCTTCCACCATAATTGTGAGGCCTCCCCAGCTACATGAACTGTAAGTCCATATCATATAGCCAAAATATCCACTGTTCAATAAAAAAATTATTTAAAACAAGAATCTCAACAATATCTTTGGGATCTATATTATGGAGAGTTCATATGCTTGACACAAAAACACGATCCATAAAACAAAAAATTGATAAATTGAACTTCATCAAAATTTAAAACTTTTGTTCTCTGAAAAACCCTATTAAGAGTGGATGAGAAGACAAGCTAAAGTCTGACAGAAAATATTTGCAAGCCACATATTTCAGTGAATACTGCTATATAAAATACCGAACACTGAAAACTCAACTGTAAAGATCCAAACCATCCAAACCATCCATTTGAAAATGGGCAAAAGGCAAGAACAGATCTTTTGAGGAATATGGAGATGGCTAACAAGAACATGAAAAGATGTTAAACACCTTTAGCCATCTATGAAATGCAAATTAAAACTATAAAGAGATATGATTGCATACTTATCACAGTAGCTAAGATAACAATTAAAAAAGAAACATAAGGCCAATACCAAATGCTGGCAAGGATATGAAGAAATTTAAACACACATGTAATGTTGGTGGTAGTGTAAGATGAAAACCACTTTGGAAAAATATTTGGTAGTTTCTTAAACACCTATACCTGCAATTCCCATGTGACTAATCAGTCACACTCTTCAGCATTTATCTCAGAGAAATAAAAACATATACTTATACAAAATCCTGTCCATGAATGGTCACAGCAATTTTATTTATAATTGCCAAAAACTGGAAACAGCCCAGATGTCCTTCAAGGGATAAATGGTTAAACAAACCATGGCACATTCATACCATGGAATACCAGTCAGCTCTAAGTAGCAGTGAACTACTGATACACAACTTGAATGGACATTGAAAGAATTATGTTAAATAGAAAAAAGAAGGTCAATCTCAAAAGGCTACATCTGTTTCCACTTATCTAACCTTCATAAAATGATAAGATTTTAGCAATGAGGTAGCGATTAGTGGTTGCCAGGCATTAAGTACTAGGAAGGGTAAGTTTGCGAAAAAAAAAAAAAAGTGCATACGGCCGTAAAAGGCCAAGATGAGGAATTCTTACGATGATGGCAATGTTCTATACTTTGTGTCAATTTCATAGCCTTGCTGTGATAGTATACTATAGTTTTCCAAGTTGTTACCATTGAGGCATATTGGTTAAAGCATACATGGATCTCTGTATTATTTCTTATACCTGCATGTGAATCTATAATTATCTCTACATTTAACAATTTAATATAAAAGCATCAAAACAAAACAAGAAAAACAACAACAAAAACCACCATACCAAATTGAGAAGGAAAAATTTTCTATGTAGCACCTTTAACAGCACAATTTCTCAGCTCTTTATACAAGGGTTCCTCATATGTTAGGTTTGCACTTGGCCCCACAAATTAAGTAGCTGGTAATATTTAAGGAAGATGTGTTTGTGTTTTGTCCTACTTTTATTAAACTTCCAAAAAATGCGTAAGACTGTAAGACTGCTAACTGTAACACCTTAGAAGGGATTTGCTGTCTGCTGTGTCTATCTTAAAGGATTTTCAGTTTCTGTTTTAGGTTTAAAGAGTAATCCTGCTCCAAATTGCAGTATTCTCCCCAATTCATTCACTTTCTTTTTCCTTCAGATGTCTCTCTCTCTCTCTCTCTCTCTTTCTCTTTCTCTCTCTCTCTATCTGTCTTGTCTCCTTTCCCATCACCAGATTCCACAATTCCATTCTGAGTCATTTCACTAACACACCATGTAGAGGTTCTCTTTCTAAACATTCCCCAGGAAATTGCTGTCTTTTCTGTTTCTACTTCCAAGAATCTATACCTTCTAACATAGAAAATGTTCAATATTCAGAGCTTACAAAATCAAATATGCTTAAGGGACAAAATGAGCAATGAAATTGAATGAAATGAGCTGTGAATAAGAAGGAAGCTATCAGTAGGGACTATGTTGAATCTCCTTGCAAAGCTGGGGTCAGCAGTCTTTATCTCTCTTTGACTCTAAGGTGGTATCACCTGGGAGGATTTTTACAATATACTGATCCAGAAACAATTCAAGAACAACTAAATGAGAATCGTTGTTATTAGAGTCAGGGCATAGTATTTTTTTAAAGTTATCCAAGAGAGCAGATGTGCAGGTAAGGTTAGAAAATCATAATCAATTGTTCTTAAATGTAAATGAGCATAAGAACTACCTGAAAGGGTTTTATAAATGAAGATTACCCCGACAATTTCTCAGGAAATTCTCAGTGAAAAAAATGTAATTCTCAGAAATCATCATTTTAGCAATGCCTCCCCACTATTACACATGCTGGGTCGTTTAGATTCAGAGGGTTTATCGACGAAAATCTCAGATTCACTGTTTGAGATTTTAAAACCTCTTTTCTAGCATAATACTGAATAAGTATTCTGCATTACCCTACTCTGATATATTTGCATTTTAATGAGGTTAAAGTTCTAATAAGCCTCCTAAATGGTGGGTATATAGTTGGAGATGATAGACTGTAATATGAGTTTTGATAGTGGGTAGATGGACTGATCTTAGCTCTTTTAATTGTTATGTAACTGTATATAAGGTATGCTCTATTCTGAGGTTGTGAGACTCATCAAAAAGCTGGTATGAGGCTGGGCAGAGTGGCTCATGCCTGTAATCCCAGTACTTTGGGAGGCCGAGGCGGGCGGATCCCTTGAGGTCAGGATTTCGAGACCAGCCTGGTTAATATGGCAAAACCCTATCTCTACTAAAAACACAAAAATTAGCCAGGTGTGGTGGCAGGTGCCTGTAATTCCAGCTACTTGGGAGGCTGAGGCAGGAGAATCGCTTGAAACCGGGAAGCGAAGGTTTCATTGAGCTGAGATTATGCCACTGCACTCCAGCCTGGGCAACAGAGCAAGACTCCATCTCAAAAAAAAAAAAAAAAAAAAAAAGAAAAAAAGCTGGTATGAGATACAAATCTTGTATAACCTTATCAAGAGAATTATTTATCACTTACCTAATGCTTTAAGAAACAAAATTAAGTTCAGGAGGAAGATGGTATCTCCTGGGCAGGGCCATAGATGGCCTTCTTGTTTTATATTAAGTACAACAGAGCAGCATGTTCAGATTAGCTCTTACATGAGTAAAAAGCATAATAGGGTAAGAGGAACCACCAGGCATCTGGAACATGGGCAAATGCAGCACTTCAGTGTCTGTTCGTTCCCAGGTATATTGCTGGATATCACATTTAATTTCCTTTTATCAACAGACAACCATAAAAGAAATCCCATTTTATTTTTTCTAAAATACAAGGAAACTCAACTTCAGAGTTTCCTTAAGCCATATGCTCAAGGTCACAAGTGTGATATTAACTGCAATCATAACAGTCCTAATAACACTATAACCCTCACATACTGAGGTATTATTCTATTCAGCATTTTGTTTTACACAAACTGTCTCTTCTGTGCCTCACAACAACCCCAGTATGTCCTGTGAGAAAATAGATACATAAAGAGATTAAGAAGTGTGCCTAAAGCCTCGTATTAGAAACAACTCTGCTGGGAGCTAAACATGGGAGTCTGTCTCCGGAGCCTCTTTACTAACTCCCTGCCTTAATCACAAAGCAGAGTTTGCATTTTTCTACAAGGCAAGGAAACCAAAACTGTATTCATGACAAAGTAATAGAGACCACAGAGATTACAGTCAGAGAGAAACAGTTAGTGAATAAATGGAAATTTTCTTGCATTTCCACTTGCTCAGTGCTAACTCACCGTGGTTAAGCTACAAAAATACTCAATGGAATCGAAGTATAGTGGAAAAACGAGATTGGGAGGAAAAAAAAGATCTCATATTATTGTTTGGAGTGGGTGCTTTTGCTAATTTTTTTCTATTTTTGCTTATATTTTATGTTATTTTTTGAGGGGGATAGTATTGGAGGGGCTGTAATAAGAGAATGTATTACCAAATAATAAAAAGCAACTGAATGGGATGTTTTCAGGCACTGAAACACTGGTGAAGAGGGTGACAACAATGTAATGTTAGAGAAACCTTTTCAACTCTAGGATTCTATAACCATCAGAAACTCAATGAACAGCAGTAGAAACGCACCTGATCACTTAGTGAAAAAATGGTTGTTTTTGATTCTGAGTGGAAGTACAGGACTCATCTGGTCCCCATTTCAAATTACAACTATCATGGGTGTTTTTCCTCAAGATGTTCAACTGTCCTGATCACCTTCAATTTACACAAGTCAATTAATAAATGTATTTACGAAGTTTCAATATGAGAAAAATATCCTTGACAAAGAAAAAAATAAATAAACAAAACAACCCTATTCGTGGGTAGGTGACTACACTGAGTACTTTCTCCTATGAGAGAAGCATACCTGAGTTCTCAGTGGATAAAGAAGAAAGCGAGTCACCAGACCAATTACTCACACCTGAGATGGATTTATATGAGGGAGAACACTTAGCCTGGTACTCAAGAAGACATAAACTTTACTCCTGCTTTTGCTGATTCCTAATTTTGTTATCTTAGACAAGTAGCTTTGATATTCTAAATTTATCTCCATCTATAGAATATAAAAGAATGGTTCTCAAACTTTTTGGTGCTTTAAAACTCCCCAACATATTTTTTTAAAACCATATATGCAGGTTCCATTCATTCCTTTTAGGATGTGGGCAGGCCTCGAGTAAGACACAGGAATCTAAAACATCTTAAGAAATAAACTTTGATTATTCTTCTATAAAAGTTTTATGTTCATACTTTAAGAAACTGACACTGATGTCTTTCACGATTATAACAATAATTATATGCATCACAGTTATTAAATATTTCTCATAAAAGTTGTCTGAAATTTTAATGTCAAAGATTTGTGAACCAAGGACACAGTCCCTAGGTTGCTGTCAGGGATCATGTTTATTCATAGATACCTTTCTATGTTCTCATGCTCCCTGTACCCTCTTCAAGGAATATAAGAATTAGCATTGGTCCTTTGATTCGTTTTAATAGATGTAGAAAATTTGAAATGGCTCATCAAGACCTTAGAGATATATTAAATTTTCAGTTCAAAATATATTTAAATTACTTTAGAATGACTTGGTATTCTCAGCAGTTTTGCTTAAATGACAACATTGAAGTCAAACAAGAGAAAAAAATACATATACCTTTTCCCATCTCATTTCCTCCAGCTTCTAAATGTGCCTGATACTGTTTTATAGCATATCTATAATTAAACAAATTGTGCATTTTATTTTAATTTAAGGATTAAGATTCAGTCCTCTATTTAAATGAGTTTTGCAATGTTTCCAACTCAGAGGTAAAAACCATTTAATTTGTCGTAATGCACTGAGGAAATGAAAAGCAACAATGCCTTTTGCTTTGCTTAGCACAGGGAGCCCTACTCAGTTTTCTGTTGTTACACTTGCTTGCCTGTCCTTGACTAAAGGGAGTTTATTCAACAGAATGGCATTGTCTAGGGACAATGGGAGGAAAAAATGTGTAGAAAGTAGTAAGTCTTAGAGTTGAGAAACGTTTGCCAGCCTTTTCAAGTTAGAACTGAATTTTGGCAGAGATTTGTGAAATCCTTGCTTGTTATTTTCCATGTTTATTGTGTGATATTTGCAGGCTTAAATTAACTGTTAACAGACATTTTGTTAAATAAATTTTAAAAAACCGTAGGCTATTCATGCCTTGGTGAGCTGGACAGAGACCACATACCATTGTTACTTGGGCAACACTTCATCGCGCCATCTGAACAAGTTGGCTTCATATACAGCATTCTTATAAATGGCATTTTTCAATAAGCAGGCTTACCTCCAGATATTATAAAACTGAATGTGTAATTTCCAAGGTCTTTGAATCAATTGGCTGTTTTCTCACGGGTATCTGTCATATAATACCTGAATTTAGAGTATGTCATAATATTACTCTAATTTTATTTTTGTATTGGTAATTAGGGTTAATTTGAGGAAATAAAATGGGAAATATAAGCCACATTAAAATGTATAGTCAGAAGATGGCCAAAACAACTATGTACAAATACAGTACAAAGCTATATTTAATCCATAACTCTGTGAATGCTCACACCCTAAACCCCACTACCGTACTCGTGATGGCTGCCTTCTTTGTGTCTCTGGAGTATTTCCTTTATAGCAGTACTAGAGCCAGTGTCACAGTGTATGTGATTACTTGTATAGGATTTACTTACTTTTTAAGACTTCTCTTTTTGCATTAGATGGTTAGCAATTCATCATCAGTTAGCATGTCCATATTGTATTAATTTTACCACCTACCAAAATATTTGCTTGTAACATACATTCAGTAATATTTGTTGACTATAATTACACAATTTTCAAGTTAGATGGCATTGTAGATTGTAATACAGTTAACTCTTTCACTTGAGATGAGGAATTACTATTCAAAGAGGAATCCAATTTGCCTATGTTTACCTGAATGCAGTGGCGTGATCTCGGCTCACTGCAACCTCCACTTCCTAGGTTCAAGCAATTCTCATGCCTCAGCCTCCTGAGTACCTGGGATTACAGGCGCCTGCCACCACACCCAGCTAATTTCTTTCGTATTTTACTAGAGATGGGGTTTCACTGTGTTGCCGAGGCTGGTCTCAAACTCTTGCGCTCAGACAATCCACCCGCCTTGGCCTCCCAAAGTGCTAGGATTACAGGCATGAGCCAATGCACCCGGCCTAGTAGTTAATTTATATCAGAATCCACATGGCTTGTACTGTCTCTGCGTATAACACTCATACAGTTCTACAACTGGGTTTAGTCATTGTTTAGGTAAGCATGTAGTATTCCATCTTGTGAATTTTAATCTTTTTATTTATTGCCAATTTCTGGCTTTTTCTGAATAGTAACACTGAATTAAATCATTTTAATGTGAAAATTCCATTTGGTACAAGTGCTAATATTGAAGAAAAACTTGCTCAAAATGCAAATGTATTTCTAAGCAAGCTGGTTCTTGATTATGGTTATGTCCCTTTGGAATATTCTAAATAGGATGTTTGTTTCTGGTCTTCAACCTTTCTCATCTCTTAATTAAATGAGATGGGGGGATTGGAGTGGCTGGATTTTTTAATTTCATTTTGTTTTTCCTTGTTATATATATTTTCTGTGTACTAGAACTACTGGTTGCTTAATTATACATCTGACTTAACTATCTTGAGGTATTTAAATGTGTTTGAGAGGTGGCATAAGAAATTAAACTTGTCTCTTTTATAATGTAGAACAAAGCAATAAATACAAAAACAAGATAAGAGCAATGGACAGAGAGAAGCAAATTCAAATGGCTTTGTGATAACAAATTGAATAACCACTTCATCTTTTTTATTAAAAAAAACAAAATGATTTGTTCTGAAATTAAAACATAGTTATAAATAAATTTTAAAAAATAAGAAAATACACCTTTTAAAGGATCCAAGAGGGCAAGGTACTTGAGTGAAGACATTTTTTTCTTGCTGTGAATCATATAAAATGAGAGAGAGAGAGAGCGAGAGAGAGAGAGATGAACCACCACGAGCTCAGAGGAAAAACGATAGCAAATACTTCGATAATGTTAAGATAACGTGAAGACAACAATCAGTATGCTGGCATCAGGGATTGTAAAAAATACAACAAATGTTGCCATTTCTCTTATATACATTAACTATTATAAAAGAAATTTTCATGGAAGAGAAGAGATGCTGGGGAGGGGTAGGAGGAAAAAAACTAAACTTAATTAAGCACCTACCATGTGGAAAAACTCTTCATATAAGGAAACAACACATGTTTTTTGTTTGTTTAAGCCTTCCAACACCCTTTTAAGTGAATAATGTTTTGCTTGGTTTGCAGTTGAGGAATCATATTTCCAATGAGATGACACAACTTTTTCAAATCTACACAACAAATGTTAAAGGATTTCTAACCTGAAATGGCCTAACACACCTCTTTCTATTATACTGTGCTACCTATAAAGAGATGAGAAATTATTAATATCATTGTTGAGCAACTGTATTTACTTCCTGAGTTGTGTTGCACATGTCATCACATTTTACTGTGATATCAACATTAAGAATAAGTGTCATTTATCTCAACTTATAAATGAGAGAAAGGTTAAGTCTGTGTTTCCCAAACACTGATTGACAGAAGGGTGTTGCTTGTGGTAAAATTTTCCACATTTCGTATTTGTATTATAGAAAACAAGGCATTAAAAAATACATATAATGATAACATAGTGATTTTTCTCCCCTGTGTTTTCAGAGTTAAGACATTCTTTCCTTCTCATTTTTGAAATACTGCTAAAAAGATAGGAATTGTTACCAATTATACTTACTGTTTTAATGTAAACTTTTAAAGTTAGCAATTATAATATTTATTATTCCTTTTTATTTTATTCTGTATTCATTAACACACAATTGCAAAGAGAAATGGAAAAGGTTTTTTTAATTAGATATAGGTATAAAATTTTAAAATTATAGGCTTTATTTGGCATTTTATGGAAAAGCAAGAGATCTTTAAAACACCAATGAAACAATCAAGAGAACCATATTTCAAATTTTATGATGGAAACGATTGTACTAGCTCTCATGTATTTTTCCAAATGCAATTTTATTCTTATTGGAGAAATGAGCACTTGCGTTTCAATCTTTCTTTATTCCAACATCAAAGTTTCAAAACCTAGTAGACTATTATATTTCTTATCCTTTCACTTTTTACAGGATGGCTTGAGAATAGAAAATTTTCTAATCTACATTAAAATTTCTTTTAAAGAAATAAGACATGTCTCTGTGAAACTGAATGACTCAGGAAAGACCTAGACCTCACAAAATCTATCAAAATATTAAAATAAAACCTTTTTAAACTTCTACAACTATTATACTTGCCTCATAAAGTGTCACTGTATTTCACCCTTGCACCTGTAGTCTGTACACCACAAAAAGGCCGTAACAGCTCATTTAAAACATAGATCGTGGAACCTCTCCCCAAAAATGTTCTTATGGCTTCTAATTTGATACAATATTCTCATCATGGTCCCTTTGTTGACCAGGCTGGAGTGCAGTGGCAAGATCTCAGCTCACTGCAACCTCTGCCTCCCGGGCTCAAGTGATTCTGCTGCCGCAGCCTCCCCAGTAGCCGAGATTACAGGCATGCACCACCCCGCCCAGCTAATATTTGTATTTTTAGTAGAGATGGGGTTTCCCCGTGTTGTCCAGGCTGGTCTTGAATTCCTGACCTCAAGTGATCCGCCAGCCTCACCCTCCCAAAGTGCTGGGATTACAGGTGTGAGCCATGGCACCCAGCCCCTATTGTGCGTTTCTTGTCCTTATCTCCTACTACTCTACCAAAGTCTCACTCAGCAGCTTGTCTCTATACCTCCTCTCAGGGTCTTTCTATTCCTCTTTAGACTGCTATTCTGGGGTTGCTATGCCTTCAGTATCAAATTTCTCACTTTTTTGGGGCTTTTCTCAAATACCACCTTATCACAGAAGTGCATACTGATTATCTGATCTAAAATATCATCTCCACTCAGATGCCCCAATTCCATCATTTATCTCCATTTCTTTATTTGTTTTCCTAACATTTATTACTTCTTGACATTATTCCATACTGACTTGTGGCTATCTAAAATATCATCTCCTTTAAAGTAGAAATTTTATCTCTGATTTTCATGACTGCATATCCAAAGTTTGGCACAAAGTAGGGGCTTAACAAAAAATGATGGAATGAATAAATGAAAAATTCACTTTCTCACTGGCCTCCTTCCTTCTTTGTCATAGCCCTATAGTGACACTGAAATTGGCTTAAAATGTTTTCTGTTTAAGTCCTGGCTCTGCCCTTTGCAAGCTAATTATGCGTGTGAACTGAGGAGAGTATTCAGTCTTCCTGAAGTGAATGAGCCTTGCCTATCAACCAAGGAGAAAGACACTTGCCCTCCTTACCTCACAGGATTGCTATGAGGACAAAATGGGATAACAAAGGTAAAAATGCATTGTAAACTTCTAAGCACAGTTCTTAAGGGATAAAATTAAAAGACGTGTCTGATAGCTTGGTTTTAGATTTAGTTTAACACCTTGTTAATTTAAATACATAGTTTAATACACTGCATAATTTTACTTAGGAGCAGTGCTCTTTTTAATACCAATTTTCTGGGAACAATTAAGAATAATTTTTTTTAGTGTAATTAATGGTCTATTTTGACATTTATATTCCAGTGTATTTAACGATGTTTGTGTATATGTGAGTGCCCACACCAACAGCTCTTCTTTAGATGTTTTTTTGTTTGTTTCATGTCAGATACATCTAGTTTAACAACAAACTGATGTAGTTAAAAACTTAAGGTTACATGCCAACAAAACAGAGAGTAAATTTTTGTTGCATGAAAGAGTATTCAGACAAGCTGTGGGTTTTTGAGATAGATATTTAACATTTTCAGAACATGAGTGTTGACAATTTATTCTTTCCTTCCAAATCACCAGACAGAAGTATTAATAAAATGGACAAAATTAAATAGTCTGGCTACTTAAGAAGAACTATAAATTATCCTAATGAGAATGATGCAAGGATTTGAAATAAAGATAGGTCAGTAAATAGACAGTTATATAAATAGATAGATATTGACATAGATAGAGACATATTAGATATATTTCACATTACTACATTATTCAGGCTACCCACACAAATAATTTAGGTGATACCCTAGTAAAGAGGTGTTAGCTATGACATCCGCATGTGACTAATCAGAGGTTCACAATACAAATATGGATTTTTGTGTCGCATAGTAGATTTACCACAAAATATGTCCTTCAGCTAAATCCTAGGAAGCTGCTTTTTAATTATATACTCAAACCACTGCACACTCAATTTTAAGGTACCAGCCATACATATACACTATATATATACACACTATATATATATATACACACTATATATATATACACACTATATATATACACTATATACACTATATATATACTATACACTATATATACACACTATATATACTATATATACGCTATATACACTATACACTATACTATATATAGTGTGTATATGTAGTATATATAGTATATATGTAATATATAGTATATATAGTGTATATATTATACTATATATTCTATATATAGTGTATATATTATACTATATATTCTATATATAGTGTATATATTATACTATATATTCTATATATAGTGTATATATTATACTATATATTCTATATATAGTGTATATATTATACTATATATTCTATATATAGTGTATATATTATACTATATATTCTATATATAGTGTATATACTATATATTCTATATATACTGTATATTCTATATATACTATATATTCTATATATTCTATATATATTCTGTATATAGTATCTATACTACATATTCTGTATATAGTATCTATACTATATATTCTGTATGTAGTATCTATACTATATATTCTGTATGTAGTATCTATACTATATATTCTGTATGTAGTATATATAAAATACACTATATATACTATACATTATATATACTATATATAATACACTACATATATACTATATACACTATATATTATATATACTATATATAGTATATAAATATATACTATATATTTATATAGTATACTATATATAGTATATACTATATAAATATATAGTATATATAGTATATATATAAAATACTGCCTACATAATCAGTATTTTTTGGTATTTTTCCTTTGTATGAAGTCTACCTTGTTAAACTTGCTCCAAGTAAAAAGCAGTGGAATCACAAGCTTCTTAAAAAGAAGATCTGTTCACTCCTCAGTAATGGCAGTATTTTTTTTTTATTTTTTCAGCTAGTATTAAAGCAAATTTGCTTTTTTCCTCATTCCTGTACCCTGTCTTTTATGTAGCAAACAGTATGCCAGAATGTGTCACCAAGTCTTCCTATGGGCAACTTATATCCTCTTCCTACCTGAATGTATGATAATATTTAAAATAGTAATGGCCAATTATTAGATGATTATTATTAGAATGATCGGAATGTAATCATTCTGATAGTCATTTAGTCAGCCTCCATGCAGAATGTCTGTGATATGATCTTTGTAGCAAAGACGTTTTTTGGAATTTACTGTTTTCATTTTTTTCTATGCTTTTGTAAATCATAATAAACTTTGATTTTATTTTCTCTTAAAAACAAAAAGTTTTGAATTTGACTTGTATTTGTAATGATTACAGACATCTAGGGACATCTCTTGGGGGTGGTAAGAAGAAGAAACTTGAGCCTTAATCATGAGAAAAGAGATATCAGACCATTAAAGTCTAATCGTCAAATGGCAAAATCATAATTCCATCCAAATATCAAATGTATGCATATCAAAGATTTTATTCAAGTTATCAATTTAAAAATGAACAGTAATATGTTACTAACAGTCCAAAGAGCAGTTGGAAAGCCAAGTGTATACAGAATTTTTAATTTTTTAAAATTTTTTATTTCAGTAGGTTTTGGGGAACAGGTGGTGTTTTGTTACATGAATAAATTCTTTAGTGGTGATTTATGAGATTTTGGTGCACCCCTCACCCAAGCAGTGTACACTTTATCCAATGGCTTCTTTCATCCCTCAGCCCCCTCCCATCCTTTCCCCAAGTCCCCAAAGTCCATTGTAGCTTTCTTATGCCTTTGTGTCGTCATACCTTAGCTCCCTCTTGTGAGTGAGAACACACAATGTTTGATTGTCCATTTCTTCACTTAGAATAGTGGTGTTCAATTCCATCCAAGTTGCTGTGAATGCCATTCTTTCATTCTTTTTTATGACTGAGTAGTATTCCATGGGGTGTGTGTGTGTGTGTGTGTGTGTGTGTGTGTGTGTGTCTGTATCACATTTTCATATACAGTCATTCATTGATGGGTATTTGGGCTGGTTCCATATTTTTGTGATTGCTAATTGTGCTGCTAGAAACATTCATGTGCAAGTACCCTTTTCTTATAATGACTTCTTATCCTCTGGGTAGATACCCATGAGTGGGGATGCTGGATCAAATGGCAGATCTACTTTTAGTTCTCCATACTGTTTTCCATAGTGGTCGTACTAGTTTATCTTCTCACAAACAGTATAAAACTGTTCTATTTTCACCACATCCACGCCAACATCTGCTATTTTGGGATTTTTTTTAATGGCCATTCTTGCAGGAGTGAGATGGTATCACATTTTGGTTTTTACTTGCATTTCCCTGATAATTAGTGATTTTGAGTACTTTTTCATACTTTTGTTGGCCATTTGTGTATCCTCCTTTGAGAATTGTCTATTCATGTCCTTAGCCCAGTTTTTAAAGGGATTGTTTGGTTTTTTCTTGCCGATTAGTTTGAGTTCCTTGTAGACTGTAGATGTTTGTTCTTGGTCAGATGCACAGATTGTGAAGAATTTCTCCCACTCTAGGGGTTATAAATTCTTATTATTTCTTTTGTTGTGCAGAAGCTTTTTAGTTTAATTCAGTCACATCTATTTACCTGTTTTTGTTGCATTTGCTTTTGGGTACTTGTTCATGAAGTCTTTGCCTAAGCCAGTGTCTAAAAGGGTTTTCACAATGTTATCTTCTAGAATTTTTATGGTTTCAGATCTTAGATTTAAGTCTTTGATTCATCCTGAGTTGATTTTTGCATAAGGTGACAGATGAGTATCCAGTTTCATTCTTCTAAATGTAGCTTTCCAATTATCCCAGCACCAATTATTGAATAGTGTATCCTTTCCCTACTCTTTGTTTTTGTTTGCTTTGATGAAGATCAGTTGACTGTAAGTATTTGGCTTTATTTCTAGGTTCTCTATTCTGTTCCATTGATGTATATGCCTATTTTTATACCAGTACCATGCTGACTATGATATTATAATATAGTTTGAAGTCGGGTAATGTGATGCCTCCAAATTTGTTCTTTTTTCTTAGTCTTGTATTGGCTATGCGGGTTCTTTTTGGTTCCATATGCATTTTGGGATTTTTTTTCTAGTTCTGTGAAGAATGATGGTGGTATTTTGATGGGCATTGCATTTAATTTGTAGATTGCTTTTGGCAGTATGGTCATTTTCACAATATTGATTCTACCCATCAATGTTTTGATTTGTTTGTGTTGTCTATGATTTCTTTCAGCAGTGTTTTGTAGTTTCGCTTGTTGTGGTCTCTCATCTCCTTGGTTAAGTATATTCCTAAGTATTTGTTTTGCAGTTATTATAAAAGGTGTTGTGTTCTTGATTTGATTCTCAGCTTGGTCTCTGTTGGTATATAGCAGAGCTACTAATTGGTGTACATTAATTTTTGTATCCTTAAACTTTGCTGTATTTATTTACCTTTCATCCTCCTAAGTTCTAGGGTCGTTTTGGATGAGTCTTTAGGGTTGTCTGCATATACAATTATGTCATAAGCAAACAGCAACAGTTTGACCCTCTTTTACCAATTTGGAAGCCCTTTATTTATTTGTCTTGTCTGATTGCTTTGGCTAGGACTTCCAGTACTGATTGCACAGAAGTGGTGAAAGTGTGCATCCTTGTCTTGTTCCATTTATCAGGGGAACTGCTTTCAAATTTTCCCCATTTAATATAATGTTGGCTGTGGGTTTGTCATAGACAGCTCTTATTACATTAAGGTATGTCCTTTGTATGCCGATTTGGCTGAGCGTTTTAATCATAAAGACATGCTGGATTTTGTCAAATGCTTTTTCTGTGTCTATTGAGATGATCATGTGAATTTTTTAAAAATTCTATTTATATGGTGTATCCCATTTATTGACTTGTGAATGTTAAACCATCCCTACATCCCTGTTATGAAACCCACTTAATAATTGCAGATTATCTTTTTGATATGCTGTTGGATTCTGTTACCTCATATTTTGTTGAGAATGTTTGCATCTATGTTCGTCAGGGATATTGGTCTGTCATGTTTTTGTTGTTGTTATGGCCTTTCCTGGTTTGGGTATTAGGCTGATACTGGCTTCATAGAATGATATAGGGAGGATTTCTTCTTTCTTTCCCTTGTGGAATAGTGTCAATAAGATTGGTATCAATTCTTCTTTGAATGTCTGATAGAATTCATCTGTGAATCCATCTGATACTGGACTTTTATTCTTGGTAACATTTTAATTACCATTTCGATCTTGCTGCTTGTTATTGGTCTGTTCAGAGTTTCTAGTTTTTCCTGGTTTAATCTAGGAGGGTTGTATGTTTTCAGGAATTTATGCATCTCCTCTAGGTTTTCCAGTTTATGCACATATAAAGGTGTTCATGGTAGCCTTGAATAATCTGTATTTCTGTGGTATCGGTAGTAATATCTCTTATTTTGCTTCTAATTGAGCTTATTTGGATCTACTCTCTTCTTTTCTTGGTTAATCTCACTGATATTCTATTATATTTATCTTTTCAAAGAATCAGCTCTTCGTTTAATTTATCTTTTGTATTTATTTCTTTCAATTTAATTTAGTTCTGCTCTAATCTCTATTACTTTTTATTACTTCTGCTGTTTTAGGTTTGGTTTGTTTTTATTCCGCTGGTTGTGTCATTATTATCATTCACTTAAAAGAATTTTTCATTTCCATCTTGATTTCATTGTTGACCCAAGGATCATTCAGGAACAGGCTATTTAATTTCCATGTATTTGCATGGTTTTGAGGGTTCCTTTTAGAGTTGATTTCCAATTTTATTCTTCTGTAGTAGGAGAAGACACTTGATAAAATTCGGATTTTCTTAAATTTGTTGAGACTTGATTTATGGCGTATCATATGGTCTATCTTGGAGAAAGTTTCATGTGCTGATGGATAAGAATGTATGTTCTGCAATTGTTAGGTAGAATGTTCTGTAAATATCTGTTAGATCCATTTGTTCCAAGGTATAGTTTAAGTCTATTGTTTCTTTATTGACTTTCTGTTTTGATGACCTGTCCACCGCTGTCAGTGGAGTATTGAAGTCCCCCACTATTATTTTGTTGCTGTCTATCTCATTTCTTAGGTCTAGTAGTAATTGCTTTATAAATTTGAAAGCTCCCCTGTTAGGTGCATATATATTGAGGACTGTGATATTTTCATGTTGGACTGGTCCTTTTATCATTATATAATGTCCCTCTTTGTATTTTTTAACTGCTGTTAGTTTAAAGTTTGTTTCAGCTTATATAGAATAGATACTGCTGCTCACTTTTGGCATCCATTGCATGGAATATTTTTTCCACATCTTTACCTTAAGTTTATGTGAGTCCTTATGTGTCAGGTGAGTCTCTTGAAGACACCAGATACTTGGTTACTGACTTCTTATTCACTGCACCATTCTGCATCTTTTAAGTGGAGCGTTTAGGCCATTTATCTCCAATGTAAGTATTCAGATGTGAGTACTAATCTATTCATTGTGGTATTTGTTGCCTGAATACACTGTTTTATGTTTTTCATTGTGTTATAGTTTTATAGGACCAGTGAGATTTATACTTTAAGGAGATTCTATTTTGGGGTGTTTTGAGGATTTTTTTTCAAGACTTAGAGCTCCTTTCAGCAATTTTTGTAGTGCTGGCTTGGTAGTGGTTACTTTTCTCAGCATTTGTTTGCCTAAAAAGGCCGTATCTTTCCTTCAATTATGCACCTCAGTTTGAGTGAATACAAAATTTTGGGCTGATAATTGTTTGTCTTAGGAGGCTAAAGACAGGACCCTAAATGCTTCTAGCTTGTAGCATATCCACTGAGAAATCTGCTATTAATCTGATAGTTTTTCCTTTATAGGTTAGCTGATGCTTTGGCCTTACAGCTTTTAAGATTCTTTCCTTTGTCTTGGCTTTAGATAACCTGACAACTTTTCGTGATCAATTTCCCAGGTGTTCTTACAACTTCTGATATTTCAATGTCTAGAACTCTAGCAAGGCTGAGGAAGTTTTCATCAATTATTCCCTCAAGTATGTTTTCCAAACTTTTAGATTTCTCTTCTTCCTTGAAAAACTAGTTATTCATAGGTTTGGTCATTTAACATAATCCCAAACTTCTTGGAGGCTTTGTTTATTTTTCTTTATTCTTTTTTTTCTGCCTTTGTCAGATTGGGTGTATTAGTTCATTTTCACACTGCTGATACAGACATACCTGATGCTGGGCATTTTTTTTTTAAAGAGGTATATTGCACTCACAGTTCCATGTAGCTGGGGAGGCCTCACAATCATGGTAGAAGATGAAAGGTATGTCTCACATGGTGACAAACAAGAGAAGAGAGTTTGTGCAGGGAAACTCCCCTTTTTAAAACCATGAGATCTCGTGAGACTCATTCGCTATTACAAGAACAGTGCCAAAAAACTACCCCAATAATTCAATCAACTAACACTAGGTTACTCCCACAACACATGAGAATCGTGGGAGTTACAACTCAAGATGAGATTTGGGTGGGGACATAGCCAAACCATATCATTCCACCCCTGGCCCCTTCCAAATCTCATGCCCTCTCATTTCAAAACCACTCATGCCTTCCCAATAGTCCCCCAAGTCTTAACTCATTTCAGCATTAACTCAAAGTCTACAGTCCAATGTCTCATCTGAGACAAGGCAAGTCCCTGCCACCTATGAGCCTGTAAAATCAAAAACAAGTTAGTTACTTCCTAGATACAGTGGTGGTACAGGCATTGGGTAAATACAACCATTCCAAATGGGAGAAATTGGCCAAAACAAAGGGGCTACAGTCCCCATGCAGATACAAAAACCAACAGGGCAAATATTAAAGCTCCAAAATGATCTCATTTGACTCCATGTCTCACACCCAGGTCATGCATGAGGTAGGTTCCCATGGTCTTAGGCAGCTCTGGCCCTGTGAAAGGGTGTAGCCCTCCTCCTGGCTGCTTTCATGGGCTGGTATTGAGTTTCTGTGGCTTTTCCAGGTGCATAGTGCAAGCCGTCAGTGGATCTAGAGGATGGTGGCTCTCTTCTCACACCTCCACTAGGCAGTGCCCCAGTAGGGACTCTGTGTAGGGGCTCCAAACTTACATTTCTCTTCCACACTGCCCTACCAGAGGTTGTCCATGAGGGCCCCACTCCTGCAGCAAACTTCTTCCTGAGCATCCAGGCATTTCCATACATCCTCTGAAATCTAGGCAGAGGTTTCCAAACCTCAATTCTTCACTTCTGTGCACCTGCAAGCTCAACACCATGTGAAAGCTGCCAAAACGTGGGGCTTCCACCCTCTGAAGAAACAGCCCAAGCTGTACATTGGCCCTTTTTAGTCATGGCTAGAGCAGCTGGGATGCAGGGAACAAAGTCTCTACACTCTACACAGCAGAGGGATCCTGGGCCCAGGCCACAAAACCATTTTTTCCCCCTAAACCTCCAGGTGTGTGATGGGAGTGGCGGCCACAAAGGCCTCTGGCATACCCTGAAGACATTTTCTTCATTGTCTTTGTAATTAACTTTTGACTCCTCATTACTTATGCAGATTTCTGTAGCTGGCTTGAATTTCTACTCAGAAAGTGGGATTTTTCTTTTCTATTGCATTGTCAGGCTGCAAATTTTCCAAACTTGTATGCTCTGTTTCTCTTTTAAAACTAAATGCTTTTAACAGCACCCAAATCACCTCTAGAATGCATTGCTGCTTAGAAATTTCTTCTGCCAGATACCCTAAATCATCTCTCTCAAGTTCAAAGTTTCACAAATCTCTAGGACCATGGCAAAATGCCACCAGTCTCTTTGCTAAAACAGAAAAAGAGTTAACCTTTGCACCAGTTCCCAACAAGTTCCTCATCTCGATCTGAGACCAACTTAGACTGGATTTTATTGTTCATATCATTATCAGCATTTTGGTCAAAGCCATTCAACAAGTCTCTAGGGACTTCTAAACTTTTCTACATTTTCCTGTCATCTTCTTCTGAGTCCTCCTAACTGTTCCAACCTCTGCTTGTTACGCAGTTCCAAAGTCACTTCCACATTTTGGGGTATCTTTTCAGCAGTGCCACACTCTACTGTATTAGTCCATTTTCATGCTGCTGATAAAGACATACCACAAACTGGGCAATTTACACAAGAAAGAGATTTATTGGACTCACAGTTTCGAGTGGCCGGGGAGACCTCACAATCATAGTGGAAGATGGAAGGCATGTCTCACATGGTGGCAGACAAGAGAAGAGAGCTTGTGCAGGGAAACTTTCCTTTTTAAAATCATCAGATCTCATGAGACTCATTGACTAACACAAGAACAGTGCAGGAAAGACCTGCCAACATAATCAAATCACCCTCCACCAGGTTCCTCCCATGACACTGGGAATTGTGGGAGTTACAATTCAAGATGATTTGGGTGGCAACACAGACAAACCATATCATTGGGTTAATTAAAAAGCCTTGTTTTCAAGCTCTGAAGTTCTTTCTTCTACTTGTTAGATTTTATTTTCTGAGACTTTCCTGTGCATTTTGCATTTCTTTAAGTGTGTCCTTCATTTCCAAAAGTTGTGATTGTTTTTTATCTATGCTATCTATTTCACTGGAGATTTTTCCTTTTATATCTTGTATTATTTTTATTTTATTTCAAGTTGGACTTCACATTTCTCTTTTGCCTCCTTGAGTGGTTTTATAATCTACCCTCTGAATTCTTTTTCTGATGTTTCAGAGATTTTGGCTTGGTTTGGATCCATTGCTGGTGAGCTAGTGTGATATTTTGAGGGTGTTAAAGAACCTTGTTTTGTCATATTACCAGAACTGTTTTCCAGGTTCCTTCTCATTTGAGTAGACTATGTCAGAGGGAGGGTCTGGGACTCAAGTGCTGCTGTTCAGATTCTTTTGTCCCACGAGGGTGCTCCTGTGATGTGGTACTCTCCTGTTTCCCCTAGGGATGGGAATTCCTGAGAGCTGAACTGCAGTGATTATTATCTCTTTACAGGATCTATCCACCCAGTGTAACTACCGGGCTCTTGGCTTTTACTGGGGAGTGTCTTTAAAGAGTACTGTGATGTGATCCATCTTCAGATCTCTCAGCTGTGGACACTGGAACCTACTCTTGTGGAGGAAGCAGGTGAGTGAAGTGGACTCTCTGAGGGTCCTTGCTTGCATTTTTTTAAGTGTGCTGGTTTTGTATTGGTTGACCTGGAACCCGGAGGTGATGCTTTCAAGAGTGCATCAGCTGTGATCATATAGGGAGGATACAAGTTTGCCCTAGAGTTACCTTTGGATAAGTATTCAGGTATTTCAGGCAGTGGCATGGCCATAGAGCTCCCAAAAGATTATGTCCTTTGTCTTCAGCTACCAGGGTGGGTAGAGAAGGACCATCTGGTGGGGGTAAAGTTAGGTGTGTCTGAGCTCAGACTCTCACTGGGCAGGACTTGCTGAAGCTGCTCTTGGGGTTGGGGGTGTGGTTCTCAGGCCAATGGAATTATGTACCCAGGGAATTCTGGCTGTCTCGGCTGTGTCACACAGGTTACCAAGAATGTAGGGGAAAGCTGGCAGCCACAGGCCTCACCAAGGTACAGTGCAGCATGCAGCCCAAAATGCTGATCTCTCATTGTGCCCCTGCAACAGCACCAAGTTTATTGCCAGGCAGCCAGTGAACAGGGCTGAGAACTTGTTCCAGGCTACAAGCTTCCTAGCAGAGAAAGCAGCTGACTCACAGTTCTTTGGCTGTCCCAGGGTGCCTGCAGTGGCAACTCACCACCTTCAAAGTGTCTTTGGATTCTCTCGGCTTTCCTGATATGTTCCTGTGGTAGTTTTTGGAGATAAAGTTCATGATGTCGGTCTCCATGCCCTGCTCTATCCCTCCAAGTTGGAGCTGAAAGACAGTCCTGTCCCCTATCTTGCATTTTTTCCCTTTTATATATAGAAAATTTAACCAAGAAATGGTTTAGGATGTTGGCTTATGTACAAATGTAGTTTTTGTCCAGCAGAGCCCAAAACCATAACTTTGAAGGTTATCTGTTGTACCAGAAAGAAATTATTTGCATCTCTACTTGACAAAAATTAGCAAGTATATATTTATTTTTGCAGAATTTTAAAATAGTCCAATCAATATAAATTATATCAAAATTGCAAGCCTGGAATTGCATTGGAAAAACAACAACAAAAAACACCCAGTAATCTCTTTGCCTATTTTTAAGTTACAGATAATTTTCCTGACAGGAGGAGGTAATTTTGTGGATCTTAAAGTTTATCTTCATCTAATTCAGTGTAAATTGTGAAGTAATGGGCCAATATCAATTGTGAAAGAGATGACACAGAGACCATTTGCAATGAGCCAGCTGTTCCTTAGATCATTAAAGGACCGAAATTTGGATGATTTCTTGAATGTAACATAGGAGTTGCTTCAGGCCCTTCTGTGTCCACAAGAAAGATTAAGTACAGCTAGGTAAAAATCAGAGGAGAAATTCTGTTTTCTATTCTTTAAGAAAAAGCTAGACTGCACAAGTGATTCTCATTTTACCATTAGAAACTACTTTCTGAGAAGCCAAATAAATTGGCAACTTGGAGTTGAAACTAACTTAAATATTTACAAAGGGATGGAGAAGTAAAGAAAATAAAATGAAAAATCAGATAATGTAACTCGTTGTTATTACAATTCAAGAGGCTCCCCAACACTTAAAATTCAAACTGCTCCCCAAGGCTGACATAAAACCCTGCAGGATCTTGCTTCTGGATCTTTTTCTGGCCTCATCTCCTCTCATTTACTGCTCTCATTGCCCTTCAGCCACAGTGGCTGAGTACACGCTTTAAAAATACGCTACCGCAATTGCTCCTAAGACAGTTTCACTCTGAACCACACATTTCTTTTTTTTTTTTTTAAGTGTGGTAGAAAACACATAACATGATATGTACCCTTTTAACAAATGTTTAAGTGTATAGTACAGTATTGTTAACTATAGTCACAGTGTTGTTTGACACATCTTCAGAATTTTTTGTTTTACATAATTTACTAAAGCATGATTGATATAAAAAAGTCAATATTTCATTTAAACAGAAAGAATCAATAATAAGTATTTGAGGTAATGGATATATTAATTAGCTTAATTCGATAATTCCACAGTATGTACATATATTATAGCACCACTTTCTGCCCCATAAATACAGTCATAATTTGTCAATATCCAATTTTTTAAAGCTGTACATTTTTAATGTATACAACTTGATGAGTTTGGAGATAAGTATACACCTGTGAAATCATGACTACAATCTATGCCATAAAGCTCTCCATCATCTGTAAAAGTTTCCACCTGTCCTATTTATTATTATTATTACTGATAAGAATGGTTAACATAAGGTCTCCCATCTTAGCAAATTTTTAAGTATACAATACAATATTGTTAACTATACCTCAATATTAACCAAAGGGTGCAAAGTTTCAGTTATACAAGACAGATAAGTCCTAGAGACCTACAACTTTTTCTTCTTGCATGATTGATACTCAGTAATCATTGAACCAGCAGCTCCTCATTTCCCCTTCCCCTCATCTTGTAATCACCATTCTACTTTGTTGACTACTTAAGTTACTCATGTAAGGGAAATCATGAAGTGTTTTTGAAACTGGCTTATTTCACTTAACATAATTTCCTCAAGTTTCAGCTATGCTTTCTTTCATAAATGGCAGAATTTTCTTTTTTTCTGGAGCCTAATAATATTCCATTGTATATATCTACCACATTTTCTTCATTCATTTATCCATCGGTGGACATTTAAGTTGTTTCCATATCTTGACTATCCTGCACAGTGCTGCAATGAACATGAGGCTGCAGATATTTTGTTGAGATTCTGACTTCAATTCTTTGGATAAATACCCAGAAGTGAGGTGGATGGATCATACAGTAATTCTAGAAAACCTCAATACTGTTTTTCCTAACAGCTGCATTATTTTGCATTCCTACCAACATTGCACAAGGGTTACAATGGCTCACATTCCTATCAACAGTTGTTATTTTCTGGGCTTTTTAGAGAATCGTCATTCTAACAGATGTGAGGCAATATTTCATTTTTTGACTTACATTTCCATAATGATTCATGACAGTTGGACTTTTTTTTATACCTGTGGGTTATTTTAATGTCTTTTGGGGGGAAATATCTATCCAAGTCCTTTACCCTTTATTTATTTATTTATGTATTTAATTTACTACTAACCTATAGGAATTTTTTGTATATTTTGCATATTAACTTCTTATCAGATATATAATATGGCATGTCCTTTTGCTTCACTTCCTTCATTTGTATAGAAGGGGTAGTGTTATTACTTACTGCATGGTGTTATTGAAGGTTTGAATTGATTAATATTCACAATATGCTTAGAAATGTGTTTGCTCAACCATCAATAGTACACAACATTAACAGGATAAAGAACAAAAATCACATAGAGAAAAAGCATTTAACACAATTTAACAGCTTTTCATGATAAAAAACACAAATTAATGATAGAAGGAAATTATCTCAACATAATAAAAGTCATATATGAAAAGCTCATATCTTATATCATACTCAGTGGTGAGAATGAGAAGCTTTTCCTATAAGATCAAGGAGCTTCTGTCTGTTGCTTTTACACTTGCAGATCTTCCTGCCAGTAATGCTTCTCCTGTGGAGAATTACATAACTTATTTCCACAGTTTATTCAAGCCATGACTCCTTTGTCACCTTAGGGAGGCTTTCCTACTCAGCCTCATATAAATGCAAACCACCTACATGCCTGTCTCGCTCACTCCTTTTGAATTCTGTGATTATTCTTCTAAGTTAGTAAAGTGTAGATTCAGATTCAGACAAAAACAGTTTATAGAACAAACCCTCAAGTGGCACTTAGTATGTGCGAGGTATTGTTCTAAGTGGTTTCCACATAGCAAATTACTTAATCCTCACATCAACTCTATGATATAGTTTCTAATATCACATTTTCTGATGCTGAAACTGTGTCACAAAGAGGTTCAGGCACTTGGCCATTAAGCAGGGATTATTCTAATATCTAAATGCTAATATGAATCAATGCAGTTAATAATCAAACACAGTTTGACCCAAGAATCAAAGCTTTTGACCACTAGATTATATTTCATTTTTTAAAAAAAGGTACAGGTTGGCTTGATTTTGACCATTGAACATTAAAGACTTAAATGTTAGACCTAAAACCATAAAAACCCTAGAAGAAAACCTAGGCAATACCATTCAGGACATAGGCATGGGCAAGGACTTCATGTCTAAAACACCAAAAGCAATGGCAACAAAACCCAAAATTGACAAATGGGATCTAATTAAACTAAAGAGCTTCTGCACAGCAAAAGAAACTACCATCAGAGTGAACAGGCAACCTACAGAATGGGAGAAAATTTTTGCAATCTACTCAGCTGACAAAGGGCTAATATCCAGAATCTACAATGAACTCAAATAAATTTACAAGAAAAAAACAACCCCATCAACAAGTGGGCAAAGGATATGAACAGACACTTCTCAAAAGAAGACATTTATGCAGCAAACAGACACTTGAAAAAATGCTCATCATCACTGGCCATCAGAGAAATGCGAATCAAAACCACAATGAGATACCATCTCACACCAGTTAGAATGGCAATCATTAAAAAGTCAGGAAACAACAGGTGCTGGAGAGGATGTGGAGAAATAGGAACACTTTTACACTGTTGGTGGGACTGTAAACTACTTCAACCATTGTGGAAGACAGTGTGGCAATTCCTCAAGGATCTAGAACTAGAAATACCATTTGACCCAGCCATCCCATTACTGGGTATATACCCAAAGGATTATAAATCATGCTGCTATAAAGGCACATTCACAGATTTGTTTATTGCAGCACTATTCACAATAGCAAAGACTTGGAACCAACCCAAATGTCCAACAATGATAGACTGGATTAAGAAAATGTGGCATGTATACGCCATGGAATACTATGCAGCCATAAAAAATGATGAGTTCATTCCTTTGTTAGGGACATGGATGAAATTGGAAATCATCATTCTCAGTAAACTATCGCAAGGACAAAAAACCAAACACCACGTGTTCTCACTCATAGGTGGGAATTGAACAGTGAGAACACTTGGACATAGGAAGGGGAACATCACACACTGGGGCCTGTCATGGGGTAGGGGGGAGGGGAGAGGGAAAGCATTAGGAGATATACCTAATGTAAATGGCAAGTTAATGGGTGCAGCACACCAACATGGCACATGTATACATATGTAACAAACTTGCACATGTGCACATGTACCCTAGAAGTTACAGTATAATAAAAAGTGTACAGGTTGCCTTGATTTTGACCATTGTTGTATAAGTGAAAGCTTAATTAATAATGAATTTTAGTGAATCAGTTTAATCCATAGCCATTTTATTCATTGTAAATAATATTGATATTTTATTTTTTTCCTTTAAAAATTGCCATTTTGTAACACAGAGACTCATGCAGCCTGTGTATTAATCATGACATGTACATGTTAAACTTGTCTGAAACAGACGTTTGTCCCCGACCTCCTAGATAGCCACATATACTAAGATGCAACAAATGAGTATTTGGTCAAAAATAGTCTCAGTGATCCTGAGAGCTTGCTTTCTTTGAGGTGAGGTGGCATTTTTTTAGTATAGAGAGACAAAATATCAAAATTAATTATTAATCCATGAAATACCAACACCAACCTCTACCAGTCAACATTATTAATCTTTGAACTGTCAATATCCATCTGTCCTCCATATTAATGTTTGATTCAATTCTATTTTTAATTACAGCAGATACTATTATACAGAATTTAGTTGAAATGTGTAAACAAATAACATGAAAATAGCCATGAAAATTTCTAATCTTGAAATTGGTGGGGATCAACAGAAGAAAATCCAAGTTAAAGGACTTTAATGTTGAGTTGTGGAAGTGGCAGAAAACAATTTAAAAAAATGCAGTCTTCACTGAATAAAATAATTTAAAATAAAATCAATCAATATCATAATAAAAATATATGTTTTGGTGTACAATGAATAGTCATAAAGAAACCTGACATAGATTAAGTATTCCTTTTGCTTCAAAGACATGCAGAATATAACGATAAACTTTTTTCAGTGCCTTAAACACGTGGTAGGTGCTAAATAATGATAAAATGAATTAATAAAAGGTTAGTTAACAAAAGTGGTAATTTTCTCCTTTTGTCTTTCCTGAGGTCAATTATTGACTGTTAAACAGTAACTGAATATAAATCACCAGACTACAGTATTATAGATTTCATTTATTCTCTTTATTTCTGTTCATTTAAAAGAGATCCAATTACATAAACAGATTTTCAAGATGTAAAGCTAGTTATGGGAAATAAAGGAACTAAGAGCATACAGAATTTTCTGTTGTTTTATTACTTATAAAGAGGGATTAGGGACATGGGCTAAATGAAATACCAAACATGGACTAGATATTGAAAAAATAGACCTCCTTTGAATGAGGGCTAAACTGGGAAGATAATTTAGCTAGTCTTTCTTGACAGTGTTCCATTCACCCAGAGAATAGTTGTTGTTAAATATAGAAAGGCTTTAATTAAAAATCCTGTGGAAGAATCTTTTTTTTTTTTTTTTTGATTTCTTTCAGATCTCTCTCACAATCTTAAAATGATTAAGTTAATTAACTGGAGTAGCACACTCTTATGTGAATCATTGTTTCCAAAACTCAAACAGACACAATGAGTATTGCATTTCTTATTACTGGCAAAGTGTGAAAAGTGATACAGATCATCTTCATTTTGTAGGTTATGATTCAACATGCCCCAAATAATGTGTCCTCCAGGAAATATAATTTGATTGAACTTTGTGTATGGAAAGTAGAGTCCAACTCACCAACTCACTCAGTTTGTGTGGGGATGTGGTGGGGAAATAAGGAAATATCATTTCAGCAACAAAGAAGACTTATTTAAACATATAATTCATAGTTATGCTATGATCTTTTCCAATTATATCTAGTATTTATGAATCCTTGCTAAGAAATTGTGTTCTGTTATTATGAGCTTGGTAAAAATACAGATATGGATTTGAACAAGTGGTGTTTGGATTACATATAAGCAAAACATTTCATTTTGTGCTTCAGTTATGAATAGGTTGTTCATTAACTAAGAAGAATCACTCTCAGGGTCTTCAGGGCATATATTTCCTACCAATGGAAAAGGTTGTCAGAACATTTTGATAATAAAAGAGCAGATGATAAAACAATCCTAATAACCACTTATTCCCCTTATGCCTTTAAATCAACTTAGTTTAAGGAGGTGGATCAATGTCTGTTAGGACAGGGAACAATCAACATTGAATAAATTTTCCTGTATGAATAAATTTCGAGGAATATGTCTTGCCATATATGTATGAAAAAATATATATACATTTCTATTTATATATATATATTTTTTTTCCTTTTTACTTTTATTTCTGTGTACCTTTCTCATGCCTTTTGTCTTTTTCTCTTCTTCTTTATTCATTTCTGTGTTTCATACTTTCACACAATATGAGGCACTCTACTGAGCAAATTATGTAACTAGCGTGTGAATGCAGGTTAAAAAGTGGAGGCAGGTTTATGGATACAGGGCAAAAAGCTGGTCACCAAACTTTAGTAGACTTCAATTCATTGAGAGTTGACTTATGCCAGGTACTGTGCTGGAAAATAATAAAGGAAAGCCTGTGTTCTAGCTGAATATGTGTTTTACAGGATTCTCCATATTCTCATGTGCCTGTGTTCAATGAAATTTTCTTCCATGGGATACTGATAGCCATTTCCTAAGTTGTTATTCAGCCATCATTTATCCCGGAGGCCTTGTCTAGTTCCATCAGTCTATGTTAGATTACCCTACCATAAGCTTATTTGTAATTTATTTACTTGTTAATACCATATATCTTACTTTTGATCTACTCTTATATTATGTGAGAAAAAAATCTCTTCATATGCCTCTATGCTACCTGAGTCTGTATTTTCATAGGTGTCTCAGAGCAGATTGTTTTCCTACACTCAGAGTTTTGTGTGTGTGTGTGTGTGTGGTAAAGCTGCTTTTATTACTCTGTTAAAACTGTATATGGAAATTTTTAGCATAAGCAAATAAATTCATTTAATATAAGGAAGATATTTTCTTCTGTCATTAATACATAATCATGATTTCTAAATATTAACCACATTTACACTGTATTAAAATAATGCATAAAATATTTGTATGCAATTTTGAAATTGTGGGATTACCATTAAGAATAAATATAAATCTATGTTAATTCTGGGGGGCATTTTGTAGTATTTTACATTCAAAAGAACATTGACTATTATATAAAAATCTATGCTCCTACCAAAAGCCTAAAAAATAGTATAATAGAGCAATAAAGCCTACTCCTCTTCTCAGCTTGAACTATAATGAGAATTTTTGTTTTGCTTTGTTTCATATTCCTCTCTAGGATCATGGATTAAAACTTACTACTCTGAGCCATGGCCCTCAAATTGAGCAATTTTGTAAGCATCTAACCAAAAATTTGACATGTGTCAATAAAAGATTCTACTACAATACAAGTCCATTATACAACCATTCAACAGACTTCATGAATAGTTAAGAGTATTATAAATACTAGTTAAGATTAATCAAAATTAGGAAATACTGTACATTTAATGTGAACATAAATGCATTACTATAAAGTATTTTTGAAAGTGTAATGGTGAATTAAAATTTATATCATATTTACATATTTCTTTTATACAACATTTTCTTTTGTTTCATATTTGGTGAGCCTTTATTTTTCTTCTGCTTTGAGATAGTACTTCCTTCTTAAGTGTGTGAGTATAGGAAGCAAAATAGTAGTAAGCTATATTGATAGTATGTAAAATAAATATAGGAAAGGTTTACATTTTATTTGTTAGATTCCTGCCAAGTATTTTAAGTGCAGGGTATATAAAAATAATGTTTTAAGTTATGAAAAACACCTTGATATTGGCTCATTTAATTACACTGTAAATTCTTCTCTGAAGGCAAGTATGGTATTTTATATTTTCTTTTTTTTATTATTATACTTTAAGTTCTGGGGTACATGTGCAGAACGTGCAGGTTTGTTACATAGGTATACATGTGCCATGGTGGTTTGCTGTGCCCATCAACCCATCATCTACATTAGGTATTTCTCCTAATGATACCCCTCCCCTAACCCCCACCCCCAAACAGGCCCCGGTGTGTGATGTTCCCCTCCCTGTGTCCATGTATTCTCATTGTTCAGCTCCCACTTATGAGTGAGAACATGCAGTGTTTGATTTTCTGTTCTTGTGTTAGTTTGCTGAGAATGATGGTTTCCAGCTTCGGCCATGTCCCTGCAAAGGACATGAACTCATCCTTTTTTATGGCTACATAGTATTCCGTGGTGTATATGTGCCACATCTTCTTTATCGAGTCTATCATTGATGGGCATTTGGGTTGGTTCCAAGTCTTTGCTATTGTTAATAGTGCTGCAATAAACATACGTGTGCATGTGTCTTTATGGTAGAATGATTTATAATCCTTTGCCTATATACCCAGTGATGGAATTGTTGGATCAAAAGGTATTTCTGGACCTAGATCCTTGATAAATCGCCATACTGTCTTCCACAATGATTGAACTAATTTACACTCCCACAAACAGTGTAAAAGCGTTCCTATTTCTCCACATCCTCTCCTGCATCTGTTGTTTCCTGACTGTTTAATGATCACCATTCTAACTGGCATGAGATGGTATCTCATTGTGGTTTTGATTTGTGTTTCTCTAATGACCAGTGATGATGAGCATTTTTTCATATGTTTGTTGGCTGCATAAATGTCTTCTTTTGAGAAGTGTCTGTTCATATCCTTTGCCCACATTTTGATGGGGTTGTTTGTTTTTTCTTGTAAATTTGTTTAAGTTCTTTGTAGATTCTGGATATTGGCTCTTTGTCAGGTGGATAGATTTCACAATTTTTCTCCCATTCTGTTCACTCTGATGATAGTTTTTTTGTTGCTGTTGTTGTGCAGAAGCTCTTTAGTTTAATTAGATTCCATTTGTCAATTTTGTCTTTTGTTGCCATTGCTTTTGGTGTTTTAGTCATGAGGTATTTGCCCATGCCTATTGACAGAATGCTATTGCCTAGGTTTTCTTCTAGGGTTTTTATGGTTTTAGGTCTAACACTTAAGTCTTTAATCCATCATGAGTTAATTTTTTGTAAGGTGTATGTAAGGGGTCCAGTTTCAGTTTTCTGCATACGGCTAGCCAATTTTCCCAGCACCATTTATTAAATAGGGAATCTTTTCCCATTGCTTGTTTTTGTCAGGTTTGTCAAAAATCAGATGGTTGTAGATGTGTGGTGTTATTTCTGAGGCCTCTGTTCTGTTCCATTAGTCTATATATCTGTTTTGGTACCAGTACCATGCTCTTTTGGTTATTGTAGCCTTGTAGTATTAAAGTCAGGTAGCATGATGCCTCCAGCTTTGTTCTTTTTCCTTAGGATTGTGTTGGCTATGCATGCTCCTTTTTGGTTCCATATGAAATTTAAAGTTGTTTTTTCTAATTTTGTGAAGAAAGTCAATGGTAGCTTGATGGGGATAGCATTGAATCTACAAATTACTTTGGGCAGTATGGCCATTTTCACAATATTGATTCTTCCTATTAATGAGCATGAAATGTTTTTCCATTTATTTGTGTCCTCTCTTATTTCCTTTAGTAGTGGTTTGTAGTTCTCCTTGAAGAGGTCCTTCACATCCCTTGTAAGTTGTATCCCTAGGTATTTTATTCTCTTCCTAGCAATTGTGAATGGGAGTTCACTCATGATTAGGCTTCCTGTTTGTCTGTTATTGGTGTATAGGAATGCCTGTGATTTTTGCATATTGATTTTGTATCCTGAGGCTTTGCTGAAGTTGCCTGTATTACATTTTCTTTGAAAATATGTTTATTTGAGATTTTCCTCAAAATGTTTTCCTCTTTAACAAGTGTTTTAGTATGTTTGGACTACTATAACAAAATACCATAAAGTGAGTGGCTTATAAACAACAGAAATTTATCTCTGACAGTCTAGAGGCTAGGAAGTCCAAGATCAAGTTGTTGGCAGATTCTGTGTCTGGTGAGAGTCAACTTCCTGGTTAGTTGACAGCACCTTCTTGACTTTGTCTTCATGTGGAAGAAGGAGAGATGGGTCTCTCTTGAGCTTCGTTTATAAGGACACTAATCCCATTACCAGAGGTCTGCCCTTATGACTTAATCATCTCCCGAAGACCCCCCTTCTCCTAATATCATCATCTTGGGGACTACAATTTCAACATTTAAATTGTGGATAGCACACACATTCAGACTATGGCAAAGTTTACAGATTTGTCATATGGGTCATGGCCTTAAATTAACAGAATGTAATTGAATAAAACACAAAAGCATGTAAATCTACTATATCAAGAGTCCAGACAAATCTATTTTTTTAACTTAACATGTTTTTGAAAATATTTTTTATAACTACATTACACTTAGAATTACTACCTGCCTATTTTGAGTGATGTCTTTTCCATTGAGGGTCACAGGTCAGTTCATACAGAGGTAAGGGATCTATAATGTCAGAAAGAAAGTGAAATAATCTCACATTTCAACAACTCTGAATGGCCTGTTCTAATTCACTTGGCCCATTTAATCCCTTAAGAATAATAAATGATTGCAACAAAACTGTTTTTTATTGACTATATGTTTGCAGAAGGTGAGAAAGTAGAAGGGAAGACAAAACTGAATAATTTTTCCAAACCATAAACTGTAGAATAGTAATACTGTCTATAAGGCCCTCGCAAAGTTCTGGGGCATCTTCTTGATGTTGCAGATAGATATCTCCATGATTTGTAGTGTTTTCATGTTGGTATGCAATGTATGTGACATCAACCTTCCATTCATGTAATGATTCCTTTAATACCTTCCTTAAGTAACTCCCCTCCATCCTGCTCCTGTGCTAGGCTCCTATAACTCCTATGGCATCCACTGTGAAGCAAGGAGTTAGATGTTGCTGCCAGAGGACAAATAAAATCAGAACCGATTTTATTCTTCGGTTTTGTGTTTAATTTTACCTAAATCAATGGTTTTAGTCTCCTTTGCCCTTACACATTGGACAAAGTTTAAAATATAAAGTTGTTCCACATTTTAAATTTTGCTCACATAATTAATCTGTAACAAATCGAAACCTCCTATCGGGTCACTTCCCTCTGCTTTTCCTAATCTCTGTAGTATGTGGGGTTTTGTTTGTTTTGTTTTGTTGCTTTTTTCCAGGCTGTCTACTATCCTGGAAATTTACAAGACTCTATTAGTGCAGTTTGCTCAAAGCCCCTGCTCTTCTAATCCGGCAAGGCGCCCATTGCCGCTCCTGATTGGGCTAGAGGCTCATGATTGTTGATGTGTGGCTAAGTGCCTGGGTTCATCCTAATTGAGCTGAACACTAGTCGCTGGGTTCCATGACATTTAAGCAATAGTACAGGCTAAAACTCTCCTCTAAAGAAAATTTGAGTCTCAACAGAAATGAACAAAGGCTAAAGGAGATAATATTGGTAGAAAGAAAATATTTGTCAAGGTGGAGCTCCATTGATTGGTTTAGTATTCAAGTACACAGCAGACAACAGAGGCAACACTTAAAGTTTTCTCTGAAGGTTTCCTGAAGGGACTGCTCACAGAAGTGCATACAAGGTCTCAGGTTAAAGTTAGACACACACTGTTGTAATCAAGTGAAAGAGAACCAACAGGCAGTGTGAAGTGGATAATAGCAGGAATCATCAAGACTTCATTACCACATCTAGAACTAAAGGAAAAGGGATGTGAGAACACAGTAAATGTAGAAAAGAGAGAAATTATGGAAAATAAGTCATCACGCATTAGACACACAGACACTGTCAAACCCACAGTAAATCAAGAAGGAAACGGCAGGGACAGAGCATGCGAATCATTGTGTCAATATTTCTCTCTCTCCACTTCTGATATCCTGCCAGTCTTTCCCTTTGACTGCTTGCATCCAGAGGGTGATGGAGCCCAGATAATGCAAAGTATAGAAGTTAGAGCAAGTTAGAGAGGTTGGTAAATAAATATGCAGTGTAAACAGAGAAAAAGTAGTGTATCTAATCCTGTTTTGCCAGTCAGCATACATTTATGTCCTTTACTTGGGAGAAGAAACTACCAGTTCTTCTGTCCTCCAAACAAGGAAACATGAAGTCCCATCAGCAACCACAATTATGATGGGATGATGTCAATTCAGTCACAGTTACAGCTAGAATTTAAATGATAAAATGAAATGCCACAAATACTTTTCATATAAAATTACAGAAAAATCATTCAAATGAATAATGGCAACAACAAAATTATAGCTGCTCTGATTCTTCATCTCTAGCAGGACATTAGGCTGAATTAGATCATCAGCTTCTTTTTTCCACTACTCATTTCACTTTACTCTTACCTATTGCAGGTTGGCTTCATAACTTTCTTAGTAGGACGTCACAAATCATCGTTAATCCTACACCTAGTTGTGTTGTCTCTTTGGGGGAACTGTAGACCCCATTGACAATTATTGTTTAGAAATAAATGTACTACAATATGGCCAGTGGATCCTGTATGCTCCAGCCATACTTCTCCTTGCCAGTACTGTAGAGCTGTGACCCCATTGGGTAATAAAAATAAATTGTTGCAGCCTGTACAATAACACTTTCAATGTGTCTTGTTTCAACTAACATGAAGGGACCAAAACACTTTACATTCCACTCCATGCTGGACACAGATTCAATTCTAAGCCTAGAATATTTTTTGCTTGAAATTCATATCATTTCTGTGTCTTCAATACCAAATATCTAATAACTATACCAACTGTGTGAGGCACTTCTGCTCTAGCTTCTCTTATGAAACTAGAGTTTTTTCACTTATTGTCATTCCAAATAGTAATTTATGATTTCATCTGAGACTTTTGATAGCATGTAAGAAATTAATTAACTTAGCATATAATATTATTTGTCAAGAATTATTTTATAAATTAGAATGGTTCATACTAGATAGTCATAAATTATTAATACATGGTGGGTGAATTAGTAGTGTGTGTGTATATTATATATACATACATATAATGCAGTCATAATATGTGAAAGAAGCTGTGTATTTTATAACGCTTAGGAACCAGGAACATTTTACATCATATGACTAAAACAGTGTTGCATTAATTATATTATTTTCTTGCATAATGTATAATATTGATATCCTTTTGTTTAATAATAAAACTGCAATGCAAAAATGGCAAATTAATTCTCATGGCCCTAATGGCCATAACACTTACAAATGGCAGAATAGTGACTTGAAGTTAGAACAGCTCATTTCAAGTTTTATTTTACTTTTAAAACAGTAAAAAGTTTTCTATCTACAGTGATGTTGATTGTTATTTCCTTAAGCCCTACACACAATAAAACTTTACAATTCAAAGGGAATTTTATTTAAAAGTTAATTTAATTTTACTTGCAAAGTGATTTGGACATTTAGAAAGAGAACTTGAGGCGAATAAACTTGAGTATCATGTCAGACTGGGGGTCTTTAATTGCTTTCATTCTACACAAAGGAACCTGAAATTTCCTGGAAGTAGAACTTTAATAGTTAGGAGATGCTCTATAAAAAATTGCCAAAGCTATAAATGGCAATACAGATGTGAGTCAATAAAGAAACAAACAATGATTTAAAACTGTATTTTAAAAACTGTATTTAGAGAAAATTGTTGAGTATTACAGCCACTTTTTTTGGAATAACTTTCATATACCCAATTCTTTTGGAAATTACAGCTGAGAAAATTGTATCAGTGTGAACCTATTTTATCCAGTTTTAAATGAGCATTGTAAAAATTAACATTTGGAAAAAAGGGCATTCTATGAAATTATTTGAATCTGCATCAGATAGGCTGTTGAAAAGCAACCTGATGTTTGAATCACTCTCCAGGCTGTATGGAATAATCAAATGCTATTTATATCCAAAAGAGCACACTCAAACAGACTGATAATAATAGTTTACTTTATTCAAGTGAGCTGTGTTTCTTCATTTATTTTCTTGTCTATCAGCAGTTATGCTCTCTCAAAGTACCTGTACTACCTCACTGGCAGGATAACTCAGAATGTAAATGTGGATAAATTACCAAGATACTGCCACTTACCCCAAAATTTGAGGTGTTCAGAGAACTAATATTGAGAAACAGGACTAGCTGCATTTCCTAGGCTAAGAATTCCTAAGCCTAGCTGTGGAAGGTGACCACACCCACCTTAAACACGGGACTTGTAACTCAGCTCACACCCTACCAATCAGGTACTAAAGAGAGCTCACTGAAATACCAATTAGCTAAAAGCAGGAAGTAAAGAAATAGTCAAATCATCTATCACCTGAGAGCACAGAGGGAGGAACAATGATTGGGATATAAACCCAGGCATTCAAGCCAGTTCGGACAGCCCTCTTTGGGTCCCTTCCCATTGTATGGGAGCTCTGTTTTCACTCTGTTAAATCTTGCAACTGCACACTCTTCCGGTCTGTATTTGTTCAGGCTCAAGCTGAGCTTTTGCTCTCTGTCTGCTGTGCTTCTCATCCAGCAAGGCACCCATTGCCACTCCCGATTGCGCTAGAGGCTCGCCATGGTTCCTACGTGGCTAAGTGCCTGGGTTTGTCCTAATTGAGCTGAACACTAGTCACTGGATTTCAAGGTTCTCTTCTGTGACCCACAGCTTCTAATAGAGCTATACCATTCACTGCATGGCCCAAGGTTTCATTCCTTGGAATCTGTGAGGCCAAGAAGCCCCGGTTAGAGAACAAAAGGCTTGCTGCCATCTTGGGAGCAGCTGCCATCATCTTGGGAGCATCCTGCCACCATCTTGGGAGTGGCCCACCACCATCTCGGCCCACCACCGTCTTGGAAGCGGCTTGCCACCATCTTGGGAGCGGCCAGCCACCATCTTGGGAGTTGGTAGCTCTAAGAAAAAAGACCCTCCAGTAACAGGTCTTTCCTATGATGTTCTCATGATAGTGAATAAGTTTCACAAGATCTGGTGGGTTTTTTGTTTTGTTTTGTTTCTTTTGAGAGGGAGTCTTGCTCTGTCACCCAGGCTGGAGTGCAGTGGTGCAATCTCAGCTCACTGCAACCTTCTCCTGGGCTCAATCGATTCTCCTCCCTCAGCGTCCCAAGTAGCTGGGATTATAGGCACCTGCCACCACACCCAGCTAATTTTTCTTCTTTAGTAGAGATGGGGTTTCACCATGTTGGTCAGGCTGGTCTTGAATTCTTTTTTTTTTTTTTTTTTTTTTTGAGACGGAGTCTCGCTCTGTTGCCCAGGCTGGAGTGCAGTGGCGCGATCTCGGCTCACTGCAAGCTCCGCCTCCCGGGTTCACGCCATTCTCCTGCCTCAGCCTCCTGCGTAGCTGGGACTACAGGCGCCCGCCACCACGCCCGGCTAATTTTTTGTGTTTTTTAGTAGAGACGGGGTTTCACTGTGTTAGCCAGGATGGTCTCGATCTCCTGACCTCGTGATCCGCCCGCCTCGGCCTCCCAAAGTGCTGGGATTACAGGCGTGAGCCACTGCGCCTGGCTGATCTGATGGTTTTATAAGAGGGAGTTTTCCTGCATAAATTCTCTCTTGTCTGCCACCAAGTAAGATGTGCCTTTTGCCTTCCACCATAATTGTGAGGCCTCCCCAGCCACATGGAACTGAGAGTCCATTAAATCTCCTTTTTTTAAAAAATTACCCAGTCTTGGGTATGTCTTTATCAGCATCATGAGAATGGACTGATACAATTTTCCTTATTAATAAGATAGGACATTTTATGTCTATTTGTATTAGGGAGGGTACAGTCAGAAGACAGAAGTACTCCATAATTTAAGAAAAATTAATATAAAGTAGTATTAAGTAGTATCAAGTCATTAATTCCTAGGAAGTAAAAATAAATATATGACAAGAATAGCAGAGACAGAGGGCAGCCAACACTGTGATGGCTGAGGCAGAGGGCCCAAGAGAGAAACAAACGTCCAGAGGACCACCCTCGATAAATAAACAGCTTGTTGGATAGAATGTGCCCACTGAATAGTGGAGAAGTTTAGGAAGATCCAAAAAAAGTGGGCCTGGCAAGCAGCAAACCGCTCATTGTGATGCCAGAGGAACTCATTGAGACACTGCCTGCTGGAAATGGGTGATACAAGATGCTCCACACACCACTGGCTACTGAATTATGCAGCCCCTAGAAGAGAGGAGCACATTTGAGGTAGTAAGACAAACCCTTTTCTTCTTCAATGTTTCCTCTTTACCCTTTAATAACAAAGCACAATATTGTGCCATCCGGCAAAGGAGAACCGTTTATAAAGTCCAGGTCTGGTATCACAAAGCCAAGAAAAGGAGGTCAAATTTGGATCAAAGAATAAATTGGTAACTAGCTCTCCATCTCAAAAGGATGTTTTTATAAATCAAAGATAATAAGAGACTTTGAAAATTACAAGGATAGTTATAAATGTAAGATGGCATTATCTGTCTGCCATTCAACTGCAAAGTCTTTGTAGCGTACAATGTACTGCTTTTTGTTTGATATGGCCAGAGTATATCAGAAATATACTTGTCACTTTATTTTAATTCATTTAATCATTCATTTGTCCTTCAATTCAAAAAATAGCTATTGATCAACAACTGTATTACATTTATTGTCATTCATAAACCAGCACATTTACTAATCTCTTAATTCAACATACTTTTTGACTCCAACTATTTGCAAGCATTGTTCTGAACACTGAGTGCCCATTAATGAATAAAATAATTATTTTTTTAAATCTATATCTCATGGTCATAAGAAGCTGAATTTCTGACTGAGGTTGGAACAAGGGTAAAAGAGAAAAATAAATAAGTAATTGATTAGAGCTAAGTGAAACAGAAAAACTGAGCAAGGAAAGGGAATAGAAATTTGAAAGAAGCCACAGATATATTTGTAGGAGGAATAATGTAGACACTTGGGAGAGGAATATGTTTAATATATGAGAAAAAGCAAGGAGTGCCCTATGGTATGGTTTGTGGAGGGAGAGTGATAACATTTGATGTCAGTGAGATCTTGGAGATGATATCATGGAGGGCCATTCAGGCCATTAGAGCTTTTTAAATTCCCTTTGAACACGCCATTAAAATGTTCTGAACCAAGGGTGATGTTAGTTGTATTCTAAAGCAGTAACTTCAACGGATGTATTGAGAACAGACTAATAAGAAACATGTAAAAATGGAAAGAACAGTTAGAAGGCTATTATAATAATCCAGGTAAAATATGCCAGAGAATTGGACTAAGCCAATAAGAAGGTCATTTATAAGCTTTTTTTTCATTATTATTATTTTATTTTTAAGAGATGGTATCTCAGGCTGCTGCCATGGCAAGTCAGTTGCAGGTGATCCAGTAGCTGTTGCAGGCAGAGGTGATGGAGGCCCACAAGCCAAATAAACAGAGGCTGACCCAGGCCAAAGAAGCTAAGGCTGAAATTGAACAGTACCTCCTGCAGAGGGAGAAGAGTTAAAGGCCAAGAAACCCATTCACTGGGATCATAGGGCAGTTGCAGCACTGAAGTGGAGGAGACCTAGGAGAAGATGATCATCTTCCAGAACTACTTCAGGCAGAACAGGGATGAAGGCTTGGGTCACTTGTTGGTCTTTGAGACATCCAGCCAAAAATCCATGAAATCTACTCCATAAATGGATAAGAGAAGAAAGATGCATCTCTTCCATAGATTGTCATTTTAGATGTCCTCATGGAATATGATGCTTGAGCACAGCTTGAGTTTTATTCTTATGAAAAGGCATTAAATTATTTCTGTATTTTATAGTAGGTCCCATCATTCTTCAAAGAGTATCAAATCTAGCCTCTGTACAGACTTGGAACTTATTTAGAGATTTAATCTCTTTTTTTTTTCTTTGAGATAGAGTCTTGCTCTGTTGTCCAGGCTGGAGTGCAGTGACTCAATCTCAGCTCACTGTAACCTCCGCCTCATGGGTTCAAGCAATTCTCCTGCCTCAGCCTCCAGAGTAGCTGGGATTACAGGCACACACCACAATGCCCAGCTAATTTTTTTTTTCTTTGTATTTTTAGTAGAGATAGGGTTTCACCATGTTGGCCAGGCTGGTCTTGAACTCTTGACCTTAACTGATCCACCCGTCTCAGCCTCTCAAAGTGCTGAAATTACAGTTGTGAGCAACTGCACCCAGCAAGATTTAGTCTTTTTATCTCTTGTTTCTTAGAAATTTAATGGGTATATGTTGTCTGTTTTCCTATGCCTTTTTGCTCAAGCAACATATATAATGATGTTGACTTTCTGTTTCTTAGATTTAGTAAAAGGAATTCTTTGAAGAAAGAAAGAGATTAATTTTTTCTCTCTAAAGCTTTCTTGAAGGTCAAGAACTTTATCTGTGTAAAACTAGTAAATAGGTTTTTGTAACCTGTGTGAAGCAGCAGCCAGCCTTAAAGTTGTTAATTCCTACTAATGGCTAGAACAATGAATACTAATATGATTGGGCTGCTTTTAATTTCTCTTAATCAAATTATTAGATGATAGAATTCAGGAACTTGTTACATGTTATTACTTTGTGTACTGATCATCATTCAAAAGTCAAGACTCTGTCATGCAAAAAAAAGAGAGACAGATGGAATCTCAGGGCCTCATTCTATCACCCAGGCTGGAGTGCAATGGCAGGATCATAACTCACTGCAGCTTCCATCTCCTGGGCACAAGAAATCTTCTTTCCTCAGCCTCCTGAGTCACTAGGATTGCAGGCACAGGGCAACATGTCTAATTTATAAGTATTTTTAAAAGTATCTTGTGTTATGTAATATTTATCTTGACTTTATTAATGAAGGTTTTAAGTGTACCTATAAGATAATTTTGGTCAACATGTTAAGTAAACATTCAAAACTTATTCAAAAAAATGCTAGCTTTCAAATAGTAAATTTTATAGGGGAATAGTGTCTTTCTTCAAACAAGTTTTGAACATTGTTTTTTTGTTTCTTTCCATAAACGACTTTAGCATTTAAAAACATTAGAATACTAATTTATAAAGTTTATTTAAATCAAGACTATATTTTATGTTATAACATTGTGTTATATGTGACAGACACATCACAAATTAGTTCATACAAAAAGGGGCAAGGATATTGACATACATAATATAAATTTCCAGGGGGAGAACCAACTTCAAGCTCAGTTGGATTCAAAGTAGCAAGGATGTCATGAAATTTTTATTTTCAACTTTGTATTTATGTTTCTTTACATTGCCTTTTTCTCTATCAACTTTTTCTGAAGTGCACTTATCTAGAGTTGTGACAAAGATGTCTACTACCTCTTACTTCTCACTACCTTTATAAGCAAGGTAAAAAGTGAGTACTTCTTCCTCAACAATTCTAGCAAAATTTTTAGAATCAATTTAGATTGTCCTCATTTCACCATTACTACCAAATAATAATATAACTATAGAGATATAATTCTTATTGACCAGTTCTAGATCAACTTCAACATCAAGCAGACTGGGGGGAGGCTCAACCTCAGCAAAACCAAATAAACTGAAAAGTGGATCCGAAAATGAATGCTGCATATATAGTAAACTAATGTCAGTTATGGATGCCTGTTACTGAGCAAATGAGATAGCTGAACAATGTGCATAGAAGCCAATACTGTAGCACTAGCTGTGGAGAAGAGAAAGGTTTCATTGTGAGACTGGCCAGCAGGGAGACAGGAGATATGGCTCAAATCTGTCTCCCTGATTTTGGGTCTAGCACAAGTTTTAAGGGGTCAGAGGGCAAGGGAAAGGATTTAGAAATGTTGGCTTGGGAGGATGTGATTGGAAGGCTTCAAATTTGATCATTTACAGTAAAGTGTGTTGAGGTGAATTTCTTGGGGAGGTTACCTAGTTTCTGGATGTTGTTAGATGTCAAAGCTTTTTCTATTGTACATGCCCAGGCTACAAGACTTGCAATTTTGGCTGTTATACCTAGAAGATAACTTGACATTCTTTTAGCAATAAAGTTTGGCCGGTTTTGGTTGGTGCTGTGATTTCACAACTTAATTTTATATACAAGGAAGCAGAGGGCCAGAAAGATGAAGAGATTTGCCTTAGATCACAAAGTGAGTTTACTTACAGAAGGTAGATGATGTCATTACATTTATGCCATTAAGCTTTTCATTATCCCAATGTGTCTGTCATAGAGATTTTTTAAACACCTAATATCACAATAAAACCATTCAGTTTTGGGAAGGAAATGTAATAATTTATGATCAATGCTTTTAGAACAATTAAAAGTCAGTTAAAAGAGTAAGATTATGTTCGATCTCAATATTCAGTAGGAGTATTATGTTTGACTTATGTTTGATTCAATACTCAAAATAGAAGGAAATTAATTACTTTAATAAAAATATTTTTGTGTCTTAAAAATCATCTGAAATTTATTTCAAAAACATGTATTAGAAAATGTTTTTAAATATGTAACTATAAATCATTGTCATTAATCTTAAACACAGTCTTATACCCAAATTATTTTTTCTATTTATATGCATCTAATTTTCTTATCAGAAATAAAATGTGTCAACACTATTGAGTTACACATAAATGATTTACTTTGTACAGATATTTTTAAAACTTGCATGAGTGAGACTGTCCCAAAATCTAATAAGGATAACTTTGTAAAAAATTATAGAGTGATCTTATCTACGTGTACTGATGCAGAAATCTTAAATATTATCAAATAGTATATAGTTTATCAGCAATATTTAAATGTAAGTATTTTAACATACTTAAAGAAAAAGCAAATCATGTTCCTGGAAGAGATGGTTAAATATTGATGTTTATTAATTTCTTCAGCTTTCTTAGTCAACATAACACAATATAAATTCAATCAGAATAATATTTTATTAATTTAATAACAAAACATAAAATCAAATTGAAAAATAGATTAAAAAGAAGCCGAAAAATGAAACAAAACAAAATTTAAAAAAATATACTAGCCTCAATGTAATTTTTAATTAAAGAATAGAGAAGCAGCAAAACAATTTGTTGATGATACTAAAAGAAGTATAGACGTATGTATTAGGATACAGATTCTTGAAATACCCAAATTTACATGGAAAATTAACAGAAAATTGGTAAAAAGAATAAAAACTCTAAAAAGGAAAAAATGTAATAAGTGTTCTAGTGTAGCTGGATAAGGTGGGGAAGGTAATTTAGAGCTACAATTTCTGCCCCATTCAAAAGAAGATTTAGGTGGGTTTGAAGAATAAGTATTTTTAACATATAGAGACAGTTAATCAAGGTGGATAGATGACAGGTAGATAGCTGTAGAGATATTCTACAGCAGAATTTTTTAAATTGAAATATTGTATACTGGTCCTAATTGGTGCTACAGAATGAAAAAATCACTGGGGAAATGCTTTGAAAATACTACTATAACTCTCAGAAATTCACAGCGTACTACAACATACTAAAGAAGAGGAGAATACAAATACAAATACAAATATTTAGTTTTGTTTATCCTCTCACAACATATTTATAGTACACTTTTTCATTACATTTATCTTGTTTTGTTGCAAGTATCAAGAAAAACAATATTTGAGAAATATTAAACTAGAAGTACAATCACAGTTTTTTTTTATTCTTTTTTTAATTTTTTTTATTATTATACTTTTAAGTTTTAGGGTACATGTGCACATTGTGCAGGTTAGTTACATATGTATACATGTGCCGTGCTGGTGCACTGCACCCACTAACTCATCATCTAGCATTAGGTATATCTCCCAGTGCTATCCCTCCTGCCTCCCCCCACCCCACAACAGTCCCCAGAGTGTGATATTCCCCTTCCTGTGTCCATGTGATCTCATTGTTCAGTTCCCACCTATGAGTGAGAATATGCGGTGTTTGGTTTTTTGTTCTTGCGATAGTTTACTGAGAATGATGATTTCCAATTTCATCCATGTCCCTACAAAGGACATGAACTCATCATTTTTTATGGCTGCATAGTATTCCATGGTGTATATGTGCCACATTTTCTTAATCCAGTCTATCATTGTTGGACATTTGGGTTGGTTCCAAGTCTTTGCTATTGTGAATAATGCCACAATAAACATACGTGTGCATGTGTCTTTATAGCAGCATGATTTATAGTCCTTTGGGTATATACCCAGTAATGGGATGGCTGGGTCAAATGGTATTTCCAGTTCTAGATCCCTGAGGAATCGCCATACTGACTTCCACAATGGTTGAACTAGTTTACAGTCCCACCAACAGTGTAAAAGTGTTCCTATTTCTCCACATCCTCTCCAGCACCTGTTGTTTCCTGACTTCTTAATGATTGCCATTCTAACTGGTGTGAGATGGTATCTCATTGTGCTTTTGATTTGCATTTCTCTGATGGCCAGTGATGATGAGCATTTTTTCATGTGTTTTTTGGCTGCATAAATGTCTTCTTTTGAGAAGTGTCTGTTCATGTCCTTCACCCACTTTTTGATGGGGTTGTTGTTTTTTTCTTGTAAATTTGTTTGAGTTCATTGTAGATTCTGGATATTAGTCCTTTGTCAGATGAGTAGGTTGCGAAAATTTTCTCCCATTTTGTAGGTTGCCTGTTCACTCTGATGGTAGTTTCTTTTGCTGTGCAGAAGCTCTTTAGTTTAATTAGATCCCATTTGTCAATTTTGGCTTTTGTTGCCATTGCTTTTGGTGTTTTAGACATGAAGTCTTTGCCTATGCCTATGTCCTGAATGGTAATGCCTAGGTTTTCTTCTAGGGTTTTTATGGTTTTAGGTCTAACGTTTAAGTCTTTAATCCATCATGAATTGATTTTTGTATAAGGTGTAAGGAAGGGATCCAGTTTCAGCTTTCTACATATGGCTAGCCAGTTTTCCCAGCACCATTTATTAAATAGGGAATCCTTTCCCCATTGCTTGTTTTTCTCAGGTTTGTCAAAGATCAGATAGTTGTAGATATGCGGCATTATTTCTGAGGGCTCTGTTCTGTTCCATTGATCTATATCTCTGTTTTGGTACCAGTACCATGCTGTTTTGGTTACTGTAACCTTGTAGTATAGTTTGAAGTCAGGTAGTGTGATGCCTCCAGCTTTGTTCTTTTGGCTTACGATTGACTTGGCAATGCGGGCTCTTTGTTTGGTTCCATATGAACTTTAAAGTAGTTTTTTCCAATTCTGTGAAGAACGGCATTGGTAGCTTGATGGGGATGGCATTGAATCTGTAAATTACCTTGGGCAGTATGGCCATTTTCACGATATTGATTCTTCCTACCCATGAGCATGGAATGTTCTTCCATTTGTTTGTATCCTCTTTTATTTCCTTGAGCAGTGGTTTGTAGTTCTCCTTGAAGAGGTCCTTCACATCCCTTGTAGTAATGCTGGGAGATTTTGTCACCACCAGGCCTGCCCTAAAAGAGCTCCTGAAGGAAGCACTAAATATGGAAAGGAACAACCAGTACCAGCCACTGCAAAATCATGCCAAAATGTAAAGACCATCGAGACTAGGAAGAAACTGCATCAACTAACGAACAAAATAACCAGCTAACATCATAATGACAGGATCAAATTCACACATAACAATATTAACTTTAAATGTAAATGGACTAAATGCTCCAATTAAAAGACACAGACTGGCAAATTGGATAAAGAGTCAAGACCCATCAGTGTGCTGTATTCAGGAAACCCATCTCACATGCAGAGACACACATAGGCTCAAAATAAAAGGATGGAAGAAGATCTACCAAGAAAATGGAAAACAAAAAAAGGCAGGGGTTGCAATCCTAGTCTCAGATAAAACAGACTTTAAACCAACAATCACAGTTATTGAAAAAAATCAAAACAACACTTAGTAGATTTGAAAATGAATGCATACGAATTTTGGGGAATGTAAAAGATCTTAATTCAAAATACACTTTATGGAGTTAATAGCCATGACTTTTTGTTCAATATAAATATCTAGAATATAGCTTACTTAATAATTACTTACTCTCTGTTGAATGAATCCAAATAGTTAACCATCAAGCCATTCACAAGAGAAACAGGAATGATGAATTTTTTCATTTAAAACTACAGAAGTTCTGCTGATATTAATATATGGACAGAATATACTGACAGAATGTAAAACATTGCCAAGCCTACAATAGGCAAATAAAAGGCATAAATAAATAATTAATACAAGATATAGTAATGCAAAATAAACAAATTTATAAAGCAAGCTTCAACCACTCTAACAATTAAAAAACTTTAAAAAGTTGTAAATGAAGTACTATTTTCCATACAGTATTTTAGAAAAAAGATAATAAATAATTGTGAAATTAAAGTAAAACTGATATATTCATACATGGCATATGACATACTAATCATTTAGACATCAACACATTAGCGTATATAAATATATACATATGTATTATGTCTATGATTATACTAAAAAAAGTATCCTAATGAAATATTTCAAAAACAGTAAAATATTCAATAAAATGCTAATGATATATATATATATATATATTATATATATATATAGACTCTCCAGTTCTTTATTAGGATATATTTCCAGAATTAACTTTAGAGAACTAATTATAAATTCTTTTATGCTGGTAAAGCAATCTATCTTGGAGAATTCCCTCTACCCTAACATACAAATTTATCTGGACTTGTGCATAATAGTATCCATCCTTGTAGTGTCATTATCAAACTGAGCATGAAAATGTTACCCCAACAGAATAAACTTTCATATTTAATATTCAGATGCTGGAAAAGAAATGATCTGTTTCTTTTCTAGAGTTATGAGCTGTGGATACATTCTAAGCTGAAGCTTCTCACATTCATCTTTCCTGAACTCAAGGAGGAAATGATTGCATCCATTAATTAATACCTAGAGGAAAGCGGAGTCGAGGGAAAAATGGAAAGTTAAAAGCCCGGAAACAATTGAGCCCTTAGATCTAGCAATATCTGAAATAAAAGGTTATGGATATTTTCTGTTAGCTCTCACATATCCATTCATTGCCATCCCTCCCTTTGCTTTTCTACTTCAAGAGGCTCACTTGTACAGACTACATTAATGCACTTATTTTTCACATGGCTTCTAATTGGATTTAGTCAAACAAGCTAGCAACCAGAGACAGGAAGGTAGGAAGCATGAGGTCAAGCTAAGTTTCCCCTCTATTCCATTCCTCCTGGATCACTAAGGGTTTTTTATTAAAGTTCACAGCTAGTGCCAAGCGGCAGTCTTAATTCAAAATTTCAGTGGGATATGGTAACTGCTCCCTGCCATGTTCCTTGTAAATGTCCCTAAATCCTGCCTACACATTTGTAAAAATCCCTTTATTAAACTTTTTTATAAATTATCAAATTTGAATATACTATCACTTTGCTCTGAGGACCCTAAGATATAAAACATGTGAATCCCTATATTTCTGAATTATTAAACTATAAATTCCCCTTTTGGTTATAAGTTGGGGACTGTCTCTTGTAATTCAATATCATGTAAATAAATAGTCCTTCCTAATATGTAAATAATTATGTCATAATAATGAAATTTTGGAAAGAAGAGAATATGGCCAACAAAAGAATAGGTAAGCAATCAGATTGCTAATATTTATAGATTATCATGATGTGAAAAGCACTGACCTTGATCAGTAGAAATTTTGCTGAAAAAGACAAACCATGAAATATCCCTTGTGGTTAGAAATTTTGGTTTTACTATGGTCAAATTGAGAAGATTGCTCAGTTTTAAGCAAGACACTGATAGGATTTATAGCGTAGAAATGCCACTCTGTCTACATAATGCCACCGTGTTTAAAGAATGAGTGTTTGAATGAATTTCTAAAGGCACAGATGAAGTGGCAGTTCAGAGAAGACTGTCCTACAGGGTGCAGTATATACAGTAAGTCAGAAACCTCTACTTGGTGGTGTGTGCACAATAGAAAGTACATAAGAGTCCAAAGACCAATGAGTCAAAGAGTGGCATGACTTCCCATCATTCTCAGTGACTAATGGGGAATGATGTACTCTCTATCCCTAAAATTCTGGGGACTTCAGGATTACAGGTTCTGGTCACAAACGAAACATACATTTTCTAGGAAACACAAGAAAGATTCCTTCAACTAGAAATCTACGATTACTACTTAAGCAATTTAGACTCCTTTAATCAGAGAAGCAGCATGCAAGGAATCACCATTGTTGTAAGAATAATTGACCCAGATAAGCCAGAGAAGTTAGAGTTTCTATTACATAATGGGGTCTGAGAAGACTATATCTAGAAAACAGGTTGTTCACCTGGGTACCTCATGGTAATCCTTTGTCCAACTGAGACAGAATGGTAGATATAACAATCTAGAGAAAATAAAAAGTATGATGAACAGTTTCTCAGAATTTTCCAGAATGAGGATTTGAGCCACATCACCAAAATATTTATTTAAACCAACAGAATGTTGGTTTAATGTTTTAATTTCTATAAACTCTCAATGTTTATAGAAATTAAGAATGAAAAGTGGATGAAAAGAATAACAGGTACAAATTATGGCCCCCAAATCAACCACAGTGAGAAGGCTGTAGTTCAGCCCACTCATCTCTAAGTATCTCCTCAGAAAAAAAAGCCAAGAAAGTCTGAAGGAGCTTATGCCCAAATATTTTTAGAAAAGTGAATTAATTCAATGCAACAGGTGAATGGTAGCATTGGAGAAGACCCACATTTTTATATTCTTTAAGAAATAATCTGTGCTGTTCCAGTAATGCAGTTAGTTGGCAGTCTCCAGCTGGAATTCAAAATCCACCTCCATATTCTAGCCAAGGGCATTGTCATTCCAGGCAGCCCTGCACCATTTCTATCCTATACCTTCTCTAATAGGCTAACTTTTCTCTAGAGCTCCATGTTGAATTGACCAACACATTTTCAGATCGACATCATCATAAGAGGCTCTCCTCACCCATTCCAATTTCTCCCTTTAATTTCACAACTCTGTCATTGTCTGAAGACCTTTCTTGTTCAGTATGGCTTTCTCCCACTTTTATCTTTCATAGGAAGCATCTGCCAAAGAGCTTTTACACTCCTTTGTATTCATGCCTGTTCTTCAGGGACTCAACTGACACAGAAAATGCTTTAAAAGAATAAACATATAATAATTCAGGAAACACAGCAGATAGTTGTTGAGGGAAAGTTCATGAGTTAAAAAAAGAAACAACAGAGCCCAGTGTTTATTTAGGTAGAAGCAGGGACAATGGTGTAACAGGAGGGCAACATCAATTGCAGAGACTATTATAACATCAAATAAACTATGATAAAGAAATTAGATGAAATGACTTTTTAAAATTAAAAATGTCATCTGTAATATTTAACTAAAATATAAAAAAAGTATGTGTTTTAAGATATTAGCAACATGTATGTAAATGAACATGACTAAAGAAAAAATATGACTTTTATTCTGTCTGGAAGTTAATTACATGAATTAATATTTCCCAGGATTTGTATAATATGTTATTCTTCTCTAATTACTCTCCAGCGAACTCTCTTTGAGCTATTTGAAGAATGAATAGTTATAGGCCTAACAAAGGAGTTTAAGTAGTTCAGTAAAATTAAAATTAAAATTAATTTCTCCATAGTGCAACTGATATATAAAACAGATGATTTCACAGAATGAAAAGAGACATGTATCAGTAGTGTTTTTAATGATAGAATAAATTGCTTATTTTTAATTTTCAATTAATACAATTTGCAAATATGAAATATGTTTCGAGTCTGTAAAATAAGTGTAAAAGTTTCTAATGTCTTTGTTGCTAAATGTCCAACATTTTTCTTTTTTAAATGATAGATAATTTCCTTTTATGCATATCTAGATAAATTTTTGGTGAAGAAGCCAGTGTGTAAATATCTTTCATCTGTAGTGACTAAGGTAGGCCCATATAAATTGTATTCCTTCATGCAGTATAAAAGGGCCTCTAATAATGAGTGAAATCAATGTTAATGAAAATACATATACTTTTTAAAATTTCTTATCAAATAGAACCTGTGATGTCCATTCAAGAAATTAGAAGTAATTTTTTTCTTCCCATTTCACATCCAATAGATGCAAATTTTCTCATGCATTAAATGTTTTTTCTCTGGCTTTTCTTTTCTTCTTTTTTAATACAAAAAAAAGTGAGCCTGATCACTGCCTTAGATCAGGCTCACTTTAATCATCATTAGAAAAATAAAAACAATTTCCCCTTGCCTCCTTTCCAGCTCTCTTCAAAACTCTCCTCCTCAATGTTTAAGATTCAAGTAATATTTTTTTTCAATTTTCACATCTACACAAGTTTCATTACATAAAAGCATTTTTAAGAACTTTTACAATGCAAATCTTCATGGTGGCAAAACAGGCACCTGCCTGCAGCCCATTCTCCAGCTTTAACAGGAGGTGGTCCAGGAGGAGAAGAAAAGGACTTGATCAAAACTCCTTATATACATACCACTAACAGACATCCTGATAAACACACTTATGATATTACTAACTGGAAGTCCTCTATAGAATGCTTTTACCATGATGTACATAGTCTGTCTAGGATTCCTTATGGGAAACATACCTAAAATTGATGGATTTGTTGTGTGTGGTTATATGGAAATATTACTTAAGCTATGGACATATTAGCATAAAAGTGGAGAGATTTCATTACTTAAATAGATTCCTTGTGTACATTTGATGCTCATCATGTATCACTTACAGACCTCAGATGTAAAATCTGAGCCAGATACATACTAATGTGGCAAAAAAAATGGGGAAAGTAGCAGAAGGTGCCCTGTATCCTAAAAATTTGAAGTAAAGCTGGATACTTGGTAAGAATTCTGATTCATATGTCTCTGGTTTAATAATATGGCTCTTTGTGTTATCTCAGGTATGAAAATATTAAAATATGATTGTACCCCTTCAGCCCTGGTCTCTAGACTAAACACTTGTATGTGTTTGGCAGGTGATTTTCCTGGCTTAATTCCAAGATTAAACAAGTGAGCCAGCGTTTTATTCCACATGTTTTTACAATTAAAACTCCTATAAGTAAACCTAATTATTAATTATTTAATTAACTGGATCAATATTCGTTAAGTTGAATCTAGATGAAAATTTGAATCTTATTATGGAAACACATATATGGCCTTAGCCATGAAACCATATGGTTTGAGTGACTTCATACTTTCTTTTTTGTATCAGTGAGTGATATAATAAGAACATTTAAAAAGTCCTGTGATTCTGATAATGTAGTTGGTGAAAGGGAAATAAAGATAGTACAGCAAGAACAGTGTCCTGCCTCAAACTTCTTCACTATCTCAGAAGTGGAAGACGGTATAATGTTGTGGAAACTCTGGAAATATAATAGGAAAAGTTTCTGTACTTTATAATATATTATATATATAAAAAGTGTATATATACATATATACATGTATATATATATAGCATATATATGTATGAATATATATAGAGTGTGTGTGTGTGTGTGTATATATATATAAATATATATATATATATATGAAAACACACCATATATGTATTTTTGTCCACAGTTTCTGGCTCAAAGCTCCCATGGCCCTTGTTATAGTCATTTGTTATAATATTGAGTTTGTTAGGCCTTAGGCGAAGGTCTCAGAAAACAATCTCTCTGACCTTCCTCTGCTCTCCTTTCACCTGCCTCAAAGCTGGACTCTAATCTTACCCTGCCTTTCTAATTTTGGGTCTTACTACCATCCCCAGAGAGGGTCCTGCCTTGCCCTGGGAGAAGGAATGCTGACATCAGGAAGTTTCTATAAAAATCCAAAGGACTGGGTTCAGGGACCTTCTGAATATCCATCTGCTCAATGTGGAGGCTCTAGGATGATTGGCCTAGGGAGAGCATGAAAGATCTGCATCCCTTCCCCCATATCTCACTCTATTTATTTCTACATCTCTATCCATTACAATATCCTTCATAATAAATGGGTAAATGTAAATAATTGTTTCCTTGATTTCTGCTCCAGCAAATTAAATGGTCAGCTGCTCCAGCAAATTAAATGAACCCAAAGAGGTTCATGGGATTACCAACTTGAAGCCAGTCAATCAGAAGTTCCAGACTATTTTCCACCATTTGACACTGGTATCTGAAGGGGTGTGTGTGTAGGTAGGGGTGGACAGTCTTGAGGACTGAGCCCTCAACCCAAGGGATGTAACAGTATCTCCCAGTAGACAGCATCAAAATTAAATTGGAGGACATCCAACTGGTAACTGCTGCTTGGGGTGTGAGAAAAAAAATCTCACACATTTGGTCATAGAAGTCTTCTCACACATTGTTGTTCTGGTGGTGTGAGAGTAGAGGAAAAATAGCTTGAGGGTTTTTTCTACACAAAGCCCAATCATGTAAATCCTTCTTGGCCAATTGACTTACCCATACTCTAATACAATGTTATTAATTCTTTTTTTTTATTGTTTCATTAGCTGCTATTTTTTTTTTTACTTTAAGTTTTAGGGTACATGTGCACAATGTGCAGGTTAGTTACCTATGTATACATGTGCCATGCTGGTGCGCTGCACCCACTAACTCGTCATCTAGCATTAGGTATATCTCCCAGTGCTATGCCTCCCCCCTCTCCCCACCCCACAACAGTCCCCAGAGTGTGATGTTCCCCTTCCTGTGTCCATGTGTTCTCATTTTTCAATTCCCACTTATGAGTGAGAACATGCAGTGTCTGGTTTTTTGTTCTTGCGATAGTTTACTGAGAATGATTTCCAATTTCATCCATGTCCCTACAAAGGACATGAACTCATCGTTTTTTATGGCTGCATAGTATTCCATGGTGTATATGTGCCACCTTTTCTTAATCCAGTCTATCATTGTTGGACATTTGGGTTGGTTCCAAGTCTTTGCTATTGTGAATAGTGCCACAATAAACATACGTGTGCATGTGTCTTTATAGCAGCATGATTTATAGTCCTTTGGGTAGATACCCAGTAATGGGATGGCTGGGTCAAATGGTATTTCTAGTTCTAGATCACTGAGGAGTCGCCAAACTGACTTCCACAATGGTTGAACTAATTTACAGTCCCACCAACAGTGTAAAAGTGTTCCTGTTTCTCCACATCCTCTCCAGCACCTGTTGTTTCCTGACTTTTTAATGATTGCCATTCTAACTGGTGTGAGATGGTATCTCATTGTGGTTTTGATTTGCATTTCTCTGATGGCCAGTGATGGTGAGCATTTTTTCATGTGTTTTTTGGCTGCATAAATGTCTTCTTTTGAGAAGTGTCTGTTCATGTCCTTTGCCCACTTTTTGATGGGGTTGTTTGTTTTTTGTCTTGTAAATTTGTTTGAGTTCATTGTAGATTCTGGATGTTAGTCCTTTGTCAGATGAGTAGGTTGCGAAAATTTTCTCCCATTTTGTAGGTTGCCTGTTCACTCTGATGGTAGTTTCTTTTGCTGTGCAGAAGCTCTTTAGTTTAACTAGATCCCATTTGTCAATTTTAGCTTTTATTGCCATTGCTTTTGGTGTTTTAGACATGAAGTCCTTGCCCATGCCTATGTCCTGAATGGTAATGCCTAGGTTTTCTTCTAGGGTTTTTATGGTTTTAGGTCTAACATTTAAGTCTTTAATTCATCTTGAATTGATTTTTGTATAAGGTGTAAGGAAGGGATCCAGTTTCAGCTTTCTACATATGGCTAGCCAGTTTTCCCAGCACCATTTATTAAATAGGGAATCCTTTCCCCATTGCTTGTTTTTCTCAGGTTTGTCAAAGATCAGATAGTTGTAGATATGCGGCGTTATTTCTGAGGGCTCTGTTCTGTTCCATTGATCTATATCTCTGTTTTGATACCAGTAACATGCTGTTTGGGTTACAGTAGTCTTGTAGTATAGTTTGAAGTCAGGTAGTGTGATGCCTCCAGCTTTGTTCTTTTGGCTCAGGATTGAATTGGCGATGCAGGCTCTTTTTTGGCTCCATATGAACTTTAAAGTAGTTTTTTCCAATTCTGTGAAGAAAGTCATTGGTAGCTTGATGGGGATGGCATTGAATCTATAAATTACCTTGGTCAGTATGGCCATTTTCATATTGATTCTTCCTACCCATGAGCATGGAATATTCTTCCATTTGTTTGTATCCTCTTTTATTTCCTTGAGCAGTGGTTTGTAGTTCTCCTTGAAGAGGTCCTTCACATCCCTTGTAAGTTGGATTCCTAGGTATTTTATTCTCTTTGAAGCAGTTGTGAATGGGAGTTCACTCATGATTTGGCTCTCTGTTTGTCTGTTGTTGGTGTATAAGAATGCTTGTGATTTTTTGTACATTGACTTTGTATCCTGAGACTGCTGAAGTTGCTTATCATCTTAAGGAGATTTTGGGCTGAGACAATGGGGTTTTCTAGATATACAATCATGTCATCTGCAAACAGGGACAATTTGACTTCCTCTTTTCCTAATTGAATACCCTTTATTTCCTCCTCCTGCCTAATTGCCCTGGCCAGAACTTCCAACACTATGTTGAATAGGAGTGGTGAGAGAGGGCATCCCTGTCTTGTGCCAGTTTTCAAAGGGAATGCTTCCAGTTTTTGCCCATTCAGTATGATATTGGCTGTGTGTTTGTCATAGATAGCTCTTATTATTTTGAGATATGTCCCATCAATACGTAATTTATTGAGAGTTTTTAGCATGAAGGTTATTGAATTTTGTCAAAGGCCTTTTCTGCATCTATTGAGATAATCATGTGGTTTTTGTCTTTGGTTCTGTTTATATGCTGGATTACATTTATTGATTTGCGTATATTGAACCAGCCTTGCATCCCAGGGATGAAGCCCACTTGATCATGGTGGATAAGCTTTTTGATGTGCTGCTGGATTCAGTTTGCGAGTATTTTATTGAAGATTTTTGTGTCAACATTCATCAAGGATATTTGTATAAAATTCTCTTTTTTGGTTGTGTCTCTGCCCGGCTTTGGTATCAGGATGATGCTGGCCTCATAAAATGAGTTAGGGAGGATTCCCTCTTTTTCTATTGATTGGAATAGTTTCAGAAGAAATGGTACCAGTTCCTCCTTGTACCTCTGGTAGAATTCAACTGTGAATCCATCTGGTCCTGGACTCTTTTTGGTTGGTAAGCTATTGATTATTGCCACAATTTCAGCTCCTGTTATTGGTCTATTCAGAGATTCAACTTCTTCCTGGTTTAGTCTTGGGAGAGTGTATGTGTCGAGGAATTTATCCATTTCTTCTAGATTTTCTAGTGTATTTTCGTAGAGGTGTTTGTAGTATTCTCTGATGGTAGTTTGTATTTCTGTGGGATCGGTGGTGATATCCCCTTTATCATTTTTTATTGCATCTATTTGATTCTTATCTCTTTTTTTCTTTATTAGTCTTGCTAGCGGTCTATCAATTTTGTTGATCCTTTCAAAAAACCAGCTCCTGGATTCGTTAATTTTTTGAAGGGTTTTTTGTGTCTCTATTTCCTTCAGTTCTGCTCCGATTTTAGTTATTTCTTGCCTTCTGCTAGCTTTTGAATGTGTTTGCTCTTGCTTTTCTAGTTCTTTTAATTGTGATGTTAGGGTGTCAATTTTGGATCTTTCCTGCTTTCTCTTGTGGGCATTTAGTGCTATAAATTTCCCTCTACACAGTGCTTTGAATGTGTCCCAGAGATTCTGGTATGTTGTGTCTTTGTTCTCATTGGTTTCAAAGAACATCTTTATTTCTGCCTTCATTTCGTTATGTACCCAGTAGTCATTCAGGAGCAGGTTGTTCAGTTTCCATGTAGTTGAGCGGTTTTGAGTGAGATTCTTAATCCTGAGTTCTAGTTTGATTGCACTGTGGTCTGAGAGATAGTTTGTTATAATTTGTGTTCTTTTACATTTGCTGAGGAGAGCTTTACTTCCAAGTATGTGGTCAATTTTGGAATAGGTGTGGTGTGGTGCTGAAAAAAATGTATATTCTGTTGATTTGGGGTGGAGAGTTCTGTAGATGTCTATTAGGTCCGCTTGGTGCAGAGCTGAGTTCAATTCCTGGGTATCCTTGTTGACTTTCTGTCTTGTTGATCTATCTAATGTTGACAGTGGTGTGTCAAAATCTCCCATTATTAATGTGTGGGAGTGTAAGTCTCTTTATAGGTCACTCAGGACTTGCTTTATGAATCTGGGTGCTCCTGTATTGGGTGCATATATATTTAGGATAGTTAGCTCTTCTTGTTGAATTGATCCGTTTACCATTAAGTAATGGCCTTCTTTGTCTCTTATGAACTTTGTTTGTTTAAAGTCTGTTTTATGAGAGACTAGGATTGCAACCCCTGCCTTTTTTTGTTTTCCATTTACTTGGTAGATCTTTCTCCATCCTTTTATTTTGAGCCTATATGTGTCTCTGCCCGTGAGATGGGTTTCCTGAATACAGCACACTGATGGGTCTTGACTCTTTATCCAATTTGCCAGTCTGTGTCTTTTAATTGGAGCATTTAGTCCATTTACATTTAAAGTTAATATTGTTATGTGTGAATTTGATCCTATCATTATGATTTTAGCTGGTTATTTTGCTCGTTAGTTGATGCAGTTTCTTCCTAGTCTCGATGGTCTTTACATTTTGGCATGATTTTGCAGTTCCTGGTACCGGTTGTTCCTTTCCATGTTTAGCGCTTCCTTCAGTTTCTCTTTTAGGGCAGGCCTGGTGGAGACAAAATCTCTCAGCATTTTCTTGTCTTTAAAGGATTTTATTTCCCCTTCACTTATGAAGCTTAGTTTGGCTGGATGTGAAATTCTGCGTTGAAAATTCTTTTCTTTAAGAATGTTGAATATTGGCCCCCACTCTCTTCTGGCTTGTAGAGTTTCTGCTGAGAGATCTGCTGTTAGTCTGATGGGCTTCTCTTTGAGGGTAACCCAACCTTTCTCCCTGGCTGCCCTTAACATTTTTTCCTTCATTTCAACTTTGGTGAGTCTGACAATCATGTGTCTTGGTGTTGTTCTTCTCAAGGAGTATCTTTTTGGCGTTCTCTTTATTTGCTGAATCTGAATGTTGGCTTGTCTTTGCTAGATTGGGGAAGTTCTCCTGGATAATATCCTGCAGAGTTTTTTCCAACTTGGTTCCATTCTCCCCGTCACTTTCAGGTACACCAATCAGACGTAGATTTGGTCTTTTCACATAGTCCCATATTTCTTGGAGGCTTTGCTCGTTTCTTTTTTTTCTTTTTTCTCTAAACTTCCCTTCTTGCTTCATTCCATTCATTTCATCTTCCATCGCTGATACCGTTTCTTCCAGTTGATCGCATCGGCTCCTGAGGCTTCTGCATTCTTCACGTAGTTCTCGAGCCTTGCTTTTCAGCTCCATCAGCTCCTTTAAGCACATCCCTGTATTGGTTATTCTAGTTATACATTCTTCTAAATTTTTTTCAAAGTTTTCAACGTCTTTGCCTTTGGTTTGAATGTCCTCCCATAGCTCGGAGTAATTTGATCCTCTGAAGCCTTCTTCTCTCAGCTCGTCAAAGTCATTCTCTGTCCAGCTTTGTTCCGTTGCTGGTGAGGAACTGCATTCCTTTGGAGGAGGAGAGGTGCTCTGGTTTTTAGAGTTTCCAGTTTTTCTGCTCTGTTTTTTCCCCATCTTTGTGGTTTTATCTACTTTTGGTCTTTGATGATGGTGATGTACAGATGGGTTTTTGGTGTGCATGTCCTTTTTGTTTGTTAGTTTTCCTTCTAATAGACAGGACCCTCAGCTGCAGGTCTGTTGGAGTACCCAGCCCTGTGACGTGTCAATCTGCCCCTTCTGGGGGGTGCCTCCCAGTTAGGCTGCTCGGGGGTCAGGCATCAGGGACCCACTTGAGGAGGCAGTCTGCCTATTCTCAGATCTCCAGCTGCATGCTGGGAGAACCACTGCTCTCTTCAAAGCTGTCAGACAGGGACATTTAAGTCTGCAGAGATTACTGCTGTCTTTTTGTCTGTGCCCTGCCCCCAGAGGTGGAGCCTACAGAGGCAGGCAGGCCTCCTTGAGCTGTGGTGGGCTCCACCCAGTTTGAGCTTCCCAGCTGCTTTGTTTACCTAAGCAAGCCTTGGCAATGGTGGGCGCCCCTCCCTCAGCCTCACTGCCGCCTTGCATTTTGATCTCAGACTGCTGTGCTAGGAATCAGCGAGACTCCGTGGGCATAGGACCCTCCGAGCCAGGTGCGGGATTTAATCTCCTGGTGCGCCGTTTTTTAAGCCTGTGGGAAAATCGCAGTATTCGGGTGGGAGTGACCCGATTTTCCAGGTGCCATCTGTCACCACTTTCTTTGACTAGGAAAGGGAACTCCCTGACCCCTTGCACTTCCCAAGTGAGGCAATGCCTCGCCCTGTTTTGGCTCGCTGACTGTGCTTGCACCCACTGACCTGCACCCACTGTCTGGCACTCCCTAGTGAGATGAACCCAGTTACTCAGATGGAAATGCAGAAATCACCCGTCTTCTGCGTCGCTCACGCTGGGAGCTGTAGACCGGAGCTGCTCCTATTCGGCCATCTTCAATGTTATTACTTCTTAAGTGTCACCAAGAACACAATATTGGAGAATGGCAAATGTGACTAAATAGAAATCACTGACAAAATTGACATATCAGTGGAATCAACTAATGGCAGATGTTTTTCCAAGGGACAAACATGAGTGGTTCACCTAAACTTTAGGCACCACAGTGAATTCCTTCTTATTCTCACAGGGAAAGTGATAGAGAAAACTGTCCATGGTTTCTGTCGTGAAATGAAAATGCAGACCCTGGATTGGGTCAGAGAGCTATTCATTGAATAATATTCTGAGGTCACGCTGACTAATGGAAAGTATAGACAAGCAAATGGGCAGAATGTCATGCTGTAAGTCTTATGAAATATTTCATTTTATATATATGTACATATGTATACATAATGCATGTGTATATATGCATACACCTATGCGTATGTGTATATATGCATACACGTATACATATGTGTATATATGCATACACGTATACATATGTGTATATATGCATACACGTATGCATATGTGTATATATGCATACATGTATCCGTATATGTATATATGCATACCTGTATGTGTATGTGTATATATGCATACATGTGTATGTGTATATATGTATACATGTATATGTGTATACATGTATATATGTATGTATATGTGTACATATATGCATGTATAAGTGTATATGGATACATATGTATATCTGTATACGTATATATGATACGTGTATACGTATTACGTATATATGGATACTTATATACGTATATATCTGTATACGTATATGTATATATCTATATGCCTATATGTATATATGTGTATGTATACATATGTGTATAGGTGTGCATACGTATACATATATGTATATACGTGTACGCATATATGCATATACGCACATATACATACATCCATATACATATACACATATATGTACGCATACATATATGCTTATATGCATACACATATGTATACACGTATACATATATACAGATATATGTATATATGTATGCATATGTATATATGTATGCATATGTATATGTGTGTATGCATACGTATATGTATGCATATGCATATGTGTGTTTGCATACATTTATGTGTATGTATATATACATGTATGTGTATGTATATGTACACATGTGTATGTATGTATACACATGTGTGCATGTGTATACGTATGCATATATATGTATGCATATGCGTATATGTATACATATGTGTATATATGTATGCATATACGTATACATATAAATACGTATATTTATATATGTACACATGTATACGTGCATATTGATATATATATACGTGTACACGTATACGTGCATATTCGTAGATATATACGTGTACACACGTATGTATATACGTGTACATACGTGTGCACATGTGTGTATATGTGTATACATACATATTTATACATGTATATACGTATATATACGTATATAAGTATACATGTACATAAATAGATACATATATATAAAATGAAATATTTCATAAGACAGCATGACATTCTAACTGTATGTTAGATATGTATGTTTATGTATATATGTATATGCATATATGTATATATGTGTATACAATCTCAATATCTTTTTCTCTGTATACATATATGTATACGTATGTATATATGTATACATATGTATATACATATTTATGTATATACATATGTATATACATACGTATGTATATACATAACTAGGTATATAGATATGTATATATATTTATGTATATAGATGTGTATATATACATATATGTATTTATATAGATTTGTGTATATTTACATAAATATGTATATATATACAGAGAAAATTAAGATAGTATTGAGATTATTGTATATACTTATACACATATATACACATATACATATACATACATATACATATAAACACATATATACATATATACATATGTATGCATATATACAAATATACCTATGCACCCATATGTGTATATACACATATGCACCCATATGTGTATATACACATATGCACCCATATGTGTATATACACATATGCACCCATATGTGTATATACACATATGCACCCATATGTGTATATACACATATGCACCCATATGTGTATATACACATATACACATATATACATGTATACACATATGTACACATATATACATTTGTACACTTATGTGTATATATGTACATATGTACAAGTATGTGTATTTATGTATGTGCAGATACATATACGTATACAGAGAGAATAAAGTAAGAAATATGTTATTGAGGAAGCATTACCATTTGCTACATTTGTTAAGAGCAGACTAAGGAGACATGACAAGGAGAGCTCTCTGTGGTACCTAGACTTAAGCACTTCCTGGGAGCTAGCTTCGTAGTTTTATAAAATTCGGAAGCTAGCTTCTGCATAAACATCTTTCTTAGAGGTAGAAGTTAAGACACAAGCTTGTGAATAAATAGAGAAAATTCTGCCTTCCTAGATACAAAATTCCATGTGCTTTGAATCTGTCCATGCCTCATCATTTCTACTGCTGCTACTCAAGCAATACAACACTCTCATGTAGATGTTGATAACTCCATAAGCTGCCCACCACAGGACTTTTATACAACTCATTTATTCTACGCAGTACACTCTTCTCCAGCTAACCTGTATCTCTCATTTTACCTCAAATTTTGCTTTTTTTAGGAAGATTTCCCTGACTTCAGACAGATTAGTCATCTCCAGTATTTAATCTCAAGACTACCTATATTTCCTTAGAGCATTTGTCAAAGTTTAAATAAGCTAGTTGATGACTTTTATGAGGTCCTAATTTCTACACTTTTTCTTCACCTGACAGTCCTATGAAGTCAGTATTTTATTTCCTGTTTTCTGCTGTATCCCTAATGTATAACATTGCAGATGACTCTTAGTAAGTGCTGAATTCCAGGTGATTAATGAGCCACACATGGCTGCTGTATTGTCTTTGATTTTGAAATATAATTAACCCTCATTCTTTCCTTCCTAATCCCCTTTGTTGATACCAATTCTGCAGTAAGTATACTCCTTTAAGCTGTGAAGTAATAAGCAGAGCGATCTTTTGAGAAGAGTATATGGCTCTAAATAAAAGCAGACAGATTGCCTGAGTACTTAGTAAAGGCACTGGATGAAATATTTTCTTTTGTAATTGCAATACAAAACATTAATAGAGATTATGGATGAATGTCTTCCTTAGAGGTAGAAGATAAGACACAAGCTTGTAAATAAATGAGGGACAAACAAATTATATTTTCAATTTCTTGGGGCTGGATTTGTAAAGTAAAACAAGTACACACTGACTACTCCTGTTAACATTCTATTCAACTTAACTTAAACACAAAATTGTGTTTCTTGCATTTGTCTTCTGCTATAAATAGTTTTAGAATTTGTGGGTTTGTACTAATCTTTTAGGCCATAGCTTACCTGAGGAGCAAATAGAAGAGCTGAATAAAATGACACAAGGGCAATTACTTTCTGGTAGAAGACATGAACATCTTCTTCTCAAAAATTCTTCTGGCATTTAACTAGTGGTGAAGCCTAGAATAAAGGCTGTGGCCCAAAGAAAGGCACTGATTTACTTGATTCTGGCTTCTACTTCCCTTCCAGAAAAGATGAGCAGGTTTTAAGTTTGACCTGTCTGTTGCATCACTTGTAGGAAGATCTCAGAGGATTGATAGGAACACCTACATTGTTTTATTCAATTGAAAAAAAAAAGAAGAAACAAAAATAAAACATCATTTTACTCTCTACTTCTGTGAGATCTTTTTTTTTATTCCAAATATGAGTGAGAACACGCAGTATTTGTCTTTTCCTGTGCCTTCTTGAAAAATGCCAAGAGAGTGGATGTTAAGTATTCTTACCACAGAAATTATGACTATATGAGGTAATGCGCTTATTAATTACCTAAATTTAAGCATTCGACTCTCTCTGTGTGTGTGTGTGCGTGTGTGTGTATATATATATATATATATATATATATATATATATATGAAGGAATTTAAAGGGCATATAAACTCTGAGTGCATTTTAACATGAGCTATGAAAGCCATGAATGAAAACATGCAGAAGGTTATTAAACTATTTTGAGAACAAGTAAGATTTTCAGGTGTCTGATGTATTTTTATTACTATACAATCAAGATGAAATTAGCTTAAATGAATCTAGGAATTAAATTATTTATTATTTCATTGCAATCTCAATTCCTAACTAGACTTCATTTTCCTTTTTTTTTTTTTTTAAGACATTATATTGGCTTCTATAAGTCAACTCATATCTGTCTGGTTCAAATAGTCATAAAATTTTTAGTGTGTTTCTAGGTAGATAAAAAGGCAGGTAGATAGATAAAACATGTGACATGGCCTAATTAATATTTAAAAACCAAATACTATAAAAAAACTGTGATATTGATACATCAAAAGAAAAGTACAAATGAAATAAAATACAGAATACAGTTATAATATTGTATATGTATATAAAATATTAAGGGATATGTGGGGTGTAAATATGTTGTTTTGAGCAAGCTAATTGCTTTCATGTTAATGGTGAATATTTATCTTTCTTTCATGCAGTAACATTTCTTAAAAGGAGATGAAACCCCTTTGGAGTCAAAATGATGTTTAAATTTGCCATCTTTTTATTTATTTCCATAGACAAAAATATAAGAAATGAGTTAAAATATAAATGATGCTACCTTTGAATAATTTTTGTGGAAATGTTCTAATTTTTTCTCTTTTCATGTTTTTCCTTTTTCTTCCCCCATGATCCACTCCACTATCAGCATCTTGTTCCAGCCTCCTATTTCTAGAGTCTCTTCTGTTTTCCCCTGGAAATCACCTTCCTTTAATAACATTCTTTGCTATCACACCTTATCCCCAAATAAAATGTTAGCATATTATCCCCAAATAAAATGTTAGCATATAAGCATTGTATACAAACTTACCATCAACCAATGTGTACATTATGGTAGTGTATATATATATATATATATATGTATGTATGTATCTGTCTCAATGGCTCCAAGTCAATTAGAACTGCCCCCTTCCCCGATTCACCCATCCTTGGAGTTGTGTTCTGTGGTGATTATATTTTTCCAATTTTTTAAAACTTAAATTTTTTTCTACAAAATATGTTTTTGACAAAACATTTTGGGCCTCTGAGACGTGGTCCTGTGCCAAAATTGTTATTCTAAAATTATTTTGTGACAGTGTCCTTTTAAAGCAGACAGGAAGACAGATAACAAAAAATTATTTATAGGGATTGATTTTTCAATGATTGAAACCTAAATGCAAAGAACTTATGGTTGCCTTTTCTCCCAGTATGAGAAACCAAATCTGTCAACCTAATTCTCCTAAGTTCACTATTCCTTTCATCCTCTTAAAGTAAGAGAATGGTTTCAATTAATCAGAGCACAAACTTGAAGTCTGGCTCCTTACACCAATTTATTACAATTTTTTACATAATTTGGAATAAACCCATTACATTGTTTCCTCCTTTTACTCTCTAATGAATGGTAGACAACACATTGGAATCAAATGCCAAAAATTAAAACATTTCTCAGTATTTTTATTTATTTATTTATTTAGCTTTCAGGAATTGATGGGAGACTCCCAACGTCTTTCTTTGCATTTTAGCAGAGTTCTAGCTTGGATGTAGGCACTAGGAGCTAAAAATTGAACTATACTATTAATACAAATTATTAACATAATTCAAATTAAAATATAAAGAGGAGGGTTCTGTTTCACAACAGGCTTTGAAAAATATTTGAAAATCATATTGGTTTTGTTTGTTTATTTTTAGATTTCCTATACAATACTGAAACAAGTAACTAGAATCCATCATGTAGCAGTAAAACCATCACTACTATTTTCAAGGAAAACTTTCTCAATGCAGCGGAAACTGCCTTGCATCTTTAGAAACAAGATTTAATTATAGTCAAACTAAATATAGTTTATAATCCATGTGTTAACGAAGATAAAGTGCTAGAACATTTCTACCCAGAAGATTTACACAATTCAGTTCACATGCTTCTGCTTCAGAGTCAAGTGACTGAAACTTTCATGGCCCTCCTTTAACAGCTAGAACATAGAAGGAATAAAATAACAACAACAAGCTTTGGAAGTTGAATAGAGTTTCAGCTTCTTGCTTGCCACATGGAATTTGCCAAGATTCATTTGGCATTTAAGCTTGAACCAAATACAAACATCTCAGTAAACAGTTTCACTTCAAACATACTAAGGCCAAGAAGCAGATAAAATGACATGCTACTACTAAAGGAGCCAGAAAACTGTTTCCAATTATCATTTGTTGTCAAAACCTTAATGAGGTTTTGACAAATAATGAGGGTAATGAGAAGTGCATGGAATCCCAGATATCCTTTTTTAGGCAAGGTAATCTCACTTTCTCTGATGACTCTTCCTTATAAAGGTTGGCCTATTTCTCTTGCCAATGTGAGAAGGGTGACAGAAATTCCTTAATCAAGAAGGCAACTGTGTTCCTGGTACATCCAATAGGATTTAATTAAGTATTGGAATGAAAGGAGTCACAGATCACCAATTCATTCTGCTATAAAGTGCATGTAATCCCTCTACAGTATTGCTACTCAGAGTGTGATCTGAGGAACAACAGCAGTCTGCATACCTGGGATTTGTTAGAAATGCAGAAATTTAAGCCCACCCTCCTGATTCAGAAGCTGCATTTTCTTTTCTTTTTTTCTTTTTTTTTTTTTTTTGGGATCCTCCCACCTTGGCCTCCCAAAATGCTGGGATTACAGGCATGAGGCCACCATGCTTGGCCTATTTATTTATTTATTTATTTTTTATTTTATTTTTATTTTTTATATGTATATTTTATTATACTTTAAGTTCTAGGGTACATGTGTACAACATGCAGGTTTGTTATATATGTATACATGTGCCATGTTGGTGTGTTGCACCCATTAACTTGTCATTTACATTAGGTGTATCTCCTAATGCTATCCTTCCCCCCTCCCCCCACCCCACAACAGGCCTCAATGTGCGATGTTCCCCTTCCTGTGTCCTAGTGTTCTCATTGTTCAATTCCCACCTATGAGTGACAACATGCGGTGTTTGGTTTTTTGTCCTTGCGATAGTTTGCTGAGAATGATGGTTTCCAGCTTCATCCATGTCCCTACAAAGGACATTAACTCATCATTTTTCATGGTTGCATAGTATTCCATGGTGTATATGTGCCACATTTTCTTAATCCAGTCTATCATTGTTGGACATTTGGGTTGGTTCCAAGTCTTTGCTATTGTGAGTAGTGCTGCAATAAACATACGTGTGCATGTGTCTTTATAGCAGCATGATTTATAATCCTTTGGGTGTAGACCCAGTAATGGGATGGCTGGGTAAGCAATGGCAACAAAAACCAAAATTGACAAATGGGATCTAATTAAACTAAAGAGCTTCTGCACAGCAAAAGAAACTACCATCAGAGTGAACAGGCAGCCTACAGAATGGGAGAAATTGTTTGCAATCTACTCATCTTACAAAGGGTAATATCCAGAATCTACAAAGAACTCAAACAAATTTACAAGAAAAAAACAAACAACCCCATCAAAAAGTGGGTGAAGGATATGAACAGACACTTCTCAAAAGAAGACATTTATGCAGCCAACAGACACATGAAAAAATGCTCATCATCACTGGCCATCAGAGAAACACAAATCAAAACCACAATGAGATACCATCTCACACCAGTTAGAATGGCGATCATTAAAAAGTCAGGAAACAACAGGTGCTGGAGAGGATGTGGAGAGATAGGAACGCTTTTACACCGTTGGTGGGACTGTAAACTAGTTCAACCATTGTGGAAGACAGTGTGGCGATTCCTCAGGGATCTAGAACTAGAAATACCCGAAGCTGCATTTTCATAACATCCCAGCACATAACAGGTGGTTGTTATGTGCATTAAAGTTTGAGAAGCACTGCTGTTTTATAATATCACCTCCCATTACTCATCAAGACCTATTTAAACTTCCCCATTTAGGAAAAAAATCACTCTCTAGGGAAGCTTTTATAGTGGTGGTGAACAGCTCTCACAGTAATGAAGTCTTTTCTTACATTAATTAAAGATCAGCTTCTCTGTTACTTCCAGCTAATTTGTCAAGATTCTTCCCCTTAAGTCATTCAGAATAAATTCAGTTTTTCTCTTTTAGCAAAATATTTTAGATAATTGCAAATAGAACCTTTGTCTTCTTACTCACCTCCAGTTACTTCAATCACTTTTCTAAGGTCATAATATTTACTATCCCTCAACATGTTGGTGCTCTATTCTAAAATCTGCCTTATTTTTTTTCCCATGAAAGTATGACTTCCAGAATTGAATGCAATATTCTTTGTACAGTCTGAAATTTGCAGAATTTAAAATGATTGTCTCCTCACTTACTCTCCATATTTGACCTCTATTAATATAGCCAAATTTATTTTCTGTAGAGAAGGGGGGATAGTATCTTGTAAACTTATACTGAGGTTACAAATCTCTAGAATCCTAGTTATTTTCTACTTATGACAATGTGTCTTCTTCTTTATTACTCATGTCAGATTGATTATTTGTATCAGGTGAAGCATTTAAGAAGCAGAAAATTTAAAGACTGACATTTTTCTGCCTTCTCATTGAAACAGCTTATCTGCAACAACTACTACAAATACTGTTAACTGTATTTCTTCCCTTCATTTCTCTAAAATTATGCTGAGTATGTCGACTGATCCAATTGATATGATTTAGATTATGACTTTGCATTTCATGAATTTGTCATTCCTTCCAGTTGATATGATTTAGATTATGACTTTGCATTTCATGAATTTGTCATTCCTTCCAGTTTAATTTTCTAATATATTATACCACCAGCCATCATGCCTGAAAGACTAAGATTCTGATATATTAATCTTATAAAAGAGTTCTTAAAAATGTGTGAATTGAAATATGCTACTTTGGGGATTTATGGGTTAAAATGTGTTTTCCTTGCAGACTGATATATAAATACCATACCTTTAGTAAATAAACATTGCATTAGTCAGGGTTTTCTCTAGAAGGACAGAAGTAATGGAATATATGTATGTATATACATAAATGGGAGTTTTTTAAGTATTAACTCACACAATCACAAGGTCCCACAGTAGGCTGTCTGCAGGCTGAGGAGCAAGGACAGCCAGTCCGAGTTCCAAAACTGAATTCCTCCAACAATTTAAAAGGAATGAAGCCCACCTGACACCTTGATTTTAGCCTTGTAAGACATACCTAAACCAAGGCCTTAGCTGTGTCATGCTACACCTAGACTTGTGACCTACAAATGTGTGAGATAAATGGATGTCATTTTAAGCCACTAAATGTTTGATTATTTGTTACATCAGCAATAACCAAAATAACTGGGGTCAGGGCTGCTGTAACTGTGTAATTTATCACAGTGTACTTCATTCATCAGCTCAAATCCAGCCTTAAAAGTCTTCATAACAAAGAATACCAGAAGCAATTAGAAAACTTTCAGAGATAACACTTCCAGTGAAACTACCCGAGCTTTGTGTGATATTCAGTGTGTACTTCTGCTGCAGAGTGGATTCTCTACAATGCTTTTTCTAATTGTTTCTTTCAATTTTATTTTGATAAAAGCAAATACAGGTTTGTGTGAGTTTTGCGGGGTGAGGGAGAGACAAAGATAAACAGAAAGACAGAGAGAGACAGAGAGACACATTTGAAACTGTGTAAATAAAGGACCAGCTCTGAGTCTTACTAGGTCTGTGAATTTAAATGAATCTTAAAACTTTTTGGCCTTTAATTAATTTTCTCATACATAAAAAGAGTAAGATCCCAGTAGTTTAAAATATGAAAAGTTTTCTCTTTCTGTCTCTCTCTTTCTTTTTCAAAGGAAAATTTATCTAGTAGTCTACTCTATATTCATGGAAATGCCAGTCTTTTCTGTTTTAAGGGGATGAAGGGGTACTCCAGCCTCCACTGCCAGGCTCTCCCCTACTAATCCATACTCCATCCACCAACTGAGGACAGTGAAACGTTTTCAGGGACTACTAGAACACCAAAGAATGTTGTCTGCACGCTACTCCACAACAAATTGCTTAACGTATCTTTTCTCTCCAATGCTGTCAGCTTTTAAAAAAATAGACATATGGAGAAAAATAATGAAAAAGAAATCTCTCCAGCTCACTGAACTTCATGCTCCAATTACCACCAGATATGGTGCTGCCTAATTATTAAAAGCACACATTTATGCATAAATGCCCCTATTCAGTATGTATCATTGATTATAAGAACTAAGGGCAACATTCTGTGTTTTTCTGTAGACATGTAGTCTTATTTGTTTACTGAGGTTTGTCTAATGACAACTAGACTGGTCAGTGATTAACATTTTTTGTGATTCATTCCTTATCTAATAATTCATTCCTTATGCATACAAAATATGAGACTATATGGTAACAAATCTTTAAACTTAAAGATTAAATGTAACATTTTTATCTAAAATACAGATAAACCATAAACAGTAGTGTAAATTATTAATATTAGGAATACATCAGAGAAAACTCAAGATAATGCTATTCTATTTAGTTATTTCAAATATTATGAGGAATAAACCATCTTGGTTGTGTTATTGATTCAAGATGAAATACTACATTACACTAAACAGAAGTAAGGCATATCTTGAAATATTTCAAAAAAATTAAGGCATATTTTAAAATATGCCTTACTTCTGTATAACATGTTCACCTTTTGAAACATAAATTATTATTCGACATTAAAAATTTTCAATAATCGAGCAGACTCATTTAAACATAAAGCCTTTACCCTGACACACTCGGTTCATTGATGAACCAAATCTTTCCCATCTCTAAACCTTAGTGGCTGATGTCCACAACACACTGAACTCTATTCGACTACTCTCTAGCATACTGGTGCATTTATTCACATGAAAGTTGAACTGCTTGTTTCCATAGATATGACATAATTTGTGCTTTTTATTTTAATTATGCAATTAAATAAAATTATTATGCAAGAAATAAGTTAAAGAAATAAAGTGGGAATTTCTGTGAATGCATGGAAGGATTATTAAAAGCAAATCATTAAAATGATTGATTTTTATTATAGAAGTTTGATACGAAGTTTTAGAGGGATTTTAGCAATTTAGAAATATTTTGCATTCAGATTGTTTTTCAAGTGTCTTTTAATTCTTACTTCAGTTAAACGGTTCCACATAGTGGAGAAGGTGGGCATGAAATGCTTTTAGTCAGCCATCTTGAAACCCTTCCCTTGTGATTTGCTTCAGTTGAAAGAGATCAGAATGCATTATGGGTGTGGTCATGCCGGAAAGGTGATGCAGAGCTCTGATGTGGATGCCAATTTTATGTACAAGTATATGATTTACGTGAAAAGGAAACAGGCATGGTATGCATATACACACATGTATGATTTTAATGGTTCTGTGCTTTAACAGTTTTTTCTTAATCGAACCACTTTATGCTCTAATCTCATTGGTTAAAAATCTCCTGCAGTACTTTACATGAAAAGGTTTATTAGACTAATGAATTCCATCAATAAGCAGCTAACACCACACATCAGAAGCAGGAAGAAAAATAAGCAATTGGTGAGAGTGGGAAAGATGTATCATTTGGTTGCTCCATCAAAAGAATTGGTAAATATGAACTCTTTAAAATCTTGGAAAATAATTAAACTGAATGTCATTTTCTTTTTTCTTTTTCTTTTCTTTTTTTTTTTTTTTTTTTTTTTGAGACAGAGTCTCGCTCTTTCGCCCAGGCTGGAGTGCAGTGGCGCTGTCTCGGCTCACTGCAAGCTCTGCCTCCCAGGTTCACTCCATTCTCCTGCCTCAGCCTCCTGAGTAGCTGGGACTACAGGCGCCCGCCACCACACCCGGCTAATTTTTTGTATTTTTAGTAGAGACGGCCTTTCACCGTGTTAGCCAGGATGGTCTCGATCTCCTGACCTCGTGATCCACCTGTCTGGGCCTCCCAAAGTGCTGGGATTACAGGCGTGAGCCACCGCGCCTGGCCTGAATGTCATTTTCAAAGTGATTTTAATCTTACCTTCAGGTAACCTGAACAGAGCATTTGTTTTTCCTATCTTGGTTTAGGAATTGTTTTACTCAGATAATAGAGACCTATCAAATTACATACTCAAAACAAAGAAAGCAATTGTATTAACAAAACTATGCAGAAGAGAAATAGAAATACATAAAAGCACTACACGATCTACGCAAATAACAAAATTCTACTTGTATTCTACAAATATACAAATAAATACATCAGAAGAAAAAAGAAATAAAATCAATAGCTGGGAAAGTTTTAAATAACATCTCATTCTTTTTTCTTGTGTCTCTCACTAAACAATTTCCAATGAAATAGGTAAATTATTTGGAAACACCTTTAGTTAAAATAACCTATTAAAATCACATTATGGTACTCATGAATAATGATTTTCATGGCAATACACATTTTAGGACTCTTTGATACTTGGACATCCTGTGCATTTTTTCTATTGTTGTTGTTCTGGCCTCTATCAGAAATGTAGTTTTAAGATAAAATATTTCTGGATTTCTGGATGAAAGCACACCTTTACATATCCAAGTCTTAATTTATTATGCTATCTTTAAACTGGGCAGATAATTAAAAATTACTTTACAATATCTTAGAAAAAAATTTTAATTTGCTATCTCTCTTCGTGGAAATAATTATATAGTATATATTAGGTTAACATACTATAACAACATGGTGTAAATCAGATTATATTTTTAAATACATTTGTCTAACAGAGACATGTTAAAGAGAGTTGTTTAAAACATAATAACTAGCACCAGTGGTTTTTTTTTTCTCCACCACCCTTTTCCACAAAGTGAAGTAATTGTATTTCTAATAACTTTGTTCAATATGTGTGGCTATGAAAAGTTTTACAAATACACACATGTGGTTACATGTGTGTGCAATTTTTTTTTGTTTGTTTTGAGACAGGATCCCACTGTGTCACCCAGGCTGTAGTGCAGTGGTGTCATCTCAGCTCACTGCAGCCTGGACCTTCTGAGCTCAAAAGATCCTCCTACCACAGCCTCCTGTGTAACTGACTACAGGTGCTCACCACCACGCGAGCTAATTTTTGTAGTTTTTGTAGAGACGGGGTCTTGCCATGTTGCTCAACCTGGTCTCGAACTCCAGGGCTCATGTAATCCGCCTGCCTAGGCCTCCCAAAGTGCTGGTATTACAGGCATGAGATATCGTGCCCAGCCCACATGTTTTTTATTGATGATTTGTGAAGCACTAATATGATTCGCTCTGTGTTGCTTTTTGCTGTCCTGACAGTTTGATATTAGACCATTGATTTTGAAATTATTATAGATTTTCAAAATGGTTTATGCATTTAACAAATGGGGTCATTAACATTTAACGCAAAATTAATTGTCCTTGGATGATCTTGTGCTATGAATGTCTTTTATACTAGATTCCCAATCAAAAGTCATTAGAAGAATGAGATTTTGGCATTCCTCATTTTGGAATTTGTTAACTGGTTCAGTGTTTAAATTTGTCATAGGTATGGAATTTCCCTATAAATTTCAGCAATCTTTTAATGATAACTTATCAGATTAGCAGATCGTGTTGAGTTTTTAAAGGAACATATAAAAATGATCTCCCAATATTCTTGTAAAGAGATTTATCTTACAACCTTCTGATATATAAACACAAGGCCAAAATGTAAATGCTATAATTGGTTCCACAGATTATTTTATTAAAAATATATTGAATAGAAAAAATGGATAAGGCCTACTATTTGATAGCACAACAAGGTGACTAGTCAAAAATAACCGTAGATTTTAAAATAACTTTAAGGATGTAGTTGGATTGTTTGTAACTTAATGGATAAATGTTTGAGGTTATTGATGTCCCATCCTACATGATGTGCTTATTTCATATTTCATGCCTGTATCAAAGAATCACATGTACTCCTTAAAATATATACATACTATGTACCCACCAAAATTAAAAAAAAAATAGTCTTGAAATACCTTGAAAATATCTTTCTTCCATTGAAATTCGGTATTCCTTGTAATAATGTGTAATTTACAGCAATCGCATTTTCTCCCCCTTACCTTTGCCAAAGAACTAAGGAGCAGTTTGTTGGAAGTACATTTAATATTTCAAAGAAGCTTTCCTGGAGGTTTGAGATTGATTCCCATATATCTCTATGCTTTAATCACTATGAGTTTGTCCCAAGCCTGAGAACCAAACCTACTTTTTAGGTGCTGCAAAATCTGATTTTTGAACTCTGAAGAATTGTAGCACAGATCCTAGGCTGCAGTGAGGCCAACACAGAAATGTAGTTTGGAAAAGAGCAATTTTTTTTTTGATACATTGATACAGGGTCTCGCTCTGTCACCCAGACTGGAGAGCACTGTCATGATCTCAGCTCTCTGCAGCCTTGACAACCTGGGTTCAGCAGATCCTCCTGCCCCAGCCAAATATCTGGTACCACAGTCATGTGCCACCACACCCAGCAAATTAAAAAAAAAAATTTTTTTTTGTAGAGACAGGATCTCATTATGTTGCCCAGGTCAGTCTTGAACTCCTGGACTCAAGCAATCTTCCCACCTTGGCTTCCCAAAATGCCAGGATTACAGATGTGAGCCATTACAGATGTGAGCCACTGTGCCTAGCTGGAAAAAAAGCAACTGTCTTTGCCATTACTGTGCATCACAATTTTTCTTTCAAATATGATCTTTAGGGATAGTATTTTAATTATCCCTTTGTACCTCTTCGACCTAGGTTGCAAGACAGAACTGTGTGTAGGGTTATAATTCTCTCTCTCTCTCTCTCTCTCTCTCTATATATATATATATATATAATTGCTTCTCAAGCTATTTTTGGCAGTTTTACTTGAATAAAAATTTCATCTCTTGGTACCACATCTACTCATTGAGTCATACCAGCCTGAGACAACAAGGGATTATGGGAAAGACCTTAGGTTCTGGAACTGGAAGACCTGAATTTGATTCTTGGCATCTACCAAGCACAAACAGTGTAATATTCAGAGGGTCCTTCTAACTTTCCTGAGCCTACTTATTCGTATAATTAAAATGGAGATTATAGTATTTACATAATAATATCAATACTAATAATAATACCTATGAAGTACTTCTAGTATGTCAGTAATCATTCTAAACATGCTATGTACCTCTGTGCCACATGGCTTCTCTCTTTCAGTTTCTTTACTTCTCCTTTCTGGTCTATTCTACTCAATTGTTCTCTCCTAACTTGAGTTCATGCATGATTCATTATCACTTATTTCTTTATTGGGAACTTATAGTTTCAACTTCCATTGTTATGTGTTCATTCTTTTAGTTTCTTTGATTTTGAATACAGCAAATCTTTTATCATGACATATGTTACTCTGTGATCTCACTCTGGCCTCCATCTCTGATCTACTTTTGAACTATGTGGAGAGCTCCCATGCTCAATACTGTGTTACTGAAACATGTCAGGTTTTATCAAACTTTGGGTCCTCTAGTTTTTCTGGTCTCTCTTCCTGGAATACTCTTCTGTTATATATGATTTACCTGTCATATTCACATTCCTCAGGTCTCCATAGCCATTTTCTATTTCATTGCTATATTTTTTTTATAATCTTTTTAATAAAAATGCATATATCATATTTATTTGCTCACTTCTACATTAATTACCTCCTTAAACTAGAATTCAAAAATTATAAAAGCAAAACTTTTTGTTATATTCATGACAATACCCATAATACCTACTGCAGAGTCTACCATGTAGTAAATCTGCAGTAAATATTTATAAAATTGATTAAATAAATGAAATAAAATAGTCACCATGCCCAAATACTTATTATGATTTATTATTATTTTATTATTTATTACTCTCTCAATAATAGAAAACAAACTAATATATCTCCAGTTGTCCACATATTGTAGTAAAGACAAAGTGTTGTTGTGTCTTGGACTCCTTCTATTTAACAAATACCAACATGATCTGCCCTATCTTTACATATATTTGATGTATCACTTTCTTCATGACTAAGTAGAAATATACTTACACTTCTCTTCAATGACAGGCAAATGATATGTGAGTTTATACATGTGTTTTCTCCAGCAAGGAATTCATAATTTTCATGAGCTCGTCAAAGATTTGAATATGAGACTCTAAAAATGTTTTAATCACTCTCTTACCTCATGAAAACATAATTATTTTATCATAGTTTTAAGTATATAACTATTTCCAAAATTGACAGGATGCTAGCCTAAATAGTTGAAGTTTAACTGTTTATATTTTTAAAGCAAGTAATAATACTTTAAAAAATTAAATATCTACTTTGTACAAGTACACAGTAGAGGATAAATAATCATAGAATGGAGGTGAATTTATGATCTAAGAATGAATAATCAACCTTCGGTAGCTTTGAATATAGATTTTTTTATTAGTTGTTATAAAAGTTATAATCTATACAGTCTTCTTCAATATATTTCATAAATAGAGAAAATGCTTCAACATATACAGTGGTCAAGCAGCATTTGCTAACATCATATTAAGTTTCATTTTTTATATGCTTGAGAATATTAGAGATTGATTTGTTGGTAATTTATTAACAAGCTAAAACTACAATGTGTATTTTATTTATTATTGAAGTCACTTCAAAGTGGCCCAGAGTCATTTTATGTGACTTTACAGTGACTTTAATGTCCTGTGGCCTCCTGGACCCAATAATTAATCAACTTTGATTGTCCTGGCAGATTCTGTGGCTGATTTTGAAGGATAATCCATACAAAGTTACTGTGCAAATGTTTGCATTAGTACTTTTGGAGAACCTCTTTCCAGATTAGAGAGAACCCTTAACCACTCGCTTTCCGCTTGCAACAAATACCCAAATACCTTGCGTTTGTGATGGGGAGATGACACATGGTTAAATAAAATGCACCACGATTTAGAATTTGGATACAAATAAGCACTAAAAGGAAGAAGCAAAATTAAAGTATAGTTTTCATTATATCTGACTGGAAACAGATCTGATATCTTATATTGAAAACAGAGTAGAAAAAATATCTGAGATTTTTTTTCCTTCAGACTATTAATAGTAGGTACTGCAGGGCTGTCATTAATAAGAGAAGGGGGAGGAGGAGAATTGATGTGAGTCTATATGATTAACTCTGGCTTTCTGTCTAAAAGTGCTTTCTGAATCATAGCACAGGGAGAAGAATCCAAGCAGAACATAGTAGTTTTACTAAATTGAAGAGAGAGATTAAAGTACGGGGAGCCTGAAGTGGCTAAATGTGTAGAACACAATATCCCAAGAGACACAGCTACTCTAAGAAAGGGTTCCATAAACCTTCACTAGGTTCCCACTTTAATCTGTTGCTGAAAAATATGCTGTACATGAACAAAGCAAAACTCTATAGACAGGTTAATAAACAGCATAGAGACCTGAAGGCCAAACAATCCCCAGAAATCAAGCAAAGCTTGTACACTTGTGAGTTCTAATCAGTCATCGTAGGACCATACAAAATATTTAAACTGAAACATGGAGAAGAGAGAGGCAGGAAAAAATATACAATAACACAGCCTCAGTCCTCACTGACCTGTGGGGCTACAATACCAAGCTAAACTCAAACACGTGAGTAACTGGATTCTCATAATGCAGTGGTGATACTGGGGAGAGTGTCAATAAAGATAATTGAAGAAATAATGGACATTTTCTCCCAATTTGATAAAAACTATAAATCATAGCATGTCATAAACATTTTCCTAAAAACCAGTGTTTGTTTTTATTGTTACTTGCAACTAAATATATTTCCAAAATATATTTTCAGATATTTTTCCGGGGGGAGGTGTTAGGAGATGGGAATAATGGCACTGAGGGAGACTAAGTTAGGGTGCTGAGATTTGAGGTGATCTCAAAACCCAAACTCATTTAAACATAAATAATATACTGAGTGGTAAGCTCAGGAGGCCAAAGAGGGTTTACTAGAAAAAAAGCAGAAAACAGTGGGTGGATTATCTTATGGAAGAATTACGCTATTAATTTTGAAAAAGTCAGTGACATAAATAGGCATTACAATATTGACAGAAGACCTATAAATTAAAAACAAACAAACAAAAGAAAACCTTAAAGTGTGTTGAAGAGGCAAAGAAATGCTAGAGATGTATAATGTGTATAAATATACATATTGTATACTTACATATATATACGTCTCTAGTGTTTCTCTGTCACTCTGAATTTCATTTACTGTAATTAGACCTTCTTGACTTACTGAATACTGTCAACCCAATGCTTTTATTATCATAAGTGAACAATTACCTCTTATCTATGAAGACATCTCAGTGGCTACACAATCTCTTGGGCTTCTCAGTAGCTGGTGTATGACAGCAGACAATTTGGGTGGATAATTCACAGAGAAAACTTTTATAAATGTCCCTTATGATATTTATATAGGTCTGTTCATTTATATTGTCTGACATTTAAAACTAGATGGGTGAAAATATTGTAAAGCAAAGCAAGCACACTCTTCTAAAAAATAATTGATTGTCTGATCTCAGAGGTCATTTTCGTCTTAAACTTGTGTGGATTGTGACTTGTCTTTGAATTTACATCAACTCTGGTAATAGAGCTGCTGAAAACCTCTTGTGATTAGAGCCCATTTGCCAGAAGTTTAGGGAAGTCTCTTAAGTCCCTTTTATCCCTTTGTATTATGGCTATCTCTCTCTTTTTGAGTTTGACATTTCTTTTATCTTTATTATTAAATAAAGAAAGAGATTAATCTTGGCTCTTTTTTTTCTAACTAATTAATATATGTGTTCATGTGCCTCTCTTTGATAAATAAATCTTAGAGGCAGTTTACAAATCAAACACATGTAGTAATTATGTTTTTTTAAGCCAAAAGATTAGGAGCTTGGGAAATATGAATTTATATAAACACACTGCAGGGAGAGTAGAACAGATTTAACCAGGTCAGATCATTCTAGAGAGTTAGAAAACTGAGCTTCAGGCCAGGCACAGTGCTGTAATCCCAGTACATTGGAGGCTGAGATGGGAGGGTGTCTTAAGGTAAGGACTTTGAGAGCAGCCTGGGCAACATAGTGAGATACCATCTCCATAAAAAATTTAAAAATTAGCCAGGAAGCTGAAACAAGAAGATTGCTTCAGCCCAAGAGTTCAAGGTTACAGTGAACTGGGATCACACCACTGTACTCCAGCTTGGGTGACACAGTGAGACCCTGTCCAAAAAAAAAAAAAAAAAAGCAGCAATATTGTTTCTATAACTACCACTTATTAAGTACCTGCTATGGGCCAGGCAGCATGTTATACACTAAATCCATACCCTACCCAGACACAAACAAACACACCCATGTCACTCACATTGCATATGCATAGTTTGTTCTGCTACAAAAAGAATAGCCTCTGATTTGGGCTGATTTAGATACCTGTTCTTTGAAATTTTCTGAGACTCTTTTGGGCTCTTTACTTTTTCTAATAGTGGAAAATATATATTATTCAACATTTATCATTTTAGCCACCGTTAGGTTTATAATTCTATGGCACTAAATGCATTCACATTGTTGTGCAGTCATCACCACAATCCACCTCCAGAACGTTTTTCTCCACAAACTGAAACTCTGCACCTATTAAATAATAATCCCCATTTTACAATCCCCCCACCCAGCCTGTGGTAACTACCTTTCTACTTTCTGTGTCTCTGAAGTTTACTACTCTAGGGATCGCATGTAAGTGAAAGCATAGAGTCCTTATGTGACTGGCTTATTTTATTTATCCTAATGCCTTTAAGGTCTATAAATGTTGTATGTGTGTGTCACATTTTCCTACCTATGTAAGGCTGAATAATATTGTATGTTGTTTTAAAATATACCCAGGATTTGTTTTAAATAAGTATAGTAAGATATCGTATTAGTGTATTCTCACACCGCTATAAAGAAATACCTGATGCTGGGTAATTTATAAAGAAAAGAGGTTTAATTGACCCACAGTTCCACATGTCTTGGGAGGCCTCAGGAAACTTACAATCATGGCAGAAAAGAAAGTAGGCTCTTTCTTCACATGGCGGCAGGAGAGAGAAGAGCAAGCAGGGGAAATGCCAGACACTTATAAAACCACAAGATCTCCTGAGGACTCACCACTGTCATGAGAACAGCATGGGGGAAACTGCCCCCATGATCAAATCACCTCCCACCAGGTCCCTCCCTCCAAACGTGGGGAGTATGGGGATTATAATTCAAGATGAAATTTGGGTGGGGACACAGCCAAACCATGTGAGATATGTAGATATGGAAATGCTTGTCATAAAGGAATAAAATCCCACTCATAGCTTCCTAGAAACAGAAGACAGGGCATGCCAGCCACACAGGGCCACATGGGGAAGGACTGGGATAGTTAGGAGGCAGAAGCAAGGGGGAAAATGGGGATCCAGAACCTTAGTTATGATTTTCATGGGAAGGAGTGAGCAAAAAAGGGTAAGCAGGCTAAGGAAGTTTAAGATTGGCTATTTTAAATAATTTCAGAGGGCTAGCAAAAAAGGGTAAGCAGGCTAAGGAGGTTTAAGATTGTCTACTTTAAATAATTTCAGAGGGCTCCCAGGTACAAGGGCTGTCTCTAGTGTCAAGTATTTATTTGGTCCTGGGAAGATTGGGACAGTTAGTAGCCCAGAGTATAACAGCTAGACAAAAGAGTAGAGGGGGAAGAGTCTTTCGATTGGTTGGTATAAATTGGTTGGTTGATAGCTATCTTCTAAAGAATCTTTGTATTGGTTGGTTTGCATATAAAAGGTGCACTTGTAGGCAAGTATTTTACTACCTCTAGAAATTCACTAATCCTGGGAGGCACAGTCTCTCCAGAATCAGTTAGTCCCCAGATGACAGTAGAACATACAGAACATAAAAAGGCATTATATATAAAAAGGCAGTACACACACACACACCCAAAAAAATACTTCACATTTTGTTTATCTATCAATGGATAGATACAGGTTGCTTTCATCTTTTGGCTATTGTGAATCCTCACAATTCTTAATCTACACTCACTTATCTGTGCAGGGCTTCTTAACATTTTCATTGAAGAGACTTTTTATTTGTAAATTGTCCATCTTTTCATTGATCATTGTTCAATAGTTACTTTAATTACTATCTTATCATTTGGTTTATAAGAAAGTTTTGCTTTTCTCTAATACACTCATCAAAATGTCAGCTTTGCTATGCACTCTGATACAAATTTTGTCTCACCTCTTACTGTTGTTTTGCCTCCATTTTTTTGTGTTAGTCTAAATTCTGCCCTTTGACTCATATAATGCTACTATAGAGGTAGTTACTTTCACAATATGGTCCAACTAAATATAGAATTTTGTACCTGTGGAGTGTTGTCTTTATTCACTCTATATAACACCATTGACTACGTGGTTATTAGCAACAGCTCTAGCAACATGCCTTTTTGTTTGGTTGGTTCTCTTTTCCAATTATTTATTTTCATTGTGGTAAAATATATTTACAACATACTTACTACTGAAAAATCTAAAATAAACAGTTCAGTGACACTGTGTTACAATATTGTACAACCATATAGCTTTTTAATTCCAGAACATTTTCATCATCTCAAACAAAAACTCTGTTACTATTAACCACTCATAGCAAATGTTACTTAGCTTTTGTGTTTTTTGCTGTGGAGATGAATGGGTGATATTTTCTTTCTTTCTTTCTTTCTTTCTTTTTTGAGATGGAGTCTTGCAACTGTCGCCCAGGCTGTAGTGCAGTGGCGCAATATCAGCTAACTGCAACCTCTGCCTCAGGGGTTCAAGCAATTCTCCTGCCTCAGCCTCCCAAGTGGCTGGGTTTACAGGCACCCACCACCACGCCCAGCTAATTTTTTATATTTTTAGTAGAGACAGGTTTTCACCATTTTGGCCAGGCTGGTCTTGAACTTCTGACCTCGTGGTTCGCCCACCTTGGCCTCCCAAAGTGTTGGGATTACAGGCATGAGCCACAGCGCCCAGCCAGGTGATAGGTATTTTCTAAAGGATGTGAGGGAGTAAGTCTTTTCTAGCTAAACATTTAATATCAATAATTTAATATTAGTATCTATTCTAGAGAATAGTAATTTTCTGAGATGATTTATTTAATTTTATAATCACAAAGTCAATGGTTATAATTTTTATTTCATCATTAACAGTTTGTTTTACACATTTTTGTGTTTATACTCCTCATTCTATTTCACAGGTTGAATCATTTGAATTGATCACTGATCTCATACAATTTAATTTTTAATGACTAACCATATAACTCGTTTGTGACTAAGGTCATGCTACCGCTATATGCTAAGTGAAGTGTACAATTTGCTATCATGAAATATCTTTTTAAGACCTGGACTCTTGACTTGACCAAATCCTGCCTCTGCATTAACCATGGCTGAAACAGGGACAAAACTCAAGCTTCAGGCATCCACTGACAGGTAATTAATTAACTTAAAATTATATGCTCAATTTATAGCATACTTTATAGTCTTATTAGGTTCAGACAGAATTATGTATAGAAAGAAAGTGTACTATCTATGTTTAAGGGGAAAGAAACCAAAGCTAATACTGGTCAGATAGACAGACATGTTTTATGTATATGGCATAAAGGTATGGATTTGGTCTTGAAAACAATGAGAAGCCATAAAACTATTTAAACAAAGGAGTTGTATGAATGTACTTGTGTAAGAATGAACACCATAGTAGCAGTGAAGAATAACATTTTGGGGAAAGGGAGAAGGAAGCAGGTGTGAGTAGAGGCTTCATATCTATTACAGTAATTCAGTCAACATGTAATAAGCCACCACCTGGTTTACAGAGAGACCTGGGAGTTTTGCAGGGGCTTAACAAAATAGAATTTCCTGGGGTCAGGAGTAGTTAAGGACTTCAGGCAGGGATATATAATAAAATATATCTTATGGCTTACGTATATTTTCAGGGCTGCATAGGATTCAATATGAGCATTCTAGCATTATCCTGAAGTCTCTGTAGCAATACACTCTTTATAACTGCCTTGAGTTTCTTAGTATTTGGGAAAGTCATAGGGAAATCCTTATGTAGATTTATATTGAGCCGAGGGAAGAGAGCATTCATAAAAGTTGAGGTAAAATAAACCAAAAGTTCAAAAGTAACAGAAATCAATGTCAGGGTTCCAATGGGCTTCATGCACTGTGAGTTCCCAGATCTATTAGCAATTAGCCTGGACTTCCCAATTGTAGATGAGAACTCTTAACAGTTTTATATGTGTTAATAAATATTAAAGCAAAGGTGATCACAAAAGCTGGATAACCTGAAGACATACATATTAAGGTTACAATATTAAGGATTAATTAAGAAAATATTTTTAAGTGCTTTGCATAAATTATGACATATTCACTACTGAAACGTGTAGCATAATTATTGGGAAAATGAATTAAGCTTTCTGAGTCTCATTCTCCATATTCTTTTCATTCCAAAGTGTTAACATTATACACAACACAAAATAATTAACTAAAGATAATGAGAACACAGTAAATGAAAATATATTTTGCCCGTCTGTTTGTATTATTTGTCTTCAGGCTTGAATCTAAGTTTATATGAAATCTCTCATACAAAACATATACTCTGGAATTGTGATCTTAAGAGAGACACAGACAAACTAATAATAGTGATTGCTTACTTAACCTCAAAACAATTTCAGTTAGTTAATATATTTTATATTATTTAAATTTTTTCATAAAACTCTATTGAGTTGTCTTTGCCATTTGTAGTTTAATAAAATACATGTGGGATCTTAAGGGACATGTTCAAGAAATAATTGACAGTTTCAGATCATATGTTTAAGTATTTAACCCATTTTGAGTTGACTTTTTTGGATAGTGTCAGGCAAGAGCCCAAGTTTATTCTTTTGCATGTGGATGTCAGGTTTCCCAACACCATTTACTGAACAGACTATCCTTTCCTCCTTGTGTGTTCTTGGCACCACTGTCAAAGATTAGTTGATCATATATGCTTGTTTTATGTCTGGGATCTCTATTTTGCTTTCTTGGTCCATAAGTCTATTTTTGTGTCACTACCTTATTGTTTTGTTACTGTAACATCAAAATATATTTTGAAATAAGGAAGTATGATGACTCTAGCTTGAAAACATAAAACTCCTAGAAAAAAAATAAAAAAAACTTCTTTGGATACAACACCAAAGCACAGACAGCATAAACAAAAATGGAGCAGTGGGATGATGTGAAAATAAAGTTTCTTCAAAGCAAGGGGAAAAAATCACCAAAATAAAAATGCAACCTACAGAATGAGAGAAAATATTTGAAAATTATACATAGGATAAACAGTTCATATCCAAGGTATACAGAACTCAAACTCAGGAGAAAAAAAATAATTAAAAAACTAGACATTTCTCCGAAGATGACATACAAATGGACAACAGGCTGTTGAGCATATGAAAAATGCTCAACATTACTAATGATCAGTGAAATGAAAAAACCACAATGAGTATCACCTCACATCCTTTAGAATGCCTTTTATTTGTAAAATAAAAGATAAATGTTGTCAAGTGATATAGTTTGGATGTTGTCTCTGCCCAAATCTCACCTGGAAATGTAACCCCCAATGTTGGAGGTGGGACCTGGTGGAAGGTGACTGGATCATGGAGTGAATTTCTCATGAATGGTTTAATATCATTCGCTTGGTGTTGTCCTTGAAATAATGAATGAGTTCTCATGATATTTGGTTGTTTAAAATCATGTGGCACCTCCCCACTCTCACTTTCTTGCTCCTGCTTCTGCCGCTTGATAAGCTTTCTCCTCCTTCACCATCTGCCATAATTGGAAGCTTTCGGAGTCTCCCCCAAAGCAGATGCTACTATATTTTCTGTACAGCCTCCAGAACTGTTAGCCAATTAAACCTGTTTTCTTATAAATTACCTAGTCTCAGGTATTTCTTACAGCTGCATAAGAACAGCCTAATATTATCAAGGACGTGATGAAAAGGGAACTCTTGGGTACTGTATATGGAAATGTAAAATAGTGCAGAGACTATTAAAAACACTATAGAGATTCCTCAAAAAGTTAAAATTGGAACTACCATATGATCCAGCAATCCCACTTCTGGGTATATATTCAAAAAAATTGAATTCAGGGTCTTGAAGAAATACCCTCATTTCCATATTCATTGCAGCAATATTCACAGTAGCCAAGGCTTGGAAACAGTTTAAATGACCATCAACAGATGATGTAATTTTAAAAATGTGGTACATAGAAACAATGGAATATTTAGCCTATAGAAAAGAGAAAAAGCCTGTCATTTGTGAAGACATGGATGAATCTTCAGGACATTATTCTAAGGGAAATAATTAAGACACAGAAGAAAAAATACCATTTTATACAATTATATGACTCCAAAATAGTCAAACTCATAGAAGCAGAGAGTGGAATGATGATTGATATAGGCTGGAAGTAGAGCAAAAGAGGGTGATATATTTCAAAGGGCATAAAGTTATGGTTACAAAAGTCCTGGAGATCTACCATACATCATAGTGCCTGGAATTGTTAATAATGTGTTATATACTGCCAATTCTAATAAATCTATTTTGAAATATTGAAGAGCAAAGAATACATTCAAACTTATTCTATGAAGCCAGCATTACTCTGATACAAAAGCAGACAAATACACAACAAAAAAGTAAAAGTACGAGCCAATATTCCTGAAAAATCATAGATGTAAAAATCCTCTAGAAAATACTAGCAAAAAGAATTTAACAACACGTCAAAAAGATCAGGTACCATGATCCAGTGGGATTGACCCCAGGGATGGAAACATGGCTCGAAATATACAAATCAATAATTGTGAAACATCACATCAACAGAATTGAGGACAAAAATCACATGATCATTTTAATAGCTGCTAAAAATTATTGATAAAATTCAACATCCTTTCATGATAAAAACCCTTAAAAAATAAGTATAGAAGAAGGAACATATCTGAGCATGACAAAGATTATGTATGGTAAGCCCATAGGTAATGTCAGAGTGAATGGGAAAATAAATTGAAAGCCTTCCCACTAAAATCTGAAATAAGACAAGGATATCCAATTATACCAATTTAACTCAGCATAGAACTGGAAGTCTTAGCCAGAGCAATTAAGCAAGCAAAAGCAGTACAATGCATCCTTATTATAAAGGAAGAAGTCAAATTATCGTAGTTGGCAGACTATATAATCTTATTTTTAGAAAACCCTAAAGACTACACAAAATCTCTTAGAACTGATTATTATATTCAGTAAAGCTACAGGATACAAATTAATATAAAAAGGTAGTGTTTCTATACTCTAAAAGTTATTTGATCAATCTAAAAGATAAATCAAGAAAGCAGTTCCTCTTAAAATAGCTACAAACATACCTAGAAATAAATTGAAACAAAGAAGTGACAGATATCTAAAAGGAAAACTATAAAACATTAATGGAAGAAATTAAATATAACAGAAAAATAAAATACACATCATGCTCATGGATTGAGATAATAGTGTTAAAATGTCTACACAATTAAAAATGGTCTACAGATTAAATGTAATCTCTATTACTAATAGAGATTACAATTAGATTCCCAATGTCTACCAATAGCATTCTTAAGAGAAATAGAAAAAAAAAAATCCTAAAATTCACATGAAACCAAAACAGACCTCGAATAAAGTAATCCTGAGCAAAAAGAACAAAGCTGGGGGAATCACACTACCTGATTCCAGATTATACTACCAAGTTCCAGTAACCAGAATACCATGGTACTGTCATAAAAGCAGACATAGACTGATGGAACAGAAGAAAGAGCCCAGAAATAAATCCACACACTTAACAATCAAGTGATTTTTGACAAAGGCATCAAGAACATACATTGGAGAAAAAAGTTTCTTTAATAAATTTTGCGTGAAAAGTGGATATTCATATGCAGAAAAATGAATCTAGATCCCCATCTTTCACTATACGCAAAAATCGATTCAAAATTGATTAAAGATATAAATGTATGACCCGAAACTATAACACTACTAACAGAAAACCTTGAGGAAACATTATAGGACATTGGTCTGGGCAATGTTTTGGGTAAGACCTAAAAAAAAAAGGCAACAAAAGCAAAAACTAACAAATGTGATTAAGCTAAAAAGCTTCTAGATAACAAAGGAAACAATTAACAAAGTGAAGAGAAAACCTACAGAATGGGAGAAAGCATTAGCAAGCTATCCATTCAACAAAGGATTAGTAACCAGAATATGTAAGGAACTTTATGGCAAAATAACAAATAATCACATTAAACAATGAGCAAAACACCTGAATAGATATTTCTCAAAAGAAGATGAACAAATATCCAACAGGTATATGAGAAAATGTCCAACATCACTAATCATAAGGGAAATGCAAATCAAAACTATGATAAGATATCTCATCCCAGTTAAAATAACTTTTGTCAAAGGACAAAAAGTAACAAGTAATGATGAGGATGTGAATAAGGTAGAACACTATTATACTGTTGCTTCTTTGCTGCTCTTTTTAGCTGGGATTACAGGTGCCCACCACCACGCCTGGCTAATTTTTGTATGTTTAGTAGAGATGGGGTTTCACCATATTGGCCAGGCTGGTCTTGAACTCCTGTCCTCAGGTGATCCGCCTGCCTCAGCCTCCCAAAATGCTGACATTACAGGTGTGAGCCACCGCACTTGGCCTACTCACATTCTGTTGGTGGAAATGTAAAGTAGTACAGCCATGTAGAAAACAGTAGAGAAGTTTCTGGAAAATCTATTAGGGTTGTTACAAAAGTAATTACGGTTTTACTACTACTTTTCATGGCTGAAGCCACAATTACTTTTGTACCAGCCTAATAAGTATAGAACTACCATATCATCCAACAATCCCACTGCTGCGTATATATCCAAAAGCAAGGAAATCAGAGTATTGAAGGGACATCTGTACTCTCATGTTTACTGTTGCAGCACTATTCACGCTATCCAAAATATGGAATTAACCTAAGTGTCTATCAACAGATAAATAGATAGTGAAAATATGGTATATATACAAAATAGAACATTATTCATCCATACCAAGAATAAGATCTTTTCATTTGCAGCAACATGCATAGAACTGGGTCATTATGTTAAATGAAATAAAACAGGCATAGAAAGACAAATATTACATGTTCTTACCTACATGTTGGAGCTAAAATAAAAAAAAACTATCTCACGGAGGTAGTGAGTAGAATGACATTTACCAGGGGCTGGGGAGAAAAGAGGAGAATGGGTATGAAAAGCTGGCTACTTCAAAAATACAGTTAGAAATAATAAATAAGTTATTCTATTCAATATAGTACAGTACAGTAGGGTAATTATAGTTAACAAAAATCTCTTCTATATTTCAAAATAATAGAAGAGAATAATTGTAGTTCTCCCAACACAAAGAAAAGATTAATGTTTGAGATGATGGATATCCCAATTATACTGATTTGATAATTCCACATTGTATACCTGTATCAAAATATCACACATATTCTATAAACTAGGATATATCAACAAAAAATAAAAAAATCAGGAAGAGAAAAAAATTGCTAAGAGGGTAAATCTTAGTTAAGTATTCCTGTTACAAAAACATTATTATAATAATAAATAAGAGTGTGAAGAAACTTTTGGAGGTAATGATTAAGTTTATGGCATTGATTGTGGTGATGGGTTCACACAATCCCTAAGCTCATTAGGTTGTGTTATACATTAATTATGTACAAAATTTTTATTATTTATTTATTCTTGAGACAAGATCTCACTCTATTGCCAAGGCTGGAGTGCAGTGGCACAAACACGACTCACTGCAGCCTCAACCTCCTGGGCTTATGCGATTACCCCACCTCAGCCTCTAGGGTAGCTGGGACCATAGGCACACCATCAAGCCCAGCTAATTTGTTTTTACATTTTTGTCGAAATGAGGACTTTCCATGTTACCCAGAATGGGCTCAAACTCCTGAGCTGAAGTGATCCTCCTGCCTTGACCTCCCAAAGTTCTGGGACTGCAGGAGTGAGCCATTGTGCTTAGCCTATATAGCATTTTTAATGTAAATAAATAAATAAAGTGATATAATGGAATATTTAATTTAGGCCAATTTTCACGAAAAGTATTAAGAACCTTAAGAGTGAGTTTTATCCATTGATTACAAAAATGGAAAAAAAACTAAGCTGTCTTGCCCAAAGTGTCACCTGGTAATCCAAAACAATTTAACCCAGAACTTCTGCTCCCAGGCACTTTTGGTTGATTACTAGATGTTTGTCAGTATTTTCTTTCCATAGGATCAACTTAAAATAAAGTAATGACGACTAAAGAGAATTGCCTACTTACTTTGCTAAAATCTAAAATATAATGCCATTTAGCTTCCCTGGTGTCCTGGGAACATTCCCAACTGTTTCTTTGCATTTCTGCTTGCCTCAAGCAATATATTCTTAGGTGCAACAGTTTTGTATCAATTAACTGTGAAATAATATGAATAAGTTTAACATGATATTGTCCGAGGGAAATATAAATTGTATAAGTTACCAGGAAAATATAGGTAGAAGTCTGTTTAATGGTATAAAATAAAGCCAATGGTTTCTATTTTACCAATAGTATCACATCTCATTTCTGAAGTGTTTTCCTGAGGGGAGATAAAGTGTATCATGATACCTAATAATGTCTGAATAATATGAAAGACTTGGAGACATGGGTGTGAATATTGCTCCTTAAAGTCTCATGGGGAATTAGGGGAGCATCGGCAAGTTTCCCATGGCCCTCTGGGAGAAATACAGTGTTTTGATAAAGGAGAGAGGGCACAAAGAAGTCTGGACTCAGAAGAAGGACAATAGAATGCACGAACCTTGTGAGTAAAGTGAGGGTTGAGGCTGAAGCAAAGAACCTGAACAAAACTGCAGAGAGCTGATAAGCAAACACACAGGAGAAAGATATTAATACACTAAACCTAGATCAGAAGGGGTATGCATGAGAATTCTAAGAGGCTATAGTTAAACATGAAGTGATTGAATTCCTTAAACTCTAAGGGGGACTGAAGATCCAAGCTAATTTCAATCAAAGCTATTTGATCATTCATTTTGTAAACAAAAACTATGAACTGGTCACACTAGCAACATAAAATTCTTCTAAAATTATATTTTTGTTGCAAATGAGAAGAAATTATAGAGAACCAAAGTCAAAAATATGACTCGAACCTGGTACTTGTTTCAGTAAACATAGTGGTCTGGGAATGAAAATGCAAACAGGGTAGGAGTCAAGAAAACCACACACACACACACACACACACACACACACACACTTCCTGAGCATACTGAGGAAATCTGCATCTGAGCCTCATGATGGAATGAAGCAATAAGAATCTTTTTTGAAAAAAATTGAACAATGCAGTTCAAGGTCATAATGTTCTAAAGCTGGTTATTAGTAGACTATGTGATGGGTGTACTGACATGTATTGAGTGTCCACTCTGCTCTAGGTATTTGTTCTGGTTGAAACTGTTTTGATTTCCACTAACAGAAACGAATTGAACTTGCTTACAGAAAAATGGAATATTTACTGGAGAGTATGGGATATTTTGAAGAAATAAGAATTGCTATATTTAACTATTAATAGAAATCAGCAGCTTCAAAAGCATCAGGAACTCTCACATTGTTACTTCTCCACTTCTATGCTCTTTATGTTTCTAGGACTGCTTCATTATTGCTATCTCTCTTTTTACATATATACATATATTTCTATATGTATATATATATACATTTTATATATATAGTTTTTCTTTTCCATACACACAATACAAAAATTGACATCTCCCTGTATCCGTCATACAGTATCTTGGAGTCCCAGGTTCCAAACACAGGGAGATTTGGGCCATTTGTCCATCAGTCTCCATTCAGATGTTGCCATGGGTTGTAGGTTCATGAATTTCAGGATCTTCCCATTGCGGGGAAGTCTTCAGAGAAAGCGTGTCACTGTTAGCTCAGCAAATACTTTAAGAGATGTCAGTTGCAGCCTGGTGCTGGCTAGCTGTTGTTTGTTTTCCTGGTCAATCCTTTTGACAGTATTTCAGAGGAAGAAGTTGGGAAGCTTAATCAGAATGGTTTATGTACTTTGCCAAGGGTCACACAGGTGATTGACAAATAAGGAATTTGAATCCAATTTGCCATAAGTTTACAATAAAACATGTGAGACTCAATTTGAGAACCCCTCAGTTTGATCTTTGAAAAGAAATAGATATATAGAGATGGATATATATGTGTTTGTGTGTGTGTGTATTCAGAGAGTGAAAAAGAGTGTGTGTGTGCACGAGAGACAGTGAGAGAGAAAGAGAGAGAAGGGAAGGGGAGAGCAGGGGTGGGAAGGGGAGGCAAGAAGAGAAACAGTATCACTAATAGGCTATTCATCAAATAGCTGCACGGATATGAATCTATGTGACTATGAGGGACTTTAAGTTCCTGTAAGCTTGACTGAGCTTTACATAGGGATTTCCCTAACTGTAGGATATTAACCTCCCTTTTGTAACATCATGTACTTTAGAAAACTTAAAATTCTACATTCTTTCTCTGTTCCCCATGAGATGTAAGTCTTTCAAAAAGTTTCTGGTAGGTTTTACAGCCCAGGGATATCTTTCTTAATAAAAGACCTGGGAGCTGTTCCTTTAAAATATGTTCATCAAGGAAGATAGATAGCACCTTTATCTCCTAGTCTTTCTAGGAGAGTAGGAGCCTAACTTTGATGGGCACTTCTCTCAAGTTGTAAAACTATCTCCTGCTGTGAAGATATGTGAAAGTTTAATTTTCCTTTAGGTAAAGTCAGCTAGTAAACATAGATGACAATGATCCTCTCATCCCAGCTCATACAAATTTTCTCTTTATTTCAGCAGAGTTGAGCTCAGACCAAGTCTGGTATCACTCCCCTCTTGCAAAAGCCTTAAATGAAGCCTTCTTTTCCTATTTACTTTGTCCAGTGCAAGTTTTTCTTTAACATATCAATTCTATCCTTATTCAATAGTTTCTAAATGCGCAATTGTTAATTATGTCTTTGTATTGCTGGTGAATATTGTAGGAAAACCAATAAACATTGCATTTTTTCATAACAGAAATGCTCAGTTTCTGTTTCAGTTCAGGAGACAGAATAATGCTATGTTTAGCCAGAATTCAGTTTTACCTTCTTCTTACCTTGGGCATCTGTTTTGACGAAATTGTGTAAAGACAAATGGCACCATAGACATATGGTAGCCATATTCTCTAAGATTCACTGACAACTATTTGTTTCTATCAAAGTGATGCATTGTTGTATTTTAGGGAATCACATTTCCTATGGGCTTGTACAACATATAATTTGAGTGGCTTTACAAGGCATGAAAGATGCTCAATATTGTTAAGTTTAAATTTAGGGAGAGTAACTTTTACAGATGTCTGTGTGGCTATTTATAAATAGGACAAGTCCCTAGACCTGCTTTTAAGCTCTCAGAACCCTACTCTTACTCAGCCAAATATAAACTATATATGACAAGATTCTACAGATATGACTAAAATGTTAACTTCATATGTAATACATGTCATTGGCAATCTCCTTGGTTCAGTATAAATAAAATGTTATGTTGAAATCAGTTTAGAATAAAAGATGTCATCCATAAATAACAGTGATCAACAATCAAAACAAGGGAAGATGTTAATAATGTACAATTCTTCATCTCTGTGTCCTGAAATATGTAGTTAATTTAAATAGATTGCCTACTCTGGTGAAAGAAACTAGATCTACCATTGAATATTCTAAAACAGCCAAGAGGTCAGCTTTGACCTTAGAACATTAAGGTCTGTTAGTTGCAAATAATAATATTTGATGATTATCATATCAATTATCCAAAATATAACCAATGTTTCTTAAATGGGAAGAATATGAATTTATCATGTATTACAGTTATGGACTAGAGGATATGGCTAGGAAAGCTATTAATACTTGCAATAACATCTCTTTGGATTTATATATTTAATAAGAGAAAGAAAACCACCGTCACACAACTTGGACTTTCTGAGGGACAAATTAAACACTGTTCCCAAAAATAATGTGATAACTGAGATGGCTTTAAGTGTAACGTGACAGTTGAGTTTGAATGAAGACATTTTCAAGAAGAAAAATTAACAGGATTATCATTTTAATAGACCTATGGAATTTTTGCTTGGAAACGAGAGATCCTAAGATAGAGGAGGATCTAACTGCATTCTCGCTAAAGAGGAAAAACGAGACAGGGCAGTGCATGACTACGAATATGTGTAGTAAACGGTCATGCATAAATTAGTGGTTTTTGCAATGTACAGTTTTGGTGGCAACCACAGAATAACAGTTTTATTTGAACTAGTGAAAAGAAAGCAGAAAGCAAAATAAGAAAGTTGAGCCAATATACATAATAACATTATGAATAGGAAAGGATGAGAATCACAGATTCTTCAGTGGCAATTTCAAGAACATAGGAAATCAAGAGGTATAGACAAGGCAGCAAGGCAGCAAAAGGCCTGGAACATGAAGGTGGCTCCCAATACCTTCCCTCCAATATCATGCATGTTCCTCAATATGATGAAAATGCTAAGTGATATTTTCAGGTTATCTCATACAGTGTAGAGCATTCGAATTACGGAAGATCTTACTTTTTGTTTCCTGAGAGATGTATAATTTACAAGACACTCTCCAGTGTATGCCTCATAGACTCTGAGTTTCTTTTCCATAAGTAATGCATTAGTCAGAAGTATCTTCCTAAGAGCGTTCAATAAAGTCTATTTCTCCTAGTAAATTCCATTAGTCCATTTACCCAGAGATTGTCTCCACAAAGACATTGGACTTGGTCTCTGTGATGGTTAATTTTAGATGTTGTCTGTGCTAAAGTAAGGGATACGCAGGTAGCTGGTAAACGTTATTTCTGGGTATTACTTGAGATTGTTTCTGGAAGACACTGACGTTTTAATCAGTGAAATGAATAAAGAAGATCTGCCCTCACCCAGTGTGGGTGGGCACCACTGAATTCGCTGAGGGTTCAGATAGGCCAGAAAGGTAAAGGAAAAGCGAATTCACTCTCTCTTCTAGAGCAGGGACAACCATCTTTACCTGCTCTTGGACATCAGAACTCCAGGTTCTGAGGCATTTTGACCTTAGAATTTGCACCAGCAACTCCATGTTTCTCAGACCTTTGGCCTCAGACTGAAAGTTACATCATATGACCTCTTGATTCTCAGGGATTTGGACTTGGACTGAACTACACCGTCAGCTTTCCTGGCCCTCCAGCTTGCAGATGGCATACCACGGGACTTCTCAGCCTCCATAACCATGTGAGCCAATTCTTACAGCAAATCATCTTTCATATATCTCTAATATATATCCTATTGGATCTATTTCTCAGAAGAACCTCCACTAATGCAGTCACTTTCCTTTTATAGTTTCATCTGAGGGCATAACCTGGGAAAAAAAGAGTATATGGATTGCCAGCTAGCTGTCTTAATTTCTTCCCCAGGAAAGAAGAAAGAGGAAAGACCAAGTGAAAAAAAACTATATGCATCTGGCTGGATGGGTTTATCGGAAATGAAAATGAATTCAGAAGCCAAAGTAACATTTGTTAAGTGTTTTCACCGGAAGCCAAGAACTGAACCAAATATAGATAACCAGAGACATGGGTAGGTTGAGCTGGTATGTAGAGGAAAGAATATAGGCCAGATTTTTAAAGATTTTTATGAATATTTAACATAGCATTTAAATGTATTGAAGTGAAGTGAATTTAAGCTCAAAATAAAGTTCTTGGACAGAAAGTTTTGGAGGCATACCTTGGCAATTTTCATTTCTAACACTTACCCTGACAATTATTATGGGCATTAAGATTTGAGACCTCTAAGCAAAGGTTAATGGAAATAGGGAGAAAGACGTTTCTTCAGGAGGAAAATGTCATGAATTAAAAAGAATATTCCGTTTGCTATCTTTAAGTCAATATGGAAAAGGGGAAAAAAGAAACAGCGAAACCGTTAAGGAGGTTCTGTGTACAGCTCAGATAAGGTCGATGGCTTGAACTAGAGCCATTACTACAGAAATGGGTGGGAAAACACAGGTGCAAGATATATTTTAGAACTTTATTCTTTAGGATTTCATACATAATTTGGTTCAACAATGAAAGATAAATTTTAGAACTTTATTCTTTAGGATTTCATACATAATTTGGTTCAACAATGAAAGATAAATATGAAGAGGCATCACATCAAGGGGTCTGGTTTTAGAATAATTTGAGCAGAGTTTCTGGCTCATACATTTCTTAATTGTATGACCTTGGACAAGTTATGTGCTTTTCTAAGTCTTTGGATTCCTCATCAAAAAAAAAGAGATAATTAAAATGACTAAGGATTTATTGTGTTATTAAATGAATCATAAGATTATAGCCAATACTAATTCATTTAAATACATGCTAAAATTGATAAAGAAATTTGAATGGACTTGTTAATTATAATGTTAGATAATGTGGCTAGTCACATGTTACTGAATTGTATTGGAAAAAAAATGACCATAGAACAATGAGTTACATAAGAAAGAAAATTGTGTGATGCTTGAAATCCAAGTATTATTCTGCAGTCAAATCACAGAGTCTGAGAGTTAGTTACGTATTAACACAGCAGACTGGCTGGTTTGAATTTATCAGGATACCATTCCTGGCTTTTAAAAATATGGATTGTGCTTGCAAAAGCATTCAGCAAATTGAGTCGTCATTGCTCAGAATTCAGCTGATTTAGAATGAAAATACTCAATTATAGATCAGATATAAAAATGCAGATGCATTCATAAATGAACATTAAACACACTGGACTGGCAACAAAAATCCATTCAAAATAATTTTCCTAATCAACATGTTCTTGAGTTAAGATAATTTGACTTTATAGCCTACGTGAGTATTGTGTTAGTAAAAATCCTAACATAATCATCCAAATCTGTAGGTTATAAATTTTAAAAATCACATTTTATAAAAGACATCGACATGCATTTTCACAATGTCCTCCACTGAAAATAAAATCTCCGTAGAATAAATAATATAAAACAACTGATTTCTGCTGAGAGAGAACTGTCCTCCTGGTGGAGGTGCTGGGTCACATTACTGATGACCATCAGTCATCGACACACAGGACAAGTTTCAATCTTTGTTAGTGTTGATTTCTTCTTCAATAAAATGAAGATGCATTCCAAAGAGTTTATAAGGTAGATAATACATTTCACCTTCTTAGCACATGTCAGAGCCATTATTTACCCCTGTGTTGTCTTCATGTTAATAAAAACACATAATCTTCCTCAAAGCATCTTATTGACATTTTGTTTTTTTAAAAAAGTATTTAAGCCAGATGCTGTGGCTCACACCTATAATCCTAAAACTCTGGGAGGTCGAGGCAGGTGGATCACTTGAGCTCAATAGTTCAAGAACAGCCAGGGCAACTTGGTGAAGCCCTGTCTCTCCAAAAAAAAAAAAAAAAAAAAAATAGCAGGGTGTGGTGGCATGCTCCCATAGTCCCAGCTACCTGGGAGGCTGAGGTGGGAGGATTGCTTGAAACCAAGAGGTGGAGGTTGCAGTGAGCTGAGGTCATGCCACTGCACTCCAACCTGGGGTGACAGAGCCAGACCCTGTTTCCAGAAAAAAAATTATTTAATGTATGAATTTAAGTAAATATAATGTCAACAGAGTGCCAGTGTTGCGCAGCACATTACACGCTCAATTATAGGCAGCAGCACTAAGTTATCACAAAGTGCTAAGTGCATCATTGTTATAATTATTCCCAATCATAAAAGCCATATAAGAACGGCAGATGGCTGGGACACTAGAATTTCTCATTGGCTGGTGCGAATGAGAGTAATGTGTGTCTCCCTGAGTCTCCACACCCCATCACCGCTTCTGACTTGATCAATTTTTCTATTTTCATCTTGCCAGTCAGGAAATGAGAGCAAGAAACCACAGCTCTGCCCATTTTACTTCATCTGCCAGGAAACCGTGAGGTTGGTTTCCATTATGGAGTTCTAACTATCAGACTCTCCATGGAGAGGATATTGAAATCACCTTCTGACTTCTCACATCACCTTCCAGGGCTTCCTTTCTGATTTTATCCCTAATAGCACTTTTTATCCCCATTGAGTTTGTCTTGTAAACTGCTTCAAAACATTTCAATTTAAAGAAAATGGGATATTTATATAAACACAGTAATAAGTACAAATTTCATTTGAAACACATAATAAATATAAATTCTATTTGAAAATGGGCAATGTTTCATATTTTCTGGGATGGCTGAGCAAAGATACATTTTATGAATTGTGAGACTGCTGAGTGGAATACTGATGGGGTAGGGAGACAGTGTTCCTTATTCCAAGTCACTCCTGTACTTTCCAGAATTTGAGAACAAATGATAACAGAAGTGGTTTCTACTGATTTTTATTAAATGAATGTTGTTATTCTTGATGTGATCATATCTCTGCTTTTTAACTATGCCAACCAAAGTCATGCCTTTGACATAATACAAAATGCAGAGCTGAGAATTAAGTTGTTATTGTAACCTTTTTATTTTTCTTGACCATAAGACCTATCTAGAACATAATTTGAGTATAGATATTTTCTCAGCATAACTTCAGATAGCCATATATATATGCACAAATTTAATTTGATTTTATTGTATTTTTTAAATAAAGGAATCTACTTAAATGATTTTTGATTAAATAAAATGATTAATTCATTGCTTTGCCTCTTACTACCATGTTCCCACAGGATTTCTTACTAGTCTGTGATCAATATAATTAAAATTATTAATCAGCTTGATCTTCATGTCGCTGATAAGGACTATAATTATGTAGAATAGTTATGTTAGAAAACACAAAAGGAGTTTACTACAAAGAATTTGGAAACTGCATTTTCAATATATGTTTTAATGTATTCAAATAAGATATTATTAAAGATATTATTAGGTTCGTGCAAAAGTTTTTGCAGTTTTTGCTACTACTTTCAGTGGGAAAAACTGCAATAACTTTTGTACCAAAATAATATTATAAAAATTATTTTCAATACAAATTGAAGGTATTACTTTAAAAGTAATTACTATGTGCCAGGAAATTATATACTTTTTAATATTAATAATCTAATGAAATAAGCATCATTGGCCGGGCAAGGTTGCTCATGCCTATAATCCCAGCACTTTGGGAGGCCAAGGCGGGCAGATCGCTTGAACTCAGGATTTGGAGACCAGCCTGGGAAACATGGCGAGACTACATCTCTACAAAAATGAAAAAAGTTAACCAGGTGCTGTGGCACATGCTTGTAGTCTCAGTTACTTGGGAGGCTGAGGTGGGAGGATTGCTTGAGCCTGTGAGGTCGAGGGTGCAGTGAGCCAACATTGTGCCTCCTGCACTCCAGCCTGGGCCCCAGAGCAAGACTCTGATTCGAAAAAAGAAAGAAGCATCTTTCCATTTTCAACTTATAGATGAAGAAACTAAGGCACAAAATAAAACAAGTAACTCTCCCAAAGTCCCCAGGCTTGTAGTGACAGCACCAGGATTCTAACCCCAGCCTCTCTAGCACAAAACTTTCTATTCTTAACACCACGCTGTGTCATCCTGTAGGTAACACATTGTTAGCTTAAAAAGAACATCCATCCTCAAACTTATGTAAGCAGAACAAGAACTCTCAAGAGTGCAGGAGTTTCTATCTTCCATAACAGAAAGTTTCACTTAAATATTATTCCCATAATACCTTTTTAAATGAGAGAGATGAAGTTGTTTTAAGGGAAAATGGACCACAAATCTCTTACACTAACATGATTATCTAAATTAACTTAGAATCAGAATATATTGGATGAGAGTGAAAGCACCACTCAGAGGCTTATCTACATTGCTTCACAAAACATTGAAATTCTGGGGATGGGGTGAGGTGCCTGAACCTCAGAAAGTGAGGAGGGAAAAGGGCACCTGCAGGTTGAGGAAGCCTGGCTGGTGACTGAAATGAAGTTCCCTATGACAAGTCAGTTAAGGTGGCACTTCTCACCTACATTAGAAAAATGTAATAAAAGGCAGATAAATAGCCACTCTTTGCAAAAAATAAGCTGACTGACCAGCCTCTGGAGGCACCAGAATATCACTCCCAAAAGGAGATAGATAGAAACTTAAGTATTTATCACTAAAACCACCAGAAGGGAATATTTGACTCAATAGCATATAAAATCACCAGAAAGCACTATATGAATAATTGAATTTGTTCTGTAGAATTAGAATGAACACATTTTACAATATTATGTAGATGGACCCTAAATTTTGAAAACAACACTGAGTTCTAACATGATAATCAATCCCCAGGTCCCTCTTGAAACATAAGTGGTGAGTCTAGTGTGTAGGTATACAGAAGAAAACAGCATGGAACTCACCCTGCCCAGACTTCTTTTCTCTAACTTAACCTCATTCTGTGCTACCTATGGATGATCTTCTGACTCTTGTATATTTTGTGTGAAAGTAGGTATTGAGGGGGGCTGGTGTCCTGGGGATTTTATGCTAATTATAAAGAAATCTTTGTGTCTGGGTCTATAGCAGCACAAGCAGCATCTTCGTCAGGTACTTATATTGCTTTCTCTATCCTGATTCCAAATATTGCGTTTATGCAGGGCTGAAATTTAGGAGTTTCTTTTCTTCAAAAATATTTGTAAGTGCTCTCTGCACCAACTTCTTTGAAGCTTAGCAGTATTCATGCAAATTTTTAGCACCATTATAGGTAAATATAATAATCTTTTCATGGAGGTTTTACTATACAGAATTAACTGACTTAATTGCTATTAAGATCTCCCACTGCAATCAGATATTGCTCTATGAAAATAATTACAATAATAATCATTATTAAAATGATCATGACAATTATATAATCTGTAAATTGCTTTAAAGCATTTTAATGTAGTCAGTACAATATTTCTAAGTGTGTTAATTGGTTCTGATCTCTATGTTAGCAGCAGTTAGCTGACAGATAACCTCTTTAATCATTTGTACTATGAGGACATTCAACTATGGCTTATAAGGTCTTCCCTAGAACGTTTGGCAATTGCTGTAGATATGATAGCAGTACTTTTAAAAAAAAATTGGTGCTATTAGTGGTATAAAGTTTGTTGTGTACATAGAAATAGCACACATTTTGTGTTCTTATATAACCAAAATATAAGAAGAACATATATTGTGTTCTTATATAGCCAAGGATATAAGAATCAGGTGAGTTTAGCAGCTTATACCCTAAGAGTGGATCTTTTACCCAAGGGTTCAGATTAGGCCAGAAAATGAGATTCCCTCTCAATTTTACAAGAAGAGGTTGTATAAATACTTGTTCAGATGTGTGCTTTATTTGCTAATAAATATTGTATTTACAGCAGAATTTAAACTGAAATTTGAATTAATTAAAACAATTTTACCTAGTAATACGACTGTGGTCATATCTTCCGACCATCCTTCTATGCTGTTATAAAACTGTAATTATTATTTAATGTATTTATGACTTACCATGTGAGAGCAACTTCATGATACTTTATACAGTTGATCAGTTTGCATACAGCAGCCAGTCATCTACTAGTCATTATAAGAAACCCATAATATCTACCACAAAGGACCTAAATCCTGTGAAGATCAAACTGACTTAAATCAGTTCACTATAATAATAACAGTAATAGGTAGCATCTGTTGAAGGCTTGCTATGAGTCAGATACTACTCTGAGTATGTTGTACGTATCATCACATTTAATTCTCACAACAAACCCAGAATTTAGATACAATTTTACCCCTATATTTAGAAGGATAAGGTGAGTCAAGCCTACACACAGGGATGTACATTTATGTAAGCATAATCATTATATTCATATAAATTTATTTATGATTTTAGATAGCATTTTAAAAGCCCACGCTTCCTCTCACTGTTCTGCTTTGACTTCATAATAATTAAACATTTAATGACAATATAATGGCTGTTTGTATTAATGTATCATTTTCATAATATAGTACAAGTACGTTTTAATTGCATTTTATAAAATTTTTAATCATAGAGAATTCATCTCCAGATTAAATTGTTGGGCTTTTATTGAGTTATAATTATAAATTCCTAGAGTCAGGTTTCTAGATTTGAGTATATAAATGCCTGTATACATATTGTTACATGTTACCCTTTTGCCTTTTCAAGAGAATATAACAATTTACCATGGCAATCACAATAAATCTATGGCCCAATGGGTGTTATCATTTTAATTATGCTTATTTGGTTAGGATAAAACCGGGTGCTGGGAGATTATTTTAATACATATTTATTTGATCAATCACAAGGGTAATTTAGTATCTGCCTTTCTTATGTTAATTGCCTCTTCATATTCATGTACTTTTTCAAAATTCAGCACCAAGTACAGAAGGTTCATTTAAGCATGTTCTGTGTTTAGTAGTTAGTTGTTTTCAATAGTACATTTAAAAGGAAAAAAGCAAAGAAACAACATTCTTTTCCATCAACACATGTTTGGAGTTTTCCATGATGCCACTGTCTCATTGTCTAGGCTTAAAACGGTTAAAGGGAAAAATAAAAATGAAAGAAAAAACATATTTTGAATGGCATTAAAAGGTATATTCAGGGGCCCAACCAGTTTATATTTCCTTGAAATCACTTTTGGAAAACACTGACTATATATTTCTTCTACTATACCAAATGCAAATAATACAGACACGTTTTGAAATATAATAAATTTGTTTACTGTAAAATATAAATAAGTACAGTAGCAAAACAAAGATAACACATATCAAAAGAAATAGAGAAAAGGTTCTGGAACACAAGTGATGAAAAGAAAACCTGTTTTCTCTGTTAGAGCACCATTAAATAAACTATTCATTTAAATATCCCTAATTGCTTTCCAATTGCTAAAGTGATTAGATTTAATATATGTGTTGATGAATGTAATGCCTAATTAAAGAGCTTTTCCTTTTGGTTTCACAAGCCCATATGTTCTTATTTTGTGTCTAACTAAATAGGAAGGTATCATACAGATCTGCCCTATTACAGACTGAAGAAACAGGTCCAGGGAGAGGAAAGAACATGCTAAATTTACATACAGATACAACTTTAAAACAAGACTTAAAAGTTCAGCTCTCCTAATTCAGCATATATATGTATATGTACTCAAACATTGTTATTTTCTGTGTGTGTAGACTTAGAGACATTTTAATCTCATAGATATGTCTCTTTTGCCTTCACTACTCCTTTGAGTTCATTTACATAATACTTCAATCAACTTTGACAATGAAAATGCACCTGTGTTTGGCTGGTTGGGCCAGTTCTGCAATATGTCATTCCAGTGAAGACTGGGCATGACTAAACGTAGTGCAGGAACAAAAACCGAAGTAGGAGATAAATCATACCTGTGACTATTTGAATCTTGGGCAAAAAATAAATGAATAGGCCTGGCGCGGTGGCTCACATCTGTAATCCCAGCACTTTGTGAGGCCGAGGCGGGCGGATCACGAGGTCAGGAGATGGAGACCATACCATCCTGGCTAACACGGTGAAACGCCGTCTCTAGTAAAAATGCAAAAAAATTAGCCTGGCGTGGTGGCGGGCGCCTGTAGTCCCAGCTACTCCAGAGGCTGAGGCAGGAGAATGGCATGAACCCGGGAGTCGGAGCTTGCAGTGAGCCGAGGTCACGCCACTGCACTCCAGCCTGGGCCACAGAGCGAGACTCCACCTCAAAAATAATAATAATAATAATAATAATAATAATAATAATAATAGAATAACAATTTGAAATTGTTCATATTTCTTATCGAAATTAATAGAAATCTTTTTCTACTTTACCAGTTTTTGTTCTATACTACTATATGTATAGTAATTATTTTAGGTATCTTTTTTTTATTTCAATAGGTTTTGGGGGAACAGGTGGTGTTTGGTTACATGAATAAGTTCTTTAGCGGTGATTCCTGAAATTTTGGTCCACCCATCACCCAAGCAGTGTACACAGTCCCCTATATACACAGCCCCCCTTCCACCCTTTCCCTCAGTCCCCAAAGTCTATTGTATCATTCTTATGCCTTTGCAAGGGATCTTGATACATATTGCCAAATTGCTTTCCAGTAACTTTTTGATCAATCTATTCTGAATACAGCTGCCAGAGTGCCCTTTTTTATTTATTTATTGATTTTGATTATACTTTAAGTTTTAGGGTACATGTGCACAACATGCAGGTTTGTTACATATGTATACATGTGCCATGTTGGTGTGCTGCACTCATTAACTCCTCATTTAACATGTTAATGCTATCCCTCCCCCCTCCCCCACCCCACAACAGGCCCCGGTGTATGATGTTCCCCTTTCTGTGTACATGTGTTCTCATTGTTCAATTCCCACCTATGAGTGAGAACATGCGGTGTTTGGTTTTTTGTCCTTGCGATAGTTTGCTGAGAATGATGGTTTCCAGCTTCATCCATGTCCCTACAAAGGACATGAACTCATCATTTTTTATGGCTGCATAGTATTCCATGGTGTATATGTGCTACATTTTCTTAATCCAGTCTATCGTTGGACATTTGGGTAGGTTCCAAGTCTTTGCTATCGTGAATAGTGCCACAATAAACATACGTGTGCATGTGTCTTTATAGCAGCATGATTTATAATCCTTTGGGTATATACCCAGTAATGGGATGGCTAGGTCAAATGGTATTTCTAGTTCAAGATCCCTGAGGAATCGCCATACTGACTTCCACAATGGTTGAACTAGTTTACAGTCCCACCAACAGTGTAAAAGTGTTCCTATTTCTCCACATCCTCTCTAGCACTTGTTGTTTCCTGACTTTTTAATGATCGCCATTCTAACTGGTGCGAGATGGTATCTCATTGTGGTTTTGATTTGCATTTCTCTGATGGCCAGTGATGATGAGCATTTTTTCATGTGTCTTTTGGCTGCATAAATGTCTTCTTTTGAGAAGTGTCTGTTCATATCCTTCGCCCACTTTTTGATGGGGCTGTTTGTTTTTTTCTTGTAAATTTGTTGGAGTTCATTGTAGATTCTGGATATTAGCCCCTTGTCAGATGAGTAGATTGCAAAAATTTTCTCCCATTCTGTAGGATGCCTGTTCACTCTGATGGTAGTTTCTTTTGCTGTGCAGAAGCTCTTTAGTTTAATTAGATCCCATTTGTCAATTTTGGCTTTTGTTGCCATTGCTTTTGGTGTTTTAGACATGAAGTCCTTGCCCATGCCTATGTCCTGAATGGTATTGCCTAGGTTTTCTTCTAGGGTTTTCATGGGTTTAGGTCTAACATTTAAGTCTTTAATCCATCTTGAATTAATTTTTGTATAAGGTGTAAGGTTTCAGCTTTCTACGTATGGCTAGCCAGTTTTCCCAGCACCATTTATTAAATAGGGAATCCTTTCCCCATTGCTTGTTTTTGTCAGGTTTGTCAAAGATCAGATGGTTGTAGATGTGTGGTATTATTTCTGAGGGCTCTGTTCTGTTCCATTGGTCTATATCTCTGTTTTGGTACCAGTACCATGCTGTTTTGGTTACTGTAGCCTTGTAGTATAGTTTGAAGTCAGGTAGCGTGATGCCTCCAGCTTTGTTCTTTTGGCTTAGGATTGACTTGGCAATGCGGCTCTTTTTTCATTCCATATGAACTTTAAAGTAGTTTTTTCCAATTCTGTGAAGAAAGTCATTGGTAGCTTGATGGGGATGGCACTGAATCTATGAATTACCTTGGGCAGTATGGCCATTTTCACGATATTGATTCTTCCTACCCATGAGCATGGAATGTTGTTCCATTTGTTTGTATCCTCTTTTATTTCCTTGAGCAGTGGTTTGTAGTTCTCGTTGAAGAGGTCCTTCATGTCCCTTGTAAGTTGAGTTCCTAGGTATTTTATTCTCTTTGAAGCAATTGTGAATGTGAGTTCACTCATGATTTGGCTCTCTGTTTGTCTGTTATTGGTGTATAAGAATGCTTGTGATTTTTGCACATTGATTTTGTATCCAGAGTGCCCTTTTTTAGAGGCAAATCACATCATGTACATACTGGCCTAAAATACCTCAGTGGATTTCTGGTCCTCTCAGAATAACATACAAACTCTTAAATCTGGTCCACATGGTTCCAGTAAAACTTGATCCTGTCTGTGTCTCCACATCTCAAACCAACCTCCGTTTCACTCACTATCCTCTGTCTACCACTAGATACCCACCAAGGTTGGTACTTATACCCACCACAGAAAGCCTGATCATAGGCTTACCAACCCAATCTCACCCAGTTTTGCACTTTCCAGCTGCTTAGGTTGTAGAGTGTAGGATGTAATCCCTGAATGCCCCAGGTTACCATGTCCCAAGGGACACCCTGGTACCTTCTCCAATCAACAAAGGCCAAGTAAAAAATTTCACTGCTATTTTGTATGCAATTGCCTCTTGCTTGCAAGTGTCACCTACTGATCTGAAGATCAAATTGCATTTCCTATTACAACATCTGGTGATATCAGTGTACAGTGCTCACCTGGCTCTAATCTGCAACAACCATCTACTGGCCTTTAAGGTGAACTAAAAAATCCAGTATAATTCCTGCTGACAGCAATGCACAGCACTGGGGAATAAGCCTTCCAAGATGTCCACCTCCCCATCTCCGTAGAAGTCAGTGAGCCTGACCATGTGTCCAGCATGCCTTTACTACAAAGGACAAACAACTAGCATTTGAGACAACCATTACAATAAGGCTCTTCATGCCAAGAAATTCATATAATACCTTTGATCCCTAAAACCAATAGGTACAAAGCCAAAGGATGACACCTAACTTGCATGACAGGGACACTTTCAGGAAGGAAAGGAAAAAAAAATTCCACTCAAATTAAAGTAATGAAAAAATAATAAGTGACAGCTTCTACAGATAAGAAGGAACCAGCACAATAACTCCAGCAGCATAAAGAAATAGAATGTTGTGATACACCGCACCCCCCCAACACACACACAAAGGGACACACTAGCTCTCTAGCAATAGATCCTAACAAAATGAAAACTTTCCAATGAGAAAAAAAGAATTCAAGATATGAATTGTAAGAAAGCTCAATGAGATCCCAGAGAAAGTTAGAAACTAACATTAAAAAATCAAGACAGCAACTTGGGAGACGAAAGATGTAGTAGATATATTTTACAGAACAAAATAGAACTTATAGAAATGAAAAATTTACTGAAGGCATTTCAAAACACAGTTGAAAGCTTTAACAATTTACCAGATCAGATGGAAGAAACGTATTTAGAGTTTGCAGACTGTTTTGTTGAATTCACCCAAGCAGATTAAAACAAAGCAAGTTGAATTTTTAAAAATGAACAAAGCCTTCAAGAAATACAGGACTATGTAAATATATCAAGTCTACAACTTATAGTATTCTTGAAGTAGAAAAAAAGCAAAAAGTTTGTAAAACACAATTGAGGGAATAATTCAGAAAAAATAGATCTTGCTAGAAGATATCCAGATATAAGAACTTCAGAAAATACCTGGAGGATACTATACAAGATGAAAATCACCAAAGCATATTGTCATTAGACTATGCAAGGGCAAAAATGAAAGGACAAGTCTTAAAGGCAGCCAGAGAGAAGTGTCAAATCACCTGTAAAGAAAATCCCATCAGACAAACAGTGGACTTCTCAGCAGAAACCTTACAAGCCATAAGAGATTTGGGTTCTATTTTTAGCATCCTTAAACAAATGTCAGTCAATAAGTTTATATTCTGTGTGAACTCCCAAAAATTGAGACAGGTCTCAGTTAATTGCCAGGGTTGCCAAGGTTGAAGACATGTGCCTGTGACACAAACTCAGGAGGTCCTGATGATATTTGCCCAAGGTGGTCAGAGCACAGTTTGGTTTTATACATATTAGGGAGACGAGACATCAGTCAACATATGTAAGATGAACATTGTTTCAGTCTGGAAAGGCAGGACAACTCAAAGCAGGAAAGGGGCTTCCAGGTCCTAGGTAGATAAGAGACAAATGGTTGCATTGTTTTGAGTTTCAGATTAGCCTCTCCAGAGGAGGCAATCAGATATGCATTTATCTCAGTGAGCAGAGGGATGACTTTGAATAGAATGGGAGGCAGGTTTTTCCTAAGCAGTTCCCAGCTTGACTTTTCCCTTTAGCTTAGTGATTTTGGGAGCCCAAGATATTTTCCTTTCATACCTGCCAAACTAAGCTTCTTAAACGAAGGAGAAATAAAGTTTTTGTCATACAAGCAAATTCTAAGGGAATGTGTCACTGTTTGGCTGGTCATATAAGAAATGCTCAGAAGAGTTCTAAACATGAAATGAAAAGACAATATTGTCCATCATAAAAGCATATGTAGGTAGAGAGCTCACACATCCTATAAGGCAATTACACAATTCAGACTCCAAGGAAACTAGCTAACAAAACTATGACAAGAACAAACCTCACATGTCAATGTTAACCTTGAACATAAATTGCCTAAATGCTGTACTTAAAAGATGTAAACTGGAAAAGTGAATTAAAAAAATAAGACCCAACAGTCTGCTACCTACAAGAGATGAATCTAATGGTTAAAGATGGCTACAGAGAGAAAGTAAAGAGGTGGGCAAAGATATATCAAGCCAATGGAAAACACAATCAAGCTGAATAACTATTCTTATATCAGATAAAACAGACTTTAAACCAACAACAGTAAACACATGCACACACACAGGCACACACACACAAACAATCACATGCAGAAGGACATTATATAATTATAAAGTGTTCAATACAATAGGAAGATTTAATTATCCTAAATATATATGGACCCAACACTTGAGCACTCAGATTCAGAAAACAAATACAACTAGACCTAAGAAAATAGAGTGACAGCAATACAATAATAGTGGGGAACATCAACATCACTGACAACACTAGAAACATCATTGAGGCAAAAAGTCAACAAAAATACTCTGGTCTTAAACTGGGCTCTAGACCAAATGGACCTAATACACATTTATAGAATATTCTACACAACAACTGCAGAATATACATTTTTCTCATCTGCACATGGAATATTCTCCAAAATTGGCTATATTCTTGACCACAAAGCAAGTCCTAATAAATTCAAAAATCAAAATTATATTAAATATCTTCTTAGACCACAGTGGAATAAAATTAGAAATCAATGCCAAGAGGAACTCTCAAAACCACAGAAACACATGAGAAGTAAACAACTTGTTACTGAATGACCTTGAGTAAACAACAAAATTAAGGCAGAAATAAAAAAAATTGAAATGAATGAAAATAGATACAGAACTTACCAAAACCTCTGGAATATGGCAAAAGCAGTGCTAAGAAGAGAACTTATAGTTTTAAATGCCTATGTCAAAAAGATAGAAAAATCTTAAGTTAAAAAACAAATGTCACATCTCAAAGAACTAGAAAAGCAAAATCAAATCAAATCTAAAGTTAACAGAAGAAAAGAAATAACACAGATCAAAACAGAACTAAATGAGACTGACACCAAAAAAGAATACAAAAGATCAAAGAAAGTATAAGTTGGTTCTTTGAAAGGGTAAACAAAATCGATAGACTACTAGTTAGTTTAATCAAGAGAAAAAGAGAGGAGATTCAAAAAACACAATCAGAAATGATGACATTACAACTGATAAAGAGAAATATAAGAGATCCTCAGAGATTACTATGAATATCTCTATGCACACAATCTAGAAAACCTAGAGGAAATTGATACATTTCTGGAAGTATACAACCTACCAAGATTGAATCACAAAGAAATAGAAATCCGAAACTGACCAATAACAAGCAATGAAATTGAATCAGAAATGAAAATTATTCTAACCAAACTGACTTGGATCCAATGGATTTATAGACAAATTTTATCAGATGTACAAAGAAGGACTAGTATTAATTCTACAGAAAATATTCCCAAAAATGAAGGAGGAGGAATTGTACCCCAACTCATTCTATAAAACCAGTTCTACCCTGATAGAAAAAACAGTCGCAGACACAACAACAACAAAAAAGACAACTGCGGTCCAATATCCCTGATGAACATAGATGCAAAGATCCTCAGTAAAATACAAGCAAATAGAATCTAACAGCATATCAAAAAGAAAATTCATCATGATAAAGTGGGTTTTATTTCAGCAAATACAAGGATGGTTAAACCTTTACAAATCAATAAATGGGATTCACCACAAAAACAGACTTAAAAACTAAACCACATTTATTACTTACAATAATTGTTATAGATGTGGAAAAAAGCATTTCATTAAACATCCCTTCATGATAAAAATAATTAACAAATTAGACATTGAAGGCACATACCTCAAAATAAGAAGATTACATATATAGCAAACTGACAGCTATCATCGTACTGAATAGAGAAAAGTTGAAAGGACTCCTCCCTATGAACTGGAAAAAGACAAAGATGTTCATTCTCACCACTCATATTCAACATGCTACTGGAAGCTGTAGCCAAAGCAATCAAGTGAGATAAAATTTTTAAAAGCATCTAAATTAGAAAAGATGAAGCCAAATTACCTCTGTTCACTGATGACACGATCTTATAACAAGAAAACTCTGAGAACTCTTTCAAAAGACTCAGACTTAATAAGATACTTTAGTAAAGTTTCAGAATATACAATCAATATAAAAAATCAGTAGTATTTCTATATACCAATAACATTCAATCTGAGTACAGCACACAGCAGGGGGACCTGGGCCTGTCTGGATATTTGTTTATTAATTTCATACCAATGCAGTTTAAAAAATCTATTTATTTAATTTTTAGAGGGCATGCCCATGTCATGCTAGGTTGTTATCTTGATAAACCAACAATCACATTCCCTAGCGTATGTCCTCCCGCATCTCCCCTTGGCCTTTGTCCCTAAACCCACATTGTGTTTTGACTATGATGTTATCTCTGGGTAGTTTTTCTACATGATCTTCCTAACTCTGTTTTTGGATAAAACATAGTCTAACTCTTGTCTATGAATCTGCAATGACAATCTGCCACTTTAAAGCTATCCTCTTCATTTGGGTAATCCCTTACCCCAATTCTTTTACCCCTTTCACATTTCAGAACTCCTGTTGCTAGGTTAAAATATATTATTTAACTCAATTTAGCAATTCACCTTTGTGACCCTTAATTATTTAGATGGCAAGATTAAGATTTCCTTTACAAAGTAATTGTAAAATAATTGAAAATGGGAAAGTAATAACTGAACTCTCTAATAGAGTCTTAAGCGATGGCTAGGGATATTTTAGTTTTAACAATGGGAATAGGGTGAGGAGTCACATCACCAGGCTTTAATGAAATTAGCTTTATGTAATGTTTGGCCTTATATTTGTTATAAGAATATTATAATAAAGGGTAGAATAAAAATATACTCAGAGATTCTGGAACATTCCTACTGGCAGAATAAGCCGTACAATGTATATCATCATAGAAATTTTTTCTTTAAAATGTTATTTATATTGAAAACATGTAATATCAAAATTTTTCATATTCTATAATTTTTGTGACCTAGATTATTTATAATTATTTATGACTTGAAGATGAAGATTGCATTTCTGAGAAGTGAGACAGTAAATTTGTAGTTTACAATGCATAGGGGAATACCCTGACCATGGTGCCATAGCTAAGAAGAAAGACCTCTTCTATTTTATATTTCTTTATTCATGATTAAAATATATACATGGAATATATGGCTAGGCAAGAGTAGGTCAGGATCCTGCCCTCTTTCCCTGTCAGGGTTGTGTGAAGATGTAAGTTTCTGAAATGAGAAGTGTTCTCTCCAGCAATGCTATATAAATATGGGAGTCAGGAGTAATTTCTCCAAAGAAAATCAGCATGCTATTTGGAAAGGAGATGGATACTGAACTCCACCCTTTCCCCCAATAACTACTAAAAAGTCTCAGTAGACAGATCAGAAGAGAGAGAAACTTTTCACCCCCTATATGGAGGTCACATGGACATTCTATATAAGATAAAAATCCACAGCAACACTATGTATGGTTGGAGAGAGAGTCCCCTGGCAGGAATACATGTTTGCTGACTGTTGTGGTTTAATATACCTCTACTGCCTTCTGAAGCTTTCAGCTTGAAAACTGGCTCACTTAGAAAAGAGGCATAAAACATGCCTTATTATGACATCCCAAAAGCAGAGAGGTAAAGTGATTGAAAGAATGTCTTCTATGATCATAGGTTGAGAGAAGGCTTTTAATTTTAATCACCAAACTATACATGCAAACAAATAGCTTTGTCATATTCTATATGCACAGAGTACATTTAATAAACTAATTCTAATGTAAATATGACAGCTATTTAAAAAAATGAAAAATCTTTGTCCTAATAGATATCACTCGCTATAATTAAAGGCTTCTTTATTCCATTAAATTTGATCCATAGAATGAAATCCCTTTTGGTTTGAGATCATGGGACTAGTAGAGCATCTCTCTCTCTCTCTGCCCTTCTTTAGAAGGTAATTTCTAATTTCTTTGAACATTGTTATGAAAATTTATTTTTTTTATTTTTAAGTGAGGTTTTTATTGATCTATTTCTGTTTTGGGAATGCTTCAGTCTGTCACCTCAACTGCCACAGCTTTTGTTTCAATGTGTGGGTCCCAAGTAACAGCTGCAATGTATGAATACTCTCATTTGGTTTGCAAGAGAAAATGCTGCAAAATTTCCTGATCATGATGAATTATAGTGCTAATGAGCTAATGAGCAGGAGGTAAGTTCATTGTGAGAATTTGTCACACTTCTCAAATTTTGAACATTCTGCTATAAGCTTTGGAATTAAAAGCTAAAGTTATTCCAGTGACTTTAGCAAGAGAAATTAATTACCCCTCCTGGCAATAAATATTGGAAATTTTTCAGAGAATCATTCCTCCGCCCATTAGTGTCTTTGTAATGTATTTCCTCACAGCCAGTGGGATGGTTGAATGTGCTACTACAGCACATTCTCTGTATGATGTATAAAGATTAGGATTTAGTATCTCTGGTTTCATGCAGAATTAACTGATTTTGATACTAACCCAAGTAATTGACTCATGTCTTTCTCACCATCATTTTAGAAATCCCTATGGACAAAATGTACAGCTCTAATGTACTTGCTACAGAAGTAAGTGTTAGGATGGTTAACAAATTGATTGCAAAGTAGCAGAAAAAGTTGCCTTTTGTTTTTGCTGTTTGTTTTTAAGAGAATGGGCTGCAAATTACAGAATTAACAGTTATATGCCATCCAACAATTTCTTTCCTTTTAACTTCCTTGTCTGGTAAAGGAACTGATTTAGAACACATGGTGATTGATGACTCCCTTTCAGCACAATATATCACTGCTACTTCCAGACATTTCCAATGGTGAATAGAAATTCTGTGTGTGCAGTCCAACCAAAGGGAATGACCAAATTATTTGACATATACTTAGAAATGTGTAGAGAAGTCGTAACTGATATAAAGTGAAGATGTCACACCACTTTCAGAAAAACACGTATTTTGCAACCTTTCAGACATGCCCTTTATGTGCCTAAGATACACCGAGATAGAAAAAATATTTTTGAAATAAAAGAGCCAAATAACCGCATATATAACACCTCTACTTTATAGTGACAAATTCTCTCATGATATAATGCCTGTCAAATCACTGTCATAATTAAACTATGAAGTGAGTTTTCTCTGCTGAAGGATGTCAGCTAGTAGTTTGGATATATTCCTCTGACCACACTATGCATGCTTCCTGCATGAAGATTTCAAGCAATACTGTTCATTTGCTCTGTGCTCATTAGTGACTCATCTTAGACTTCTTTGAAGTGCCTGACCTTGAAAAATAAAGTTAGTGAAGTGTGACAGAAGAGTAATATTCTGTAAAGAACAAAGTGATAGTACATGAAGGAGTACAATTTGACTAGAGTGATCTGAAATGAAATTAAAGCGCACACCAAGTTCCTTGGTTAATGCTTCATCTCTGGTGTCTGTTTTTAAGTGGAGAAATAAAGACACACTTTCTGAGAAAGTGACATAGATCTCCATTTCCCATGTTTTTGAGCCCTATTAGAGTCAGAAAATATCTTTCTTTTTGATTGAAATTTCCTTTTCCAATGGGTCACAGCTTTAACTTTGAAGATGCACTTTAAAAATTACTTTGCACATGAACAGTTCAGGAGTGTGGTAAAACTCATTTAGCTGTAATGGGAAAATAAAAATTTTATTCCTTTTACTTCTTCATTTTACAAACTCAGTAAATTGCTTAAATTTTGTTTTATGGTATGTTCTTTTTTAAATATAATAACTCTGAGTTTTAAGATATCTCGCAATTGTAAAAATAAAAAGTATAATGTTACCAAAATATATTTGTATATATTTACTTTAGATAAATCAGTGAATAGAATTTGAAGGGCTCGTAAGGCTACTATGGAAAGAGAAAGTCCTCTTTTGACCTATTGTCTACTTTGGACTATCACAGACTCTGATTATACAGAGCCCAAAATTGACTAGGCCTAAAGTCTTAACTCATACCAATTAAACTATTGTAGAAACTGTAATGTCTTCAGATGACACCAGGGCCTGAGTCTGAATGGCAGTAAATATATTGGCTACCTTGAGCAAGAATCACTTAGATGAACACACAGTCCTGTTGCGGGGGGCAGGGGGCAGGGTGCATGTGTGTGTACATTTGCTGTATACCTATAAAGAACAATTAAGAGAAAATTAAGAAAATCTGAGTTTGACTAGTTATTATGTTATACTAAAAGTTTTTCTTGGTTGTAAAACAAATGGTGTTATAGTTAAGTAGAAAGATGTTTATTTTTAAGATTTATTTACCGTAGTATTGATGATTGAAACATCATTGTGCCAATGTTATATCAAAATGATCCAGTCAAATGTGTGTATGTTTACTCCCTTCAGGTAAAAAGATAAGGGTTAAAAACAAAAGATTGTTGTGCTTCAGTTTTTGTCTGTAGTGTCTCATGATAATAATCAGTTTCATTATAATCAAGTTGATTCAGACTGAGTTTTACTTTTCCCGTTCAATAAATGAATAATGTGGACCAGGAAGGATCAATGCTTAGAGTGTGTCATGAAGATAAAATCATACTTAGTCCAAGTTTGTACACGTGAGATTCAAAACAAGTGAATAAAATACCCAAATAACAGATATTCTTATTTACAGTTTCTATTACTGCACTTGTTAGCCAAAACCATTCTTTATGGACTGCATGGTCATTGGTTAAGAAAATGTGAACAGACATTAAATTTAGAGAAACCCAAAGTAAGTAGTTAAAAACTAGGGTGTGAAACCTGACATCATCAGTACATTCAAGATAACTTATGAACCAGAATCAGACATTCTCTGAATTGGAAATGAAGCCCCAGGAGTGATGGGAACTGCTGAGGGCCAGGAAATATAGGAATCAGGTGTCTAGGTAAGGAGAAGTAACCAGAAGATGGGCACATCCCTGCCCAACTATTGTAGTAGGTAGATCTACTCCCTCCCTTAACAGCTGTGTTCTAACCAAAGTAATGATTGGTGATAACTTCCTGAATGCACCATGCCCTGCCTTTGTACAACATGGCATTCTACCTAGTATAGTTTTCCCTTTTCTTCAACTAGATCACGTCTTCCAATCTTTCGAGTCTCAGCCCCCAGCACCAGGGTTATTTCTGAGATTCCCTCCCTGTATCCCAGTGTGCACTGAGTACTGCTTCCCTGCCTCTATGATTATGTTCTTAGCTCTGTCACAGCACTTTATTACGGTGCCTTCCTTCTCAGTTTATTCACCTGAGATTGTGTGCACACCATCAGATTGACACCATCTTGATTTATCTTTGTATATTTAGTGCATGTCTGCTATATGCTGAATTAATAAATGAAAGAAATTTTTGAATTTGAAACTAGGGCTCTATCTGAGGGCCATATTACAAGCTGTAAAGGTGATGACTTGAATTCATAAGCAGAGAACATACATCAATACATTTCCTCAGACCTAAGTTCAGAAAAAAAATACAATATTGCTCAGCACTCTAAATCTTCCTGCAAAATTCTTAAATTAAAAAAAAATTGACCTTCAAATGTACTTGTATTTAAACTTACACTGTTATATAATATGGATGAGAGTAAGGTAGGATTTTGGAATTTGAATTCTACCTATTATTACTGTTTTACTCTGTGAATCCCATAAAAAGCAACAACATAATGAGAAATTTCCATAGTATAAATTACGTCTGCCTAGTAAATTCTCTCTCAGGCTTTACTAAAAGTTACTTATATCCTAAGATTTAGAGAGGACTGGCTATATAATTTGAGGGACCAGTATAAAATTAAAAGCCAGAGGCTCTCATTAAAGAGAGAGAATAAAGTATCACAAAAGCTACTAAGCACACAGGTTTTTCCTTTACAAATACTTCAATCCTTATAAAACATAAGGGTGATATATGAATAACATTAGTAACAAAAATTGCATAAACATATTTTGGTATCATGTTTTTATATTACAATGTAAATAACTCCACTTTAGTAATTCAATAGTTTGATTGATTATAAGATTCTTCTAAGATTTTTTTCTAAAATAATTTTTTGGTAATTAATATTTCTGCATCTAGAAATTTATTTTCAATTGAGGTAGTTGAAAAAATTAGTTGATCTTAGTAAATGTAAGATCACATATAATTTTCTACGATTTTAATTTTGAGAAGAATCTTCCCGATAATATAATTGCTGTTAAGAATTTTCATAGGTTGTGACAATATTGGGATACGTTTCTGATAGAGCATTTTAAAATGTAATTTTTATGCATCTACAGCTTATGATTTTCATGAATCAATTTTTCTAAATATATTTAGCATACCATACAAATCACTTCCTTGTATGTTTGAATTTAATTCAAAATGTAAGTTTATACAATGCTATTTCAGTATTTCTTCCTCTTTTTTTAAATTTTACTTTTAAGTTCCGGGATACACGTGCAGAATGTGCAGTTTGTTACACAGGCATGCATGTGCTATGGCAGTTTGCTGCACTTATCAAATCTTCATCTAGGTTTTAAGCCCCGCATGCATTCCGTATTTGTCCTAATGCTCTCCTTCCCCTTGACCTCCACCCCCAACAGGCCCCAGTGTGTGATGTTCCCCTCCCTATGTCCATGTGTTCTCATTGTTCAACTCCCACTTATGAGTGAGAACATGCAGTGTTTGGTTTTCTGTTCCTGTGTCAGTTTGCTGAGAATGATGGCTTCCAGCTTCATCCATGTCCCTGCAAAGGACATGATTTCATTCTTTTTTGTTTGTGGGTGCACAGTATTCCATGGTGTATATGTGCCACATTTTCTTTATCCAGTATATCATTGATGGGCATTTAGTTTGGTTCCAACTCTTTGCTATTGTAAAGAGTGCTGCAATAAACAGAAGTGTGCATGTGTCTTCATAATAGAATGATTTATAATATTTGGGTTATATACCTAGTAATGGAATATATATATATGTATATATATATGTGTGTATATATGTGTATATATGTATATATATGTATATATATGTGTATATATGTATATATGTGTATATATGTGTATATATGTATATATGTGTATATATGTATATATGTGTATATATGTGTGTGTGTGTGTATATATATATATATATATATATATATATATATATATATCTCAAGAGATTCTTGCTATCTTGATTTGGCTTGGCACTCAATTTTACCACCGCAGCAAAGTTGGGCTTAAAATATGAGTCAGCTTAATTCTCTCTGGATAATACTGTCCTATGGAATACTTTTTTTTTGGTAGAATATAGCAGGTTTAAAGGTCTTATGGATATGAAGAATTTGACACATCCAAATAAATGAGTTAAGGCAGAGTGGCACAGATCATATATAGACTGTATTGAGGGATTTGATTATTATTTTCAGTTTATAAAGGAAGCTAATAAAACAAACATTTTAAGTAGAGAAAATAAAAATTCAATGTACATTTGACAATATTGGTTGACATATTCATTAAAGTCTAATAAGCATGGAAGGTATGAGAGGATTCAAAAAGCTACCTCCAAAAGTTTTGTTTCATCCTAGGAGGTAGCCCTCATTCAATAACTGATGGATGTGGAGATGGAAAGGCACAGCCCCTGTTCCTTATTCAGGACAGTTCTGGAGAGCCACGCAACTTCACATTATCTCCATGATTGGGGGGAGAATTTCACATTTTCCCTCTGCCTCATCTCACTTCCTTCTTTCCTTCATAAGTATTGTTCTAGATGCACCTCCCATAATCTTCCTGCACACACCATTTCCCAGTCCATTTTTAGGAAACTGATAAAAGCTATAGATTTTATTCAATTTCAGCATGTAATAAAATAAATACATGTCTCTTTTTCTGTCCTACCTAAAATAATTACTGCAATGAAAGCAAACTCAGTGAAGAAACTAAATTTAGTAGAGGTTCATGCAACTTGAGAGAAACCATTCAAAATCAAATTCATCAAGTAAACAAAAAGCTACCTGGAAATACCAACACTGACGCTCCCTCTGACTTTACAATAACCTGCTCTGATACCTCCGAATAGCCAGTCTGCATCCAATGATTAATTGATGTTAAAAGATAAAGGCAGGTCCATCTCAGCCCCACTTGAGAAAACTTTGATGAGCTACGTTAGCTCCAGAGATACCTGGAGTATAGGTCAAGACAGTCATTAGACTTAAAACACAACTGGACTTGGCTTCTTCCTCTGCTCATTCCTGCCTCCTTCCACTCACTTATGAAGGTGATGATTACAAGGGCACTCCCTAATAAAACACCTACCTGCTAAATTCAGTCTCAGTCGTCTGCCGCTTGAAGAACTAAACTTACGATAGTATTTACAGTATCACACTATAAAAACTGATACATAGGGAAGGTTAGCAAGCTGAAGAATAGGAAAATCAAGATGGAACAGTAACATCTATGGGGGGAATCCAATATCACTCTATTTCAATTTTGTCAGAAATTATTTATTAAATATGTCCTGGATATCAGACACAACTTTATGTACTGAGGATACAATGGTGAATGAAAAGAAACACAAGGAAACTTACTTCGAGAGGCAGAAGTGCTTTCCAAAAGACTGATATTAAACTGAGGTATGAGTACAGGAAAGAATTGCAGGCAGAAGAAACAGTGTATACAAAGACAGGCTAGAATATGGTAAATGCAACAAACAAAAAGGAAGCCAATTATGAAGAGTAGTGAAACAAACAGAGTGGAAGTCTAAGAAAATGCCTAATCCTACAAGGCTTTTGTAACCAATGCTTGAGGCTTTTTAACGTATCCTTAGAATGATGGGAATGAAATGAAGATGTTAGGATCAAGGGACATATATTGAGCTGTAAACCAAGGAAAACTGAAAAAGCAACCTTAAACACATAATAATTTGATTTGCACAATAAGAAATCTTGGAATATGTGGCCCAAGGCTGGTGCAGTTGTCAAATAATGTCATCAAGCATCTAGACACTTTCTATTTTTCTGCTCTAGAATCCTTACCATATGCCATCTATCTTCATGTGTTCAGAGTAACTGCTGCCATCTACAAAAAATGGAATGTGTGGGTCAGATAGTAAAAGTAAAAGCAGAGATGAGCATAATGGGCAAAGTGAAAATATAACCTCCCTCAGAGACTTCTGACTAAATTATATTTTCCAGAACATATTAGCAATATATAGCTTAGTCACAGCTAGCTATAAAAAGTCTAAAGAAATAGGCTAGTTTAGTTTCCAGGTTTTATTGTAGGAGTCAAGGGAGAGGGTATCTAAATGACTTTCATAGTATTCAGTAGAAGAATAAGCTAGAGATGTAGGAGGAAATAAAAAAGAATGTGGCATGTTTAAATCAGAGGAACATTTTTTCACCACTAATCTATTAGACAGTAGTGTTTATTGTTGCTAAAAGTGTAAACAAAATGGTGATTAAGTTTATCCAATGATGTAGTGGCAAAAAGGCCAATGGTGACATCAGTGAGAGTTGCTGGCATGGAGTGAAGATGAAGACACCCAATTGGAATGAATTAATGAATAAAAGATAAAAACACAGAAGTAATAAATATATGTATTGGCTGTGAAAGAGAAGAAAGAGGATCATACTTGGGGAGTGAAATGAGTTGAAAGAGATTTCTGTTTCTTGTTTTTTCTTTTTGGTTCTTTTATATAAAATGTATTAGAGAACATATGTACATCCAGGATGTGTAGATTCATATGAATTTTAACAACAGGAAGGAAAAAGTTGACAATATGGGGGGAAGGGAGTGAACAAAACATATTGTGATCTCCCTGATGTGATGAAAGGATGTGGCATTCAGATATATACTCACACAGACACAACGGAATACCACTGAGCCCTAAAAAAGAAGGAAATTCTGCAGTATGTGACAACATAAACTTTGAGTACATCGTACTAAGTAAATTAAATCATGGAAGAACAAACAATGCACAATTCCAATTATATGAGGTATCTAAAATACTTGAACTCATAGAAACAGAGAGTGGAATGGTGGTTGCCAAGGCCCAAATAAAGGGAGAAATGGGGACCTGCTGTTCAGTGAGCATGAATTTTCAGCTATGAAGGATGAATTAGTTCTAGAGATCTTCTGTACAGCACTGTGCCTATAGTTAACACTGTATTGTACACTTAATGTTTTAAAAGAGATAATCTTATGTTAAATATTCTTATCACAATCAAAAAATGGTTACAGTGGGCAAAGATGAAAAAATAATCTAGAAGGCCGAGAGACTGTGGTAAAAAATCAATAGAATTGCTTATTTAGAAGATAGAATGGTTTTAAAAATACACCTCATTGGAAAGATTACCCTGCACAGAGCCATGCAATTTCATGTATCTATTATCCTGCTAGAAGAGAGAGACTAGTAATACAAAATCACTTTCTCTTTAGCAATGACTAACTCTCAACTCTCATCTTGGGAGATGTTCAATAAAAGTTTATTTCAAATTATTCTATTACAATAGAAGCAACTAGGCTATGCCATCAGACTTACATGTATCCACCTTTCTGCTTCATTTCTTGGGTCTGTGACTTTGGCAAATGACATAATCTGTGTTTTAATTCCTTTGTAAGTAAATTGAGTGCAGCAATATATTTCTCTATGGATTTTCTTATGTAGTAAGCGGGACAACAAATATGAATCACTAAGCACAATGTCTGACATTTGGCAGACAATTTATGCATAACGACATATTTCCCTAATATTCTAAATGATTGGGTGTAATGAGAAATTTTATTCATTACAAAAATGACGTCCCAAGGTGTTACTATAAAATTAGATTAAGGGAGAAGGTGGTAATTTCATGTCCAGCAGTGAAACCATTTTCTTAGCCAGCTCCAGAAATACTTGAAACAAGAATGACTTTACCATGGAAATAAAGAAAAGCAAATGTCCTGGAAAGTTGACCATTAAAAGTATGGATGATTTGTCTTTAGCTAGATGTTTGCTAGATTTTGCTTTCCCAACTCTGCGAAAAAAAATGGAATTGTTTCCACAGAAATGTTAATTCCAGAGTTATCCATGAAGAAGAGACACATGCTACTAGGTTTAACTGTTCATTCTGTGAACTGCACATACTCTGTATAAACACACATTTTCATAGTCCTTTTTCAATTACGCATATTTTATTGAAATTTATGTATGATGATATAACATGTGTCCGTGTGCAAAAGGGAAATCATTAGTGCCCTTCTATTTTATAATTCCAGGGTGAACCAAGTTTAGCATGGAAAATTTTTTATGTTATATCCCTAATATCCATGAACTGTAGTAATGATAAAATGGAAGAAGTATTGAAAGGATCTCAACAAGATTATAGTTAGATTGAAGTACAAACTTACTTTCAATAGGATAACTAATTATGTACAATTCAGTACAGGATTGTGTGACATCAGATTTCTATGTGTTTTCATTAAATAATTTAAAATCTTACCTTTCTTCTGTCAGAGTCCTACATCATATATCCGTTTCAATAGTCTGATGAAAGTCAACAGAAAGCTTCCGTTCAAATTGATCTGATGTTCTCCCTGGTGATTGCCTTCTTATTTATTCTTGGCTGGACGTCCACTGTCTTGGTGGTCTCTTAACTGGCCCTTTCTTCTCATTAGTTTTCTGTATCTCTCACAGAAGTCAGGTTGACTTTTGTTTCTTACAACTCTGATTATACCTAGCTTTTACTCTGAGACCTTCACAACTGCTTATTGTCCAATACACAAAATGTTTTCAGCTTAGATGTGAAAAATTTTAAGATTTTACTCCAATCTACTTTCCAGTCTTACCTCTCCCTAACTTATGCAACACTATGTATAAACTCCATCTTAGTTGTTATTTTTTTCACCAAAATTTCCCTGATTACATCAGCCTTAGCCAGATGATCTCTCCTATCTCTAATGATTCATAGTTTCTTTGGAAATTTGTTACATTACACCCTGCATAACAGAATAATCATACCCCATACTTCTGAGACTTTAAATTTCATAATAAGAAGAATCTGTTATTTTAAAGCTGATTTTATCCCTGCCCACTTGTTTAGAGAATAAATATTATTATATATTGGTATATATTTGGTTTTACAGTTAAATATCAATCAATGTAACATATCATATCAATAGAATGAAGGACAAAATCAAATTGCCATCTTAAGAGAAAAAATGAAATGTTTGTAAAAATTGAGCACACTTTCATGATTAAAACTTTCAAAAAAAGTAAGAACAGTAAAGAGCTTCCTCAACCTGGAAAAGTTGTATTAGTCCGTTTTCACGCTGCTGATAAAGACACAACTGAGACTGGGTAATTTATTAACAAAAAGAGGTTTCATGAACTCACAGTTCCACATGGCTGAGGGTGCCTCACAATCATGGCAGAAGGTGGAAGGTGAAAGGCACTTCTTACATGGTGGCAGACAAGAGAGAATAAGAGCCAAGTGAAGGGGGTTTCCTCTTATAGAACCATCAGATCTCTTGATACTTATTCACTACCATGAGAACAGTATGGGGGAAACTACCCCTATGATTCAATTATCTCCCACTGGGTGCCTTCCACAACATGAGGGAATTATGGGGGCTACTAGTCAAGATGAGATTTGGGTGTGGACACAGCCAAACCATATCAAGAGTACCTCTAGAAAACCCACAAATCACCGTGTTCTCTTTTTGGATGATGGGTTCACTGGAAGCCCAAACCATAGCATTACACAGTATACACATATAAGAAACCTGCACATGTACCCACTGAATCTCTAATTATAAAACACAATGAGCAATATGCACATGAAATGGTGCCTAACAATATTAGTTATCAGAGAAATTGCAAGGAAACCACAATGATGGCCAGGAGCGGTGGCTCACATCTGTAATCCCAGCACTTTGGGAGGCCAAGGCGGGTGGATCATCTGCGGTCAAGAATTCGAGACCAGCCTGACCAACATGAAGAAACCCCATCTCTACTAAAAATATAAAATTAGCCAGGTTTGGTGGTACTTGCCTGTAATCCCAGCTACTCGGGAGGCTGAGGCAGGGAATCACTTGAACCCGGGAGGCAGAGGTTGTGGTAAGCCGAGATTGTGCCATTGCATGCCAGCCTGGGCAACAAGAGCGAAACTCCATCTAAAAAAAAAAAAAAAAGAAAAAAGAAAACCACAATCATACACTACTTCATACTCGCTAAGATTTCTCAAATAAAAAAGACATGAACAACTACAATTGCTGGCAAGGATGTGAATAAATTAAAACCTCATACATTGCTGGTCAAGATTTAAAACAATTGCATCTGCTTTGGAAAAAAGTATGACAGTTTCACATAATGTTAAACATAGAGTTATCACATAACCTAATGATACTGCAGGTATATGCTCAATTTAAATGAAAACCTACATCCACAAAAAATTTATATGTGAATGGCATATAGCGGAATTATTCATAATAGCTAAAAATAAAACAAAATAAATGTTCACCAACTGATGAATAAATGGATACAATGTGATATATCCACAGAATGTAATATATTCAGCAAAAAACAGAACTGAAGAATATATGCTATAACATTTCTAATCCTTGAAAATATTATGGTAAATGATAGAAATTGGTCATAAAACACAACATGTACAACTCTGTTTTAATAAAATGTTTAATAAGGTGCTCAGAAGAGGTAATTCCATATAAACAGATAGTAGATTAGAGATTTTCAGGAACTGGGAGGAGGAGAGAATAGAGAATGACTACTAAATTGGTGCAAGGTTTCTTTATGAGTCAATGAAAATGTTCTAAAATTAAATAGCAATAACAGTTGTGCAACCCTACAAATATACAAAAATGTGCCAATTTGTACATTATAATTTTAAAATGTTATGGTAAGTATTGAAATTATTTTTCAATAAAGCTTATTTGCATGTGTGTTTTTTTAATTGACTGCTATTAGAAGAATTTTATGGAATTACTGAAAAGACCTGAGTAAAACCTTAGGGCAAACCAATGAAGTAGATCTACAGTAACCTAAAGAAACTGTTCAATTTGATGGTGAAATGATGGGTAAGGAGATGGTGTCAGAGAAGCAGTATAAAGTATTAGGTAAACTAACAATTAAGATGAGTACATCTTTGTGACTTGAGCCTTTTATTTGCTAAGTGCTTTAATGAATGTGCAATAAATGAAGTGAAATCTAGTTGGTAATTTTCCCCATTCTCTCCATTTCATCCTCTTTTTGCATAAAGTTGTAGAATAAAAAGGTAAAACATTGATTAATCCAAGGTTAAAATAAGAAGAAACTGAAGACGACTGTTATTAAGGAAAATCGAAGAGGAAATTATCTTACTTAATGAACTGGTTACAATTCCAGCAAAATTTGAAAGAGTTAAGTACTTAAAGATTTCTGCAACATTTATATAGCCAAAAACCACATGTCTTTATCCAAAGCCAAATATTTTTCTCTCTAAATATAAAATTGCAGGATATAGTTTCCTAGGTTTACTTATTTACATCTACTTATAAAAACATTTCAGTTATAATTAATTTTAGTGGACTCTCTTACTCATTGCCCCCAGCATATTCCTGTATATGCCTTTCTCATGATTACTCTAATATTTGTGACATAAAAGGTACAGTAACGCATTGCTTAACAATGGGGATAAATTCTAAGCAATGTGTAGTTAGGCAATTTACTCACCATGCAAACACCATAGAGTATAGTTACACAAATGTAGATGGTATGGTTAACTACAATATGGGTTTGTGCTCTTGGCTACAAACCTGCACAGCCCATTACTGTACTGAATACTATAGGCAATGGTAACATAATGGTAAGTGTCTGTGTATCTAAACAGACAAGGTACAGTAAAAATATGGTCAAAATTTAAAAAAAAAATAAAAAAGGCTGGGTGTGGTGGCACATGCCTGTGGTCCCAGCTACTTGGGAGGCTGAGGCAGGAGAATCACTTGAACCCGGGAGACAGAGTTGCAATGTGCTGAGATCGAGACACTGCTCTTCAGCCTGGGCATTAGAATAAGACTCTGTTTAAAAAAAAAAAAAAGAGAAAAATAAATAAAGCAAAGGTATACCTGTATAGAGCATTTACCATGAATGGAGCTCATAGAATTGGAAGTTGCTCTGGGTGAGTCAGTGAATTGATGAGAGAGGCTAGGACGTTACTGGAGACTTTTTGTTTGTTTGTCTTTTGAGACATTCTGTCACTCAGGCTGGAGTGCAGTGGTGTGATCATGGCTTACTGCAGCCTGAACTACCTGGGTTCAAGTGATCCACCCACCTCAGCTCCTGGAGTAGCTGGAACTACAGGCCTGTGCCAACACACTCAGCTAATGTCTTCTTACATTTTTGGTAGAGACGATGTCTCATTATGTTTCCCAGGGTGGTCTTGGACTCCTGGCCTCAAGTTAATCTCCCACCTCAGCTTGCTAACATGTGGGAATTACAGGCATGAGCCACTGCGTCTGGCTTGGAGACTTTATAAACACTGTACACGTAAGTGACACTAAATTAATTTAAAATGACTTCTCTTTCTTCAGTAATAAATTAACCTTATCTTACTGTGTATTTTTTACTCTGTAAACTGTAAATTTTTAATCTTTTTCCTCTTTTGTAACAATACATAGCTTAAAACACAAGCACATAGTACAACTGTGCAAAAATATTTTCTTTCTTTACATCCTTATTCAATAAGTTTGCCTGTTTTTAAAATTATGTATTTCCTTTTACTTTTTAAACTTTTATGTTAAAAATTAAGTCCCCTACACATTAGCCTAGGCCTACGCAGGGTCAGGATCATCAATATCACTGTCTTCCACCTGTACGTCTCCCACTGCAGGGTCTTGAGTGGCAATAACAGGAATTTACACAACACCTTAAAGATACAAACAGGCTAATCCAGCATGCAAGAAACTCCCCAGAACAAATAACTGGATTTCTTCAACAAATATGTTGCATAAAATAACAGAATAGAATTGCTTTTAAGCTAAAAGGTACTTAGGAGATGTGTCAGCCACATGTTTGTGTTTGCATGTGTGTGTGTGTGTTGGTGTGAACCTTGCTTGGACCCAGATTTAAACAAATCAGTAATATAAATGCCCTTTTTTAATGCAAGCATAATAAATTGAACACAGACTAGATATTAGATTACAGCTGTTTACAGTTACACACTGTTATACTTTTTCAGACTTCTATAAATTCGTATGTATATACATTACATAAGTATCATAGGCACATGTCTATTCACACATAGATTTCTATAATGTGTTTTTACTTTATTTGCTCATTTTATAAATTATCTTGGCTTTCCTTTTATGTCCATGTACATAGAGTCACCTTTTATTTTCATAATGCCTATATACTATTTAATTATACAGATATGCCAAAGTAATATTATTCCCTTATTAATGATAGCCATTTTGTTTTGTTTTGTTGTTGCTATTACAAACAATTACATATATCGTTGTGCAAACATTCTGTTGAGCCAATTGCTAGGAGAAAATACCCAATTTTTAAAAGAAGAGGAAATAGGGGCTCTGAAAGATTGACTTGCCTAGGATTACACAGTCTGTAAACAGCAGAGCTGGCACTGCAAACCTGGTGTCTGTGTCACTAAAAGCTGATCATATTTCCAATCGCTTTCACTGCCTTCTGCACTGGGGACTCATTTAGATGGTATAATATATTGACAGCAAAAATCTCAGAAGGGGGTGCCAGCAGCATCTCACTTATGTCTCTAATATTTCTGTGGTTCAGAAACATTACTCATTTTGGTAGCCAGTAAACTGATGGAATCCACAAACCATCCTCTCTTAGTATCTCAACAGTCCCCTGGAGGAACAAGGTGATGGCTAAATGATGAACCAGTGGAAGCTGAAGAATTCCTGGCTAGGAATTATACTTGGTAACAAACACCCAGCCACACCCAGGGGCTTCACTGTCAATTCTATTGACAAGAGAGCACAGGAGAAGGGAAAACAATGATGCCACTTGAGTGGATGGTTCCAAGAGAGGCTTTCCTGTCCTGTCCCCTTCCAAGGGGAAAGGGGGCTACCTGGAAATAAGAAGGCATTTGTTTGTTGGTTGGTTGGTTGGTTGTGGTATCACCCTACCTTGTTTTGTCCATCTTGGGTGAAGAAGGTGTTTCTTAGCAAGAACAATAACATCCTTGCAATATGCTGTTCCCTCCATGTGATACGTAATACTGGTTGATTAGGAGCACAAAGACTGGGGAGGTGGCAACCACCTTAAAGAAAAACAAATTCTATAAAGTCACAACGAGACGAAAAGGGGACTTCTGGTGTGGCTTTGGGAAGGATTCTGGCTGGTATGAGATTCTCTTAGTTTTCAGAAAGGATCTTTCTTTCTAAGCCCACACGACTTCTTGGTCAAGTGGACAATAGGTGTTAAGAAATATGAGGCATGCCATTTACTCCCTGTAAAACTGAAATCTGTAAAACTGAAATGTAAATGTAGTGTTTGATGGAATGCCTCCCTGGACATTTATAGCCTTTATACTTTGTAATTACATTAAGCAACTAAAAATAATATTATGTAGGTAATTATGGAACTAATTGGCTTTCTGTGTCATTTTCTTTATTTTTCTTTTCAACTTTTATTTTAGGTTCAGGGGTACATGTACAGGTTTGTTACATGGGTCAATTGTGTGTTGCTGGGTTTTGATGTACAAATAATTTCATCACCCAGGTAGTGAGCATAGGGAGTTTTTCAATCCTCCTTTCCTCCCATCTTCCAGCCTCAAGTAGGCCCCATGGCCTCTTGTTACCCTCTTTGCATCCATGTGTACTCAGTGTTTAGCTCCCACTTATAAGTGAGAAATTGTGGGATTTGGTTTTCTGTTCCTGCATAAATTTGCCTGAATAATGGCCTCCAGCTGCGTCCATGTTACTGCAAAGGACGTGATTTCCTTTTTATGGCTGCATAGTAATCTTTGGTGAGAATGTACCACATTTTCTTTATCCAGTCCACCACTGATGAGCATCTACATTGATTCCATGTCTTTGCTACTGCAAGTAGTGCTGCAATGAACATACATGTGCACATGTCTTATGTAATAACAATTTTCATTCCTTTGGGCATATACCCAATAATGAGATTGCTGGGTTGAATGGGAGTTCTGTATAAGTTGTTTGAGAAGTTGACAAAGCATTTTCCAAATTGGCTGAATTGATTACATTCTCAACAGCAGTATACAAGAGTCCCCTTTCCTCCACAGCCTTATCAGCATCTGTTATTTTCTGACTTCTTAATCATAGCTATTGTGACTAGTGTGAGATGGTATCTCACTGTGGTTTTGGTTTGCATTTTTCTAATGATTAGTGATGTTGAGCATTTTTCATGTGCTTGTTGGCCATGCATATGTCCTTTTCTGACAAGTGCCTGTTTGTGTCCTTTGCCCATTTTTAATAAGTTGTTTGTTTTTGCTTACTAAGTTTCTTAATTTCTGGATATTAGACCTTTGTCAGATGCATAGTTTGCAAATATATTCTCTTATTCTGTAAGTTGTTTACTCTGTTGACAATTTATTTTTCTGTCCAGAAACTCTTTAGCTTAATTAAGTCCCAGTTGTCTATTTATTTGTTTTTTGTTAAAATTGCTTTTGAGGACATTGTCATGAAATCTTTGTAAAGGCCTATGTCCAGAATGGTATTTCCTGTGTTTTCTTTTAGGGCTTTTATAGCTTTAGGTTTTAGATTTCAGTTTTTAAACCATCTTGAGTAGATTATTGTACATGGTAAAAGGAAGGAGTCCAGTTTCAATATTCTACATATAGCTAGCCAGTTCTCCCAGCACAATTTTTGACATAGGGAGTACTTTCCCCATTTCTTGGTATGGTTGACTTTGGAAAAAGTCAGATGGGTTGTAGGTATGTGGATTTATTTCTGATTTCTCCAACCTGTTGCATTGGTCTATGTGTCTGGTTTTGTAGCACTATCATGATGTTTTGTTTACTGTAGCTATGCAGTATAGTTTGAAGTTGGTAGTGTAATGCCTCTGGCTTTTTTCTGTTTGCTTAGGATCACTCTGGGTATTCGGGCTCATTTTTGGTTTCATATACATTTTCAAATATTATTTTTCCAATTCTGTGAAAAACGATGTTGGAAGTTTGATACAAATAGCACTGAATCTGAAAATTGCTTTGGGAAGTATGTCCATTTTAACAATATTGATTCTCCCTACATATGAACACGGCATGTTTTTCCATTTGTTTATATAATCTCTGATTTCTTTCAGCAGTGTTTTGTAGTTCTTCTTTTTTTATATATACTTTAAGTTTTAGGGTACGTGTGCACAACATGCATGTTACTTACATATGTATACGTGTCCCATGTTGGTGTGCTGCACCCATTAACTCGTCATTTAACATTAAGTATATCTCCTAATGCTATCCCTCCCCTTCCCCTCACCCCACAACAGGCCCCAGTGTGTGATGTTCCCCTTCCTCTGTCCACGTGTTCTCATTGCTCAATTCCCACCTATGAGTGAGAACATGCAGTGTTTGATTTTTTGCCCTTGCGATAGTTTGCTGAGAATGATGGTTTCCAGTTTCATCCATGTCCCTACAAAGGACATCAACTCATCATTTTTTATGGCTGCATAGTATTCCATGGTGTATATGTGTCACATTTTCTTTTTTTATTATTGTATTATTATTATACTTTCAGTTTTAGGGTACATGTGCACAATGTGCAGTTTTGTTACATATGTATACATGTGCCATGTTGGTGTGCTGCACCCATTAACTCGTCGTTTAGCATTAGGTATATCTACTAATATATGTGCCACAATTTCTTAATCCAGTCTACCAATGTTGGACATTTGGCTTGTTTCCAAGTCTTTGCTATTGTGAACAGTGCCACAATAAATATACGTGTGCATGTGTCTTTATAGCAGCATGATTTATAATCCTTTGGGTATATACCCAGTAATGGGATGGCTGGGTCAAATGGTATTTCTAGTTCTAGATCCTTGAGGAATCGCCACACTGTCTTCCACAATGGTTGAATTAGTTTACAGTCCCACAAACAGTGTAAAAGTGTTCCTATTTCTCCACATCCTCTCCAGCACCTGTTGTTTCCTGACTTTTTAATGATTGCCATTCTAACTGGTGTGAGATGGTATCTCATTGTGGTTTTGATTTGCATTTCTCTGATGGCCAGTGATGATGAGCATTTTTTCATGTGTCTTTTGGCTGCAAAAATGTCTTCTTTTGAGAAGTGTCTGTTCATATCCTTGGCCCATTTTTTGATGGAGTTGTTTGCTTTTTTCTTGTAAATTTGTTGGAGTTCATTGTAGATTCTGGATATTAGCCCTTTATCAGATGAGTAGATTGCAAAACTTTTCTCCCATTCTGTAGGTTGCCTGTTCACTCTGATGGTAGTTTCTTTTGCTGTGCAGAAGCTCTTTAGTTTAATTAGATCCCATTTGTCAATTTTGGCTTTTGTTGCCATTGCTTTTGGTGTTTTAGACATGAAGTCCTTGCCCATGCCTATGTCCTGAATGGTGTTGCCTAGGTTTTCTTCTAGGGTATTTATGGTTTCAGGTCTAACATTTAAGTCTCTAATCCATCTTGAATTAATTTTTGTATAAGGTGTAAGGAAGGGATCCAGTTTCAGCTTTCTACATATAGCTAGCCAGTTTTCCCAGTACCATTTATTAAATAGGGAATCCTTTCCCCATTTCTTGTTTTTGTCAGGTTTGTCAAAGATCAGACGGTTGTAGATATGTGGCATTATTTCTGAGGGCTCTATTCTGTTCCATTGGTCTATATCTCAGTTGTGGTACCAGTACCGTGCTGTTTTGGTTACTGTAGCCTTGTAGTATAGTTTGAAGTCAGGTAGCATGATGCCTCCAGCTTTGTTCTTTTGGCTTAGGATTGACTTGACAATGTGGGCTCTTTTTTGGTTCCATATGAACTTTAAAGTAGTTTTTCCATTTCTGTGAAGAAAGTCATTGGTAGCTTGATGGGGATGGCATTGAATCTATAAATTACCTTGGGCAGTATTGCCATTTTCACAATATTGATACTTCCTACCCATGAGCATGGAATGTTCTTCCATTTGTTTGTATCCTCTTTTATTTCCTTGAGCAGTGGTTTGTAGTTCTCCTTGAAGAGGTTCTTCAGGTCCCTTGTAAGTTGGATTCCTAGGTATTTTATTCTCTTTGAAGCAATTGTGAATGGGAGTTCACTCAGGATTTGGCTCTCTGTTTGTCTGTTATTGGTGTATAAGAATGCTTGTGTTTTTGCACATTGATTTTGTATCCTGAGACTCTGCTAAAGTTGCCTATCAGCTAAAGGAGATTTGGGGCTGAGATGATGGGGTTTTCTAGATATAAAATCATGTCATCTGCAAACAGGGACAATTTGACTTCCTCTTTTCATAATTGAATACCCTTTATTTCCTTCTGCTGCCTGATTGCCCTGGCCAGAACTTCCAACACTATGTTGAATAGGAGTGGTGAGAGAGGGCACCCCTGTCTTGTGCCAGTTTTCAAAGGGAATGCCTCCAGTTTTTGCCCATTCAGTGTGATATTGGCTGTGGGTTTGTCATAGATAGCTCTTATTATTTTGAGATACGTCCCATCAATACCTAATTTATTGAGGGTTTTTAGCATGAAGGGTTGTTGAATTTTGTCAAAGGCATCTATTGAGATAATCATGTGGTTTTTGTCGTTGGTTCTGTTTATATGCTGGATTACATTTATTGATTTGTGTATGTTGAACCAGCCTTGCATCCCAGGGATGAAGCCCACTTGATCATGGTGGATAAGCTTTTTGATGTGCTGCTAGATTCGGTTTGCCAGTATTTTACTGAGGATTTTTGCAACGATGTTCATCAGGAATATTGGTCTACAATTCTCTTTTTTGGTTGTGTCTCTGCCAGGCTTTGGTATCAGCATGATGCTGGCCTCATAAAATGAGTTAGGGAGTATTCCCTCTTTTCTATTGATTGCAATAGTTTCAGAAGGAATGGTACCAGCTCCTCCTTGTACCTCTGGTAGAATTCGGCTGTAAATCCATCTGGTCCTGGACTTGTTTTGGTGGGTAAGCTATTAATTATTGCGTCAATTTCAGAGTCTGTTATTGGTCTATTCAGAGATTCAACTTCTTCCTGGTTTAGTCTTGGGAGGGTGTATGTGTTAAGGAATTTATGCATTTCTTCTAGATTTTCTAGGTTGTTTGCGTAGAGGTGTTTATAGTATTCTCTGATGGTATTTTGTATTTCTGTGGGATCTGTGGTGATATCCCCTTTATCATTTTTTATTGCATCTATTTGATTCTTCTCTCTTTTCTTTTTTATTAGTCTTGCTAGTGGTCTATCAATTTTGTTGATCTTTTCAAAAAACCAGCTCCTGGATTCATTGATTTTTTGAAGGATTTTTTGTGTCTCTATTTCCTTCATTTCTGCTCTGATCTCAGTTATTTCTTGCCTTCTGCTAGCTTTTGAATGTGTTTGCTCTTGCTTCTCTAGTTCTTTTAATTGTGATCTTAAGGTGTCAATTTTAGATCTTTCCTGCTTTCTCTTGTGGGCATTTAGTACTATAAATTTCCCTCTACACACTGCTTTGAATGCATCCCAGAGATTCTGGTATGTTGTGTCTTTACTCTCGTTGGTTTCAAAGAACATCTTTATTTCTGCCTTCATTTCGTTATGTACCCAGTAGTCATTCAGCAGCACGTTGTTCAGTTTCCATGTAGTTGAGCGGTTTTGAGTGAGTTTCTTAATCCTGAGTTCTAGTTTGATTGCACTGTGGTCTGAGAGACAGTTTGTTATAATTTGTGTTCTTTTACATTTGCTGAGGAGCGCTTTACTTCCAACTATGTGGTCAATTTTGGAATAAGTGTGGTGTGATGCTGAGAAGAATGTATATGCTGTTGATTTGGGGTGGAGAGTTCTGTAGATATCTATTAGGTCTGCTTGGTGCAGAGCTGAGTTCAATTCCTGGATATCCTTGTGAACTTTCTGTCTCATTGATCTGTCTAATGTTGACAGTGGGGTGTTAAAGTCTCCCATTATTATTGTCTGGGAGTCTAAGTCTCTTTCTAAGTCTTTGAGGACTTGCTTTATGAATCTGGGTGCTCCTGTATTGGGTGAATATATATTTAGGATCGTTAGCTCCTCTTGTAGAATTGATCCCTTTACCATTATTTAATGGCCTTCTTTGTCTCTTTTGATCTTTGTTGGTTTAAAGTCTGTTTTATCAGAGACTAGGATTGCAACCCCTGCCTTTTTTTGTTTTCCATTGGCTTGGTAGGTCTTCCTCTATCCCTTTATTTTGAGCCTATGTGTGTCTCTGCACATGAGATGGGTTTCCTGAATACAGCACACTGATGGGTCTTGACTCTTTATCCAATTTGCCAGTCTGTGTCTTTTAATTGGAGCATTTAGCCCATTTACACTTAAGGTTAATATTGTTATGTGTGAATTTGATCCTGTCATTATGATGTTAGCTGGTTATTTTGCTCGTTGGTTGACGCAGTTTCTTCCTAGCCTTGATGGTCTTTACAATTTGGCATGTTTTTGCAGTGGCTGGTACCAGTTGTTCCTTTCCATGTTTAGTGCTTACCTCAGGAGATCCTTTAGGGCAGGCCTGGTGGTGGCAAAATCTCTCAGCATTTGCTTGTCTGTAAAGTATTTTATTTCTCCTTCACTTATGAAACTTAGTTTGTCTGGATATGAAATTCTGGGTTGAAAATTCTTTTCTTTAAGAATGTTGAATATTGGCCCCCACTCTCTTCTGGCTTGTAGAGTTTTGCTGAGAGATCAGCTGTTAGTCTAATGGGCTTCCCTTTGTGGGTAACCCGACCTTTCTCTCTGGCTGCCCTTAACATTTTTTCTTTCATTTCAACTTTGGTGAATCTGACAATTATATGTCTTGGAGTTGCTCTTCTCGAGGAATATCTTTGTGGCGTTCTCTGTATTTCCTGAATTTGAATGTTGGCCTGCCTTCCTAGATTGGGGAAGTTCTCCTGGATAATATCCTGCAGAGTGTTTTCCAACTTGGTTCCATTCTCCCTGTCACTTTCAGGTACACCAATCAGACGTAGATTTGGTCTTTTCACATAGTCCCATATTTCTTGGAGGCTTTGTTCGTTTCTCTTTATTCTTTTTTCTCTAAACTTCTCTTCTCGCTCCATTTCATTCATTTGGTCTTCCATCACTGATACCCTTTCTCCAGTTGATCGAATTGGCTACTGAGGCTTGTGCATTCATCATGTAGTTCTTGTGCCTTGGTTTTCAGCTCCATCAGGTCCTTTAAGGACTTCTCTGGATTAGTTATTCTAGTTAGCCATTCGTCTAATTTTTTTTCAAGGTTTTTAACTTCTTTGCCATGGGTTCGAAATTCCTCCTTTAGCTCGGAGTAGTTTGTTCGTCTGAAGCCTTCTCTCAACTCATCAAAGTCATTCTCCATCCAGCTTTGTTCCGTTGCTGGTGAGGAGCTGCATTCCTTTGGAGGAGGAGAGGCGCTCTGATTTTTAGAGTTTCCAGTTTTTCTGCTCTGTTTTTTCCCCATCTTTGTGGTTTTATCTACCTTTGGTCTTTGATGATGGTGACGTACAGATGGGGTTTTGGTGTGGATGTCCTTTCTGTTTGTTAGTTTTCCTTCTAACAGTCAGAACTCTCAGCTGCAGGTCTGTTGGAGTTTGCTGGAGGTCCACTCCAGACCCTGTTTGCCTGGGTATCAGCAGCGGAGGCTGCAGAACAGCGGATACTGGTGAGCAGCAAATGTTGCTGCCTGATCATTCCTCTGGAAGTTTTGTCCCAGAGGAGTACCCAGCTGTGTGAGGTGTCAGTCTGCCCCTACTGGGGGGTGCCTCCCAGTTAGGCTTTTCGGGGGTCAGGGGCCCACTTGAGGAGGCAGTCTGTCTGTTCTCAGATCTCCAGCTGCATGCTGGGAGAACCACTACTCTCTTCAAAGCTATCAGACAGGGACATTTAAGTCTGCAGAGGATTTTGCTGCCTTTTGTTTGGCTGTTCCCTGCCCCCAGAGGTGGAGTCTACAGAGGCAGGCAGGCCTCCTTGAGCTGTGGTGAGCTCCACCCAGTTCGAGCTTCCTGGCCACTTTGTTTACCTACTCAAGCCTCAGCAATGGCAGGTGCCCCTCCCCGAGCCTCGCTGCCTCCTTGCAGTTTGATCTCAGACTGCTGTGCTAGCAATAAGCAAGGCTCCATGGGCTTAGGACCCTCCAAGCCAGGCATGGGGTATAATCTCCTGGTGTGCTGTTTGCTAAGACCATTGGAAAAGCGCAGTATTAGGGTGGGAGTGACCTGATTTTCCAGGTGCCATCTGTCACCCCTTTCTTTGACTAGGAAAGGGAATTCCCTGACCCCTTGCGCTTCCCGGGTGAGGCAATGTCTCGCCCTGCTTCTGCTCACGCTGGGTGCAGTGCACCCACTGTCCTGCACCCACTTTCCAACACTCCCCAGTGTCACTCCCCAGTGAGATGAGCCTGGTACCTCAGTTGGAAATGCAGAAATCACCCATCTTCTGCGTTGCTCACACTGGGAGCTCTAGACTGGAGCTGTTCCTATTCGGCCATCTTGGCTCCACCCAGTCTTTTGTAATTCTAATTGTAGAGATCTCTCATCTCCCTGGTTGGCTGTATTCCGAAGTATTTTATTGTTTTTGTGACTATTGTGAAGGATATTGCATGCTTGATTTGGCTCCTAGCTTGGACATTATCAGTGTGTACAAATGCTACTGCTCTTTGTACATTAATTTAGTATCCTGAAGCTTTACTGACCTTGTTTATTAGTTCTAGTGGTCATTGTGTAGACACCATGGGTTTTCTGTGTAGGGAATTGTATCATTTGAGAAGAGAGAGAATTTGATTTCATCTCTTCCTGTTTGGATGCCTTTTGTATTTTTCTCATGCCTGATTGTTCTGGCTAGGACTTCCAGTATTATGTTGAATAGGGGTGGTGAGAGTGAACATACTTGTCTTATTCCATTTCTCAAGTGAAATGCTTTCAGCTTTTTCCCATTCAGTATGACATTAGCTGTGGGTCTGTCATAGATGGCTGTCATTATTTTGAGGTATATTCCTTCAATGCCTAGTTTGTTGATGGTTTTAATATGAATGGATGTTAAATTTTATCAAAACCCTTTATGCATCTTTTGAGAAGATCATGTGGTTTTTGTTTTTAGTTCTGTTCATGTGATAAATCATATTTATTGATTTGCATATATTGAACCAACCTCACCTATCAGAAATAAAGCCTACTTTCTCATGGTGGATTAACTTTTTGATATCCTGCTGACTTTGATTTGCTAGTATTTTATTGAGGATTTTTGTGTCTAAGTTCATCAGGTATATTGTCATGAAGTTTGTGTTTTTCATTGTGTCTCTACCAGGTTTTGGTATCAGAATGATTCTGGCCTTATAGAATGAATTAGGAAAAAGTCTCTCCTCAGCTTTTTGGCATAGTTTCAGGAGGATTGGTACCAGGTTTCCATTATACATCTAGTAGAATTTGGCTGTGAATTTGTCTACTCCAAGACTTTTTTGGTTGGTAGTTTTTTTGTTTTTTTGTTTTTTTGTTTTTTTTTTTTGAGGTGGAGTCTCGCTCTGTCACCCAGGCTGGAGTGCAGTTGCGTGATCTGGGCTCACTGCAAGCTTTGCCTTCTGGGTTTACGCCATTCTCCTGCCTTAGCCTCCCGAGTAGCTGGGACTACAGGTGCCTGCCAGCGTGATCAGCTAATTTTTTGTATTTTTAGTAGAGACGGTGTTTCACTGTGGTCTGGATCTCCTGACCTTGTGATCCGCCCTCCTCAGCCTCCCAAAGTGCTGGGATTACAGGCGTGAGCCACTGTGCCCGGCCTGGTAGCTTTTTTATTACTGATTCAATTTTGGAAATTATTATTGATGTCTTCAAGTATTCAATTTCTTCATGGTTCAATCTTGGGAGGTTTTATGTTTCCGGGAACTTACTCATTTATTCTATGTTTTCTAATTTGTGTGCACAGAGGCGTTTGTAATAGTCCCTGAGGACTTCTTGTATTTCTTTGGGTTCATTGGTAATGTCACCCTTGTCATTTCTGATTATGTTTATTTAGAGCTTCTCTCTTTTTTCTTTTTTAGCCTAGCTAGCAGTTTATCAATCTTATTTATTTTTTCAAAAAACAAACTTTTGCTTTCATTGAACTTTTGTATGGATTTTTGTGTCTCAAGTTTGTTCAGTACAATTCTGATTTGGGTTATTTATTTTCTTCTGCTAGCTTTGAGGTTGGTTGGCTCTTGTTTTCCTAGTTCCTTTCGGTGTGATGTTAAGTTTCTAATTAAAGATATTTCTAAATTTTTGATATTGGCATTTAATGCTATGATCTTTGATCTTAACACTGCTTTAGCTGTGTCCCAGAGATTCTTTGTATGATGTACCTTTGTTTTCATTAGTTTCAAATAATTTCTTGATTTCTGCTTTAATTTTGTCATTTACCCAAAAGCCATTCGAGAGCAGGTTGTATAATTTCCATGTAATTGTATAGTTTTGAGAGATCTTCTTGGTATTAATGTCTATTTTTATTATGCTGTGGCTCAATAGTGTGGTTGATGTAATTTTCCTTTGTGAAGTTTCCTTAGAATTGCTTTGTGGCAGAGTGTGGTCAATCTTAGAGTATGTGCCATTTACAGATGATAATATTATATATTCTGTTGTTTTGGGTGAAGTGTTCTGTAGATATCTTATAGGTCTATTTGGTCAAGTGTTGAGTTTAGGTCCTGAATATCTGTTAGTCTTCTGCCTCAGTGATCTGTCTAAAACTGTCAGTGAGGTGTTGAAGTCTCCCCCTACTATTGTGTGGTTATCTAAGTCTCTTTGTAGGTCTTTAAGAACTTGTTTTATGAATGTGGGTGCTCCAGTGTTGGGTGCATGTATGTTTAGGATAGTTAAGTCTTCTTGTTTAATTGAACCATTTATCATTATGTAATGCCCTTCTTTTTCCTTTTTGATCATTCTTAAAGTCTGGTTTGTCTTTATAAAAGACAAATAAGAATTAAAAACTCCTGCTTCTTTTGTTTTCTGTCTGCTTTATAGATCTTTCTCCATCCCTTTACTTTGAGCCTGTATGTGTCACTGCATGTGAGGTGAATCTCGTGAAGACAGCATACAGCTGGATCTGCTTTTTTTTATACAATTTGCCACGCTGTGCCTTTTAAGTGGGGCATTTTGCCTATTTACATTCTAAGAGATTATTGATAGGTAAGGATTTGATCATGTCCTCATGCTGTCAGCTGGTTGTTATATAGACTTGATTGTATAGTTGCTTTATAGTGTCAGTGGGCTATGTACTTCAGTGTGTTTTGTGGTGGCAGTTAACAGTCTTTTGTTTCCATGTTTAGCATTCTCTGAAGGACATCTTATAAGGCAGATCCAGTGGTAATGAATTCCCTAGGCATTTGCTTGTCTGAAAATAGTTTTATTGCTCCTTCACTTAGTTTGGCTGGATATGAAATTATTAGTTGGAGTTTCTTTTCATTAAAGATGCTATATAGAGGCCTCAATTTCTTTTGGTTTGTAAGGTTTCTGCTAAAAGTTTTTCTGTTAGCTTGATGGCGTTCCATTTGAAGGTGACCTGTCCCTTCTCCCCATCTGCCTGTAAATTTTTTTTCTTTCAGATTAACCTTGGAGAATCTACTGATTACGTGTTTTGGGGATGGTCATGGTATATACTATCTAACAGGGGTTCTCTGAATTTCCTGAATTTGCACAATGACCTGTGTAGCTAGGTTGGAAAATTTTTGTGGACAATATCCTCAAATATGTCTTCCAAGTTGTTGGTTCTCGTTCTCTCTCTCTCTCTCTCTCCTTCTGGAATGTCAGTGAGTCATAGGTTTGGTCTGTTTACATGATTCTATGTTTCTCAGATATTTTGTTCATTTTTAATTTTTTTTTCATTTTTTTGGTGTGACTGGGTTGATTTGAAAAACTAGTCTTGAAGCTGTGATATTCTTTCCACAGCTTGGTCTATTCTGCTATTAATACTTCCAATTCTATTATGAAATTCTTGTAGTAAGGTTTTGAGCTCTATAATATCATTTTGGTTCTTTCGTAAAATGGCTATTTCATCTTTTAGCTCTTCTATCATTTTATCGGATTCCTTAGTTTCCTTGTATTGGGGTTCAACTTTCTCCTGAAGCTCTGTGAGCTTCATTGCCATCCCGATTCTGAATTCTATGTCTGTCATTTTAACCATTTCAGTCTGGTTAAGGCCATTGCTGGTGAGCTAGTGCAGTCTTTTGGAGGTAGGACAGAAGATACTCTGGCTTTTAGAATTGCCTGAGTTCTCACATTGGTTCTTTCTTATCTGTGTGGACTGATGTTCCTTTAACATTTGAAATTGCTGTCCTTTGTATGGACCTTTTTACTTTTATATTATTTGGTGCCCTTTAGTGTTTAACTGTAGTACAAGTTGGGTTTTGTAATTTGCTTCATTTCTGGGTAATTATTTCAGAGGGCCAAAATTCAGCTCAGCCTGCTCGGACTGCATATTCTATCTCTGGGAGGCTGAGACAAGGCCCACATTTTTTCTCTGTCCCATTGAGGCTAGAGAAAAGCTTTTTTCTCTGGCCATGAATGTTAAGCACCTGTTGTCTTGAAGGGGCCAAGGTATTCCCAGTTCTCTGGCAACAACATTCTGTCAAAAGTGTTTTAGTGCACTGCTGGTAGGGAGGCAGTAGGTCCTGTGTGCAGTATGCACTGGCACTGAGGCAGCGGTGGGGTCCGTGCTTCTGTGCATGGTGGCAAAATGATGGAGGAAGGGTGTGGGTAGGTGCATGCCAGTAAGGCTCTGTCTGCAAAACAAGGCAAGGTCTGCCTCTGAAAAAGCCATGGTCGTAGCCACTGGCACATGCTTCAGTGGGGCAACTAAGGATGCCTTGCAAGTGGGTGCAGCCAGGCAGAGACCCTGGGAGAGACCAGCAGACAGAGGGACACTCAGATCAGACTGGCTGCATCCCAAAGGCAAGATATCCCTTCTTTGTTCAGATTTGTCACTCAACAAAGGCTAAACCTACGTGCGGGAGTATGGCAAGCCTTGAGGGATGGGCATCCATGGCTATGCTTCACTGAAGCCATTTCCACACCAAACCCAATGGGCTCTATGCAGGCTGGAGTTCTGTCTCTGACAACTGACCTGGAAGTTTTCCCTTTCAGCTCAAATGTTTGTGGTGGTTGTGGGGTGCCATATATGTAGTATTCTGGAGGTCTATGGTGAGAGTGGGCCACTCCATGCCTATTTTACTCAGCCCTTCCCCGGGAGCCAGTCAAGGCCAGAAATGAGTCTTAGTAGTAGGCAATCCCATACAGCATTCCCGGCTTCCTCTCCTTTCAGCCCAGGGTCTGCATCCTTCCTCCATTTACTCTCAATGCCTCCTTTCCTAGAATCTGTTCAGGATGTTCTAGTCTTCTTGGTGGTCTGGTCTCTGTGAGAGAAGCTCTTTCTGGCTGACTCTAGTAAGCCATCTTTGCTAAGAAGATCTCTCCGTGTCCTTTTCTATAAATGTATTAATAGTTCACATTTTTACCTTGGAGTACTATTGACACAGTGGTAGAAGGACTTTTCATAAAGCGATTTCTATCATCAGGTGGATAATTCTAGATCCACTTTTGGTTACTATGAGACTCAAGTGTCTTGGAAACTTCAAGGAATGACCTTGGAAAAGTCAGCTTGGCTTCCTTCTTTTCATAGGAAAATGGCAATAAAAAAGAAAGTACTTGCTCACACAAAAGAGACATAGGGTGTTTTCCAGGGACTTGTAGTCCTAGAGTCCACACAAAGCAAGAATTGTCTTTGCTCACCACTGCAGGGCAAATTACAGTGATTTTGCCAACCCTGACAATCAAAATCCCTATAAAAAGTGAAAGATAAGAAGTCACTGATATTCCAACATCTATAGATCCACTGTTGAGATTTTAGTGCATTTAATTTAAATCCTTTCTCTGTAGTATATGTGTGTTGTGGGATGCAGGGGGTGAGTGGCTTACATCAACTTTTGATAAAGTCATGGCCATATTGTTGGTGTAACTTCACATTCTGCTTATTTCACTATAAACCTTGTTTGTAACATAAACCTATTAACAAAAATAATTGCAATGCTGGCAGTTTTGGGTAGAGTAAGTAATATCTTATCCTCATCCATTGTAAGGTTCATAGCTGACACCCATATAATGAAAGAGAGTTCTACAAAAGAATATCGTAACAAATATATTCAGTCAAAGTTTTATATGACATGAGAGCCCTCAGAAATGAAGACCCAAAGATCCAGGGAAAACTGTACGGTGTGTGTGTGTATGTGTATACATATATATATGTGTATATGAAATACGCACACATACACATGTATATGTGTGTTTCCAACAGATTTGTATACACAGTGTACATAACTTTCAAATAATAATGTCATAAATAATGCAAGGATTTGGTGCTAACAAATCTACACTACACAAAATAATAAATAAAGCTTGTCAGGGGAACAACATAAAAAGGAAAATCAGACTTTCAGAAGTAAAAACAAATGTGTAGATATAATATGTTTTCTATTTATTTCTTTAAAATACATACTAATAAATAAAAAAATATGACATTGTCTTGTCAATTTTACAGCATATGTAGATATAGTGCATATAAGAAACATGCCACAAAGAATAGAGAGTATCTGTATTAATCTGTTTTCACATTGCTATGAAGATACTATGTGAGACTGGGTAATTTATACACAAAAAAGATATATCGACTCACAGTTCCACATGACTGAGAGGCCTCAGGTAACTTATAATTATGGTGGAAGGGGAAGCAGGCACACCTTACATGGCAGCAGGACAGAGAGAGGTACAAACGGGAAATGCCAGATGCTCATAAAATCATTAGACCTCATGAGAACTCACTCACTATCATCAGAACAGCATGGGACAAACCACCCCCATAATCCAATCACTTCCCAACCAAATCTCTCCCTAAACACCTGGGGATTAGAATTCAAGATGAGATTTGGGTGGGAACACAAAGCCTAACCATATTAGTATGTAAGTGCATTTTCAAAGATTTTACATTTGAGGTAAAGTGGTATTATTATATATTAATTATAAATAGATTGCAAAAATTTAGGAAAATACATCTTCATTCCTAGAACAACCACTAAAATAAAATGAATTAATTAAAGTAAAATAAAATAAAACAATGCAAACAGGCATTGAGTAAAATTTAACAGAAAAATTAAAATGCAGTTATAAGTAATATTTACTTGACCCAAAGACAAGAATAATGGAGATGTAACAGGGGTCAGATTTGGACAGATTTCATGTACAGTGAGACAAACTTTGGATTCATCATGAGGATCATGGAGAGCTCCCACAGTGAGAGCTGTAGAATTTCTCTCTAGGAATTAACACACACCTGAGCACCTGACCACCCCTAGAGGCTTCACTTTCTATTTCATTGAATTGACGACTCAGGAGAATAAACAACCACCATACTACTTGAGTGGGTTGCTCTGAGAATCTTCCCTGTCCTGTCTCCTTCCAACACAGGAAGAACAGTCATTTTTTCATTTCAATTGCAATGGCTGTTTGGCTGGATTTGATTTGCCCTTTAGGAGAATTTAGGTCCTGAATGAAAAGTAGATTAATGAGACATTAAAGTGAGATGAAAACAGTCTAATTAGAAAATTATTTTAGAATCAAAATAGAAATCCAGAGAGCCTGAATTATAGCACCAGCAATGGTGTTAGAAAAAAGGAAGGATAGAACACCAAATCCTAATCCCATTCTTCACAGAATTAGAAAAAAACTACTTTAAAATTCAAAGGAAGCCAAAAAAGAGCCTATATAGCCAAGACAATACTAAGCAAAAAGAACAAAGCTGGAAGCATCATGCTACCTGACTTCAAACTATACTACAAGTCTACAGTAACTAAAACAGCATGGTATTGGTACAGGGACAGAGACATAGACCAATGAAACAGAATAGAGAACTCAGAAACAAGACCACACATCTATAACCATCTGGTCTTTGACAAATCTGACAAAAACAAACAATGGGGAATAAATTCCCTATTAAATAAATGGTGCTGGGAGAACTGGCTAGCCACATGCAGAAAACTGAATCTGGACCCCTTCCTCACACCTTTTGCAAAAATTAACTCAAGATGGATTAAAGACTTAAACATAACAACCAAAACTATAAAAACATAGAAGAAAATCTAGGCAATACAATTTAGGACATAGGAACAGGTAAAGATTTCATGATTAAAACACCAAAAGCAATTGCAATGAAAGCAAAAATTGACAATTGGGATATAATGAAACCCAAGAGCTTCTGCACAGCAAGAGAAACTATCAACAGAGTGAACAGACACCTTATAGAATGACAGAAAATTTTTGTAATCTATCCATCTAACAAAGGTCTAATATCTGGAATCTACATGGAACTTAAACAAATTTACAAGAAAAAAACAAGCCCATTAAAAAGTAGCAAAGGACATGAACAGACACTTCTCAAAAGAAGACATTTATGCAACCAACAGGCATATGAAAAAAAGCTCAACATCACTGATAATTAGAGACATGCAAATCAAAACCACAATGAGATACTATCTCATGCCAGTCAGAATGGCAATTATTTAAAAGTAAGGAAACAACTGATGCTGGTGAGGCTGTGAAGAAATAGGAATGCTTTTACACTGTTGTTGGGAATGTAAATTAGTTCAACCATTGTGGAAGACAGTGTGGGAATTGCTCAAAGATCTAGAAGCAGAAATACCATTTGACCCAGCAATCCCATTACTGGGTATATACCAAAAGGAATATAAATTATTCTATTATAAAGATACATGCACACATGTGTTTATTGCAGCACTATTCACGATAGTAAAGACATGGAATCAACCCAAATGCCCATCAATGATAGACTGGATACAGAAAATGTGGTACATATACACCATGGAATACCATGCAGCCATAAAAAGAAATGAGATAATGTCCTTTGCAGGGACATGGATAAAGCTGGAAGCCACTAGCCTCAGCAAACTAATGCAGGAACAGAAAACCAACACCACATGTTCTCACTTATAAGTGGGAAAAAAACACATGAACAATGCGAACACATATACACAAGGAGGGGGAACAACACACATTACATTGATGCCTGACAGAGGAGGGTGGGAGGAAGGAGTCCATCAGGAAAAAAAAATGCATTCTGGGCTTAATACATAGGTGATGGGTTGACAGATGCAACAAACCACCATGGCACATGTTTACTATGTAACGATCCTATATATCCTGCACATGTATCCCGGAGCTTAAAATAAAATTAAAATAAAATAAAATAAAGGGGGAAAAAAGAGTAGAAGGAAGGAATATCATTAAATTTGAGGATAATAGAACTTGTCATACATAGTGACTGACTGGGTTTAGGATTATGATGGGAGATAGGGGAGTTGAAATAACTTTCAGGGGCATAATTGTGTGGTTCATCTAACATTATAAAATTCTTCAATAAAATTCTTGAACTTTAGTGGGAAGGAATATTTTCCTGAGGAGCTAGTTAAAAATTATTTTATGAACTCCACTCACCTCCAGAAATTCTAAAGGATTCTGGCTCAGGTTGAGAAATATTGCCCTCTGGAGTTTAAAGTGGTATTTATAGGCAATTTTCAAATCCAATGTTACAAATATTTCCTGAATGTGAATTGTGATTTCAGCATTGCATACGTAATTCTGGCTCTGATTACTGCCAGCATTTTTTTTCAAATACATACGTAGATTTTTTTAATCTTGCCAAGAAAATGGGTAAATAATGAAGCTCTTAGATAATTACAAAATACAAAACACATTGAAATGTCAAAGAGAGTGTCTATAAATAATGAAATTCACTACTGTCCCTAGCTCAAATGATAATGGTTTTTTCTAAACACATTTTCCTGGCCTATAGTTACTGGGCACAATAAAAGGTGTGAAAACATTTTGGCATCCTTAACACCATTTATAAACTATTTCTTTCTAAGAAAATAATACAAATTGTCTGAATATCTAAGTATTTATTCGACTTTCTGTTGTGTTTTTGTGTACTTTCCAAAATATGTAAGTCAGCCAGGTAGAAACAAACCTCTACCTAGATTAAAACGAAAATTTTAGTTGGTCAGTATCTGCTGTTTCTGAATGCCACATCATCCAGTTGTTACTCTTTAATTATTATATAAGAATATAACACTAACATTATTTAAAGATTTTATTTTTAGGTATAGCAGTATAGTGTAGTCTAGTATTAGAGATGTGCAAATCATGTTTAAAGTTAACAGAAAATTACACATGTAAGAAAAATAACTAATCCATAGTTTTGTTTGTTTGTCTGTTTGTTTTTTTCCTGAAACACTCTGTGAGTGCTGATGGAACTCTGGTGTCAAATATCTTCTAGAATACAAAGAACATTCCATCATCATGATGCACTGTTATGGCGCCCTCTATAGGCAACCCAGCTCTTCTAATTTAAAAGTTGCTGCATTTGTGATGATTTTCATCTTGACTGGGGATGGTAAGTTCAGAAAAAAAAAAAAAAAAAAAGATAAATGTTAAAAGACAGAAGCCTCTCTCAGATACAATTTAAATAGACTGGAAGTCTCATGAAGCTCTGAACTATACAGGTCATTGCCATTAAAGAGGTAGTATAGAGTTTCTAAGTGACTCAGAAAATTCCCTTTGCTCAACTACTAGGCAAGGGAACTGACCCTAGAGAGGACTGTTAGGGGCTGAATGGTATCCTACAAAATTCATATATTGGAGTCCTAAATCCAGTTCCTCAAAATGTCACTGTATTTGGAGATAAGACCTTTAAAGAGCTAATCATATCAACGTGAGGTTACTGGAGTGGGTGCTAATCCAATTATGACTGGCATTCTTATAAGAAGACTAGATGAGGACACAGACTTTCATAGATGAAAGACTGTGCTTTGACACAGAGAGAAGGTAGCCATCTGCAACTAACACATTGACATAACCTCTAGGCTTCATAGTTGTCATTTAAACAGGTAGAGTATGTTTCCAAGGAAGCATTGACTTTGTAGTTCCCTTTTGAATTGCTGGAAATTTGATGTGATTTATCTAATTAAGATTATATGTCAGTGCCCTTAAAGCCTTTTTTTGGCCAATTCTGTCTAGGCAGTGAGTCAAGGATGCTTATTGCTTGACATGCTAAAACAGAAAGGTCATCCTTCCATTTTTTTATTGTAATTAGTACACTTACAATGTCTTTCATGTCCAGGGAATAATCCTGTATATTTTGAAAACCAAATCAGTTCTGGAATTTAAGAGCTATTATTGCACTGTACTTTCATCAAAAAGCAAGTATCCAAGAAAATCAACTTCATTTTTTTTTTGTACTGGAGAATATATCCTCGAGATATGACCAGAGTCTTTGAATCCCAAATTGAAAGGCTTGATGTGACAAAGGAATTTTTTTTCAATATGAGCTATGAATTCATTTGGATTGAAATTTTACAAATAGATAAATACAAAATCAATTTTGGTTTATCAAATGAATTACCATTACTGAAAAGAAAAAAATCCTAGAAAATTGGAATTATGGGGAAATCTCAAGACATACATTGGCTGAAACTTTAGAGAGAAGTTTAATAGCTTAGATTTACAGAGAGAATTTTAAATAAGAAAAGAAAAATTGCTTCAGAAGAATACAGAAATCTCTCCTTCTACCTTATGACTGACTCAGGTTTCCCAGGCATGTCAGCTCCAGGCAAGGATGCAGGTTTTGATGAATGAAAAAGCCCAGTTGAGATGACATAAGAAAATTTATAAATGATTTCCCACACACAAAAAAGTCTGTAATAGATTCTCAAATTGGGAATAAGAAGCCATAGGGAGTTTTTTAGAAGGATTAAGAGAAAGCCACCTTTTAGATAGCTCTGCCCAGTCCTTGGTGAATCATATTGATTATTATACACAGAATCCAGAGGACAGAGAAATCTCCCAGCAAAGGTAGTCTAGGTAAAAGACCTTGAATCCATTCCTCATGAAAAAGAGAAAGAAAAAAGGATCTGGCATTTTGCAATACCCACTCAGCAGCCATTTACCTGATACCTGGTTATTTTAAAATAACTTTGAGTTTGTGTGGTTTTACTAATAGTCTTCAACAGTATCCTAAAATGGAAACATAGCAGCCCAGAACAGAGTCAACATTATGTAAGAACCCATGGCCTATTCATATAGAAGAGAATTAGAGAGACAAGTATAAAGCAAAGAAAATAAAATTTGGGAGGAGGGCACAACAGAAATCACTTCCTGAGGCTTGCACGGGGCTTTACTAGCATCCAGATAATAAGAACATGAAAGTCTTCCAGATCCCTTCTATAAAGTTTTTTTCAGTAGTCAACTGTATCATTGTTAATGTTTTACATGTAATCTCATGCCAAACTAGCAATTAGTAAATTTTATAAATCTATTTGTTGTGAATATAAATTTCAAAAGTTAGAAACTTCTCTAGGTATTATTAGATGTATATATTCAGGTCAAGTTTACATGTATATCAAGAATCTGGTTCCTACAGTTGCTAACTTGGATTACTAGGTTTTCTTCAAGAACACTTTGTTAAACTGTTCATGTGTGCTATTTTTCACAAGTTAAGTACTCAGAAAACAAAACATAAAGGTGGTGGCTATTGGCCTTTGGTCTACAGTCAAGAAAAGTGTCAAAGGAGCAACAAGTAATTTTACATTGTACTTGGTAACAATTTCTAATGAGCTTGGGAAAATTAGGGATGGAAATATAAGGAAGTAACAAATTAAGTGGAAATTACCAAGTTTATAGAATGAAGAGTAGGTGTTAGAACACAAGAGAAAGTTAAAGTATGTTTAAGGAAGAAGCAGATCTCAAAATGCAGAGTTGAAAGCCGTCGTGTATCTAAGCCATAGATAGTACACAGAACTCTGAGTTGTAAAAGTAAACAGCGGCATGTTTGAACAGAGCCAAAGGCTGAGGTTATATTATTTGGAAAATTCAATAATATGCTGAATGGGGAGTCTTGAAGGGTACAAAGTGGGGGAGGATTAGCAACTAATTTGTAGGTTGGCAAGACTATTTGAGCCAAAAGAGCAAGATAAATGAAAATCTGTTCAGAAGTATAGTCAAATCAGCAACCACAGTACCAGTTTCAATATTCATCTTAAAATACATTTCTTTTTGCATCCTCAGCTCTTTAAGTGTGGGTAATGATGTTATTTTTATTATTACAATCACTTCTATTTTTAACATCATTGAAGTATAATTTACACAATAAATGCATCCATTTTACATATACCATTTGATGAATTTTGACAAATATGTACATCTATGTACACTTTACCCATTTTTTATGAACCATATTTCCATCACTCATAAAATTATCTCATGCTCCTTAGCAGGCATTTGGCAGAGCTATGTATTCCCTTTGGGAAATAGCTTTACAAGCTTTAAATAATGCCATATACAAGAGAAAATATTTTAATTTAAATGAAATAAAATTAGTCTTTTTTACTTCTTTTACATTTTATAATATTTGTACCTGGTCAAAAATATAATAAAACACCTTCTGTATTTTCTTCTGGAAAGTTTATAATTATAATTTTTATATTTTGTTCTGGCCCATTTATGGATATTTATATCTGGAAAGGTAATATGGGACATGATGATAAAATATTTTAAATGCAAATTCAAAAATAATTTCTATACATTTTGTAATTTAATGTTAATTGATCTAGTTAAAGAATGTAGAGTCATTGAAAATAGCTACATTTAACTCTATTTTTAAAAAACTAATCTGACAGGTCTCTTTATACTTTTTTTTTTTTTTTACTGTTGCGTTGTAGGAGTTTCTTTGAAAGTTATCACCTTATCAGATGTTTGCAATTTACTCTTATTCCATAGGTTATCTTTTCACTGTTGATTGTTTTTCTTGCTAAAGAGAGCTGCTATTGTTGTTATTGTCAAGTTATTTATTTTACTCTTTAAAGCTTCATTATTTTCAATTATTACAGTCCTCTAATAGCTGTATATATTTATAGGTATGTGTGATGCTTTAGTATGTAATCACACCAGGGTAACTGGAGTATCCATTACCTCAAGCATTTGTCATTTATGTTAGAAAAATTCCAATTCCACTCTTTAAGTTATTTTAAAATATACAATAAATTATTATTGAATATAGTCACCATATTGTATTATCAAATACTAGATTTTATCATTTCCATCTAATTATATTTTTACACTTATTAACCATTCCCAATTTTACTTTCTTTCCATGACCCTTCCCAGCCTATGGTAACCATCATTCTACTCTCCATCTGAGTTCAATAATTTTAATTTTTAGGTCCCACATATGCTTTCAGCATGTGAAATTTGTCTTTCTGTGTCTCGCTTATTTCACTTAACGTAATGTCCTCGAGTTCCATTCATGTTATTTGCAAATGACAGAATTTCATTCTTTTTATGTTTGAATAATATTCCATTGTGTATATGTACTACCTTTTCTTTATTCATTCATCTGTTGATGGACATTTAGGTTGATCCCAAATCTTGGTTATTGTGAATAGTGATGCAATAAATATGGCAGTGCTGCTATCTCCTCAGTATACTCAGTATGTATATATACAGTATAATTTTCTTTATTTTTAATACATACTTACCAGTAAAATTGCTAGATTATTCATGAATTGCAAGAGCCAATATTGTTTAAATGTCTATATTACCAAAAGTAATCTACAGATTAAATGCAATTCCTGTCAAAATACCAATGACAGTTTTCATGGGAATAGAAATAATAATCCTAAAATTTTGTGGAACCACAAAAAATAGAAGAATAGCTAAAATCATCCCGAGTGGGGGAAAACTGAAGGAATCACATTCTCTTACTTCAAATTATACTACGGAGCATTAATAACCAAAGCAACATGGAACTGTCATAAAAACAGTTTCATATACCAATGGAACTAAATGTAGAATTCAGAAATAAATCCACACACTTATAGGAAACTCATTTTTAACAAAGGTGCTAAAAACATGCACTGGGGAATGGATGGCATCTTCAGTAAATGGTGCTGGGGAAACTGAACACATCTAGGCCCCTATCTCTCATCATATACAGAAATCAGATCAAATGGATAAAATTCAAGACCTCAAACTGTGAAATTACTAAAAGAAAACATTGGGGAAACTCTTCAGGACGTTGGTCTAGGCAAAGATATCTTCAGTAATATCTCAAAAGCACAGGCAACCAAAGCAACCAAATGATCAAATGGAATCACATCAAACTAAAAATCTTCTGCATGGCAAAGGAAACAGTCAATAAAATTAAAAGAAAACCCACAGAATGGGAGAAAATATTTGCAAATTACCCATCTGACAAGGGATTAAAAACCAGAATATATAAGGTGCTCAAATAACTCAATAGGAAAAAATTAAATCCGATTTTTAAAATGGGAAAAAAGATCTGAATAGACATTTCTCAAAAAACACATACAAATTGCCAACAGGTATATGAACAAATTGTTCAACATCACTAGACATCAGAGAACTGTTAGAAAACAACTATGAGATATCCTCTCACCCTAATTAAAATGGCTTTTATCCAAAAGACAGACAATAATGAATGCTGATAAGGACGTGGAGTCCAAAAGACAGACAATAATGAATGCTGGTAAGGATGTGGAAAAAGGGAAACCCTCTTACCCTGTTGGTGGGAATGTACAATAGTGCAGCCACTATGGATAACAGTATGGAGGTCCTTCAAAAATTAAAAATAGAACAAGCATATGATCCAGTAATCCCACTGCTAGGTATATATTCAAAAGAGAAGACATCAGCATATTAAACAGATTTCTGCAGAACTTTAAAATTAAGCGTGCACGCACACACACACACACACACACACACACGGTTCTACTTGTCTATGTTTGCTTTTACGTTCGCTATGTTATATGGTGTCATAGCCAAGATATTATTGTAAATAGACTGTGATAAAGATTTTCCCCTATGTGTTTTTCCAGAATTTTACAGTTTAAGGTTTTACATTTAAGTCTTCAGTACATTTTGACTCTAGTTTTGTGTTTTGTGTAAGATAAGGCCCACTTTTATCTGTTCACATGTGATCTTCAGGTTTTTCCAGCATCATTTGTTAGACTATTCTTACCTCCATGGTGATTCTTGGCGCCATTGTCAAAGGCCAGCTGACTGTATATGTGTAAGTTTATTTCTGGGCTTTATTCTACTCATTAGTCTATATGCCTGTTCTTATGTCTCTGATAAACTATTTTAATTATTGTAGCTTTGTGGTATGTTAGAAAATCAGAAAGCATGACGCAGATTTGTTCTTTTTTTCTCAAGATCGATTTAGCTACTAGGGGTATTCATAAGAGTTTTACGTGATTTTTTCCTTTTTTTTTTTTTTTTTGAGACGGAGTCTCGCTCTGTCGCCCAGGCTGGAGTGCAGTGGCGCGATCTCGGCTTAATGCAAGCTGCGCCTCCCGGGTTCACGCCATTCTCCTGCTTCAGCCTCCAGAGTAGCTGAGACTACAGGTGCCCACCACTATGCACGGCTAATTTTTTTGTATTTTAGTAGAGACGGGGTTTCACCGTGTTAGCCAGGATGGTCTCGATCTCCTGACCTCATGATCCGCCCGCCTCGGCCTCCCAAAGTGCTGAGATTACAGGCGTGAGCCACCGCTCCCGACCCTACTTTTTCCATTTCTAAAAAAAATGGATTTCTACAGAGATTGCATTGAATTTGTAGATCATTTTGGGTGATATGAACATTTTAATGGGAGTAAAGTTGAAGGTGAGGAAACCATTTAAGAAGTTAGCTATTGGGGGTCTTCATTTAGCTACTAGGGGTCTTCATATGGTTCTATATGAGTTTTATGTTGTTTTTTTCTATTTCTGCAAAACATTATATAGGGATTGCATTGAATTTATAGATCACATTGGGTGGTATAAACATTTTAGTGGGAGTAAAGCTGAAGGTGAGACAACAACTTAAGAAGTTCCTTCCACAGTCCATGGCAGTGAGTAACCAATGACACAACTTTTGCCTTGGGTATTTAAACAAAGAGGGAATGATCTATAGATGCCTGATTTTTCTTTATATGATACAATAAAAGAACAAGAAAGGATAATGTCCTTGTGTACCGATGCTAAGCTTCCGTCCTAAGAGTTATAGTTGTAGTAGGTAAGCTAATTGACCAGGTGGCCGGCAGTAAAGGAAGAACTAATGCAAAAGTGAGTTAAACAATCAGGGGCCAGTGTCAAAACCACAGAGGGAAAATTTCTTTAGATATGAGGAACAAGTGAAATGTTGAAGGATGACGAATTAAAGCGAATTAGTATGGAACAAGGTAGGAATAATAGTTGAGGTATAAAGGGATCAGTTGGTCCAAATTTCATTCCTGAAGGGACCTTGAATACTAGGCACAATAGGCATTGGGTTCTTATGTGCATGTTGTAGTCCGAGTTGAAGGTAGAGTTTTAGGTATAATCACTATAAACAGTATGACAAATTATCACCAAGATTAAAAATAGAACTTCCATATTATCTAGCACTCCCACTTCTGGTTATGTATCTAAAAGAAATAAAATCATTACCTCGAAAAGATAATTTCACTCATATTTATTGTACTTTTCACAATAGCCAAGATATGGAAACAACCTAAGTGGCATTCAACAGATGAATAGATAAAGAAAACAGAGTAAATACATATGACAGAATATCATCTATCTTTCAAAAAGAAGGAAATTATGGCATTTGTGACAATATAGATGAATCTGGAGGACATTAAGCTAAGTAAGACAAGCCAGATGCAGAAAGACAAATGCTGCATAATCTCACTTATATTTGAAATTTTAGAAAAAGACAAATTCATAACAGAGAGTAGAATAGTGATTGTCAGGGGCTGGAGGAGGGGGTGGTCATTTAATATCCTTTAACCATTAGCCTTAATAACCTATGAGTATTATCAAATTTCATGTTCGACTCTATTAAAAATAATGGTTATGAGACTGAGAAATAATTGGCTGGATGAGATAGGGACAATAGGAGAATTTAAAATATTGAGTTCTGTCAAATTTGATGTGGCTTTGCCTTTTGTAGATTGAAAGCAAAATTCCACATTACACTCTCCAAACTTCCATATCAGCATTATACCCCTTCTATAGTCAATCTCACATTATTTCTCTGTTAAATAACTAAAATTGTTGCATTTATAAGCACTTAAGCTGGGATTCCAATCAAAAGAAAAAAAGTTAAAACAGAAATAAAACATTCTATGTGAAAGCCTGCAAGCTCAAAGACAACTAAGCTCCAAAGGGCAAGAAATAATTTGAAAATAGTTTGAGCCTCGGGAGACATTCTTTCCTTTACATACTAAAAAATTAATCTAATTATGTTATAAATAACCAAACATGTAAACACAAGCAGTGATTATCTTAGGCCAATAATAAAGTGGTTTGGACAGACTGCATCATAATGAAAAAATATACCCATGGGCCTATTTTCCAAAGGTCCAAAATCTAAACTTGTGTTTTACACTTAGTGAGATTTCCATGCTGTGTAGAGTTTATTGCACTTATCTTTATCAAGTCTGCTAATTTTAGCCTGCTGATAATTTACACATGATTTTGCTGACAACTTGAAAATTCTGAATGTGTGTTAGATATGAAATTCTAATAATTGTTCCCTTTTGGTATAGCACTGGCTTCCACTGTGAATAAACTGCTATTTCTTACAGGTAGGTCAACAATGGGCTGAAAATGAGTTATTCCTAAATTGTTCCTACCAATTAAAATTAGATTGGTAATTTTTTGCACCATTATTAAGAATTTTTTTTTTTTAGCTATAGGAAAAGTGAAAAATAAGAAGGGTTGGTGATAGCTTACGAACTTTGTGGTTTTGGGATGTATACTGTAACTGAGGGAAAATAAAGGTGATGGACACTATTTAAGTCAAACTTTTCAATGTGCTGACATTTGAAATATTTATATTTTGATTAGTGGTTATGTCACCCAGACAAACAGTATAGCCTGAAAGTGGATTAAAAATAAACGGAGAAGACACTATTTCCTGTAGATTTGCAAACAGAAATTCAAGAATTTAAGTAGAACTAGCCGGGCCTGGTGGCGGACACCTGTAGTCCCAGCTACTTGGGAGGCTGAGGCAGGAGAATGGTGTGAACCTGGGAGGTGGAGCTTGCAGTGAGCCGAGATCATGCCACTGCACTCCAGCCTGGGTGACAGAGCGAGACTCGGTCTCGAAAAAGAAAAAAAAAAGAATTTAAGTAGAACAAAGAAGAATAAAACATTTTTACCAAATAATGGATGAGGAAGAAGTCAAAATTATGAACTATTAAACATGGAAATGGCAGCATTTTTTGTCTAGATGAAGAAGATCAGGTGTTGAAATTTTATTCTGTGAAATGTCCTTGCTTATTTTATAACATGAATATATTTCTTAACCACCTGATCCTCATATCTAAGATGTAGAGTTTAATGTTTATCATAAAAATCTCATTCATTTGATACTTACAAAAGTAAATGAGGTGAACTATGAAAAACTGTTGTGGAAATCTAGACAGTACTAAGCTCATAATAGCTTCTAAGAGCTCACATCAAGACTAGAGGAAAAGTGGTCATGGAAAAACTTTGTTTTTCTTCAGTTCCCTTAACATTATCTGAGTTGTCATCCTTTTGAAATCACAGAGGTGGGAAGTAGCATAGCAGAAAATAAAAACTACAGTAGAAGAAGAAAATTTGAGCCAGAGGTAATGAGGAGAAATATAATCACCTTCAAAACTTCCTAAAATATTGAGGGTAGGAAAGTAGGAATTGTGATGGGATGAGGATTTGGTTATACATTTAAGCCATTCTTTCTCTCTTAGGTTAAGGTAGTAACTACTTATATTAAGCACTCATTAGGCCAATCCTTGAATAATATATAATCTATTGTGCTGCCAAAGATTTAAGCAACTATTCAAATATGCCAGAGTGAAAATAGTGGCTTCAGTAAACAAACACCACTAGCTCATATAAAAGCATGTCTTATCTGACCATGATTCGTTGTTTTAAAGTAACTTCATATCTTATCCAGGGAGAAGGGATAGTGTTTGAATATATTTCACTTAGGAGAATCAACAGCTCTATGAAATTCTCAAACTACTCACAGGCTTATTAATATTGTTATTAGTCTACTTTAAGAATAAGTATTGAGTGTATGCTAACATTAAGCATTATATGAATAACGTTTTATTTTAAGAATGCTTAATGTTAGCATGCACTTAATATTTAGGAGTGTAGAAAAAGCTTTCTTCTACTTTCATCTTTTTCCCATGATAGGGTTTGCTATCCTCATTTTACATATGAGGAAATTCAGGCTCCTAATGGTGAGATGACTTGTCCAAGGCTATGCAAATAATGGCATAAAAGCAGGATTAACACCTGGGTGTTTTAACCTATATTATTCTACAAACATTGTTCACTCTTTTCCATCACTTGATTTCATTTGTGCTATAATTTCACTAATGGTAGGTGTCTGATTTTACCAAAGTTGTTGCTCTAATTTTTCTGTAATTATGATTATTTCCATACAGTCTACTCTTGATATTGGGGACGTATGGAGAGATAATTTCATAGAATATTGTGAGTTAGAAATCCCAAATACAAGTAAAATATATAGTTTTTCTTAAAAGACAGTGAAGTCTAAGAAAAAAAGTAAAATCTGTCTACATAAAACAAGAATTACTGTATAAAGAAAACAAAAGTTTACTGCATGTGGACACTCTGTGGTCTGCTAAAGGGGTTATCAATCTGCCTGGCTGTGTTTCTGTTTCAAGTTCACTACAAATAAATAAAATACATATAATGGGCTATATTCTTCGCTACTAATTTCACATGATGTTGTCATTCAGCTCATGTTTGGATACTACTACTTTTCTAATGATTTCTGTCTCTCATTAAATTCATCTGAATATAATATAAATATATATATATTTATATATTAAGTTGATGCTCATCTTTGTTCTTCTGAATTCCCTTCCAAGTCAACTTTTCTATTTTGGTCTAAAAATAAATAATTCATTAGACAATATGTAAATCCATATTGTATTATTTTTATATGTCCAATTAATTTATTTATTTTTGGTTTTATCAAAAGAGAAAGGCATTAGAACATCCCACAGAAATCAAGGGAAATTTGAATGTGTACCTTTAGAGGTGTGTGATCCAGGATGGTTTCAGAGATCTTGAGATGGTGTAACTATATTTTGGGATTATCATATTTACTTAGGTATAATTTACACAAAATAAAATTCACTATTTGTGGGTGTATAATACAATGTGTTCTGATAAATATATACAATTGCTTAATCATCCACTATATACAACAATTTCATCACCCCAAAGATTCCCTTGCCACAGCGCTGCAATCACTGACCAGCTTTCTATCCTCGTGAATTCGATTCTATTAAATGTCATGTGATGAAATCACATATGATTCAGTATTTTGTGTCTACTATCGGTTAGCATAATGCTTGTAAGAATCTATAAGTTGTTGTCTGTATCAGTAGTTCAGGGTTTTTATTGCTAATTAGCATTCATTGTATAACATAGCATAAATTCTTTTTTTTTCTTTTTCTTTTCTTTTTTTTTTTTTTCTTTTGAGACAGCATCTCTGTTACCCAGGCTGGAGTGCAGTGGCGCAATCTTGGCTCACTGCCAATTCCGTCTTCTGGGCTCAAGAGATCCTTGGGGCTCAAGGAATCCTCCTGCCTCAGCCCCCTTAGTAGCTGGGAGTACAGTCATATGCCATCACACCCAGCTAATTTTTGTTTTCTTTTGTTTTGAGGGGGGGTTATTTTTATGTTTTGGTAGAGATGGGGCATAATTTATTTGTCCATTCACCTTTCATGAACATTCTGGTTATTTTCAGATTATTGCTGTTATAATAAAGCAGCTGTGGACACTTGAATACAAGTCTTTGTGTCTACTTGTGTTTTTATTAATTTTGAGTAGATACCTACAGGGGAAATTTCTGGATCATATTGTATATTTATTTAAAATTTAAAATAGTTTTTAAATTATTTTCCAAGGTTGCCATACTATGTTGTATTATCAGCAGCAATATATGAGAGTTCCTCTCAATCTTCCCCAACATATGGTGATTTCAGTAATTTTTAATTTATTCAAACCAATAGGTGTGTCATAGTGTGTTATCATGGTCCTAATGAACATTTTCCTGAAACCTGATGATCTTGGACATTTTTCAGATGTTTATTTGCCATCTTATATTGTTTCAGATAAGGGTCCAATCAAATATTTTGCCCATTCTTTTATTTAGTTGTTTCTCATTATTAAACTACAAATGTCTGTGCATGTGTGTGTGTGCAAATGTCCATGTTTGTATGTGCGGTGTGTGTACATGTATTTGCTGGAATGTATTATACTATAAATATGGATATTTTATAAATGTGTAGTACGATATATCACATATTTATACTGTAAGTATGTAAAGTGTACTATATAATTTCTCACATAAATGGTACATACATCACATATATTTTCATAGCATGGTGATTTCCTATTCATTTAAGTCTAATTATCAAAGTTTCTTATTTTATGTTTTCATGTTTGCTTTTTGTGTCTTATTTAAGAAATATGGAATTAATGTATAGTCACTATAATTTCAATTCTATTTTTTAAAGGTTTTCCTTTTGACTCTGACAGTTATTTTATTCTTTATTGAAGAAGAATAATAAATTTCCCCACACTATTGTTAAAAATGTTAGTATTAGAGACACAACCAAAAAAGACAATTTTAGACCAATATCCCTGATGAACATTGATGCAAAAATCCTCAATAAAATCCTGGCAAACTGAATCCAGCAGCACATCAAAAAGCTTATCCACCATGATCAAGTGGGCTTCATCCCTGGGATGCAAGGTAGGTTCAACATACGCAAATCAATAAATGTAATCCAGCATATAAACAGAACCAAAGACAAAAACCACATGATTATCTCAATAGATGCAGAAAAGGCCTTTGATAAAATTCAACAACCTTCACGCTAAAAACTCTCAATAAATTAGGTATTGATGGGACGTATCTCAAAATAATAAGAGCTATCTATGACAAACCCAAAACCAATATCATACTGAATGGGCAAAAACTGGAAGCATTCCCTTTGACAACTGGCACAAGACAGGGATGCCCTCTCTCACCACTCCTATTCAACATAGTGTTGGAAGTTCTGGCCAGGGAAATTAGGCAGGCTAAGGAAATAAAGGGTATTCAATTAGGAAAGAGGAAGTCAAATTGTCCCTGTTTGCAGATGACATGATTGTATATCTAGAAAACCCCATTGTCTCAGCCCAAAATCTCCTTAAGCTGATAAGCAACTTCAGCAAAGTCTCAGGATACAAAATCAATGTACAAAAATCACTAGCATTCTTATACACCAATAACAGACAAACAGAGAGCCAAATCCTGAGTGAACTCCCATTCACAATTGCTTCAAAGAGAATAAAATACCTAGGAATCCAACTTACAAGGGACATGAAGGACCTCTTCAAGGAGAACTACAAACCACTGCTCAATGAAATAAAAGAGGATACAAACAAATGGAAGAACATTCCATGCTCATTGGTAGGAAGAATCAATATCGTGAAAATGGCCATACTGCCCAAAGTAATTTATAGATTCAATGCCATCCCCATCAAGCTACCAATGACTTTCTTCACAGAATTGGAAAAAACTACTTTAAAGTTCATATGGAACCAAAAAAGAGCCCGCATCACCAAGTCAATCCTAAGCCAAAAGAACAAAGCTGGAGGCATCATGCTACCTGACTTCAAACTACACTACAAGTCTACAGTAACCAAAACAGCATGGTACTGGTACCAAAACAGAGATATAGATCAAGGGAACAGAACAGAGCCCTCAGAAATAATGCCACATATCTACAACCATCTGATCTTCGGCAAACCTGACAAAAACAAGCAATGGGGAAAGGATTCCCTATTTAATAAATGGTGCTGGGAAAACTGGCTAGCCATATGTAGAAAGCTGAAACTGGATCCCTTCCTTACACCTTATACAAAAATTAATTCAAGATGGATTAAGACTTACATGTTAGACCTAAAACCATAAAAACCCTAGAAGAAAACCTAGGCAATAGCATTCAGGACATAGGCGTGGGCAAGGACTTCATGTCTAAAACACCAAAAGCAATGGCAACAAAAGCCAAAATTGACAAATGGGATCTAATTAAACTAAAGAGCTTCTGCACAGCAAAAGAAACTACCATCAGAGTGAACAGGCAACCTACAAAATGGGAGAAAATTTTCGCAACCTACTCATCTGACAAAGGGCTAATATCCAGAATCTACAATGAACTCCCACAAATTTACAAGAAAAAAACAAACAACCCCATCAAAAAGTGGGCAAAGGATATGAACAGACGTCTCTCAAAAGAAGACATTTATGCAGCCAAAAATCGCATGAAAAAATGCTCATCATCACTGGCCATCAGAGAAATGCAAATCAAAAGCACAATGAGATACCATCTCACACCTGTTAGAATGGCGATCATTAAAAAGTCAGGAAACAACAGGTGCTGGAGAGGATGTAGAGAAATAGGAACACTTTTACACTGTTGGTGGGACTGTAAACTAGTTCAACCGTTGTGGAAGTCAGTGTGGCAATTCCTCAGGGATCTAGAACTAGAAATACCATTTGACCCAGCCATCCCATTACTGGGTATATACCCAAAGGACTATAAATCATGCTGCTATAAAGACACATGCACACGTATGTTTATTGTGGCACTATTCACAACAGCAAAGACTTGGAACCAACCCAAATGTCCAACAATGATAGACTGGATTAAGAAAATGTGGCACATATACACCATGGAATACTATGCAGCCATAAAGAATGAAGAGTTCATGTCGTTTGTAGGGACATGGATGAAACTGGAAACCATCATTCTCAGCAAACTATCGCAAGGACAAAAAACCAAACACCGCATGTTGTCACTCATAGGTAGGAATTGAACAATGAGAACACATGGACACAGGAAGGGGAACATCACACTCCGGGGACTGTTGTGGGGTGGGGGGAGGGGGGAGGGATAGCATTAGGAGATATACCTAATGCTAAATGACGAGTTAATGGGTGCAGCACACCAACATGCACATGTATACATATGTAACTAACCTGCACATTGTGCACATGTACCCTAAAACTTAAAGTATACTAATAATAAAATAAAGAGTTAGTATTTATTTTTCATTGATTTGTTCCGTCATCCATGTTAATAATTGGTCACATATATGTGTATCTACTTCTGAACACTATTTCATTGATCTATATGTCTATTCTGTATAAATATTACACTTCCTTGATTATAATAGCTTTATAGTAAATCTTGTATTTATGTGCTGTTGGTACTTGAAATTTGTTCTTTTTTTTGCAAAATACTTTGACTAGTTTAATTCATTTACATTTAAATGTAAACTTTGGAATCACCTTGTTAATGTCTATAAAAATCTCCATTGGAAGTTGATTTCACATTGATTGAATTTATAGATTCAAAAAGAAAAACTATTTTAAAAAAGTAATTGACTCTGTTATGTTCATCAGTGTTAGGTTTATAGAAAAACTGAGTGGAAATTACAGAGACTTCTCAAATCCTACCTTAACACCCTCTTCCTTTGGCCTCAATCTCTCTATCCCGTTCTTAATTGTCCCTATGGTTAACATCTTGCGTTAGTGTGGTGCATATGTTAAAACTGATGAGCCAATATTGAAACATTATTATTAACTAAAGTCCATAGTTTACATTAGGGTTCACTCATTGTGTTGTACGTTATATAGGCTTTTCCAAATATAAATTGACATGTATCCACCATTAGAGTATGATATGAAGTAGTTTCACTGCCCTAAAAATCCTATGCTTCACCTATTCATCCATTCCTCCCTCCCCCAGAACCTCTGGTAATCCCTGATGTTTTTACTGTCTTCTTGGTTTTGCCTTTGTAGAATGTCTTAAAATTAAAATCATACAGTGTGTAGTCTTTCCATATTGACTTATTTCACTTAGCCATATACATTTAAGTTTCTTTGTTTTTTCATGGCTTGACAGCTCATTTCTTTTTATAACTGAATAATATTCCATTGTGTGAATGTACCATAGCTTGTTAATTCCTATGATTTTAATAATTATTATAGTTCTATTGAGCACAGTATAAGTTTCTATTTATTGAGGCTTTATAAAATTGTACACAGCAATAACTTCTATTTTTTGTGTAAATATTTTGGGCGACTATTTAAAATGTTTATGCCTAAGGTCATTTTTATTGTACTGTGAAGGGTACGTTTTTCTTTTTTTGTGGAGGGCATTTTAATCACTATTTATGATTAGTTTTTAGTTATAATCACTATTTATGGCAATGCCATCAATGAGTAAATACAGCTATACTTTTTTCATTTTAATATGCATGCTTTCTATTTATTTTTCTTGATTTATGGAATTGGCTGGGACCATGAATATAATGTTGAAATAAAGTGATAAGAGAAGACATCATTGCTATATTGCCAATCTTAGGATGAAAACAGTCTTTCAACATTTTGATGTTAGCTATAGGTTTTCCACAGATGCTCTTCATCAGATTGAGGAAATTCCCCTTTATTCCTTGGTTTAAAAAAGTTTTTATCATTGAAGGATAGTAAACTTTTTTTCAAATGCTTTCTATACCTTTACTAATATATTTATTTTAATACAGTGAATTATTTTTATTGGTATTTGAATGTTAACACCTCTTTCTTTCCTGGGATAAATTCTACTTGACTCATTTGATCATGAGTATTTTTTATATATATTACTAAATATTGATTTCCTAAAATTTACTTAAGGGTGTTTGTGTCTGTGTTCATGAGAGGTAGTAGCCTGTAAGTTGTTTTTCACATCTTACTCTTAAGGGAACACCGGTGGTGGGGAGTAGAATTTTGTAGGGCTAGCAGGGTGGTGAGCATTCTCCAATGTTCTCATTAACGTGAGTTGAAAGCCATCTCTGTGTTCCTGGATTTTGAAGTGTTGCCTTCACATGTGCTTCTATTCCTCCTATATATGTAGCATGGATCTAATAAGTATTTCTGTCTCTCTCTCTCTTGGGATAGTAATGTCCTTTTCCCCCTCCCCGAGCTGCAATGTGTTCCTGGATTTTGAAGTGTTGCCTTCACATGTGCTTCTATTCCTCCTCTATATGTAGCATGGATCTAATAAGTATTTCTGTCTCTCTCTCTTGGGATAGTAATGTCCTTTTCCCCCTCCCCGAGCTGCAGTGGGTTTCCATCAGTACCTTCAAGATGACACCTTTTATTGCTCTGCCACATGCAGAATAAGGCATTTGCTTTGTAGTGATGTAGCGGAAATAGATCCTGGCAGAGTTTTAGCAATGCCTGCTGTTCTCTCCCAGAGTCACCATGAGAATATCTTTTCCAAGATTCTCCCTGTTCTTCTCTATGAGCACTGGTAGAGTTTGTAGAGAAACACATGTAAGAGGGCATAAACCCAACCTCATGCTAACCCACAACTAGTTATCAGCAATTCATTAAAATTTGTTACCTATATCTTCCTACAAGCTTATGAGGCAGCAAGCAGCATCTTTCCTAGGTGAGCAGATTCTCAGTTGCTGTTTCTTCCACAAGACACCTGTTTCTTTACAAATTGAAGATTTATTTGAATACTGTGAAAATTCAGTTTTGTGTTGAATTCAGAAGCATTGTGAATTTTCAGTTTGTCCATGATGATTTCTGTGAATTGATGCAATTTTAGCATGCAATTACCGTGTGTGTGTGCAGTGTTTTTAAAAAAGAATGAAAAAACAAAACATGGTCTCTGACAAATGATTATTTTCCCAATGCTTATTTCCCTGAATAACAATTCTATTGGATACTTGTAACACTGTAGTTCACTTAGGCAGTCTCAAAATTGAGAGTTTTAAACTTTAAATTGCAAATTTTTAGAAAAAGTGAGGATTAGTTGGTCTGTTTCTAATATACAAAACCCATAGGATAATATTTTGGTGGGTGAGTAGGTGGTGTGGGTTTTCCAGGTATATTGCAGAATGCGTAGAAATAAAAGGCCACTGTGCTTGGCATTTATCCTTTGCTGTTTAGGTCCTCTCTCCACCTTTCACCATCTCCTTTGCTCCAGAATGTGGCCTTTATGGATCATATCATTTGAGTTCCTTAGCATTCAGATTCTGGTGCAGTTAGACCAAAGGGGATATCAGCAGGAGATTAGCAGGTGGGAGAAAAGCAAGATAGAAAGTACAATGGTGTTTACCATAGGCTGGGGGCAGAAAGGGAGATGTTGATCAAAGGGTACAAAATTGTAGTTAGAGGGAGGAATGAGTTCTGGTGATCTGTGGCATATCATGGTGACTATAGTTAATAATAGTATATTATCCAATTTGAATATGAAGTTTACTTAAAAATATCAATGGTCCAATTCCAGAGCTTGCATTATTTTGTATATTCCTCAATATATTTAAAATTTTAATTTGTAACCTCTGTATGTTAGCATATTGCTATTAATTAAATGGATAAAACATCATGTTAGGTCTACATCTAAGTAACTTAACATTTCTGAAGAGAACACATCATTTATTTGACTCCCTGACAAAAATATACCAAACAGAAAACAAAATTAGTACTTACTTGTTCACATCTTAATTAATGTAAACTTTCTGTGTCCAAACATACACCTTACTTTCTCTAATTCCTTATAATTTCCAATGTTTCAGCAGGAATTGATGAAAGAATTGAAGAGTTGAAAAAATATACTAAAACCAGTGATTTCTCATTACTGCTACCATTACAGCCTCTTTCAAGCCACCATCAGCTTCCACCTGGACTGCTGCAATAACTAATACCCTCGCCCCAATCGTAACCTACCTCATACTGGCCAGAATCACAACTGGACTAGACAGGATTAGGCCACTGGTAAATTCTTAGATGGAAATTCCCACAGCTCCTCCTTTTATTCTCTCTGATCTGGCATGTAGTCTTCTTGAAGTTTGGAACACATCAAGCTTAGTTCTGCTAAGGGGTTCAGGCTGGACTACCTGCCCCCAGGGCTTTTCATGATTTGCTCAAATTCTCCCTCTTTAGATAGAACTTTTCTTCTTAAAATGCTTAAAGTGAAAGCATTCCCTTCATCATTCTATACTCTCTGTACCTTATCTATGTATTTTCCAGGATTCATGTGGTACTAGTAATTTAGTTACTGATTTCTTTATTGCCTCTGCTCCCCACAAAATATATGTTTTTTGTAAATCAGTAACTTGATCTTATTTACTTCTTCACCATCCTCAGTCTCTAGGTAATGCCTGACATTTTGTTATAACTAAATGTTAATGTTATAAGTAATTTACTTCACCTCATTCGACAGTGAGAATTTAAAATGCATTTCTTGTCTCTGAGTGGTGAGTATTGAATGTTTATTTATAAAACTGAGAAAAACAAAGACGTGTCCAGGATCTATGAGATTATGTATGTAAAAGTAAAAAAAATAGCAACTTTTAAAATATTTCTTAATATTCTTAGTCTCATCTCTTAGGCCTCTAGCCCATAATTATACCATAAGATACATAGCTCTAGGTATTTTATTAATCTAGTTTCTATCAGAAACTAGACTGCTTTGAATATAAACACCAAACATTTTTTGTCTAGTTAATGCTATATAAAATTTGAATTTTCTTTTAAAATTAGAAATGAAAGCTAATACAAAATAGAGCTCTCTCTGTGCTCCTCATTTTCTATTATTGTAGTAGTTTTTTTCCCTGGTATTTTTAAATTTTAGAAAACATAATTTTAACAATGAATATTTATCTCACCATTAGACAATCTTATGATACATAAATTACTAACAGAAGATTTAAATTTAACAGTTTAATCATTTGCATAATTTTTTACAGCCTTGTATTAAATTACTATCATAAATGACTATAGTTCACCTAATAAACAGCATTAACTATGACTTTCAAAGTTAACTGTATAATAAATTGGCTTCATTTTGTAATTAATGAAAACAAAATATTGTAGTAGCTAACATATTAGTTGATAATAATTAAGGAAGCTTCAAGCTACAAAGAACAGAATAGGACTCATTAAGCTAGACAAATTTGGGTAGAATCTTGTATTTCAATTTCATAAGGTTTTAAATTTTTCCTCATCTTCACTTTTTCACACAAAATGATGGTTTGTGGTAAGTTTTTTTGGTTTGAGTAGGTTTTGCTTTTTAAAAATAATATTGCAAGAAATCCTGGCAAAATAATCTTAGCAAGGACTCATATAGATCTTAGTAAAATAGGCAAATAAACAAATATTAACAAATAAATAATTTATAATGTTATTAAAGCTGATAATATAAATGAAGCAATATAGTTTTAAAAAAATGAGGTGACATAGAAATTGTAAATTTTTTGGCATATTAAATAATTAACACTGCAGCTTTCTTTGGGGCTGCAAGATTCCTTTTTTTTTTTCTTTTTTTTGAGATGATGGAGCCTTTCTCTGTCGCCCAGGCTGGAGTGTGGTGGTGCCATCTCGGCTCACTGTAACCTCCGCCTCCTGGGTTCAAGCAATTCTCCTGCCTCAGCCTCCCGAGTAGCTGAGATTATAGGTGTGCACCAGCATGCCCGGTTAATTTTTGTAATTTTAGTAGAGACAGGGTTTCATCATGTTGGCCATGCTGGTTTTGAACTCCTGACCTCAGGTGATCTGCCTGCCTCACCCTCCCAAAGAGCTGGGATTGCAGGTGTGAGCCACTGCACCCGGCCTGCAAGCTTCTTTTGACCTAACTTGGAATGCTCATAATGTCACTTCCAGTGTATCAAATATCAAAAGAATTTACTAAAGTAGGTGAAAATGCAAGGAGAGGAAAGATAAATTTTATCTCTTTGTAGGGGGTAATGTCTAATAATTTTCTGCCATCTTCAATCTGTCATAATTATGAAAAACAATAACTTTTGCATTGAGTAATATAGCTTGTTTAAGTATGTCTCAAAGCATTCCTACTCTGATGTATTCTGAAAGTAACCTAGCATTTCTGAAGAGAGGAATCAATCAGGGAGAAAGCCTTGATGTCAGTGAAAGTAATAGAGAGCAGGAACTATCATAAAATCTTGGCACAAACTATTCAATGCTGCCTAGAAACTTAGCCTTTGAAGGGAACAGGCACAAAGAAGTGACAAATGGCCACACTTACAAATATCAATCTAGTCTTGAATGGGAAGATGCGAAAAGGCAAGGCAGTCAGGGGCTCACATGCCAGGCCGTTTATATTCTTATTCTCCTCAGAATACATTAGATTGGAACACAATGGCTGGACATACTCTTTTCCAAAGTTTTAGTATTATGAATCTTGTGTTGGAATGGGAAAGAGTTTATATTGAGTCTGGAAGAAGGCATATGTCACTGTGTTTGGCAAGGGTAAGCTACCCTAACTGACTTTCACATGTATCAATTACAGATGGGTGTGGCCATATTTAAAAACTATTGGTAAACTGGGTATCCTAATGAGAGGCGACAATGTGCTGGTGGCCATTGCTCACTCTCAGCACCTCCTCAGCCTTGGCATCTACTCTGGCCACGCTTGAGGAGCCCTTCAGCCCACCGCTGCACTGTGGGAGCCCCTCTCTGGGCTAGCCAAGGCTGCAGCCAGCTCCCTCTGCTTGTGGGGAGGCGTGGAGGGACAGGCATGGGCAGGAACCGGGGCTGTGCGCGGTGCTTGCAGGCCAGTGTGAGTTCTGGGTGGGCGTGGGCTAGGCAGGCCCTGCACTCAGAGCAGCCAGCTGGCACTGCTGGCTGTGGGTAGTGAGGGCTTAGCACCCAGGCCAGCAGCTGCGGAGGGGCCACCGGGTCCCCCAGCACTGCCAGACTGCCCACACCGTGCTCGAATTCTCGCCGGGCTTCAGCCGCCTCCCTGTGGGGCAGGGCTTGGGACCTGCAGCCCACCATGCCCGAGCCCCCACTGCAGTGGCCTCCCGCACTCCCCCTGCTCTGCAGCACCTGGTCCTGTCGACCACCCAAGGGCTGAGGAGTGCAGGTGCGTGGCGTGGGACTGGCAGGCAGCTCTGCCCGCGGCCCTGGTGCGGGATCCACTAGGCAAAGCCAGCTGAGCTCCTGAGTTGGGTGGGGACTTGGAGAACCTTTATGTCTAGCTGGAGGATTGTATATGCGCCAATCAGCACTCTATATCTAGCTAATCTGGTCAGGACTTGGAGAACCTTTATGTCTAGCTAAAGGATTGTAAATACACCAATCAGCACTCTGTGTCTAGCTCAAGGTTTGTAAACACACCAATCATTGCTCTCTGTCTAGCTAATCTAGTGGGGATTTGGAGAATTTTATGTCTAGCTAGAGGACTGTAAATACACCAATCAGCATTCTGTGTCTAGCTCAAGGTTTGTAAATGCACCTATCAGCACCCTGTCAAAATGGACCAATCAGCTCTCTGTAAAATGGACCAATCAGCTCTCTGGAAAAATGGGCCAATCAACAGGATGTGGGTGGGGTCAGAAAAGGGAATAAAAGCAGACTGCCTGAGCCAGCAGCAGCAACAGGCTCAGGTCCCCTTCCTCACTGTGGAAGCTTTGTTCTTTTGCTCTTTGCAATAAATCTTGCTGCTGCTCACTCTTTGTGTACGCACTGCCTTTATGAGCTGTAACACTCACCGTGAAGGTCTGCAGTTTCACTACTGAGGCCAGCGAGACCACGAACCCACCAGAAGGCAGAAACTCTGAACACATCCAAACATCAGAAGGAACAAACGCCGGACACACCATCTTTGAGAACTGTGACACTCACCGCAAGGGTCCACAGCTTCATTCTTGAAGTCAGTGAGATCAAGAACCCACCAATTTCTTACACACTAAGAGGCTATAGCTTCTTTTAGCCAATGAGTTCATGAGTAAGTTGAGGATGGGGTACCTAGATTGCCTTTAGCCAGGATACCTAACTAATAATTTTGAGTAAATTCTTCAAAGAATAACTGAACAACTACTTTACTTTATATTGTGCTTACCACTGCTCTCCAAAGATACAAAGATGAAATTTGAGAAAGCATGTAGAATAGACCTGATATAGGATAGCATAGGTGTTAACTCAGTGAGAGCTGTTGCCTTGAAATATCTATGAAAAGTCACTAATTTTAGGTATCGAAGCCAATCAATCTCTTCAGATAGACACCTATCTTCTATTACAGAGAGGCTTTTCTGTACCATGTAGATCAATATCAAACATAAAAAGAATTCTAGTTTTACACTAGAGGCTGTTATTAATAATAATTTAGACATGATATTTTTAACAGTATAGACATTTTCTATTTTATATTACGTATATATTCATTTGGTACCTCTTTGCCCACTCTGGGCAGACCCTGAATTTAATTTTTTCTTCATGGTGTCAAATTTTGAACATAAAAAGGGATTTAAAAAAAGAAATATGTGGTGACTCCAGGGTTATTTCACATGTTCATTCCATTAGAAAAAATTAAATAGTTCCTGTAAAAGCTCTTCTATTACCATGAAAAATCTAGAGCTAAATATGCATATCAAAGCTGCTAAAAAATATATCAAAGTAAAAAATACAGTAATAAATAATTACTATAAAAGTTATTTTTTTCTCAGAAGATGGGTGATTTCTGCATTTCCAACTGAGGTACCTGGCTCACCTCTTTGGGACTGGTTAGAGAGTGGGTTCAGCCCATGGAGGGTGAGCAGAAGCAGGGTGGGGCATTGCCTCACCCGGGAAGTGCAAGGGGTCGCAGAACTCCCTCCCCTAGCCAAGGGAAGCCTTGAGGGACTATGCCATGAGGAACTGTGCACTCTGGCCCAGATCCTACACTTTTCCCATGATCTTCACAACCCTCAGACCAGGAGATTCCCTCGGGTGCCTATGCCACTGGGGCCCTGGGTTTCGAGCACAAAACTGGGTGGCCATTTCGGCAGACACCAAACTAGCTGCAGGAGCTTTTTTCATACCCCAGTGGTGCCTGGAATGCTGGTGAGTCAGAACCATTCACTCCCCTGGAAAGAGGGCCTGAAGCCAGGGAGCCAAGTGGTCTGGCTCAGCAGTTACCACCCCCATGGAGCCCAGCAAGCTAAGATACACTGGCTTGAAATTCTTGCTGCCAGCACAGCAGTCTGAAGTCAACCTGGGTTGCTCAAGCTTGGTGAGGGAAAGGGTGTCCGCCATTACTGAGGCTTGAGTAGGTAGTTTTCCCTTCACAGTGTAAACAAAGCCTCAGTGAAGTTCTAACTGGGCAGAGCCCACCACAGCTCTGCAAAGCCATTGTAGCCAGACTGCCTCTCTAGATTCCTCCTCTCTGGGCAGGGGGTCTCTGAAAGAAAGGGAGCCGCCCCAGTTAGGAGCTTATAGATGATAAAACTCTTATCTCCCTGGGACAGAGCACCTGGGGGAAGGGTCGGCTGTGGACACGGCTTCAGCAGACTGAAACATTCTTGCCTGCCGGCTCTGAAGAGAGCAGCACATTTCCCAGCACAGTGTTTGAGCTCTACTAAGGGACAGACTGCCTGCTCATGTGGGTCTCTGACCCCCATGGCTCTGGAATGGGAGATACCTCCCAGCAGTGGTTGACAGACTTCTCATACATGAGAGCTCCAGCTGGCATCTCATGGGTGTTCCTCTGGGTTGAAGCTTCCAGAGGAAGGAACAGGCAGCAATCTTTGCTGTTCTGAAGCCTCCACTGGTGATATCCAGGCAAATAGGGTCTGGAGTGGACCTCCAGCAAACTCCAGCAGACTTGCAGCAGAGGGTCGTGACTGTTAGCAGGGAAACTAACAAACAGAAAGGAATAGCATCAACATCAACCAAAAGGACATCCATACAGAAACCCCATCCGAAGGTCACCAACATCAAAGACCAAAAGTAGATGGATCCACGAAGACGAGGAAAAAACAGGGCAAACAGGCTGAAAATTCTAAAAACCAGAATGCCTCTTCTCCTCCAAAGGATCACAACTCCTCGCCAGCAAGGGAACAATGATTTTGAAGAATTGGCAAAAGTAGGCTTCAGAAGGTGGGTAATAACAAACTCCTTTGAGCTAAAAAAAAAAAAAAAAAAAAAAAAAAAGCATGTTCTAACCCAATGCAAAGAAGCTAAGAACCTTGAAAAAAGATTAGAGGAATTGCTAACTAGAATAAACAGTTTAGAGAAGAACATAAATGACCTGATGGGGCTAAAAACACAGCACAGGAACTTCGTGAAGCATACACAAGTATCAATAGCCGAATCAATCAAGCAAAAGAAAGGATATCAGGGATTGAAGATCACCTTAATGAAATAGAGCATGAAGACAAGATTAGAGAAAAAAGAATGAAAAGGAACCAACAAAGCCTCGAAGAATTATGGGACTTTGTGAAAAGAGCAAACCTACGTTTGATTGGTGTACCTGAAATTGATGGGGAGAATAGAACCCAGTTGGAAAACACTCTTCAGGATATTATCCAGGAGAACTTTCTCAACACAGCAAGACAGGCCAACATTCAAATTAAGGAAATACAGAGCACACCACAAAGATACTCCTTGAGAAGAGCAACCCCAAGACTCATAATCATCAGAAGTTGAAATGAAGGAAAAAATATTAAGGGCAGCCAGAGAAAAAGGTCGCGTTACCCACAAAGGGAAGCCCATCAGGCTAACTGGATCTTTCTGCAGAAACCCTACAAGCCAGAAAAGAGTGGGGGCCAATATTCAACATTCTTAAATAAATTTTCTACCCAGAATTTCATATCCAGCCAAACTAAATTTCATAACTGAAGGAGAAATAAATTCCTTTACAGAGAAACAAATGCTGAGAGATTTTGTCACCACTAGGCCTGCCTTACAAGAGTTCCTGAAGGAAGCACTAAATATGGAAAGGAAAAACTTGTACCAGCCACTGCAACAACATACCAACTTGTAAAGACCATCGACACTATGAAGAAACTGCATCAACTAACAGGCAAAATAAACAGCTAGCATCATAATCACAGGATCAAATTCACAGATAACATTATCCTTAAATATAAATGGGCTAAATGCTCCAATTAAAAGACACAGACTGGCAGATTGTATAAAGAGTCAAGACCCATCAGTATGCTGTATTCAGGAGACCTATCTCATGTGGAAAGACACACATAGGCTCAACATAAAGGGATGGAGGAAGATTTACCAAGCAAATGGAAAAAAATAAAAAAACAGAGGTTGCAATCCTATTCTCTGATAAAACAGACTTTAAACCAAGAAAAGATCAGAAAAGACAAACGATGACATTACATAGTGGTAAAGAGATCAATGCAACAAGAGGAGCTAACTATCTTAAATATATATGCACCCAATAAAAGAGCACCCAGATTCATAAAGCAAGTTCTTAGAGACCTACAAAGATACTTAGACTCACACCCAATAATAGTGGGAGACTTTAAAACCCCACTGTCAATATTAGACACATCAATGAGACAGAAAAATGGATATTCAGGACTTGAACTCAGCTCTGGACCAAGTGGACCTAATAGACATCTGCAGAACTGTCCACCACAAGTCAACAGAATATACATTCTTCTCAGCACCACATCACACTTATTCTAAAATTAACGACCTAATTGGAAGTAAAACACTCCTCAGCAAATGAAAAAGAACACAAATCATAACAAACAGTCTCTCAGACCACAGTGCAATCAAATTAGAATTTAGGATTAAGAAACTCACTCAAAACTGCACAACTACATGGAACCTGAACAACGTGCTCCTGAATGATTACTGGGTAAATCATGAAATTAAGGCAGAAAAAAATAAGTTATTTGAAACCAATGAGAACAAAGACACAAGATACCAGAATCTCTGGGACACAACTAAAGCAGTATTTAGAGGGAAATTTATAGCACTAAATCCCCACAGGAGAAAGCAGGAAAGATCTAAAATCAACACACTAGCATCAAAATTAAAAGAACTAGAGAAGCAATAGCAAACAAATTCAAAAGCTAGCAGAAGACAAGAAATAACTAAGATCAGAGCAGAATTGAAGGAGATAGAGACACAAAAAAACTTTCAAAAAATCAATGAATCCAGGAGCTGGTTTTTTGAAAAGATTAACAAAATAGATAGACTGCTAGCCAGACTAATAAAGAAGAAAAGAGAGAAGAATCAAATTGACACAATTAAAAAAATGATAAAAGGGATATCACCAATAAACCCACAGAAATACAAACTACCATCAGAGAATACTACAAATACCTCTTTGCAAATAAACTAGAAAACCTAGAAGAAATGGATAAATTACTGGACTCATATACCCTCCCAAGACTAAACCAGGAAGAAGTTGAATCCCTGAATAGACCAATAACAAGTTCTGAAATTGAGGCAGTAATTCATGGCCTACCAATAAAAAAAAAAAAAAGCCCAGGACCAGACAGATTCACAGCCAAATTCTACCAGAGGTACAAAGAGGAGCTGGTACCATTCCTTCTGAAACTATTCCAAACAATAGAAAAAGAGAGACTCCTCTTTTACTCATTTTATGAGGCCAGCATCATCCTGATACAAAAACCTGCCAGAGACACAACAAAAATAGAAAATTTCAGGTCAATATCCCTTATGAACATCCATGCAAAAATCCTCAATAAAATACTGGCAAACCGAATCCAGCAGCACATAAAAAGCTTATCCACCACGATCAAGTAGGCTTCATCACTGGGATGCAAGGCTGGTTCAACATGTGCAAATCAATAAACATAATTCATCACATAAACAGAACCAATGACAAAAATCACATGATTTTCTCAATAAATGCAGAAAAGGCCTTTGATAAAATTCAATATCCTTTCATTCTAAAAACTCTCAATAAACTAGTTATTGATGGAACATATCTCAAAATAATACAAGCTATTTATGACAAACCCACAGCCAATATCATACTGAATGTGCAAAACCTGGAAGCATTCCTGTTGAAAACAGGCACAAGACAAGGATGCCCTCTCTCAACACTTCTATTCAACATTGTATTGGAAGTTCCAGCCAAGTCAATCAGGCAAGAGAAAGAAATAAAGTGTATTCAAATAGGAAGAGAAGAAGTCAAATTGTCTCTGTTTGCAGATGAAGTGATTGTATATATAGAAAACCCCATTGTCTCAGCCCAACATGTCCTTAAGCTGATAAGCAACTTCAGTAAAGTCTCAGGATACAGAATCAATGAGCAAAAGTCACAAGCTTTCCTATAAACCAATAATAGACAGAGAGCCAAATTATGAGTGAAATCTGATTCACAATTGATACAAAGAAAATAAAATACCTAGGAATACAACTTACAGGGAATGTGAAGGACCTCTTCAAAGAGAACTACAAACCACTGCTCAAGGAAATAAAAGAGGATACAAACAAATGGAAAAACATTCCATGCTCATGGATAGGAAGAATCAATATTGTGAAAATGGCCATTCTGCCAAAAGTAATTTATAGATTCAATGCTATACCCATCAAGCTACCAATGCCTTTCTTCACAGAATTAGAAAAAACTACATTAATTTCATATGGAACCAAAAAAGAGCCCATATAGCCAAGACAATTCTAAGCAAAAATAACAAAGCTGGAAGCATCATGCTACCTGACTTCAAATTATACAGCAAGGCTACAGTAACCAAAACAGCATGGCAATTGTACCAAAACAGATGTATAGACCATTGGAAAACAATAGAGACCTCAGAATAATGCCACAAATCTACAACCATCTGATCTTTGACAAACCTGACAAAAACAAGCAATGAGGAAAGTATTCCCTATTTAATAAATGGTGTTGGGAAAACTGGCTAGCCATATGCAGAAAACTGAAACTGGACCCCTTCCTTACACCTTATACAAAAATTAACTCGAGATGGATTAAAGACTTAAATGTAAGACCTAAAACCATAAAAACCCTAGAAGAAAACCTAGCCAATATCATTCAAGACATAGGCATGGGAAAAGACTTCATGACTAAAACACCAAAAGCAATGGCAACAAAAGCCAAACTTGACAAATAGGGCCTAATTAAACTAAAGAGCTTCTGCACAGCAAAAGAAACTATCATGAGAGTGAACAGGCAACCTACAGATGGGAGAACTTTTTCGCAATCTACCCATCTGACAAAGGGCTAATATCCAGAATCCACAAGGAACTTAAACAAATTTACCAGAAAAAAACCAACAACCCCATCCAAAAGTAGGTGAAGGATATGAACAGACACTTCCCAAAAGAAGACATTTATGTGGCTAACAAACATAGGAAACAAAAACTCATCATCACTCTTCATTAGAGAAATTCACACCAAAACCATAATGAGATACAATCTCACACCAGTTAGAATGCAATCATTAAGAAGCCAGGAAACAACAGATGCTGGAGAGGATGTGGAGAAATAAGAATGCTTTTACACTGTTGGTGGGAGAGTAAATTAGTTCAACCATTGTGGAAGACAGTGTGGCAATTCCTCAAGGATTTAGAACCAGAAATACCATTTGACCCAATAATCCCATTACTAGGTATGTACACAAAGGATTATAAATCATTCTACTACAAAGACACATGCACACATATGTTTACTGCGGCACTCTTCACAATAGCAAAGACTTGGAACCAACCCAAATGCCCATCAATGAAAGACTGGATAAAGAAAACATGGCACATATACACCACGGAATACTATGCAGTCATAAAAAAGAATAACTTCATGTCCTTTGCAGAGCCACATATGAAGCTGGAAACCATCATTCTCAGCAAACTAACACAGGAACAGAAAACCAAACACTGCATGTTTTCACTCATAAGTGGGAGTTGAACAATGAGAACACATGGACACAAGGAGGGTAACATCACACAGCGGGGCCTGTCAGGGGGTGAGGGAATAGGGGAGGGATAGCATTAGGAGAAATACCTAATGTAGGTGATGGGTTGATGGGTGCAGCAAACCACCATGGAATGTGTATACCTATGTAACAAACCTGCACGTTCCGCATATGTATACCAAAACTTAAAGTATAATGATAATAAAAAAAGAAAACTTCAATTGCCTAGTATGTAACTGAATCCAGTAACTAATGAATAAATAAATAAAAATGATGTGTCCATGCAATGAAATATTATTCAGTTAAAAGAAGAAATTAAGTCCTGAACATGTTACAACATTATAAAAAATTATGGTAAGTTAAAAAAGCCAGACATGAAAGACAATATATTATAATGTTATTTGTATAAAACATCCAGAATAGGCAAACCCATAGAAAAAGAAAGTAGATCAGGGGTTGCCAGGAGATGGGGATAAGGGAGAAATGACAAGGCAAGGAGTTTCTTTTGGAATGGTGGAAATGTCCTATAATTAGACAGTGGTGATGATTATACAGCATTGCAAATATTCTATAAGCCAATTAATTGTACACTTTCTAATAGTTAAAATAATGAAGTTTATATTATGCAAATTTTATGTTAATAAAAATTTGTTTTTAAAAATTAAAGGATGTGACATCAAATATCCGGTGCCTAGGTCACAAATATCCTCTTCTATGACCATGGTTGATATCACTAACATCTACCAACAGTCTATCCTTCTAAGTCTGCGAGTGCTTCAGAGGGTTTTCAACACAATTCTCCAAGTAGCTCAAAAAATCAATTCAAGAATGTGTATTGCTACTTAGTTATTATCCTTGGTGTTGTTTATCTCTAGAATTTCTTTCAACCATACAATATCCTTACAGCATGAAGTCATATTGGGATTTCAAGGCCCATATAACTATGCAGTAAATATTTAACTACAATCACTATTATATCAACCAAGACAATACAAGGTAGTGGAGGAACTCCTCAATTATAGAATTTCCAGTGTACCATAAAATGTTCAGGGCTATGCTAGAAATTAGTAGGCCAAAGACCTGAGAACCTGGAACAGGGAGTTGGGGAGGGTAGGTACAAGTCCAGAGGCTGGAGGGCCTGGAATTCTAATGTCCAAGGACAATAGAAGAAGGCTGACCTAGTTTTTTGGTTTTTAATTGTTTGTTTTGTGTGTGTGTGGGGAGAGGGGGGGAAGAGAGTGAGTGAGAGAGAGAGACAGATTAGTCTTTCCTCAGTCTTTTTATTGGATCTAGGTCCCCAGACAATTGGATAGTGCAGACCCACACTAAGGGTGGATCTTCCCCATTCATTCCAGCAACTCACATGCCCATCTCCTCTGGAAACACCTTCACAGCCACACCTAGAAATAATGCTTTACCAGATGTCTAGGTAGCCCTTAATCCAGTCAAGTGGACGCCCAAAATTAACTGTCACTCTAGCACATTTTTCCGCCATCTACACACATTTTTCTGTTACCTGTGTTTTTCATCTATTATGTTATTTGCTTGTATACTCAGTGTGTTTAAGAGACAACGCATGAAATAACCACAGAACAATATAAACTGAAAATTATTGTAAAGACAAAGTACTTCAAAAAGACTTCTTGAGATTTCACAAAGGAAGGACATTAGCATTTAGAAAATGTTCTGTGATCATCATAGCTGAATCATGGTGCTTTGTATTATTGCATCCTTCATTTACCTTCTAATTGAATTATTAAGCCAAAGTCAGAGTCACCCAGTGCTGCTATGGAATCCAAGTGTTCTCATTTGCCCATTTTTGTATGGAAAACCATTGAATTGCATGACATTTAGGTGAATTCAGATAAAGCCTTTATTGTTAAAGACAACAATGGGTGCAAATATTTAAGTGCATAAACAAGGTGGGATCTGATGCATAAAAGCTAAGAAGACAGTGTTACCGTTCAAAAATATTTTCATGATCACTTAGGGACATTATACAGCTCTGGAAAGAACACTTGGCTAAGAAGAATAAAGGCTATTCTTCCTCTCACAGTTTTTCTCCTGTGTGTTAGAAGCTAAGATCATTTTTAATCTATCAAAATAGCACTCACAATATTTGTGTGAAATCTGTATTTCTCAGAAGAAAATATTTTAATTTCTTTCATGTTGAGCACATACAACGTATGCACCAGTGTTTCTGGCTACTGGGGCTACTACTATAAATGCTATTAAGATATTAACTAACTTCAAGGAATTTAACAGGTGTGTGTGTTTGTGATGGGATGTGGTAGTGCAGTATGCTCATAACTAACCACAGGGCAAAGCATAAAGTTTCATGTTATTTTATCTCCAGGTTGATTGTGCCAGCTACTTAGTCCAAGGAAAACTTTTTTCCTCTTAAATAGTATGCAGAGTTTGCCACAACTTATGCTAATATATCTAAATAAAATCCCCTTTTTTGTTAATGCAAAATAGCCAACTCGAAATAGACTTTTTTTTTGTGGTAGAGACGAAAGTGAGTAGTCTGCACTAGTGAATGTAGCTTGGTAGTAGGCGATGGTTGCTGATTTTCCTCCTGAAGGTTCATAGCCTTGTTACCATCACTAATGCAAACAAACCTGTGACTCATTAAATGCCAGTGTTTGCCTCTTAAAACTTTATCATGTCTCATCTTCCTTAAGCTCTTTATAACTCATATTTTAAACTTATTACATTTTGCCCATTACAACATTGTTCATTAATCTGAGTTGCTTCTTCAGTTTTTTCCACTAAAAATTTTGTTTGCATTGGTTTAGATTATAAACAGTACAGAAATGCAGCTGGTCTGACAAATGATGAATTCTTCAGGCACTGAAATAAGATTTCATACACTTAGCTAGATAGGGTGAGTTAATTTTTCTTTTTTATTTTTATACAATGAGACTGAGAGAAAGGAATCAACCCTTCTCCTCAAATCTTTTTCAGTAACCCTGGGACTTCTGTAATATTGGATCATACTGATAAACCTAATTTCTGACAAATTCTTCCTCATCCAATTCATGGTGAGCAAAAATAAATATTGAAGCAGAAATATTTATTTATAGTAACTTTCAAATGACTTCCTGTGCTGGTCTCTAAAATCATTGGCTAAGGGAAAGCTGTAGGATGATGTTATGTTATAGAGGTGATAAATTGACTTTACTATCCTTAAGCTGGGGCTTCTATTTTTCTTTCCTGTCCTTTCTACCAAGCTAAATTTTAATGACTTTCAGGACCACTCAATTTCTAGCTTTACAGGGAGCTACTTCTGATTATTTTACTTCTCATCCAAAGTAATGCGATTTAAAGCTTGCTTTGACTCTTGAGGCAGATAGATCTGGACTGAAACCTTGGCTTTATCTGTCTCCAACTATGTAAACTTGGCAAGTTGATTAACATCTATGTTATCAGTTTCCTCACATGAACAATGAGAATTGTTTCAACATATTTCTCATAAAGCTGTTAAGAGACTTACATGTAAAGGACATAGGACTGTGTATAGTACATTTTAAATACTCTCCAGTTACTATATTCATCATCATCATTATACCACAATGCTTAATTCTACCTATATCACATCCACCACACTCTGGACTTTCTGCTATTAATTAATTATTCATACATTTGTGCTACATGTCTTAAGCTACTTTTTAGCATCCTTTAAGTCAGGAAATAAATTATTATATGTGTTTGTTACAGGGAGGGTATAAGTGATTGGACAATAAATTGGATCAGGAATCTGGTCACTATGAAAAGAAGTCTCAGTGAAACTACAAGTTATTCTATAATGAGAGAGAGAGGAAGGGAAGGGAAGGGGAAAACATGAAGGAAGGAAGGAAAAGAGGGAGGATGGAGGGAGAGAGGAAGAAAGCACAGGCACATATACTTACATATATACAACGAAAAGAAGTGGTGACCACACACTTTGCATTTATTTTCCTTGGCAAAACAGATTGTTTCATGACTACTGAGCTGGAGATGTCAGAATATGTGAGCACATTGTGCCATCTGAATAAATAAATAAATAAATAAAATCTAGTGTACAGGTTGCAGAAGTAGACAGGAAAAGCAAACTTGAAATTCACATTGTGTCAAGGTTACTATTGCAGGCATCAGGGTAGTTAGAACTTTTTCTTTGTCTCAGACCAAGATAGTCAGAACATTAACATTTCCATTATCTCAGCCCTAGTCACAATAATTAATAATTTGTGACTGTAGAAAGGGATTTTACTGTGTTTATACATCTAATGAATTTATGCTATCTAATAGGTCATATGTATAAATATAATGGTGTGATAAGATTACCGGTTTGTTAATTAAGTCATTACCAATGAAATCCTGAGTGTAGAGTGGTGTGTGTGTGTGTGTGTGTGTGTGTGTGTGTTGGAGAGTCAGTACTGAAACCAACACTGAACTTTACCATGATATCAATACATAAAAAATTCATATTTTGTGTTCTCATTTTCTTTCTCTTAAAATAAGCAGTCTCTAGGAGAAAAAACTCTAAAGGCGGCTCAGATTACATTGCTCATATATTTTCCTTTCAATTTTGTGCCTGTATTGAAAGAACTCATTTCTTCAGTGGGATGACAGTCTGTTTTTTCAGCCCAGAAGGCACTGCAATTTTTCAGGGGAAAAATTACATCTTGATCTTAGAGACCACTGCTGGGGATTTTTCTTCGTATCTCTCACATCTTTTTCTGAAGGACTTTTTAAGATGTCATAATTATTATCTGATTAGGCAGTACTTGCTCTTTAGCCCAAAGGAAAGCTATTCACTATTCCATCATGCAACTGAGAGCCTTTACTGTGAACTTCTCACTGTTTTAGGAGCTGAGATACATCAAGGAACAAAGAAGATAAAGATCCCAGTATTAATTGAGCTTATATTCTAGCAGGAGGGGGTGGAGACACACAGAAAACAATAAACATGATAAATAAACTATAGTGTATAGTAGAGTTAATACATGTTATGGAAAAAGAAAAGTAGAACAAGTTGAAGGGGAGGAATGAGTTGTAACTTTAAAGGGATAGTCAGAGAAGGGCCTCTTTTGGAAGCTTAAAGTGGAGCTCAGCACACCAGGATGTATACATGTGTAACTAACCTGCACAATGTGCACATGTACCCTAAAACTTAAAGTATAATAAAAAATAAAAATAAAAAATAAAGTGGAGCTCAGACATGAAGAACAGCAGAGGGTGAGTCATGTGGGTATCTGAGCAAGAACATTCCTTGCCAAGGGTTGGGGGTGGGGAATCGGAGTAAAGGCATACAAACAAAGCATATCTAGTATATTTATAAAACAGCAAAGAAAATGCTGTTTCTGGAACAGATTTTAAACGAGGGGAGTTAATAGAAAATGCAGACAGAAGGGTGAGCGTGGTTCTATGTAACTTTTGTAGGCATTTTAATCACTTTGACAATGTATCTATGCCAGGTCCATGTTGATTACATTTCTCAATTTTAATGGTAAACTCTATCCCAAGCTAAGAATGAGTTTGAGTATAAATGGGTAATCAACTGGATGGCTAAATAGAGAGGGGGAAATTTTTAGAAGAAAAAAACAGTTTTATTTTTTTCTTCTGCATTGTTGATTCACCTTTTTTCCTCTCTTGTGGACTGCTTCAGGGAGATTTTTTTTTTTTTTTTAGTGGATTAGGTTGATTCAGATTATATCACAAGAGAATGAAAGCATGCTGTTTTCTGCTAATGTTTGCTTAGAGGAAAAGAGGTCTTAGAAAAGTTACCAAAGAGGATTTCTGTTGTTTCTAAATGATTTCCATCACAACTAACTAAACAGCCTCATATGCATTTGAGACAAATGAAGGGAGAAAGCATAATTTTGCCATCATAGTATATCCTATCACAACCTTCAGAATAAAGGTAGATAAAGGATACTGGATTTTTACCTTAGCAGATATTCCTAGCTCCATGCCAACCTTAATAGGAAACTGCTGCATAGATTAATTTTATACCAATCTAACCTCTATAAGAGGTAATCATATTGCTTCTGTCTTAGGTTTGTGTTATAAGGATTGAGATAATGTCTGTTGCAAGACTAACATGAGCTATTCAAGATGCCTAGCAAGTAATAGCTGCTCACCAATGACAAGAGAGGCTATTATTTTGTTGCTACTTTCCCTTAGAAGGCATATCCAGATTCTACCTTCCAAACCTTTTTACTCTGTCTTTTCTGTTTCACAGCTCCCCATTCTGAACACCAGCATCATGCATCCTTTGCTCTGTTCTAGGCACAACAATCAAAAGTGCTTATTCCCAAACTGGACCTGACTTCAGCCAGAGTAAGAACAATACTGATCCTCACCTACCCACTCCCACCATAGTCCCACTAATGAAGCCCTTATTTTACTTCAGAGATAGTTATTTGAACAACTATTAAATCAATTTGGTACATTTAGACAACCATGCTAGAGGATGCAACTTAAACACTAGAGTGTCTTCCTTAGTGTCCATGTTTGTATCTTAATACATCGGTATTCTTCTAATTTACTTGAACAGAATATAAAAATTGCAGCAAATATGTATTTATTCATTTTTATTCAGCAATCACTTCATGATCATTTAGCGGGAGCTAGATATTATCCTAGGTGTGGACATATATGAATGTACAAGTTAGACAAAGTCCCTGCTTTGTGAAGTTTCTTTCAGGGACTGAAATAAAGGTAATAACTAAGTAAACTAAAAATCATCGTTGATAGGTGCCATGAAAAAATTATGTTAGTAACTTCACAGATGCTGACTGGAGGTGGGAGATGATGGAATGGGCTCCTTAGATGGAGTGCTAAGGAGATCTCCTCATGCGTGCCCATTTCTTTGATTTGAAGAACTTAGCAGATCCAACCACAAAAAAAACAAAAACAAAAACAAAAAAACAAAAAAAAACTGAGGTAAGAGTTTTTCAGAAAAAGGGAAGAGTAAGTAGAAGGCTTAAGATGGAAGACTCTTGTATACCTGAGAAAGAAATAGAATGTCAGTGTGGATGTCTTGGCAAGGAGCTACTTCAGAAAAGAGATAAAGGAAGAGAGGAAGGCGGAGCTTAGATCATGGAGCACACAGTGATATAATGTTTCACATGAGACACTTTATACAAATATCAAAAGGAAATTAAAATAGAAAAGATCCAGTAATCACACTCCTTGTTACCCCCCAGGAGTTGAAAACATGTTTACACAAAGATCTGAACAAGGATGTTTATATTGCAGCAGCTTCATTCATAATTGCAGAAACTTGAATACAACCAAGATATCTCTCAGTAGGTGAATAGATAGATAAAGTGTGGTAAATCTAGACAAGGAAATATTATTTAGTACTAAAAAGAAAAGAGCTATCAAGCCATGAAAAGACATGAGGTAAACTTAAACGTATATTTAAGTGAAAAGAAGTCAATCTGAAAAGGCTGCATACCGTATGATTCCAACTATATGACATTCTGGAAAAGACAAACCTGCAGAGACAGGAAAAAGATGAGCACTTGTCAGGGGTTAATGGGGAGAGAGGCACGAATAAGCAGAGCGTAGAATATTTAAACACAATGAATCTATCCTATATGATACCATAATAGCAGTTACATGTCACTAAGTATTTGTCCAAACCCATGGAGAATACAGCAACAAGAGTGAACACTAATGTAAACCATGAAATTTGGATAAATTATGTGTCAGTGTAGGTTCATTAAGTGTAACAAATGTACTATATTTGGCCTTCTGTATCCATGGGTTCCACATCTGTGAATTCAACCAACTATAGATAGAAAATGTATATTTTAAATTGTATGTGTGTGCTGATCGTGTGAAGACTTTTTGCTTTGTCATTATTCTCTAAACAATATAGCATAATGACAATTTACATAGGATTCACATTATATTAGATATTATAAATAATCCAGAGATGATTTAAAGTATACATGAGCATATGCATAGGTTATATGCAAATATTATGCCCTTTTGTATTAGGGACTTGATCATCTTTGGGTTTGGGTTTCCAAAGGAGGTCTTGGAACCAATTTTCCACAGATACAGAGGGATGACTGTACACTGGTCGGGGATGCTGATGATGGGAGAAAATATGCATGTGTGGGACCAGGGGGTATTAGAGAAATCTCTAAATGTTCCTCTCAATTTTGCTATGATCTAAAACTGCTTTAAAAAAATTAAGTATTTAATATAAAAATGAAAAAGAAATAAAAAGCAAAAGAAAGAAGCAATTATGCCATGAGACTAATAGCATTTCAATGTATATTCTCCCAGTATCTGTCTCTGAATATTTTTGTATTTCTCACTTCTCTGTTTCAAATTGTCTCTGTTTGCCACTTTCCTCATATGTACTTTGATGATCATAGGTTCCTCAATTTTCCTCCTTCTCATTCTAATGGTTCTATGCCTCTACATTTTGGATGTTCCTGAGACACAGAACTTCGTAACTCTCTTTCAGGATCCCTGAATTTAAAGCCCTAAATACAGAGTACTAGCCATGTGCCAGGCCTGAACTAAGTTGCTTGGGTTATAAAAATGTATCAGACACCACCACTGCTCTCAGAAGCCTGACATCTGGTTATCTATCTCTTTGTTTCGAGCATATTACTTTCCTTAGACTCTGTGCCAATTCTGGCATGAGTCCATGGCCTGATTTAAGCCAAGGTATAGGCTTAGATCATATTTAGATCAGTTCATTCAAGCTTTTAATATTATTGTCAGGATTTTGAGGGAGGGAATTCTAGACACCCAGATTGCATCCTCTCATGTTATTCAAATAAAATATTAATATACTTGTAATAAAATGTAGGTTGATTTAATCTCTCACTTATTTTAACAGTTAATTTTGGACTTTATACTAAGAGTATTTATTCTTCTTAGAAATAGTTATTTTAGGACCAGAGAAGTAGAATTCAATGAGAAAAGATTGGAGGATCTTTCTCATATCAGGTTTAAAATTTTAGAACTACATACCCTACTTTCCATGTACGGACAATTTTCATCTTGCAGAAAGGGTATAGCATTCAACTTTCATTTATTTTGAAGGTTGTTCTCAGCCTCTGTCTATCCTCACTTTCAGCATTATTAGAACCTCCAAGTAACAAAAAGTGAAATGACAGGATCGTAAATTCTGAGATGTAGAAAGTCTTTTAAAGGTCATATTGCCCTACATATTATGGAAGGGGTGAATAACTTCTATACCATATAAATTCAACAGTCGACTGAGTATTGGCAAAGAATTTGTGATCAGGTTTTACTCATAACTTGTGCTAGAAGTGAGGCCTTAGACAAATCGCTTCTCTGAAGTACTGTTAAATTATTCTGAAGTGTGGCTCTTATCCCTATCTTGCCCATATACCACAATTACTATGACAATTAACTTTGTTGTAAAATTTCTGGATAATGCAATCTAACATAAAAAAATGAACAAACCAACTATGTAATTTGTAGTTAGTTATTTCAGCTATAAAAGGGTAGCACTCCCTCAATCTTAAAAATAATTTTAAAAAAATGTTTCTTAAGAGTCAGATTGCAAGGTCTATATATAATTGGGCAAACAATAATGTAGTTTTTGTTTCTATAGATGTATGTATTCTGGACATTTTATATAAATGGATCATACAATATGTGGTCTTTGGGACTGGCTTATTTCACTTAACATCTTGTTTTCATGACTTAGCTTGGTTTAGCATGTGCCAGTACTTCATTTCTTTTTTATTGTCAAATAATATTACCATGTTATATTTATTAATATATTAGCTGATGAGCATTTGGGGTTGTTTCTACTTTCTGGCTCTTACGAATAATGCTGCTATGAATATCCAGGTATATAGCTTGCATGAGCATATGTTTTCACTTATCTTGCATGTATACTTATGAGTGTTTTCATTTATCTTGGGCATATACCTAGGCATTGCTGGGACATATATAAATCTACGTTTAATATTTGAAGACTTGCCAGACTGTTTCCTAAAACACCTGCAGCATTTTACATTCCCACCAGCAAAGTACGAAAAGCTTCCAATTTCTCTACATCCTCACCGACAATCAGTTTTTTATTTTAAATGCTATAGTTACAAAGAAAAGTTTTAGAATGAATTAATGCTGTGATTTTAATCACAAAGATTAATTTTGCAATAAAAATCCCTGATAATTATGATTATATGTGTGTGTTTGTATTTCAACTGAGAATTGAAGGTTGAGAACTTGGATTGAGACTATATTTGAAAGGTAAATTTCTTTCCATGGATATTATGAAGCCAAAGAATATGAATGTTTTAATTTTAGATATATAAAATTATTTTTTCCAATATATTGTCTCAATGTGTAGTTCAACTAAGGCTTCCCAGACCCTTTTCTTTCCTCAGTAACATGAAAGAATACTTGTAAAAGTTGTGACTGGCTTTACTACTTAATTAGAGGTTCATCATTTAATACAGTGGCACATATTGAACAAGAAAATGTTTGTACTTTTTTTTAAAAAAAAAGAAGAAAGTTAAAATTGTCAAATAGAATAAAGGCTTTTATTAAATTTAATAGGGGAAGAAGAGAAATTTTATTTCTCTTCTGTTGTAGATTCATAGATTAATCAGTGAAGAGAAATTTACTACCAGCTTTTATCTTTATTTCTGCACTTTGTTGCCTATCTCCAACTGACACACTGCTCCAAGAATACTTTACGTGGATTGAATAGCTATGCTGAGACATTTGTGTTTCCATAATGTAAGTGGATTTAAGGGTTATGCAATTATCCAAGAAACAGAGGAACAGTGATGGTAAATATAAAAATGCACACCTGGGGAATAAGAATAACCCAGTGTGGGCCTCCCTCTAATGTCTCTGGTTGTGGAATCTCAGCAAGTCTCTTCTCCTTCCATGTACTCAGTTTTTTCAGCTTTGATGAGAGAGGAGAGGTCTGCATAAATTCCTCCTGTTGTTACTATGAATCTCACGCTGAGGAAAAGATTTTAGATACTATTAGACCTCTCAGCCGTAAAGATCTGACTTGAGAATTCACCCTAGCTTTATTGCCACCAACTTCCAACATCAACATCTTTTAAATACAAACGAAATGGAGGAAAACACTGCATTTGACAGCATCGTTTTTCTTCTTAGGACTAGCTCCTTTACAAGATTTCCACTACAAAGCAGATTTTAATCCTGCCAATCCCTCAAGTGGCATTTTCTCAATATTTTATATGTTGAGGGAAAAAACCAGCACTTTAACAGCCATAGCACTGCAGATGATGGAGTTATGATTCAAACTCTTGGCTGTCTGACTTTGGTCCCTTGTAAAATTTTAGTGTATAGCAGGACAATTAAAATCCCATTCCACCAGTCTGCATTCTGCCTCAAAAATCAATCCAAACATTTCAGAACTTACATTTATTCATGTTAAGACTCTATCTTCCCCAGATATAAAAATGTATCCAAGTTGATGATTTGACAGATTTAGGGACAGAATAGTTATATCTAGCCACATTAGATGGATAGCAAAATTAGCTGAGACATTTCTATTCCATGTTGCTAAGGAGAATGAGTCAGCCTCAGTGGAGGAATCAGATTGTGAAGGATGTGTTTTCTCAGTCAGAGCAGGAAATGAAAACTTACGGAAGATTTTCTACTCATTCAGAGTATTCCTTCAGCTCTTACCTTCTGCTTTGTATTACAAGTGAGAAATAAGTATGTTTAATTATTACAAAATAATATTATAATGTGGGCTAGTTAACTTGTGGTAGTTTCTAACTCTTGTATCTTATTTATATTTCTAAGTATTGCAACTAGAGGGAAAATGGGATAAGGTAAATGAAGGGTCTATAATTTATTTAACAAATCAAAATCTCTTTCAATCCTTCTTTCGCCAAAATCTTTCTCTCTCTCTTTTATGCCTCACCATTGTTTTGGCAATCTCTGGATTATCTTTTCCTGCAAATATTGCAATCAATTACATTTTAAATCCACTGTCTATGTTATTTGCAATACATACTCTGGAGAATTACAGTCTGTCTTAAAATGGGTATTGATGGGAAATGAACCTGCTTTGTTCTTTGCCTTTGCCTTTTAAATTCTAGTTTTTAAACTTTATCCTTTCAATTCTATTCTGCCTTTTAAATATCTTAAGCCTTGTCAATAAAGCAGCTTTATGAAAAGAGTTTCTGGAATCATGGGAACATGGAAAGTGCTTTGGGAGTTTTTATTCCACCATTCCCAGAGATCTTTTACATATTTGACATTGTGTTATTATGTGTCATTAACTCAAATGGATGTAACAATGTTGCAAATAGAAATACCATGTGACATCTTTCGGTTTTTTTAAATTCTTACAAGCAGGTCATGATTAACAAATTTAGAGAAAATGACAAAATGTAACCTCCCACACTTGTTGCTAAAATATGAAAAATTACATGCATGCAAAATGATCAGTTGACATAAGAAAGGCAGGTAGTAAATATACAAAAGTGAAAATACTCACCTTTGTTAAGTGACAATAATGTGTATAAATGTATATTTGAGATCAAATTATGCATACAAATGTATATCAAGGAGCTGGTTTTTACGCTAACACATTATTAAAAATTACAATTGTTGAAGCCATTGCTACCAAAACACAGTAAAATTGGAGCATGCCTATACTTTTTGCGTTGTAAGGTGGTATAGGCTTTTTGAAAAAACAAGGCAATATGTACCAATATTTCTAATTACTTCAAAATTTGTCACCAAGGGATTTATCCAACAATTATAGCAAAACAGAAGCAGAAAACTTTATGTGCAGAAATGTTCAGTAGTATATATTTAAAATTATGAAAAATCGAATTACATAACACTGAAATTTATGCATTAATACAAATGTCACTACATATCTGTTAAATTATAGTTACTATAAATATTTTTTAAATCCTGAAGAAAAGCCTTTTATAATGCTATGCAAAATCATAAATTTGTGTTTGTATAATAGTTGCAATTTTATGTTTTTGTGTGCATATGTATATTTTTACATCTTATTTTTCTTTTCAGAAGAATGAGAATATTACCTCCTTCATAATCTTATTCAAGGATTAAATGTGACAATGCAAATAAAGTGCTCAGTTCAGTGTCCATCTCCTAGTAATCCTTCTATGGATGCAGTCTATTATTTCTATTTGTTGTAAACTGACATGAGCCAATTTGAACCTCACCACCATGTGTTATTTTTGGAGATGGGGCAGACAGCCTCTAAAATGGTTTTTAGCGACCTCACCTTTTGATATCCATGTCCTTGTGTAATCCTCTTCTCCTGAGTGTGGGTTGTGCCTAGTGACTCATTTGTAACAAATAAAATTCTATAACAATGATGAAATATCTCTTTTGAGATTATGTTAAAAAAGACTATGATTTTCTCTTGCTTGTCCTTTCCTGTTCTTTCTCATTCTCTTCCTCTCACCTTCATGGATCTAGATATGTCACCGTGAGATTCCCTATGCAGAGGCCCATGTGGCAACAAACTGATGTGTCCTTCCAACAACCAGGCCTGAGACCTCACAAGACCCAACTGGGTAAGCCTGGAAGTGGATCCTCCACTCATCAAGCCTTGAGATGATTTCAATCAACACCTTGATTGTAAACTTGGGAGACACTGTGATTCAAATTCAGATGTCACACCTGAATTCTTAAACTATAGAAACAATGAGATAAAAAAAAAAAAAAACTTGTATTAAGCTACGGAGCTTTGGAGTAATTTTCTAGGAAGCAATAGATAGCTAATAGATTTCACTGGTTTTATAGAATTATGGTTTGAGGATTCTTAGACACTATCCCCATGTAAGGTAACATGTTTAAATGGAATAAAGTTTCAATTTAGATCTTGCCTAAAAACTTTCAATAGCAAGAAGACACAAACACACATACACATACACACACACACATATGCACTCATACACAATAACTATATGGCCTTGTTGTTTAAATTTGATGAAATTTTAGATCTTAAACTCATGAGAACTCCACCAAAAACTTTGTGTGAAAGTAGTCTTGAGGCAGATGCAACAATTTGTAACAGACATCTCAGCTAATTTTATGGTCAAATTAGGTAATATCAATTCTCCAGTGCATTGCTGTGCATAGAACATCCTGAGGTGATCAAAATATATTATGGTATATCTTGTCTATCCAACACTGTAGCCACTAGGTACATGTGGCCTTTCAGTACTTGAAATGTAGCTAGTGTGATAGATATTAAATTGTATGTAGTTAATCTTAGTGAATTTACATTTAAATTGCTTCATGTGGCTAGCTTCTATCAGATTGGACTGCACAGCTCTAGTAGGTGGTGGGACAAAAGAACCACATCTGAGTTCTAGACTAAGAGCACCAAGGGGAAAACTGGCTGCTAAAACTAACTAGATTTTTACATTCTTAATAATGTCAGAGTACAGAGTACAATATTTCTAACAAATCCACAAATGTTAATATCATTTATTTCATCAATGAAAAAAAATCTATCATCACTTATTGTAATTAGCACAGTCTAGTGAAAATTATATAACCATATTAAAGCACTTGTAGAACAATATCCCTGGAGAGTATATTGTTGATTGGCAAGGTTCCAAAATTAACTTCCCTAGATAGAGGAAAGAACTAAGACATGCAGGCATTGTACACTACTTATACTGAAGTTGCTTAAAGCACATTGCAGATAATACAATGAGCGTAATTAGTATTATTATTTACAATTTTATTTCGTGTAGAAGTAGAGAATTGATAATTACACAACAAAACCCTGGGCATTTGCAGTGAGAAGCACGGGAGACCTGATTTAATCACACATGAAATAATAGTGGCAATAACTTCTTCAGAGAATAAAATCATTTTGTAGAGATAATTCTGTTTAGATATGATCCTCCTGCTGAAAGGCAGCCTCTATTATCTCTCCAAGCTGCTGAGCCACAGAGGAGGTGGTCCAGATAGCTGTGGCATGCATTCTTAAAGAAGAGCAGACTCTCCTCATCTTATGATTTATTGAATGTGCACAGTAGCTAGTAAGGACCACACTAGACAAGTCAATACACCCAGTGAAGATCTGGATTGATCTACTATATGCTGAGAGACACATTTCTTTTAATTAATGCAGATGCTGCAGTGCCATTTCAATGTAAAATGATGTGAGAATTTGAAGATTAGTGGGTAACATAAAATTGTGATGAATTAGAAAAAAAAAAGATGCTGGTAACATCAGGTCTGTGCTATTTTCCTTTGTGATATCTGCGCAATGGTCTTAGTTTTTACCTGGAGGGGAAGCACTAGATATTAATATGAAAACTTACTAAACCTTATATTTAAAATATGAGATCTTTCTCTATACTTACACATGCACACACATATGCACACATGCTTACATTACGATTATTGCATATGTATACGTGCCTATATATAACGTTATATGCACACATATGTTTATATACATATATAGCATCATTACATATGGTTTTGTAATATATATTTGCATGTATTCTAATTTTATATGGGGGCTTAGTTTCTCATTGTTTCAGTGACTTCATTTTACATTGGTCTTAATTATCTCTTTTGGTATTGGTAAATATATATTTAATCTGCTGCCTACAAAAGGCAGCAACATTATACATATTTGTCTGGGTTTCCTCATCTGTAAGTTGAGTGTAATAATGCCTACTTCATAAGGTTATTATTAGGATTATATATAATCCTATTATATATAATAAATAATAATCCTATTTTATATATATAATAAAATATATATATTAGGATATATATATAAATTGTTTGGCACAAAACAGTTGCTTTGTGAGGAATAGCCATATCATCATTTATTTCACTAAAGTAAAAAACATATAACGTGTGCAATAAACACATTGAATTTCCACTATGAATACTTTGTGTTAAAAATACACATTAGTTTATTGTTTATCATAACTGTGATGTCCAATTATAATTTATTAACAATCTCAACTTATTTTGATGATAGACTACTGAGAAATGTTATGGTATAATTTATTAAAGATGATCACCTTCAACTCTTACTAGTAAAATTTTAAATAATGACTTAAACATTTTAACCTAAATTTATTTTATTAGGAGGTAGTTAAGTAAAAATATTCAACATTCATATAAAAAGGAAATTATTTACATACAGATAAATGACTTTTTTCTGGTGTTACACTAAGGAATATGGGTACATTTAAAATAATTTTCAGCATTTTCTTGGGACAGATCTCCCAGACAGAGCAGGCAGAACACCATTTCTGCTGCCCCACAGCCCTCAAAGTTGTTACTCCCCGACTCTGGAAGGTTCTCAGTGACTAGAGACTGGTGCGGACCCCCAGCACAGTGTAGCCACCCCCATGAAAACGTGGTAAGACTATTTCCCATGTGGGTTCACTTCTTACTGGGTGGGTCATCCTGGCCTGAGGCTCCAGCACAACTACCCTGCCCCTGCCTGAACACCTCAGTCAGAGGCAGTTCTGAATTTCTGTTAGAAGGAACTTCAGAGACAAACCACAGCCCCTCTGCCTTTGCAACTGCAGGGCTACTTCCCTGACCAGCCTCAGGCTGGGGAAGGAACAAAAGGCCTGGTCATTACTCTAGCACCTCCAGCACACAGCAGCCATTATACAAAAAGAAGCCCAGTCTCCCTTCCCTGTGAGCTCCTATACCCCACTCATCACCAGGCAGGGCCCCCAAGATCAAGACAGCACAAGAGCCACCCCACCCCAAGCTGAGCATACCCACAGGTAGTGGCTCTGTGTTTCCCTTGGGAGGGGCTTCCAGAGGCAACTGACAGGCCCTCTAATACTGCAATGGCAGGGGTTTTGCCCCTGTAGCCTTTGGTCTGATGAAGAAACAAAGAACCTGAGGGCTTCATTTGTGCCTCCAGCACATCACAGCCACCACAGGGAGAGGAGCCTAGTGTCTCCTCCCTGGGAGCACTCAACACCCCACCTCTCATCCCACTGTCTTCAGCAGGTAGAGCCCTCAGCTAGAGCCAGCAGCTCAGTCATCCAGCCCCTGGCTGAACATTCCTGGTAACACTGGCTTCACGTTTCTCTGAGGTAGAGCTCCCAGAGACAACTGAAAATACCTCTATCCACTGCCACTGGATAGTATAGAGTATAGTAGTACTATCCTTGTTGTCCTCAGACTGGAGAAGGAGCAAAGCCCCTTGAGTGATTTAACCACACCTCCAGCAAGCTGCAGTTCCCCTAAGAAGGAGAGGCCAGTCTGTCTCCCTGATGACCTCCCTACTTGACCTCCCTGACCTCCCTACTTAGGGGCAAGATCCCCTAACTTGGGCCCACAGCACAACTGCCCCCACCCCAGGCTGATCACACTGATCGATAGTGCTTCTACATCTCTCTTAGGGAACCCTCAAGAGACAACTGAAAAAATCTCTCTCACAACCATCATCAAGATCCCATTCCCTGCTGCCTCCAAGCTGGGGAGAGAACATAAAGCTTGAGCTCGCCTCAGACCAGTGGTATACAGCTCAGGACAGCCAAGGTGAGATCTGCAACCAACACTCAAGTGGAAGAGGAGCACACACTTTCAGACCACTGAGGGGGTGCATGACTGCAATCATGAGCAAAATACAGATGAGCATGTGGCTGAAGAAGAGTCTACCTACTGGCCATTATATTTAAGCACCATCTACTGCATCACAGTGTAACATCAACAGCAAAAATACTTTGTTAATATACCCCCTGGGGAACTAAGGACAATAATTTAACTACAAATAAAGACCCTACCTAAAGCCTTAGCCCTCTGAAAATATCCAGAAAAAAAAGTCTACTGACTGTACTCAAATTACACTGCAGTTAAAGGAACATCAACCCACACAGATAACAAAGAAACAACATGAGAACTCTGGCAACTCAAAAAAGCCAGAGTGTCTTTTTTCCTCCAAATGACTACATTAATTCCCCAGTAAGGGATCTTAACTTGGCCGAAATGGCTAATATTACAGAAATAGATTTCAGAATATGGTCAGGAAGGAAGATCATTGAGATTCAGGAGAAAGTCAAAACCCAATCCAAGAAATATAAAGATTACAATAAAATGATACAAGAGCTGATACACAAAATGGTCATTATAAGAAGAATGAAACTGACCTGATAGAGCTGAAAAATGCACTATAAGTGTTTCATAATGCAATTGCAAGTATTAACAGCATAATAGACCAAGCTGAAAGAATATCAGAGCTTAAGGACTGGTTCTTTGAAATAACTCATTCAATCAAAAGTAAAGAGAAAAGAATAAAAGACGAATAAACAAGACCTCTGAGAAATATAGGATTATATAAAGAAACCAAATCTATGACTCATTGGCATCCCTGAAAGAGCTAGGGAAAAAGCAATCAACTTGGAAAACATATTTCAGGTTATCACCCACAAAATCTTCCTCAACCTCACTAGAGAGGACAAAATTCAAATCCAGGAAATTCGGAGAACTCATACAAGATACTACAAAAGACCATCCCCGAGACACATAATCATCAGATTCCCCAAGGTCAAAATGTAAGAAAAAAATGCTAAAGGAAACTAGAAAGAAAGGACAGGTCACCTACAAAGAGGACCCCATCAGGCTAATAGCAGACCTTTCAGTAGAAACTCTACAAGCCAGAGGAGACGGGGGCCTATATTCAGCATTCTGAAAGGAAGAAATTCCAACCAAGAATTTTGTATCCAGCCAAACTAAGCTTTGTAAGTGAATGAGAAACAGAATCCGTTTTAGAGAAGCAAGTGCCGAGGGAATTTTTTACCACGATTCTTGCCTAACAAGAGGTCCTAAAAGGAGCACTACATATGGAAAGAAAAGACTGTTACCAGCCACTACAAAAACACACTTAAGTACACAGACCACTGACACTACAAAGCAACCACACAAACAAGTTTGCATAAATAATAGCTAACAACACAATAACATGATCAAATCCACAATATAAATATTAACTTTGAATATAAATGGGCTAAACGCCCCCATTTAGAAGGCACAGAGGGGCAAGCTTGATAAAGAAGCAAGATATAGTTAATGCTGTCTTCAAGAGGTCTGTCTCACATGCAGTGACACCCATAGGATCACAATAAAGGGAGAGAGAAAAATCTACCAAGCAAATGGAAAGTAGAAATTACCAGGGTTTGCTATTCTAATTTCAGACAAAACAGACTTTAAAGCAACAAACATTTTTAAAAAAGGAAATTACATAATGCTATAGGGTTCAATTCAACAAGAAGACATAACTATCCTAAATACATATGCACTCAACACAAGAGCATTCAGATTCATAAAGCAAGTTCTTACAGACCTCTGAAGAGACTTAGATTTCCACACAATAATAGTAGGAAACTATAACACCCAAATGACCATATTAGACAGATTATCAAATTAACAGGGATTAACAAAAAAAATTAACAGAGATATTCAGAACTTGAATTTGATGCTTTACCAAGTAGACCTACTAGACATCTACAGAGTTCTTTACGCCAAAACAACAGGATATACATTCTTCTCATCACAACATGGCACATACAGTAAAATTGATCAGAAAATCAGACATTTAAAAATCCCTTAGCAAATTCAGAAAAACTGAAATCATACCAACCACACCGTTAGGACACAGCACAACAAAAATAGAAATCAATACTAAGAAAATATCTCAAAATCATACAACTACATGAAAATTAAACAATCTCCCACTAAATGACTTTTGGGTAAATAATGAAATTAAGGTAGAAACCAAGAAATACTATGAAACTAATGAGAACAAAAATTCAACATATATTTGGGACATAGCCCAGGCAGTGTTAAGAGGGAAGTTCATAGCACTAAGCACCAACACCAAAAAGTTATAACAATCTCAAATTAACAACCTAACATCACGAGGATCTAGATAAAAAAGAAAAAAAAAATACCCGAAGAAATAACCAAAATCAGAGCTGAATTGAAGAAAAATGAGATGCAAGAAAACATACAAAAGAGTAATAATTTAGGAATTTCTCCATGAAAAAATTAATAAGAGACAGCTAGCTAGACAAATAAAATACAAAAGGGAGAAGAGCCAAATAAATAGAAATAACAAAGGGGACATTGCCACTGAATTATAGAAATACAAAAAAAAAAAAAAAACTCAGAGACTACCATGAACACCTTTATGCACAAAAAGTAGAAAAGCTAGAAGAAATGGATGAATTCCTGAACACATACAACATCCCAAGATTGAACCAGGAAGAAATTGAATCCTTGAACAGACTAATAATGAGTTCTGAAATGGAATCAGTAATGAAAACCTACCACTACCAACAACAAAAAGCCAGGCAGATTCATAGCTGAATTTTACTAGATGCATGAAGAAGAGCTGGTATCATTCCCACTGAAACTTTCCCAAACATTGAGAAGGGTCTCATCCCTAACTCATTCTACATGGCCAGCAACATTTTGGAACCCAAACCTGATAGAGACATAACAACAACAACAACAAAAACCTTCAGGCCAATATCCTGGAAGAACATAGATGCAAAAATCTTCGACAAAATATTAGCAAACCCAATCCAGCATCACATCCAAAAGCTCATCCACCACAATCAAACAGGCTTTATTCCTAGAATGTAAGGTTGGAATATACACAATATGCACAAATCAATAAATGTGACTCATCACATGTATATTTCAATAGCCGCAGAAAAGGTTTTCAATAAAACTCAATATTAATAGGGACAAGAAGCAAACAAATTCTAGGCAGAAAAGGGTGGATCCTTGGCAAAACCCCACCTTCAAGCCAGAAGGCCTGAAACCATAGCACAAAGTCAGAACTTATATCTCTGCTTTTCCACTAGAATCCTGCCTTTTCGTAAATCACGCATGGCCACACCTTACCCCATCTTGTGCCTATAAAAACCCCGCATTCAGCTGGTAGATGAGACTTAGTGCCATTTCAAAGCAGTTAATATGATAATATTAACCAGACAGTCAACTATTGTATAACATTTCATGGAAACAATTTCTGCTATCTTCAATCTGAATTTAAGAAAATAAGGGCTACCAAATTGTAGAAGGTTGAAATTTGTGATTAGCGCAACAGACAGTTATGCTATAATTAGCAGTCACACAGACACATGTAAATATCCCTCTCCCTGAAACTGATCTTCCAAGCATTGAATATTCATCATGCTTTCCCAAGCTACTCATATTATGTTTTACAATAGCACTGCAGAAAATTTTGTTGTAGAATGTATAGAACACATTAACAGAACATGCACCTAGGGGTAACTATCAGTCCTACAGACCAAGGTTACCAGTATATGCTGTGGTGCTATGCACCATACATAATCTTATCAAATCCAAAGGTTAGGGTATGGAAAAGCTAAAGTAATTCCTTGGTTGAACATAACATAGTTTTCTGTCTTTTTTTTTCGAAATAGAAATTTAAGAACCTTTTTTCCACAAGAACATAATTTTTCTTATCTTCTTCTTAGAGTATTTTCTGGTCTTCTTAGAGTATTTACCAGTAATATTAGGAAACAATTTATAAGCTGCTATGCATAAGTGTAGTGTCTTTCATGATTACTGCCTTAGTGCCGTTAATTGAAGAAACAATAATCTTCCAGAAAAAGTTTTCATGGTTAGTACTGTTTTACTTCCTTCTTCCCTTTCTCCTTTTCTTCCTTCCTTGTTGTTGTTTTGTCCCTGTTTTTCTTCCACGCACACATGCGCATGTGCACAAACACACACAATACACAGCAAATTGGAAGCTTTCATGTTTGTTTTATTGGGACTCTTATCAGGCTTTGAATTTAGCTCAGACTGGATGCAAATCTTAGACCTGACAATCAGCTTTGTGACTCTGGTTGTATTACATAGTTTTATAACAAATTACACAAACGAAGATGTTTTAGACAATGCTCATTTATTATCCCACATTGTCCATAGATCAGAAGTCTGGGCATAGTAGAGTTATCTGCTCAAGGTCTCACAAAACTAAAATAAAGGTGTCAATCAGGGCTACTCATCTGAAATTCAGGTTCCCTTTTAAGCTCATGAGGTTTTTAGAAAAATTCATTTCCTTGAAGCTATGGAATTTATGGAGGCTGTTTCTGCAGGGCCAGCAAGGGAGAGTTACTCCGACCACCAGACTTTGTTTTAAAAGCTTACTTAGCTAGATAAGCGTAACTAGGTAATTTCATTTTTGATTAGCTCTAATTAGAGACCTTAATTCCATTTGCAAAATTCGATTTTGCCACGTAACATAATCACAAAAGTGATACTCCCTCATATTCAAAGATCTCACTGACACTCAAAGAAAGGGTATGATATACAGATGTGGATCATTCAGAGTAATGTATTTATTCTGCTTGACACTATGAGCAAACTGCATAATATTTGTTTGCTTTTTAGACTCCTAACTAGCATGCTCTGAAAAATTACTGAGAAGAGTGAAAGATTAAATACTATAATCAATATAAGCCAGTCTATATTGCTGTAGTAGACATCTTTTGGATGTTTGCATATTCACTATGTCACCTTTTTTTCTGGAAAGCTCACCCTCTTTCCAACCTCCAGGTGAAAGACTCTAGAATTCCTAACCCTGCCCAAATGCTACAGTTGGTTGAATGGCTAGTCTACAGATTGCTCAGATACTCAGGAATTTGGAACTGGGATACATAGACATCTTATGACTGTGATTGAGGGAGATGTGTGTGTTGTATGTACAAGAAGCAGAGAAAGTCTATTTGAAAAGAGTGAGCACAAAATTGCATTACCAGCCTAACAAAATTCAGTCTCTACTGTGTAAATTCAAGGCTTTAAAATTCTCACTCATCTTTTTCATAATCAAAATTATTTGGCTGTTGCAAGAACTGGCAGGTGTATAATAATTCCTTGTATTGTTCTCTGCTCCCTTTAGCTTCTGGTTTAGGGTTATTTATCTTGTCAGGTCCCTACAGCTTTGCAGTGCCCTTCACTGGCCCCTATTTGCAAGGTTCACACACTCTACATTTTGTTGTCCTCTCTTCAGTTTGCTTTCCATCCTTTACTACGAGTTTGTCAATTTCCATTGCCTACTTGGGGGACCATAAGGGTATTAGTAGATACTTCTCTTTATTTCATGTTGAAATGTATAAGATCTGGAGACCTTCTGTAGTAATTATGATTTTATTGTTTAGCACTAAATACGAAATGTATTGTTCAATTAATTTCTAGTGTGAAAATGGAAACTAGTAATAATTAATCTGGGACAAGAAGTGCAATGGTATTTTCTCTGTACATTGGAAAATATGATCGCTGTGAAGTAGAATACAGTGTTGTAATGTGATACACTGCAAGCTAACCACATTATCTGCAAAGACTGTCAAGTAATGCAAAATCACATAGGGGTTTAGCACTGGAAAGATCAGAATGCCAGACTCTTTAAAGCCCTGTAAATCTTCGTCTTTCCAGAGCTGGTCCAACTCTTACTACTTAGAAGGGGAAAACTAGAACTAAATGAGTTTAATTTTATAATCACTTAATGCAATTTAATTATTTTAAATAATTGTATATTACTTTGCAACCAGCAACACAGTGAACTGTTAGAACATTTTATTGCAAAAAGTTTCTTTGTTCCTGTTTTAATAATTCATTTTTAGAGATAAATTTTATGCCTTCTTCCTTCAAAACTTTAAATTTTAATGTTGCGATAGAAGCCTTTTTTTCAAGTTCCTGACTCTTACAATTGAAAATAATAAATTTTCATACTACTGTCTCCACTGTTGATTTATTAAAGTTAAAATAGGGTGGAAAAAATTCAGAAACATGACCCTTTATGTTAATTTGCATAATCTCATCCATAGAAAATAAGTCTCACATCTAGGTTTAAGTAATTAAGAGAAAATAAGTGGAATTAGTAAGAAGAAAGTGAAAATGTAATAAGTAATTTTACTAATAATATTCGTCAAAATTATTATAAAAATTTATAAAACATCAATAAAAGGTAGACTCTAACGGCACTTTGAAAATATTCATATATTGTTGAATTTACAACTTTTGGACATTTGTATTAATTCAGGTTCACCTAAAGAAGTAGAACCACTTCTTTGTTTCCCATAAACATTATAAGAATAATGTTTAAGAATAAGAATAATTTATCTATGAATTAGATCTTACACACCAGTGGGAGTTGATAGAGACATGAAGTCTGGAAAGGTAAATCAGAGGATTGCAGAAAATATCCTTAACATGTCTGTCTGAAGTACTAGCTTGGGTAGACAAGCTGCATCATAAAAAACAGAAAAGGAAAAGTACATCAACTGAATAAAATAAAATCATGAAAGAGGAATATATATACAAGCCTTTGGGGAGCCATTACCTGTGTGTATGTACTTCCTCTGTGAATCTCTAGCCAAGCATCTATTGATGCTCCTGGTACCACTAGTATTGAACACAGGAAGATAAGTTGGATGCAAAGTCAGGAAGTATTAGTTCAAATGGAACCCAATGAACATCTTTGTGATTATTGGTTCTATATCTAACTTCAGTGGCCTCTCAAGTGCAATGTTGCTGCTTCTATTCTGCAGTACAAGTCTCATGGAAATTCCTTTTTTGGACATTCTGACTTGAAACCATATAGCAAAGATGGTTCTGGGAAAGCTTCACAAACTGATGTGGTATAATACTTCAAAATATCAGTTGAATAGAAATTAATCATGGACAAAATCAATACCAATGATAATATCAATAAAACCAGTAAGTTACAGTTAGTGATTTAGAGGTCTATAGTATGGAATGACATGGACATAGTGTTTACACATGAATTTCTTTTTTTCATATAATCATGAAGGAAATATAAAAGAAAAATAATATTTATTAAAACATAATAGATAAGCCACTGTACTATGAGATTTTGATATATTCCCTCTTTCAAACCTGAAAAAAAACTATGCTTAATTATAAATATTCACTTTTACAATGTGTCAGATTTAAGGTTAAGAATCACATATGAACTTTGATTTACTTCATAGTTATTTTAGATGAGATAGGTGAAACAAAACTGAGAAAACTGAATTTCATATCAATAGCTCTCTTTGAATCCTCCTTATGCTAAAAAGACAGTAATAGATATGGCATTGTAAACCTCATTCAGTATATAAATCCAATACTCAAGTCCTCATATAATTCACTCACCAGTGAATAGAAGCTGAAAAGTAATGACAATGAAATATTCTGAATTTGCAACCTGCTTTTGACATTTAGAGACTTATGACCTTGGATAAGTTACATAAATGTTTATAAATCTTTATTTTCTCGTCTGTACAAAAAGGATAATAATATTACACATTTCACATGTTGTGAGAATTAAATGGGAAGACAATTTCTCACAATGCCCTAACAATATTAAACATTCAAATAATGCCAACTACTATGAATAAAATAAGAATATAAAAATTCTATCATCTATCTATCTATCTATCTATCTATCTATCTATCTATCTATCTTTCTTTCTTTCTATCCATCCATCCATCCATCCTCAACTTCCAAGAGACTCCACAGAGGCAAATGAAATGACAAACTGCAAATATCATCAGCAGTCCACCAGTTTTGAAAATAACAACACCCACAGTCCTCTATATCATTTTATTCTCATCTAAATTAAATGTTTTACTTTACAACCTGACATGCCTTTTATATCGACCTCGATCAAAAACCTTCCAAAATAAGATTGATTAACAAAACAATTTTAAAAACACCATCTGCCTTGTCTTCAATGAATAATAATTATGCCCATTGAATATGACATTACTATCATTTATGGTAATTTGGAATATTTACTGTGCTTTGCATATTACTTTACAATCAAAATATTAGAAGCCTTTATAACTCTGTGAACCATGTGAAACTCAATGAGGCATTTCTTATAAAGCAGGATAATTTTGTTGTGAATATCTCACTAAGCTGACTTAATAATAATTTGTCTGCATTCTGAGAACTGATCTCAGCAGCTTTTATATATATGTGCTTTGAATTGTGAGTCATTTAGAGCACTGTAAAAATATAGCAATGCATTCAGGGTGTCAATGGCTCCTTGAACAAATTTAAACTAGTAAGAAAACCCAGATGATCTACTAGTAATTGTGGGAATTGCTTTTCATTAAATTTAATATTGGACAAGATTGACTTTGTTCACTATCATGACATGGACTTATTGTCTATAGTATTCTAGTAACATTACATGGGGGTGCTCCTTTTCCTTTAATGAAGCAACAGGATGGAAAAACTAGTCATACCATTTTATGGCTGAGTGCAACAAAACTGCTGCACCTAACAGAGTATCGATTGAGGCAAGCAAATATATGAAGAAACAGTTGGGAACAGTCCCAGGACACCTGAGAAGTTAAGTGGCATTGCATGTTAGATTTTTGCAAAGTGTTCATGCAATTCCCTTAAGAATTGCTGTTACACCATTTCAGGTTATTTCCTTAGAATGAATATGCTGACAACTACCTATAAAACAATAAAGAGGTACTAAGAACAGAAGTTCCTCTGGCCTTAACAGAGTCCACAGAGTACCAAATGACTTTTTAAGCAAGATTATTTTTTTCCTGTAATCTATGGATAAAATATGTCCTAACTGCTATCTGTGGAACACATATTAAACAAGCTATTTGCTTGAATCATCTCTTGAATATCCCCTACTAGAGGTAATTTTTTTTCTTTTCTATAAAAAAGAAAAATTAATTTTGAAATATATGTCAATAAGTAAGCTAAAATTTATTAATGTCAGATTTTCATAGGTGCTCAACGAATAGTCACAATTATTATTTCATCTGGGTTTCTTTTAGAATTGTTTAAAATCACAGGGCTAGGGTGTTTTTTTTTTTTTCCTTTTAGTGAATTCACGCATACTAAGAAAAGTTTGAGAGACAGATTTATTTGAAGAAAGCAAGACAAATCTTGCTTTCTTTCCTTATGTAAGGAATTTTCAACAAATACTTATTGCTTTCCTTCCTTAAGTAAGGAATTGTCAACAAATAGTTATTGAAAATATGTAAAATACAACAGATACTCTCGATTATTTTTTCTAGCTGAGCAAATATAAGAAACCTGACTAGAAACCATACCTTCTGATTAAGAATTATTATATTGCACATTCAAAGGCTGAAAGTGTCAAAGTTTGTACAAATTATTTTCATATATTTTGCTAAATCCTTAAAATTTTATTCAGTATAGCTCTGGTTTTTTAATTAATAAGTTAATTCTTAAAAATTCTATACCCCCAGTATTCTGCTAAAGCCCTCCAATGTTTTGATATTAACTTTTCCTTTATTTCTTAGAGGAAACAAAATTGTGGAGACATATTTCCATATTTGATGCTAATTCCAGGTCCTTATCAAGATTTCTTAAGTTCCAATGAGGATCCATTGGACAAAACTCCCTCTGATGCAAGGCTGGTTCAACATATGTAAATCAGTAAATGTAATTCATCACATAAACAGAATCGATGACAAAAAACACATGATAATCTCAATAGATGCAGAAAAGACCTTCAATATAATTCAACACCACTTCATGCAAAAACTCTCAATAAACTAGGTATTGATGGAATGTATCTCAAAATAATAAGAGCTATTTATGACAGACCCACAGCCAATATTATACCAAATGGGCAAATCCTGGAAGCATAATAATTATGCTTTATTCAATTTACATATAAACAAAAACACCCCTCTCACTTGAGGAAATTCCTTTAGTTTGGAGTTCCTTCCTAGGAGCCAAGGAGAAAGACAGGAAAAATATTAATACATAGTATCTGTATTAATTTATTTTCCTGAGTGTCAACATGAAGTGTCTGCCTCTGATTCTCTTGGACATCTGAAAGATGTCCACTTTCCCCTTGACATAACACAGTGTATTCCAGAGAGACTCTGCACATAAGGAGTGTCAGTAATTCTGATAGGGTACTCTTAATATTATAGATGTACATGCTTTTCTTCTGCTAATTTTAGCATTATTTCCTTCATGTTGATCTTAGACCAGGGTTCCCCAACCCCTGGGCTATGGATTGGTACCAGTCTGTGGCCTGTTGGGAACCAGGCTGCACAGCAGGAAGTGAGTGGTAGGTGGACAAGTGAAGCTTCATCCGTATTTACAGCCACTCCCCATCACTCACATTACTGCCTGAGTTCTACCTCCTGTCAGATCAGCAACGTCATTAGGTTCTCATAGGAGCACAGGCCCTATTGTGAACGGTGTATGTGAGGGATCTAAGTTGCATGCTCCTTGAGAGAATCTAATGCCTGATGATCATAGGTGAAACAGTTTCATCCCAAAACCATCCCCACCCTACCCTAGTCCCTGGAAAAATTATCTTCCTCAAAGCCCATCCCATGGGGACCACTCACTTAGACAGTCTGATGACTATGTATCTAGTTAAGTCCATTTTGCAATGTATTTTACTAGCGTTTGTTGGGCCTCATATCTGGATGTCTAAATCTCACGCTAGGCTAGGAAAGTTTTCATCAATTATTTCTTTAAATAGTTTTACTAAACTTTTTACTTTTTCTTCTCCTTCGAGAACCGATGAGTCATAAATCCAGTCATTTTATGTGGTCCCATACTTCTCAAAGGCTTAGTTTGTTTTTAAAATTAATTTTAATTTATTTGTGTGGCTGGATTACTTCTAAAGAGCTGTCTTCACGTCCTGAGATGCTCTCTTCTGCTTGGTCTAATCTATTGTCGAAACTTTCAAATGTATTTTGCAATTCCACCAATATTTCTTTTTTCCTTTTGAGAAGTTCTTCCTGTTTTTTTTAAGGTGCCTATCTCCTTGGTAAATTTTTAGTTTATGTCCTGAATTGATTTCTGATTTATTTACATTGCTTTTAAGATTTATCCTGCATCTCATTGAGCTTCTTTAAAAATCAATATTTTGAATTATTTATTTGACATTTTGTAAACTTGTTTTTGGTTAGGATTTATTTCTAGAGAATTACTGTGTTTCTTTTGGGGTGCGATAACATCCTGCTTTTTCATATTCACAGTATTATTATTCTGATTTCTTTGTATCTGGAGAAACAGTTGCTTCTTATTTTTGAATTTACTTTATTTGCGGTGAGAATTTTTGTTGTTGTTGTTTTCCTTGAGGAAGTGACTGACGTATATTGAGTAAGGCTGTTTGGCTTTGCTTCTGAGTGCATTCAGTGATGAAGACTCTGTATGATTTCCTTTGTTATAAATAGCCTTAGTGTGATGGTTTTCTTGAATGCCGGTTGTCGCGGTGGTGTATCAATGGGTGAGTTGGTTTGCATTCTGGGTAGCAAGGATGGTGTGGAGATGGTGGTAGCAGAGGTGGAAAGAAACTTGTCTTTTTTCTGAGTGCTGTGAACCTGTGTCTGCAGATATTGTAATGGACCCTGCGGTTTGATCTCCAGGCCAGTAGGCGATGCTTGCACATAACAGCCAGGTGTGATAACTAAAGTTTATGTTTGGCATTTGTTATCTTGCAGAAATGCTCCAGTGTCCTAGATTGTGGGTTGGGCCCTGGAGTGCTCAGGCCTGGGTTCTGCCTTTCCTGTAGGAGGAGGGTGGTAAAACCGGGCAGAGCCGGACTAGGGAAGCCTGAACTCAGGTCCCCCAGTGGTAGGTGCAAGCAGCAGCTCCTGCGGGGGTCACAGGGGAGTCTCCAGGCCCCTGGAGAAATAGCTGGGAGGTGATGTGTGGTCACTGAGTTCTCTGCTCAGGGAGGAAGGGTCGTCCCAGCACCAATTTCTCAGCAGGTGGGAATGTGATCTGTTTCCCTCGTGTGCTCCTGTCCCACTGTTCAGGATATTTGGTTAGGTTAGGCAGTGCAGTTTGCTTCTAGACTGCAATGTGGCTCGGGGCTGTAGGAGACTCCAGCCCACTGGCTCAACACTAAACTTCTCTGGCACCTGGAAGTGGGTGCAATGTGGAATCTCTGCTCATAGCCCTAAACACCCAGACCTTGGGCTCTCCTGCTCTCTGTGATAGCAGCGCTGCAGCTCCATGCCGAGAGGGAAGGGTGCAAGCCCAGGCCAGGAGGCCATGCTGCCACTAGAGTTGCAATCACCCCTCAAAGCCAGATGGGCCACCTGCTGGCTTGCTTGCCCCAGCTTTCCAGTGCAGCAGCAGGGACCATGCCTTCAGGGGTGTGTGAAAGCTGGAGAGTATTCTTGTTCTCTACTCCTACGTCCCAGCAAGCACAGTCCGCTTGCCCAGTAGAAGGGGATTTAACCCTTCACCTTTAAAGCCCAGCACACAGTTTGTCTGCTGAAGTCAGAGTCACTTTGCACAGCCCAGAACAGGAGCTCTCAGGCTCTCTTGCTCTCTGTGGCAGCAGTGCTACAGGGCTGTAAAGAGTGGGAGAGGGCCCCAACTTGGTTTTAAGTGCAGGTCTGGAGGCTATGCCATCAGTGGGGTCACAGTTGCCACTCTTGCCTGAGAGAGGCAGCCCTCTGGCTCAACCATGTCAACTTCCTATGCCAGTAATAGAGGCTGTGCCTGCATCAATATGCAGAAGGGGAGGAGGAATCTCCTTCCCTAGGCCTGCATTGAAGCACAGAAGCTACTCAGCTGGTTGGAGGGGATTTCACTCTTCACTTAGAGAAGCATGGGCAGGGAGTTTGTGCCCATGCTGGAAGCAGGGTCACTTTTCACAGACCCAAGCAGGGAGCTCTTGGGTATGATTTCCTTTGTCCCAAGAGCTATCTTTTTGGTGTGCTGCCCTCTCCTGTCTCCTAGGAGTGGCACTTCCTGAGGGGTAGATTACTGGGAACCCTGTAGTTCCTTTGGGTCCAGCTCACACTGTGTTGCTGCAGCCCTCTGTGCAGGTAGTGAGGAATGTCAGCAGAAGCTCCCAGAATGTGGACATACAAAGGCTAGAGTTCCAAGGGCAAGATTCAGCCCCCTGAAGGCTTTGTGCCACACAGCCACTGGAGTCTTGCAGGGAGAGCGAGTGAGTGAGTGACCCAACATGAGTTCACAGTCTGGGGCAATGCCCTCAAGGGGTCTCCAGGTCACCACCCACACTACTGTCAGGGTTTGGGAAGGCAGAGGAGTTCTCTCCTAGGTGGAATCCTGGCAGGCTGCAGCAGGGATGAGGGCCACCAAAACACTCTCACCCTTTCCATGCAATACAGGCTCCTAGGGATCTCATCAGAGATGGGGGTCATGCTTCCCTCTTTTTCTGTTTCGCAGGTTTTTTCATTGGTTTTCCTTTAGTTTCTAATGTTCTCTACTTCATATTGTATTTGAGGTATGGTAATATATGAATAGCAATATTCATAAAAGTGCTGCTTCTTTCTAGAGAGAACTGACATGTCTGGTTAGCAGTGTTTAACCTATCTTAAAATCTAAAGTACAACCCTAAATCAGGAGTGTACCTGGTGTGTTGAAGGAAATACAGAAGAGTAACTTGACTCAGGAGGGAGTGACGGAAGGGGAGAGCGGTAGGTATGATATTTGTCAATCTCAGTACTAGTGTCTAATGACTTTAGACATCATTGACCTATAGAAAACAATAAGAATTTAAGTAATTTCTAACAACTAAGTATTTTTTTATTGTTCTCCTGCCAGTATCTCTTTCTCTAATTATTCTTCTGTTTTCTTCCTTCTTTTGTTCTCCTCTTGATTTATGTTTTCCTGAAAACAGTGCAATTAATTATACTTTAAAACTAATGTCATGTTATTTGCATTATGAATTTCTGAAGAATTATAATCTGTTTTTTAAGTGTCATTTCAAAATGTAACATTTTATTCCTTTGCTTAGACTTTCAAATGCTGTTTTATCATATTTATTCTTTCAATTTAATTTTTCCCTTTAGGTATTTAACAGTCAATAACACTTTAGCCAAAGAGCCTCTAATATGAAGAAATCCTAAACATAGTCTATAGAGTTTTTCCTTCATTTATTTTGGTCGTCAGTCATACACCACATCATCACATCAGGAGGTATCATTTATCTTAATATATTTAGTATCTCTCCTAATAGAAATGCCCCCAAAATAGATGTTTTGTTTTTCTTTTATTATTAAAAGTAATGGAAGATTACCAAATAGGGGAAATGCCTATTCTTCTTTATTTGGTGCTGAATTTTGAAGTTATACATATGAGAGGCAATTAATAAAAAGAAAATACAAATAGCAAACACTGTCTGAAATGTTTACCAATTTGAGAGATAAAAAATACATATGAAAACTAACAAGGCAATATTTTATATTAACTAAACAACCAAAATAATAATTGTAATGCCTACTGCTATCAAAGTTTTAAAGAAAGTACTCCTAGCATCATAAATTGATAGAAACACTTCAAAAAGCAATGAGGTAATGTGAAGCAATAGCTACAAAGACATTTAAATAGTTTGACCTAGTAAGATGGCTCTAGGAAACTTATTCAGAATGTAACTCATGGAAACAAAGTAAAATGCCCAGTCTCATTAAAAGAAAACCAAAATACTACAAATAGCCAAATTGCACAACAATACTGTGATTGTATGTTATTACAACCAGCAGTTATATATTCATTAAATTTATAATTCTTATGAAGATTAATGAAATTTCTATAAGACTTTTAGTTTAAAAGTCTTGGGTAGGAGAGATGAAATGCAACACAGTGACAAAAATGCCTCAGCTACCCATATAGCATATATGGTTTGTCTCTGGACACAAGGATCCCTAAGTTCCTGTATTTTACCCATAACTTGTAGGTTAATAGGATTTTTACTGTATCATCTGGCAAAAGCACACTCCATTTCAGGATTATTTCCAATCTCCTAATAGTCTCTCTTTCTATTGCTTTCTATCACTTCCAAATTTTACTCTATATTTCTGTTATGTGACCTTTCTAACACAAAAGCATGTCAAAATGGTTTAATAGACTCTTACTTCCAGGGCAAAGTCCACATTTTTTGAGTAACATATGAAACACTCTTGCTGTCTGATCTGTATCAGTTAAAGTCACTCCCGTATCAAAGTGTTTTCATCAAAGATTTATGTTGTGCCAACAATTAATCCCACTCAAGTAACTGGGTATAGGCCTTACAGGGAAGAGTGTGTCCTCCAGCAAGGTAGCTCTTTGCAGCTGAGACAAACCATGATGGATCTGTTATCTGGCAGCTGTCTGCAGATTGCTGGGACCACAAGTCTATTCTTGATGATGATTGGGCAGATACTCTCCATGTCCACCCTATTTCATCCACTGTGCTATTCACATCCAGTTTTTCATATCTGTTTGGGCAACAGCTCCTCCAAAATTCCAGAGAGATTTTTTTTCCTTGGGTGACTCAGAAGAGGAAAGTTACTGTGATTACTGTGATGACCCACAGCCCCTACCACTGCAGCTGGTCTCTGAGCAGAAACCTATACTCGTTTGCTTCCTCTTTTATCCATTCTAAATCCCCCTTGTCCTCAACTACAATCTCTGCTAGTTTCAGTGACTTAGGTGATATGACCAGTTTCTCACTTTTGAGACAACCAGATACCTGTTTACTATGCTCTTTTTAGACCAGGGTTGTGGCATTACCATCATATCTGGGAAAGAGGCTCCCAAGTGTAACATCAAGTTGTCAATCATATTCCTCTCCATATGCTTTGTCGAACAACAGCCCTACCTTGTCCTCTTGATCAGCAGCCCTTGTCAAAATTATGACATTTCATATAGACTGCTTGTCTCTGGACACAAGGATCCCTAAGTTCCTGTATTTTACACATAACTTGTAGGTTAATAGGATTTTTACTGTGTCTTCTGGCAAAAGCACACTCCATTTCAGGATTATTTCCAAACTCCCAATAGTCTTTCTCTTTCTATTGCTTTCTATCACTTCCAAATTTTACTCTATATTTCTGTTATGTGACCTTGCTAACACACAAGCATGTCAAAATGGTTTAATAGACTCTTACTTCCAGGGCAATGTCCACATTTTTTGAGTAACATATGAAACACTCTTGCTGTCTGATCTGTATCAGTTAAAGTCACTCCCGTATCAAAGTCTTATACATATTTTATATTCCTTTAACATAAGCTTCTTGAGGTATCTTATGTATTGAATACACAATATTAAGTAACACTGTCTTACTTCTCTTCTGTAGCTTAGGGTGTGAGCTCCATAATAGAGTTAGCCATGTAGAGGGAGAATTGTCCCCAAGGGGGTCATTGATTAAAGCGACACATATATTTGTGTTAGCTCATGGTGGCTGTATTAGACAGGGTTCTCCAGAGGAACAGAACCAATAGGGGGTGTGTGTGTGTGTGTGTGTGTGTGTGTGTGTGTGTGTGTGTATTTTCTACAACGAATTAGCTTATACGGTTATGGGCACTGGCAAATCTCAAGATCTTCAGGATGAATAGGCAAGCTGGAGATCGAGGAGAACTTACAATATAGTTCCAGTCTACATCTGAGAGCCTGAGAATCAGGAAAGCCAATGGTATGGTTGAAGTCTGAAGGTCAGAAGGCTCAAGAGCCAGAAATAGCTAATGTTGAAATTTGACTCCAAAGGTAGGAAAGAAACTGATGTATCAGTTTAAAAGCAGTCAGGCATGAAGAAGAAGTTTCTCTTAATCCGGAGAAGATAAATCATTTTGTTTTATTCAGGACTTCAACTAATGAGATGAGGCCCACTTGCATTAGGAGAGAAATATGATTACTCAGTCTATCAACTTAAATGTTAATCTTATATAAAAACATACTGACAGAAGCACAAAGAATAAAATGTTTGATGAAATATCTGAACACCTTGTATCCCAGTCAAGTTGACAGATACAATTACTATCATAGTGGCTAGGTGATTCCAAGTAACAACTGAGTTATACACTTTGTTGCTAAAACTTAGAATAGATGTGAACATATGTCAATGAAAATTGACCTAACAAAATAGTGAAAAGATAGAACAATACCAAAATTCATTTAATTGACTGTACACTAAGAAAAACAGGATTAGGCCCGGTATGGTGGCTCACACCTGTAAACCCAGCACTTTGGGAGGCCAAGGCAGGTGGATCATGAGGTCAGGAGATCAAGACCATCCTGGCCAAAATGGTGAAACCCCATCTCTTTTAAAATACAAAAAAAAAAAAAAAAAGCCAGGCATGGTGGCATGCACCTGTAGTCCCAGCTACTCAGGAGGCTGAGGCAGGGGAATTGCTTGAACCAGGGAGGCGGAGGTTGCAGTGACCTGAGATCACACCACTGCACTCCACCCTGGTGACAGAGAGAGACTCCGTCTCAAAAAAAAAAAAAAAAAAAAAAAAAAGAGAAAGAAAAACAGGATTATACTTATGTGTGTGTGTATATGTATATATATTTATATATACATATATATACGTGTGTGTGTGTGTATATATATATATATATATATATATATATATATATATATATAAAGCTGCTATGCAATTAAGCTAATTTTTTAAAAAAGTATCTGTAGCTTCATCCTAACCACTGGTAATAATTGGGTCCAAGATATGACCAAATAAGCTGTGTGCCATGTTTTATGTACTATAATTTTCATCATAAGAGGCATTTAATAAAACTTGCAGCCAAAGCAAATTATACCTAGAGTTGGAGTAGAGAAATACAAAAAAGATTTAGTTTTCTGTGGAGTAGAAATAGCTAACACAGCTTTCTTAGATCCTAGGTGAAGTAGAATAAATAAAACATTCCACATTCTTGTGCTGTATTTAAAAATAACATTCTGATTGCTAGCAGACTTTCCAGGTTGCTAAATACTAAGCAAAAAAAAAAAAAAATACATCTTTTCAAGGAACCCAAGGATTTTAGTTACTAAAGAAGAAATACCTTGACTCTTTTGTTCTCTCATTTTTACGTTCTCTTGATTCAAAAGGCTTTTAAATATCTAAGAAAAAAATCATAATTATAAAGGCAGAGAAACAGAGTAGGATTGCCATAAATCAACTTATGTTTTGACTTAGGAAAGTTCTGCATGAATAGACAGCTATCAAAAATAACCTCTCTCGTTTCATCTCCCACAGTGTCTTTTCAGGTGCTTGTATGATTTGTTCTTTCAATTTGTTGGCATGGCTCTTACAAAGCCTTTGGAAATATTGAAACATTGTTCAAGATGGACATGAGGATAATGTAAATCATGTTGCTATGTTATAGTAAACTAATGTTAATTTACTGTTATTTTTCTAAAGAAATAAGCCATTTGAAAACCTTCCAGGACAGGTGAAAGCTTTTCTGAATAGTTAATGGGTATTAGAAATCAAATTATATGAATGTTCATATATTCAGTACACCTTTTAAGAAACAGTGAGCACTCAAAATTCTTTACTCTGTTCCTTGGCATTACTGATCTTAAAATTCTGCTTCCAGCTTGTTAACAGCTGTCTACCTCATATACCACTTTTTCCACACATTTAACAAATATCTATTGACATGGTTTGACTGTTTCCCCATCCAAAATCTCATCTTGAATTGTAGTCCCCATCATTCCCATAATCCTCACATGTCAAGGGGGAAGCCAGGTGGAGGTAATTAAATCATGGAGGCAGTTTCCCCATGTGTTCTCATGATAGTGAGTGAGTTCTCATGAGATCTGATGGTTTTATAAATGTGTGGTAGTTCCTCCTGTGTTCTTTCTCCTTCCCGCCATCTTGTGAAGAAGGTCCCTTGCTTCCCCTTCACCCTCTGCTATGATCGTAAGTTTTCTGAGGCCTCCCCAGACATGCTAAACTGTGACTCAATTATACCTCTTTCATTTATAAATTACCCAGTCTCAGGCAGTTCTTTATAGCAGTGTGAAAATGGATTAATACATCTATTAAACAAAACTTGTCCTCAGTGTGAAAGTCGAAGCTTAAAGGTTTGCTATGAATGGTTGAAAGTAGCAATGCTATGTTTTGGCTAATAACTAGGTATGGAATGGTGTTATATAGAGTGAGGAAGAACAATAGGCAATAGGAGCAAAACATTTATTTCTTAATTGAGCAGCAATCCAGATATGAGTCTTTCACATGCAACAGTAGATGGCCCACTTTTCCATCAAAATGTCTCTGACATTGAAACAGGATACTGCAACAGAGAACAGAGACCCAGAGTGTCTGTCTACGTCAGGAAGATTGGAAAAAGTCATTGTATTAGGGTTCTCTAGAGGGATAGAACTAATAGGATAGATGTACATATGAAAGGGAGTTAATTAAGGAGGATCACAAGGTGAAGTCCCACAATAGGCCATCCGCAAGCTGAGGAGCAGGGAAGCCAGCCCAAGTCCCAAAATCTCAAAAGTAGGGAAGTCAGCTATGCAGCCTTCAGTCTGTGACTGAAGGCTCAAGAGCCCCTGGCAAACCACTAGTGTAAGTCCAAGAGTCCAAAAGCTGAAGAAGTTGGAGTCTGATGTTCAAGGGCAGGAAGCACCCAGCACGGGAGAGAGCTAAAGGCTGGAAGACTCTGCAAGTCAAGTCTTCCCACTTTCTTCTCCCTGCTTTATTCTAGCTGTGCTGGCAGCTGATTAGATGGTGCCCACCCAGGTTGGGGGTGGGTCTGCTTTTCCAGCCCACTGACTCAAAATGTTAACCTCGTTTGGCAACACCCTCACAGACACACCCAGGAACAATACTTTGCATCCTTCAATCCATTCAGGTTGCCACTCAGTATTAACCATCACAGTCATTCCTAAGTGAACAGAATAGCTAGCATTTTGTTAAATCCATTACAGAGAAACAAATAATTTATCAAGATACTTAATCAAGACATATCTGAAAGTTAATTTGGAGCACTTGAAAATGTCAGATTTAGAGCAATTTGCAAAAACAAATATAAATAACAATGCTTATAACCCTTCACAGTTGATACGGGCCAAGAATAGTGAGAGATCTAGCAAAGCATCCACACACATTGAAAGGAGAGGACATTAGAAAAGGTAAAAGCACTTGCTAAAAATATATTAATTTATAACAAAAAAGAAATAAATTACAGGCTTCTACCTGTATAGATTGTATGTATGTGCCCCCAAATTAATGTATTCAAATAGGCACCTTATATTTTTAACCAATTTAAATTGAATTCAACTAACTTGACTAATGTAAAAAAGGAAATCTAAGTTCAACCCAAATTATTAGTGTGAAACAAATTCTTTGTTGTAAGAGTCAGTTGAATTGTGATATGGTGACTTCCCTAACCTTGACAATGTTTAACCAGCAACTGGCTAACTGTAGCTGGGTCTCTTATATACGTATAGCGGTTTTGGCAGATAGCGGGGTTCAGGGGACAATGTATTGTGTGACATATGTAGGTACTTGATAAATGGTAGCAATGGAAAACATTTGAGGCTCACGTTTATAACTATGTAAATTAAGTGACTTACAGATTTATGTTCTATCTACGCACAAATCTTTCCCTTCTAATTTACATTCTTAAGCAATTAATATTACACTTTTAAAAAGTTTTATTTTAGGCTATTTTATTGAATTAAAAGCTGCCTTTAATTTTGTACTGCATAAAAAATACACACACACAAGCATTTATTAGACAAAAAATGAACTGATTCAACTGCTTGATGAATTTTTAAAGCGAAAATATATGAAAAGTAATCTTAGCCGGGCAGGGTGGCTCAAGCCTGTAATCCCAGCATTTTGGGAGGCTGAGGCGGGTGAAACATGAGATCAGGAGATCGAGACCATCCTGGATAACATGGTGAAACCCTGTCTCCACTAAAAATACAAAAATTAGCTGGGCATGGTGGCATGTCCCTGTAATCCCAGATAATCAGGGGGCTGAGGCAGGAGAATCACTTGAACCCAGGAGGTGGAGGTTGCAGTGAGCCGAGATGGTGCCACTGCCCTCCAGCCTGGCGACAGAGCAAGACTCCATCTCAAAAAAAAAAAAAAAAAAAAAGGAAAGGAATACCATGTATTCATAAGGTAACTAACAAGAAAGAAAACGAATACTTTAATGGAAGGGAATAGCAGTAATAAATCTTGAAAAGTTGAAAAGCTTGCTGAAAATTGTAGAAAACTCACTCAAACAAAATAAAGTTTTCAACAATTACATCAACAGAGTGCATTTAAGCTCAAGGAAAAATCGTAGATCTATGCACATTCATGATGAGAATGACCTCTGAGGTCACACTGTGCATATTTTAGCTACTGAAGACTGTGGTCTGCTTTGCTTCACAATTTATTTTACCCTTCTGGTTTACCATGTTAGGTGGTATAAATAGACAGAAAAGAATGGCCTTCAGAGATCACAATACCTGGCTTAGCACCACTAAGGCTGACTCTGTAAAGAGCCCACATAAATTGTCAACAAATCTTCGATTGGTTGCAGAAAAGTCACAGACAGTGTAATCAGAGATGTCCTATTGTCTTCATAAATAAGAACAATTTTTTTACCAGGGTTTTTTTTTTTTTTTTTTTTTTTTGAGTTTCGCTCCTGTTGCCCAGGCTGGAGTGCAGTAGTGCGATCTCCACTCACTGCAACTTCCACCTGCTGGGTTCAAGCGGTTATCCTGTCTGAGCCTCACGAGTAACTGGGATTACAGATGCCCGCCACCATGCCCGGCTAATTTTTTGTATTTTTAGTAGAGATGGGGTTTCACCATGTTGGCCAGGCTGGTCTCAAACTACTGACCTCACGTGATCCACCCACCTCAGCCTCCCAAAGTCCTGGAATTACAGTTGTGAGCCACTGCACCCAACATACCCATGATTTTTAAAAAGCCTAGAAAAGAATGTTTGCTAAGCCAAGGGAAATTCTTAATTTTGGCAAAATAAATGGAAACAGAGAAATGTACACCAAGCTCCAGCACTTCTTTACTTCTTCCCTAGTCTTTAGTTTTATACACACACACACACACACACACACACACACACGTGTGTATATTAGTTTTTTTTTATTTTTCTGGACAAGATTAGACTTCATTAAGTGTCTTCCAATAACAATCATTGTCTCAATATCAGCAGTGTAACTTTCCCATAGGAAGATCTTGCTACTCCACTTCTCCAACATCCCCTTTGATCCCCTGAATGAATTGTTGTACTGTCCTCTTAACAATACAGGATATGTAATGGAATGAGTTAGCTCAAGTCTCAGCTCCTTCACTTACTTTGGTGTAACCTTGAGTCATTTAGTGTCTCTAGTCCTCAGTTCCCCTAGTATCCTCCATACATATATGTAATAGTAATACATTTATTAGAAATGTAATTAACTACATGTAACAACAACGACCACAATTACTGATTTAAACAGGGGTCAGTTTTTTGACTAAAAATCCTGAAGCCACGCATCACTGTTGTTGATTGAACTTCTTTTTGACGAAAGCATAAACCCAAACTGTTTTTGTGTTCCTACCATATCATTCTTACAGTGCTATATTTTATCCTGGTATTTGTTATTTCAAAGTCATCAAATGGCTTCTGCCAGTCCACATTTATTATTACAGGGCTCACGGTAAAGAGCAGAGGAGGAAAGATGCTTTCAGATTAGTCTTTTTATGTTTCCATTTGTTAGGAAAGCAGAAGCATTTTCAGATTCTTCCCACCACCCAGAAGATTCCCTCTCAGTTAATACTGCCCAGGATTTAGACAGCGGGGCTCAGGGGACAATGTATTGTGTGACATGGTAGGTACTTGATAAAGGGTAGCAATGGAAAACATTTGAGGCTCACTTTTATAACTATGTAAATTAAGTGACTTACAGATTTATGTTCTATCTACGCACAAACCTTTCCCTTCTAATTTACATTTTTAAGCAATGTAAATTAAAATGTAAGGTAAACCTCTGGCTTTAAGGAAGGCACATACATCCCAGAACATGACTGTCTTGATTGGCTTTGACCAATCATAAACCATCAGAAGATTGGGCATATTGGAAGAAGGAAAAAAATGCGCAGGTTAGTAGCAGTATATGTGACTTCTTTATAGACTCTGTAGAGCTGGTACGAGGATTCAGTAAGAAAGTATATAAATGTTATTCCAAAATAAATGATGAATAAATATTAGTCCCATAATATTACCTAGAGTTGTGTGCTTGTCTTGTTCTAACATACATTAGGGTATATTAATTGCTATCTAAGGAAGCAATTTATATTTAATTGACCCACACATGTCACACACAACCTAAAATAGTGAACCTGGAAGCAATATATTGGAAATTAGTACATTTACACTTATGCCTTTAACTTCAGTGGTTAAAAGTGTATATTGCTGTATGTTGACATTTGTTTGAAAACGCTCAAATTAGACTGTAAGCTTTGTGAAGCCTAGTACTATAGGAGTTCTTTTTTTGAATTAATATCCCAGCATATCAATCTTTAGGTATTATTTGAATGAAAATATTAAGTATCTGGCCATTCATGTGATAAGAACAATTACTAAAGGATCCTTGGCATGACTAGATTTTTAAAATCTGTAAATACACATAGCATTTTGTTTCTTGCTTTGCTAATATTGCACCGGACTTTCTGTTCTCTACCTCCAATATCATCTTCACATGACCTTTCTGAGTTATTTTAAGAAAACACAATAATCCTTTATCTGACACAGATGGAAAGTAAGGAACTAAAATTAACCAGGACTTTTTTTATATCTTCAGGAAGATAAATATTACCACTATTGTGAAATATTTGTATCAAGGAATAAATTCCAGTAGCAAGAAATAAGCAAAAACATAACTTCTCTGAAATCAAAATTATTAAAAGTGTCTAATTTGAAAAATATAAATGACAAGCAACAAAATATATCAAATTACTTATAGAAAATGTGTCATTATGTGCGTTTCCTAAAGTCCATTTCACTGAAGACAATCGAGATTTACTTCATGATAGACTCAAAATGTATTCTATTAAATTAACCCTGGGAAAACATGGTTGGGACAACATCAAAAATGTTTTGTTTGTTTTGTGTGTTTGTTTCTTCCCATACTTCCTAGAACCTTTAGTATATTAATATACTGTGAATTTCCAAGAGGAAAAAATGCATACAGTGTCTCCCTAACTTAATCTGTCAAAGAACCCCTATAAAAGCAAATATTGAACAGAAGAAGTATTTAGGGAAACACATTTTGAAGAACACTGGTTAAGTAACTCTGTTCAGAAATACTACAGCCTGGAAAACATTGCTCATATTATAGAACACAAAGGGGTCCTCTTTCAGAGGATGCATAGCATCCAAGTAAACTCTTAGTTTAGGGTGTGGGGGTGGACAGTGGTTTGTATTTACAGGTCAAAATTCATTTAGAAAGTTATTTTTATGTCAATAAGAATTATTTTAAAAACCTCTTGCCACAATTTATAGCAACGTTGTAATTCAATGCAAAGAGAATAGAATGTACAGTTTAAGAATGCACCTTAGCATCAAACAAACAGCTAAAGAGAGAAATTAGCCTGGATTTATTAGAATGTACTGGAGAAGCCGGGCGCAGTGGCTCACGCCTGTAATCTCAACACTTTGGGAGGCTGAGGCGGGTGGATCCGAGGTCAGGAGATCGAGACCATCCTGGCTAACTCGGTGAAACCCCGTCTCTACTAAAAATACAAAAAAAAAAATTAGCCGGGCGTAGTGGCGGGTGCCTGTAGTCCCAGCTACTCGGGAGGCTGAGGCAGGAGAATGGCGTGAACCCGGGACACGGAGCTTGCAGTGAGTCGAGACTGCCACTGCACTCCAGCCGGGGCAACAGAGCCAGACTCCGATTCAAAAAAAACAAAAGACTGTATTGGAGAGAAATATCAATCTTAGAACTATCATAGAAACCTATTATATTTACAGATAATGAAGCATAAGATACTTACAGGTTCCTGAGAATATGTGGACTCTAGGAAAGCCCTATTTCAACAGAATATGAAAGAATAAACATATAAATAAGAAAAGAAATACCAAAGTCTAGACTCACAAAGAGAATTTCAGATCAGACAATTCTCCATCTACACTACACATTAAAAAATTATACTGAGAAATCTAGAACTAGAAATACCATTTGACCCAGCCATCCCATTACTGGGTATATACCCAAAGGATTATAAATCATGCTGCTATAAAGACACATGCACACGTATGTTTATTGTGGCACTATTCACAACAGCAAAGACTTGGAACTAACCCAAATGGCCAACAACGATAGACTGGATTAAGAAAATGTGGCACATATACACCATGGAATACTATGCAGCCATAGAAATGAACAGTTCATGCCCTTTGTAGGGACATGGATGAAACTGGAAACCATCATTCTCAGCAAACTATAGCAGGGACAAAAAAGCAAACACTGCATGTTCTCACTGATAGGTGGGAATTGAACAATAACACATGGACACAGGAGGGGGAACATCACTCTCCAGGGACTGTTGTGGGGTGGGGGGAGGGGGAAGGGATAGCATTAGGAGATATACCTAATGCTAAATGACGAGTTAATGGGTGCAGCACACCAACATGGCACATGTATACATATGTAACAAACCTGCACATTGTGCACATGTACCCTAAAACTTAAAGTATAATAATAATAAAAGAAAAGAAAAAAAATTATACTGAGAAAAGAATTAAAAGGTATTGCATTTCAGTTAACTTACATAATTTTAAAATTGTGGTAAGACACACCTAACAAAAAGCTACCATTTTAATCAATTTTTAAATGTAATACAGGAAAAATGCAAGAATTTATTTCAGTTGTCACCCATTCTTATTATTTTCCTTTTATTTATTACATATACACACATTATAATCCCAACAATATAATTAAGAAAATTATTAAGAGTAAATAAAGGTGGGCCGGGTGCAGGGGCTCACGCCTGTAATCCCAGCACTTTGGGAGGCCGAGGCGGGTGAATCACCTGAGGTCAGGAGTTCAAGACCAGCCTGGCCAACGTGGTGAAACCCTATCTCTACTAAAAATGCAAAAAATTAGCTGGGCATGGTGGCAGGCACCTGTAATCCCAGCTACTCGGGAGGCTGAGGCAGAACAATCGCTTGAACCTGGAAGGCAGAGGTTGCAGTGAGTCGAGATCATTCCTCTGCACTCCAGCCTTGGCATAAAGGCGAAACTCCGTTTCAAAACAAACAAATAAACAAAAGAGTAAATAAAGGCAGAATTCAATCACAAAAACACAAACAACCTGATTTTAAAAATAGCCAATAACTTGAGTAGACATTTCCCAAAGATAATGTACATATGGCAAATAGGCACATGAAAAGATGCTCAACATCACTAATGATTAGGAAAATCCAGATCCAGACCATTATAGGATATCACCTCACATCTGGTAGGATGGCAACTATCCAAAACACAGAAAATAACAAGAGTTGGCAAGAATGTAGAGAAATTGGAAGCTTTGTACACAGTTGGTGGGAATGCAAAATGATGTCGCCACTATGAAAAACAGTATGGTACTTCCACAAAAAAAATTTAAAATAGAATTACTTTATGCCCCAGCTCTTCCATTTCTGGATATATACCCAAAAAGAATTGAAACCATGGACCTAAAGGCATTGTATACCCATCATCATAGGAGCATTATTTACAATAGCCAAGGCTGGGAGGAAGTAACTTAAGTATCCATCGATAGATGAATGGATAGAATAAGAAATGGTATATACATAATGGACTATTATTTATCCTTAAAAGGGAAGAAAATAATGACACATCCTAAAACATAGATGAATCTTGGGGCCATTACATTAAGTGAAATAAGCCAGTAACAATTGGACAAATATTGTATGATTCCACATATAACATATATGGGGTACCTAGGGAGTCAAATTCATAGAGACAGAAGTTTAAATGTGGGTCACCAGAGGAAGGGGGAGATGGGAATGGGGAGTTAGTGTTTCATAGACACAGAGCTTCAGTTTTGCAGGATGAAAACAGTTCTGGAGATGGATGGTGGGGATGTTTCACTGCAATGTGAATGTACTTAATGCCACCGAATGGTACACTTAAAAATTGGTTAAAGTTGTAAATTTTATGTTGTATATGTTTTACCAAAATTTTTAAAAAGCACAAATGAGGTTATATGTGAATATTAAATTTGAGCTTTCACAGAAGGTAAATTATCTGCTGTGCTAGAATTTGATATAGGAGACCTTCTGTTTCTGCTGTCAGTCAGCACCTCCCACAGCTGGGCAGCACATAACACACCCCTGTGAGGCAGCCTACACAACATTGTAAGAAGTCTGTACCAGGACTTCACGCTCATTGGTTGATTAGCTAGAATAACTTCTGACTTCTAATGCTGTCTCTGCTAGAACACACTGGGTTGAATTGTATTTACTTGACCCACTGTGACACAGGCAGTAGTTAAACATCTGCCAGAACACTTTTCACTGGAAAATTTTTCCATTTTTGGAATCTACACATTTTTATATGTTCTTACAATATTGTCAAGGTGATGAGTACTTCTTTCAATCAAAAATATTTTTTAAATTAAAATCTTAGGAAAACGTATCACTTATTTATAGAGGTAATATATTCAACATAAATAAAGGAAGTAAAAAATATAAAAATAATTAGAAAACACCTAGCTGTAATTTTTACCAATTCTTTTGAATCATGCATTATCATGCTGTGTTACTGACATAATTCCTAGCATTTCTGAATGATGATTAAAAAGCCAATTCATATTGAAATACTATTCTTCCTTCTGGAAAACACAATAATAAGAAAATATTGTTTTTATATTCAGGTAAAATGGAAATTTAAACTATCTTTTTTTATTAGAACTTCAATAATCTCATTTAAATCATAAAATAAGTGATGATAAAATAAATGTAATACATCTTGTAAAAGACAGTTCTATTTTGTGACCTTGCTTTCCAAATCAGTAACAGCTTGAGCAATGTAAGATGATTAAATACTGTGTCCTAGAAGATACAAAACACTATATTGACTGTTGGACTTTGAGCCATTTTGGAATAGCCCCAATAATATAATTAGTAAGAAGTATATATTAATAAAATGTATATATTAGCTGTGACTAATATACTTTAAATATACTTTAATTAATAAGTATATGAAAGCTAAACCAACTTGCTTCAAACCACCCTGGTACATGATTAAAATTTTGGTTTTCCAATTCCACAGTCCATGGTTTTCCCACTCTGCCTTGCTCCCTAAGAGAAACTCACAGCATCTCTTCAATCTGCAATGACTCATTAGGTGGATACGTTTTCAAATAAGATGACATTTTTCACTCAATGTAAACTTCCAAGAATTGTTCCAAGTGACAGTTCCACATACAAGAAAGTAAGTTGCTATGAACACAGCTGTGTTCTGGCTTAGAAGGATACAAAGAAATAACCAAAGTATGAACTCTAGAGATTAAATATCAAAGCTAAACTTGGAGGGGAGAAGATAATTGCTGTCTTTTTAGAGGCTTTACTGCAGTGAGTTCACTGCATTTGAGAGTCTGTCTCATAGTCTTTCAAATTTTGTCAATATGCCTGGCGGTGGGTAAATCAACATTGACCAAGACTCTGAAAATATGTTCAACTCTATCCAACCCTCAAAGGAAACGTCTTTGAAATATTAAACGTACTTACATCAAACTCCCCTCAGCTATTCACATTAGAACTTTAAATCAGAGTGAGAAAAATGCAATAGATATAGATTTTACACTATAATTCATCAATGCCCACTCCTTAACAGAGAAAGATATTTTTCAGTTTACTGAAAATGTCTGGATAGCTAAACTAGGCTCTTAAATTTTTGCTTTGCATTGATGCTTTATGTATTGGAGATTAAAAAAAATTGTGGAACTCTTGAAAGGTTAGTTATATATAATTTTATTTTAGAAAAGCCTCAACATAGCCAACAAATATAAATAATTATTACTAAATAATTGTAGAGAAAACAACCACAATCATTGAAGATCTAGGCAGATGATCACAAAATAAATTTTGAAGTGAAAAATCAGAAAGCATATACCTCTAAAAACATTTGGTTGGGAATTTAACACAGAAGGAATCCAAAAAGCAAAACCACCAAATCGCAATTAATTTTGTACAAAATGTTAATGACCCAATTAGTTAAATGCAGAAACAATTTGGGTATTATTTTCTGACTTCAAAATCAAGGAGTCAGTCATCAAACTCTTGCTGGGTGACAGGCTGTTTCTGGCAAGACAGCAAAAAGCTACGGGCATAGCATTTCATCACAACCATCATTAAACCACAAACATGCTAAACAGAGAAATATTCCAGCTCAAAGGCTTTTACTTTATAGGGATAGGGGAGGGAAAGAGAAAGAAATACTAATTTTAAACACCTAACTTGAACTAAGCAATATATTTGATACTTTATTAACTCATTCTTTATGTTGGATATAAAATTGCTGTATTGACACATAGTATTTTACATCTTTATGAGGTACTTGTGAGTATTTGTTCCATAGAATGCGTAATGATCACTCCAAAGTATTTGGGCTACCCATCCCTCACCTTGAGTATTCATTATTTTTATGTGTTGGGAATACTTCAAGGTCTCTTTTCTACCTACTTTTAAATATACAATACATCATTTTCAACTATAGTCACCTTACTATGCTATGGGACATTAGAACTTACGACTTTTATCTAACTGTATGTTGATACCCACGGACCAACCTCTGTCTCATTCTCAAAGGAAAATAAATCAGTGCATCAAATAGATACCTGCATTCACATGTTTACTGCAGCACTATACACAATGGCAAAGATATGCATTCAACCTAAATGTCCATTAATTGATAAACGGATAAAGAAAATGTGGCATAAATATATATATACACACACAAAACAGAATACTACTTAGCCATAAAAATTATGAAATGAAATTATGACACTTGCAACATGAATGGAACTGGAGGTCATTATGTTAAGTGAAATAGCAAGGCACAGAAAGTAAAATATTCCATGTTCTCACTAATATGTGGAAGCTGAAAAGTTGATCTCAAGGAAATAGAGAGTAAAATGATAGACACCAAAGACTGAGAAGGGTTTGTGGATATATACATTTTAATGCAAGGAAAACCTACATCACACTTATTCTATGAAATGAGATGTATTTAAGCATATGAGTATTTTATTCAGCAAGGCTATATGAAAATCTACAGAATCAGCTGTGAAATGTTAGACTTTTATTCTGAAATATTGTTTTAGGTATCAGCTAAAATACTAATTCACTAGAAAAACTGCGATTTTAGAAGTCAATTAGAAGTATCAAAAAACGGAGAGGGAGAGTACTTCCGTATCAGAAAGTCTCAAAACTTTCTCTGAGATATGAATCCAAATGATCATTCGCAGCAACTTAATTTTTAATAGACTGTATAGAATAGACCTTTTCCTCTAATTTATCGTTTTGCTGGATCCTACTAGTAAAAGAAGGACGTGCTGATCTTTAAACTCCTTTTTAAAATACTAGATGTATATAGTTCTATTAACCATGGATCTATTTTATGATTTCTTCTATATTGAGATATAAATTGTTATCTCTGATTTCTTTGGCAATAAAACATTTCCAAAAGGAAAGCACAGTCTATAAAATTCAAATAATTCTCTTATGGTTGTCTTTAGACAGAATAAATTCACACAAATGGTATTTTTTTAATACATTAGTGAGTTCAAATGTATCGATTTTATCTATGTGAGAAGTTAGGAAATAAATCAATGCATTATAAACCAAATAATATCAAGTTTATTTTTCTCTTTTCTGATTTTTACAGTTTAGCAGTGAGCTATTTGTTTTAAGTATAATAGTGAACTTCTATCCTTTAGTGTACTCTTTATTAGATGGACGAAAGGAGCCTTTTTATCCAATGTGATTAGGAAGAGTAATGAGTCAGTTAACAGGTAAAGTTAGTTAAAATGAAGGACCACTAAACATAATACAAATATTGTGTACACGTTTTAATTTAAAATATATAAGCTTTTATGTGATGCATATTTAAGTTCAGATGATAACTTTTCTTAGGTTGACAAACTGAAGGCCTATCTCATCTTTTATTGCACAAACTACATATATTATGCATCAAAGTTTCTTTTACATAGACAAGAATTTTAAAACATTTAAGAAACAATTGGAGTGCAAACTATTACTACACTGTTACAATTTTTCCCCAATTTTGTATGGTTACTCCCCACAACAAATCAGAAGCAATTATTTTTACTAATTTACTTTCATCTGTCCTTTTAGCCCTCATATAAATAAATTTCTCTTGGTTATAATTATGCACATATTTAAATGAATATTTACTTATATCTGACTTAATTGAATTATGTTACAATAACAAGCACAAGTGGAATCATTATTTTTAGGAATGGCCAATTTATTTTTAATAAATGAGCACAGAACCCCATGGATATCTTAGAATGTAAATTACTAGCCTAGAATGCCTGGTTTATACGAGTTAGAGACGGAATAGAGCTCATTGGTAAATTGTGTGTATCAGTTAAGTGTACAACAGCTAAAAGAATCTGTACTTTTTTTAAATTTTTGAGTGTTAAAAAAATACATGATGTCTTAAAACAATAAGATTTTACAATGAAGTAAGGACTTAATATGAATAACTCTGGGTCCGTACCACATCCTCAATCCTTTGCATCATATTCATAGAAAAATAAACAAATACATGCTAGCTTTGCTGTCAGTTTTCTTAGAGTGTTTTTATAATTTTGATATTTTAATAACAATACAAATGTATCATCATATTTATATAAAGAAAAATTCACATCAGAAATATGTTGGGAACACTATAGGACATACTAAGAGCTGACTCTTCGGCATCATCCTAGATCTACTAAAGCAGAATCTCTGATATTAAAGGTCCTGAATGTGCTTTTAATTTTATTAACAAGCCATCTCAGGGGATTTTGTTGCATATTTCGGTTTGAGATCCACTGCATTAAGGAATTAGGGTAAAAAGCCTATGATTTCTAATCTTAATATGCAACTTTAGACGCGTTTCTAGTTTGAACTTTATCTGCATGACATTTTTGAAAGTCTTAACTTTATAGTACAAATAATCATTTTCAGTCCAAATAATTAATTTTGCACATATAGATATAAAAGAGTAAAAAATTAGAGACATGTCTGAGCACTGCCATAAGGAAAATTAGCCTTCTCTATGTCTAAAGACAATATAATTCTACAGAATAACTCCATTTACTTAAGTCTCGCTATATACTGCTTTACGTCTTCTAAAATAGTTCATGATCCTTCTCTGCCTGATAAGCCTAATTCAGCTTTTAAGATTCGGTTCAAACTACTATCCTCACTTGTGAAAGCTTCTTTATGCTCAAGTATTCTTTCCAGGATGATCTCATATCACTTTATATAAAGTTTTGCAATAATAACTACCCTTTTCATACCAATTTCTGTCAAAACATTTTTCAACACATATTTTTTCTTTTCTTTTAATTTTATTATTATTATACTTTAAGTTTTAGGGTACATGTGCACAATGTGCAGGTTTGTTACATATGTATACATGTGCCATGTTGGTGTGCTGCACCCATTAACTCATCATTTAGCATTAGGTATATCTCCTAATGCTATCCCTCCCCCCTCCCCCCACCCCACAACAGTCCCCAGAGTGTGATGTTCCCTTTCCTGTGTCCATGTGTTCTCATTGTTCAATTCCCACCTATGAGTGACAACATGAGGTGTTTGGTTTTTTGTCCTTGTGATAGTTTGCTGAGAATGATGGTTTCCAGTTTCATTCATGTCCCTACAAAGGACATGAACTCATCATTTTTTATGGCTGCATAGTATTCCATGGTGTATATGTGCCACATTTTCTTAATCCAGTCTATCGTTGTTGGCCATTTGCGTTGGTTCCAAGTCTTTGCTATTGTGAATAGTGCCGCAATAAACATACATGTGCATGTGTCTTTATAGCAGCATGATTTATAATCCTTTGGGTATATACCCAGTAATGGGATGGCTGGGTCAAATGGTATTTCTAGTTCTAGATCGCTGAGGAATCGCCACACTGACTTCCACAATGGTTGAACTAATTTACAGTCCCACCAACAGTGTAAAAGTGTTCCTATTTCTCCACATCCTCTCCAGCACCTGTTGTTTCCTAACTTTTTAATGATCGCCATTCTAACTGGTGTGAGATGGTATCTCATAATGACTTTCTTCATAGAATTGGAAAAAAACTACTTTAAAGTTCATATGGAACGAAAAAAGAGCCCGCATCACCAAGTCAATCCTAAGCCAAAAGAACAAAGCTGGAGGCATCACGCTACCTGACTTAAAACTATACTGCAAGGCTACAGTAACCAAAACAGCATGGTACTGGTACCAAAACAGAGATATAGATCAATGGAACAGAACAGAGCCCTCAGAAATAATGCCACGTATCTACAACCAAGTGATCTTTGACAAACCTGACAAAAACAAGCAATGAGGAAAGGATTCCCTATTTAATAAATGGTGCTGGGAAAACTGGCTAGCCATATGTAGAAAGCTGAAACTGGATCCCTTCCTTACACCTTATACAAAAATTAATTCAAGATGGATTAAGACTTACATGTTAGACCTAAAACCATAAAAACCCTAGAAGAAAACCTAGGCAATACCATTCAGGACATAGGCATGGGCAAGGACTTCATGTCTAAAACACCAAAAGCAATGGCAACAAAAGCCAAAATAGACAAATGGGATCTAATTAAACTAAAGAGCTTCTGCACAGCCAAAGAAACTACCATCAGAGTGAACAGGCAACCTACAAAATGGGAGAAAATTTTCACAACCTATTCATCTGACAAAGGGCTTATATCCAGAATCTACAATGAACTCAAACAAATTTACAAGAAAAAAACAACCCCATCAAAAAGTGGGCGAAGGATATGAACAGACACTTCTCTGAAGAAGGCATTTATGCAGCCAAAAAACACATGTAAAAATGCTCATCATCACTGGCCATCAGAGAAACACAAATCAACACATATTTTTCAATGTGTTGCCTAGAAATAAATATCACCTTTGGTGACTACCAAAGATACTAACCTATAGTGCATGAGCAAGAACTGGTTCTTTTTACCATACAAGGGATGTTTAGTCACAAATTAGCATTAGGTTTGAAACCATTTTTGAGTTTTATATAAGGTCATGTTCCCTAGCAGAAAGAGAAGTTCCTATAACTCGCATTTAATTAGTTACTTTTCTGCCTTCTCTAAACCACTATGTAAGTCTTTCAGTTTTCCCTAACTATTAGGAAAATCTTTCACACAAAACCAAGATGATAAGAAAAGTGCAGCATTAGTCATATGCTCATATTAAAACACAAATAGAGTAAATGTCCTAAATTTTAAAGGAGAGAAAACCCAATGGCCCATCAAATGAGAAAAAAAAAAAAAAAAGAAAAAAAAACCATGAAACATGGCATTAAGGCTGGGCACAGCTGCTCACGCTTGTAATCTCAACACTTTGGGAGGCTGAGTCTGAGGTGGGCGGATCACTTAAGGTCAGGAGTTTGAGATCAGTCTGGCCAACATGGTAAAACCCCGTCTCTACTAAAAATACACAAATTAGCTGGCCCTGGTGGCATGTGCCTATAATCCCAGCTACTCAGGAGGCTGAGATAGAAGAATGACTTGAACCCAGGAAGCAGAGTTTGCAGTGAGCTGAGATTGAGCCACTGCACTCCAGCCTGGGCAACATACTGAGACTGTATCTCCAAAAAAAGAAAAAGAAAAAAAAATGTGGCATTAAATAACAAGACTCATAGAAGCTGTGAAACATAAATAATTGTTATGTGTCCCCTGAATTTCTCATAAATTGAATTCATTTTATATATCCAAAATTCTTTGATTATATTATGATTAAATAATTTATATTTCTTGGAAAAGGGGAGTAAAATGAGACATAAAGGAGTTAAATAACTTATGTAATAAATAATAAATGCTGCAGTTCAACACAGGTTTCATGTTTCCAGAATCTATACAGTTCTCCCCATGTTATGCCATATGTAACTGGTGTAAATGGTACAAATCCATACTTGTGTGCCTCTCCTGTGTAAGATATTTTAAGATAAGTAACAAGTATCTGGTGAAATACAAACACTGCCTCATAGCAAAAGGAAGGGAAGAGAGTTTGGAGGTGGGGAGAGAACTAGATAGAATAGAAGGGTGCCCAAAACCTAACTACCTGATAGGGCCAGAAAAATGGATGATTAATACTGTTTCTAAATAAATAACTAGTATAAAACAGGGAAGAAGAATTTGCCACCACACAGACCTCTGTTCAAGTCATGTATTTTTAAGTTCCTGGAGATCGAAGAAACATAATCACCTTTAAAATACACTTTTCTAACTTTCAAGAGAATTGTCACTCCCTTTTAGAGTGGGGAAGATTTATTTATAATTCACATAACACACATGACACATTCATTTAAAAAATGTTTCCTCCTTTAAAGTTTTTGTCATTGCAATAGTTTCACAAGGTAAACCAAAAAGCTGTCTTAAAAAGAACTCAATTGTCATTAACATTCAACAATGTTAACATGGGTATCAAACGCAGAATGCAAAAAGTGGTCCAATCTCTTAAACCACACTTCTTCATATGTCCAAAGCAGGAAAGAAATAGTATTTTACTTCAGTGTCAATTTATTCTAAATGGAACAAGCAGGTAATTATTATTTACATTTATGCAGCTATAGAATAAAATTTAGACCTAAAACAAACCTTTGAGTCAATGTCCTACTTGATATAGATGACCGTATTGAAATCCAGAAATGTTAATTTACTTCTCAAAAGTCTTACTGCTAATTAGTGATAAAGCTAAGATTTGACTTTGTTTCCTAACAAGAGTGTACACCAGAAGAATAGAAATTTTTGGAGTAAAACTAACAGCACCAGAAGAGGAAGGATAATGATACATAAACAAAATGATAAAGCAAGTATGGATTAAAACAAAAACCTCTTTACAATATGGAAATTTCTAGAGTAGACTAAGAATGCCCATTTGCTCCAAGGGAATTCATAAATGTCTGTAGTTGCGACTCAATCACTTTATCTATAGTAATAATTAATAATATGTACTTTCCCATTAAAGGGGACTTATCTCTACGGAAATTTTAAAAAGGGATTAGGAAGGAAATTATGCAAACTAAATCTACCTTAAAATCTATAAATATATTTTAGTTATGCATTATTCTTTTTATCACTTGGAAATAAATTGTTGCATTCACTTAGTTAAAATTTTTGAGCACTGGGAGAATAAAAACAAATCTTCTGATTCTGATTTAAATAAAACACATATTGTTTGCTTACTGGAAAAACATAAATCATTAATATATTTATTAGACATATAAATGTTATTGTTTGAAATACAAGATATCATTTTCACATCAATTTGATGGGAAAATATTCAAGTTGGATATCATCAATGGTCCCTAGCTAATGTCAGGGTTGCCTTTCACCAGAGCTTTTCTTGACTCCATTTGATATTTAATAGTTTATGGGATATGAGCAATAGGGCAAAGAGACTTTTAGAAGATCTAGCATCTTGTTGAAGAAGAACAAACTGATGTAATTATTATTAATAAACTATTTAACATTCACAGAGGTCTTCTGAAGAATAATAAAAGTAAAAATATTTATATAAAGCATCCAATTTGAATATATTTTCACAAAGGGGACCTGAATATTCTTTTCATGAGAAAAATAAGAATAAATGATAATAAATAAAATAATAGCAGAATAAAATAAGGCACTTAAGTAAATAATATGGTTTGGCTGTGCCCCGACCCAAATCTCATCATGAATTGTAGTTCCTGTAGTCCCTGCATGTTATGGGAGGGACCAGGTGGAGATAATTGTATCAGGAGTACAGCTTCCCCATCCCGCTCTCATGATAGTGAGTTAATTTTCACAAGATCTGATGGTTTTATAAGGGGCTTCCCCCTTTGCTGGGCTCTCATTCCTCTTCTTCTTGCCACTGTGTGAAGAAGGAACTGTTTGCTTCCTCTTTCCCTTCCGCCATGATTGTAAGTTTCATGAAGCCTCCCCAACCATGCTGAATTGTGAGTCAATTTAACCTCCTTTCTTTATAAATTACCCAGTCTCAGGTATGTCTTTATTAGCAGCATGAGAACTGACAAATACAGTAAATAATAAATAATATTTATTTATTTATTTAAAAGTTGGAGACTAACATACAATTGCTGTTTACATAAGAAGAAAAATATTAAATATACAATTAAGAAAAATTTGCTTGAAAAGGTATATTTTGAGCCCATGTTTCTGAAATAATACCAGTGTGTACCAAATGGGTGTCTCAAGTACTAAAAAAAAAAAAAAAGCTGATTTAGCACTGAATTTTTTTAATCATAAATTCAAATAACAAAAGAGAAAAGTTCAAAGACAAAAAACGATGACTAATCATGGCAATGTCTCTCTTTGCAGTTGATATAGCTGATGGTAAATCAATATATGTTACACTAGACATATACTTTCAAAACTGATATTTTTCCTAACTGACTGCAATTCTGGGCAAGTCACACGCCCTTTCTGAAATTTAATATCTTCACCTATAAAGTGAAAATGTCCAATTTGTTGAGATATACAGTGCCATCTTTCTTGAAAATTGTATGTTTTCATTTGACAATTATCATTAAGCTTCTGCTAACATGTATTTGGAGAGGTGCTTAATATAAAGATTTTCTTATTGTCCTTTTCCTCAAATTGCTTAAAATCTATTATATAAAATAAACTTTATGCAAGTAATAGAAATGCAGATTAGTTTGTGAAACAGACTAAAATATATGTGTAAACCAAATAGTATGGGGATCACAGAGGCAAGAGCTAATAATTTTCTGGGGAAGGTGACATAATTATGGCTATCTATATTTGTATATTATTGATTTGGTGACCTCCTCTGTTAGCATAGCTTCTCTTTATTTTCTTCAAAATTAACAAATTGGCCCCAATATTTCTTTAGAGCTCCACACATTTTATGGTAAGAAAATATTTCACATTATCCCATGTTCTTAGATCAGATATTGTATAAAAGAGCTATCTAATAAGGAAAGTAGTCATTTAGTCCGAAAAAAAATTGTGAAAACTATTCACCTGGTTTGTAACATCTACTGGCACAAATGCTTCTTTCTGAAAAATACCATAGTAAGGAGAAACTTTTGTATGAAGGCAAACTTTCCAGAGTGTTTGATGTAGTGCAGCCACAGTGATATTTCTGGATATGTGCTCTGTGGTTCAAATTAGAGCAAACCACAATTAACCTAGAAAATAAAATTAATCAAGCTTATGTCAAAAGCTTATCAAAGCCTGTAAATGTCACATGTATGATAACCACTGGGAATAAGGACAAATGAATGTTTCCCAAATTTCTAAAATAAAACCAAAAGAACAAACAAAAACATACTTAACTTGAAACTCCTGACATTATTGTCTCTCCTCTGCTCCAGAGCTTAGTTTTTATATATTCCCTTTCTTTATTGTCCCCAGACAATGACTTACTCTTGAATAACTCTCCCTGGTAAGGGATGTGCATGTGAGTGTAACAGCAAGAAACTTAGCAAGACATCCCATTGCGTGCCATTTTTGCTTTCCATTCCCTCAGCTCATTAAGAAAAAAATGAAAATTGCTACACTTAGAAGTTGAAGACATTTGAAAACAAATTTACATTGACCATTAAGTCTTAATTCCTAAGTGAAAATTAAAATAAAATGCACAATTTCTTTAATTTTTGCTATACCATTAAACAATATGAGGCACAATTTCAAGCTGCATGAAAATGGAACAGAACAGGTATATCCTTTGCTTTCTCTATGTGACTTCAATATTATCCCTTAGGAAAAGCTGCTGAAAATAACTAGTCATTTTAAAGTAATTTAAACATACCCAGGCTGACAATTCAATATGCCTCTAAACTCTCCATAATCCATTTCAAGTTTTCTAAATCAATTTTTAAGAACAAAACTACCAGAGAATTCAAATACCATTTACTAAATAAACCAACCTCACTTATAGAGAATATATTCAGCCTGTGTAATGAACCTGGTATAGTTTAGAGCTGTTCCCCCACCAAATCTCATGCTGAATTGTAATCCTTAATGTTGGAGGTGGGGCCCAGTGGGAAGTGACTGGACCATGGGGGCTGATTTTTCATGAATGATTTAGCAACTTCTCTCTTGGTACTTTCTTTGTGATAGTGAGTGAGTTCTTGCAGAGATCTGATTATTTAAAAGTCGTGTATGATACCTCCCTGCTCTCTCCCTTGCTCCTGCTCCTGCAATGTAAGACATTTGCTTCTCATTTGCCTTCTGCCATAAATGTTAGCTTCTCCAGAAGCTAAACAGATTCCAGCATCATGTTTCCCGTACATACTGCAGAACTGTGAGCCAATTAAGCTTCTTTTCTTAATAAATTATCCAATCTCAAGTATTTCTTTATACCAATGCAAGAATGACTAATACAGAAAATTAGTACCAGAAGTGGGGCATTGCTATAACAATACCTGAAAATGTGGAAGCAGCTTTGGAATTAAGGAACAGATAGACATTGGAAGAGTGGAGAGGGCTTGGAAGAAGAAAGGAAGATGAGAGAGTTTGGAACTTCCCAGAGACTGGTTAAATGATTCTGACCAAAATGCCAATAGTGATGCAGGCAGTGATGTCCAGATTGATGGGGTCTCAGATAGAGTTGAGCAAAGGTTACTTTTGTTATGCCTTAGCAAAGAACTTGGCTGCATTATGCCCCTGCCCTAGGTATCTATGGAACTTTGTACTTGAGAGTGATGATTTAGGGTATCTTGCAGAGGACATTTCTAAGCATTAAAGCATTCAAGAAGTCACCTGGCAGCTCCTGACAACTTATACTCATATGCATAAACAAAAAAACGACCTTAAGTTGGAACTTATATTTAAAGGGGAAGCAGAGCATAAAAGTTTGAAAAGTTTGCAGCCTGGTTATGTGGTATAAAAGAAAAGCCCATTTTCAGGGGAGGAATTCCAGGATGCCAGGCCCAGGGCCCCACTACCCTGTGCAGCCTCAGGACAATGCTCCCTGCATCCTGGCTGCTCCAGCTCCAGCCATGGCTCAAAAGAGCTAAGGTACAGCATGGGCCACTGCTTCAGAGGGTGCAAGCTGTAAGCCTCAGTGGCTTCCACATGGTATTAAGCCTGCAGGCTCACAGAATGCAAGAGTTGATGTTTAGGAGCCTCTGCCTAGATTTCAGAGGATGTATGGAAAAGCCAGGATGTCCAGGTGCCCTCACAGAGAATCTCTACTAAGGCAGTGGGGAGGGGAAATGTGGAACCCCCACACAGAGTCCCCACTGGAGCACTGCCTAGTGGAGCTGTGGAAAGAGGATCACCATCTTCCAAACCCCAGAATGGTAGATCCATCAGCAGCTTGCACTCTGTACCTGGAAAAGCTGTAGGCACTCAACGCCAGCCCAAGAGAACAGCCTTGGGTGCTGCACCCTGCAAAGCCATAGGGGCAGAGCTGCCCAAGACCTTAGGAGCCCACCTCTCACTCCTATATTCCCTGGATGTGGGACATGCAGGCAAAATAGGTTATTTTGGAGCTTTATGGTTTAATGACTGCCCTGAGTTTCAGTCTTGCATGGGGCCTATAGCCCCTTTCTTTTGGCCAATTTCTCCCTTTTGGAATGGGGATATTTACCAATGTATCTATCCCCATTGTAATTTAGAAGTAGTTAACTCACTTTTTATTTTGCAAGCTCATAGGTTGAAGGGGCTAGGTTTTTTTCAGATGAGACTTTCGACTCTGGACTTTTGAGTTAGCGCTAGAATGCGTTAAAATTTTGGAGGACTGTTGGGAAGGCAGGATTGTATTTTGCAATTAAGAAGGACATGAGATTTGGGGGTCCAGGGGCAGGATGATATGGTTTGGATCTGTGTCCTCACAAAATATCACGCTGAATTGTAATCTCCAATGTTGGAGGTGGTTGCCTGGTAGGAGGTGATTGAATCATGGGAGCTAATTTCTCATGAATGTTTAGCAACATCCCTCTTGGTACTGTCCTCATGATAGTGAGTGATTTCGTGTGAGATGTGGTCATGTAAAAGTGTGGGGCCCCTCCCCACTCTCTTGCTCTTGCTCCTGCTATGTAAGACGTTTGCCCATTTGCCTTCTGCCATGATTGTAAACTTCATGAAGCAGATTCCAGCATCGTGCTTCCTGTACAACCTGTAGAACTGTGAGCCAATTAAGCCTCCTTTCTTTATAAATTACTCAGCCTCAGGTATTTCTTTATAGCAAAGTGAGAACAGCTAATACAGAAACCAAAAAGATATTTCAGAATAAGCAGGTTCTCTGAGACAAACCTTGGCCATTGAAGATCCAGAAATCTAGAATATTACAATTGCAGAGCAGCTTCTGGAGAAATTACTGCAAAGGAGACTGATGATATGTTAAACACTGTTAGTGTAATATTAATTATAGATGAACATCTCCATTAATCTACAAAATATTAACATCTTTTTTTTCAACGTGTGGAATAAAAAAATGTGAACAGCAAATGTGCAAGTGACATATTCACAAGTTCACAATATATGTATAATTTACCCTAAAATCTGATAGCCTCAATCAATATTATATGCCTGAGGAGCCCACACTCAGAATAAAATGGTCATTTGTCCAAAGGACAAGCAATGTCAGGATCTAAATCCAATTGTATTTACCAAATGCCTTTGGTTTGTCATTTGTTCACCAAAATATCAGCTGTGTTCCTACACATTTTCACTGAAGTCTCTCATGGTTATTGAGTCCTGGAGTTGAAAGACATTCTACATTCATTATCTAGCCCCTAACCCCACAGTCCCAATGTCTACATCCATGAGTGAATATTTTTTTTGTTATTCAGTACTATAATTTACTACCTCCACAAGTTCTTTTTTCTATTTTTTTCTGTTTTATATTTAATTGAAATACCCTCTCTGTTGCTATTTTCATGAAAGTGTTTCACATATACTCCTGAAACAACAACTATATCACCTACTTTATTTAAACTGATCTTAACATCTAAGTTCTCCACTAGTGCATTGAATCTCCAGCATTTGGCATTGTTACTATACATGATACCTAACTAACTGTATTGAATTAATGCATGGGAGTCTGCCGATAAGTAGTACTTCACACAGTGCTTCTAGTCACAGAATAATAAGGACCTTATAAAGTTTTGCCATACTGATGTAGTCTTTGGGAAAGGTGGAGGCATTGAGAATCTATTTCTGCTATCCCCCAAAATATACATTATGTTGACTCTTTGTGTATCACTTTATCTCCATGACAAACATGCAAAATGCTCAGGTAGGGCACTATATACCACAGAGATACAATTATAATATTACTAGTAAGTGTACGAAGATTCATTCTGACTCATCTGAGATCTCACATCAGGATTTCATGTCCACAGACAACTGTAGCTTTGGTCCTTGCAGTCTTTTCAGTGAAAACACCTCTGGGACGTAGATAATTTTTACAATTTACAAAAAGCTTCCTTCAAGCACTCAGGACATTTTGCCAATATATGGATTGAAGTCAACATTTGATATTTTAGTAGCATGTTCAGATTTTGAGACTGTGTTATAAATCAGGGGAATACATTTATTCAGGAGCCCATATGCAAATACTAATTCTAGAAAAAAAACTCACATAGATAAAATATGTTGTAAAATGATGAAAATTTGATTTATGTTTATTCTTATTACTGCTCCTCTCTGCATCCTCTGACTCAGCAAAAAGAACAGCAAGGAGAATAACAAAGTAAAGAGGCTATAAATATTATCTAGTAATCTAAAATTGTGTAATAAGATAGTAATAAATAAAAATTAACTGTGACATTTATCAAGTGCCTTTCATGTGACAGATGCTATGTATGTCTGTTTTATTTCACTATCTGAATGGTCTATTGCAAAAACAATTCACTCTTAAAATATATTAAGACTGAGGCTTGGTCATCCAGCAAAAAGTGGGATTTGAACCCAGGTTAGTCTGATTCCTGAACCCATTATCTTTTACTATACCATTCGCATTCTGTGATGGGCTGGGTAAGAATGAAAAGAGGTTAGTAAATTTTCATTGTAGAATCAAACTATTCATGTGACTTCTACAATTAGTTCTCCTATGCTGCTGCTCAGAATTTTTTATAGCAGTGGAACTTTTAAAGAAACGAAATCTATTGGCACTTTAGAAATGACTGGATGATGATACAGCCTCAGTCAGAACTAATTAGAATTTTGAGCTAATGTTTGAGGTAAGATTCCCTAGGTATTCTCTAACAAAAGCATTTCTCATAAGAAAAAATCCAGAAATAGTGGAAACGGGTGTCAGGAAAATGACAGATGAAAATAAACTATTGAGACAACATTGAAATTTATGCATAAGCAGACATTTTAGTTCTTAAAAAATGAATCTATTCAGCAAGACTTGTTTTCTTCTACTACACAGAAATTCGCACCCCTGCAAATGGCATGAAAATAACGCTAAACATGTCTTGCTTTGTAGAGAAGTGAAAACCCTGCTTTGTGACTACCACAGAAAGGTACTGAAGCCACCCTGGAGATAAAACACCTGTATTTAAGTCCTGGCTCCACTATTTCTGCTATAATCTAAGCATTCATTTCCTCATCTGTAAGATGGGGATAATGGTAAAAATTACGTCCCGGACATTGAGAGGCTCAAAGGAGATGATGTGGTACACCTGTTCGTAAATTTGCCTGCATATTGGAATCACATGAGGAGCTTCAAAAATTACTTATGGCTGCATCCACCACCAATTACCATGGCTTAACCAGTCTAGTGTAGTTAGTCTGGGCTTTAGAGATTGAACAAGATCCCCAGGTGACTCTAATTAATAGATAATGTGGCAACCCCTGGTCTACTAACATGCTGATGAACACTATGTCTTCACATATAGTGATTCCATTATTATTGTTAATCCCAGATATGCGACCTTGGGCATACTGGTTAGCCACTGATAGGAGTTTAATTATACATTGTAAAAGAATAAAACATGATTTTATTTCTGGGTTGTCATGAAATGCTCACCAAAATGCCTGGGTAGGAGGATATAGAATAAATGTTATTTTTCCCCTTCTTTTCAAAACTACCTTGTGGCTCTTCAGCATTATACCCTCTCACATGATTTATTCATACTACTTTGAAAGAATCGCACCTACGTGTTCTAAAATCTCCTGTTTCTGTACATTTGGTCATATAGTCAAAGACCTAACCATTTTTTAAAATTACAGCAGACACAGTTTTTCTTGCCAGAAGCCTTCCTTACCTACTATTCTTTCACTTATGGAAGTAAATCACTTCCTCCACTGAACATGTGGAGAGTTTCCACCCCTCTTCCACATTAATATGTCCTATTTGTATTATTTTTGCATATGCCCTCAATCCCTAAGAATGAGAGCAAGGTTGTTGAGTTATTCATCTTTTTGATATTTTTTGACAGCCAACAGAAAAATGGGGCTAAACTGGTTTCATATATGCATGGATACATAGACAGATAGATATGAACATATATTAGAAATATAGCTAGAAATAAAGAACATTTACAGAACAATAATAAAATGCACATATCTAATAACGAAACTTTAACATAGGTAAAGTGAAAGATGATGAGTTGAAAGAGCTAGTCAAATTTACAATTACAAATGGAGGATTCTAATATTCTCTTTCTGCAACTGACAGAACAATCTGATTGTCAATAAGGATATAGAAGCCTGAAACCATATATCAACAAAATTGGCCTAATGGACTTTTATAGAATATTACAGACAATACTAGAATACACTACTTATTTCAAATGCACGTGGAATATTTATCTAAATCGACTATTTCTTGGCTATAAAACAAATATTTGTAAATTTAAAAGTGCATTCTAATATATTAAAATTAAATGGAAAAATCACAAATTAGGCAGCATACTTTCAAATAAACCATGGTCAAAGAAGTCATAAGGAGACTTAACAAAATATTTTAATCTCAATAGAAATAAAAGCACAGCACATTAAATTTGTGTGATACATCTAATGCAATACCCCAAAGGAAATTTACAGCAACACATGGTTATATTAGAAGTGTAGCAGATCAATCATCTAAAAGTTCACCTAGGTCAGGTGCGGTGGCTCACGCTTCTAATCCCAGCATTCTGGGAAGCCAAGGTAAGAGAATCACTTAAGCCTAGGAGTTGGAGATGTTCCTAGGTAACATTGCAAGATCACAACTCTACAGAAATTTTAAAAATTAGCCATGTGTAGTGGCATATGCCTGTGTTCCTAGCTACTCAGGAGTCTGGGGTAGGAGGACTGCTTGAGCTTAGGAGATTAAGATTGCAGTGAGCCATGTTCATGCCACTGCACTCCAGCCTGGGGTATAGAGTGAGACCCGGTCTCAAATAAGTACATAAATAAATAAATAAAATTTCACTTAAAAATCTTCAAAAAGAAGAGCACAGTAAACCCAAATGAAGCATACATAAGAAATAATAAAGGTAAAAGCAGAAATTAACAAGATAGAAATCAGAAAAATATTAGGAAGAAAACAATGAAATTATAAGCTGCTGTTTATACACATCAATAAAATTAATAATTTCCTAGACAGAAAAATGTAAACAAAAGGAGAGGAGGTTCAAGTTACCAACATTAAGAAATACTAGAAGGCAGGCCGGGCGCGGTCACTCACGCCTGTAATCCCAGCACTTTGGGAGGCCGAGGCGGGCGGATCACAAGGTCAGGAGATCAAGACCATCCTGGCTAACACAGTGAAACCCCGTCTTACTACAAAATACAAAAAATTAGCCAGGCATGGTGGCGAGCGCACGTAGTCCCAGCTACTTGGGAGGCTGAGGCAGGAGAATGGCAATGAACCTGGGAGGCAGAGCTTGCAGTGAGCCGAGATCACGCCACTGTACTCCAGCCTGGGCGACAGAGCGAGACTCTGTCTCAAAAAAAATAAATAAATAAAAAGGAAATATAAGAAGGCACATTACTACTGACCCTCCAGATATTAAAACCATAGTGATAAACTATTAGTAACTTCATGCTCATTAATCTCAAATGTAAATTACATTGAAAAATTAGTAATACAAATGACAAAACTTTCCTTAAAATCAAAGGGATAAGATCAGGATAAACAAAAATATTAATTTTGTTTCTGTATACTAGCAATGAAAAATTAGAAATTAAGAGAAATTATCATTTATAATATAATCCAAAGTTGAAATACTTTCGTGTAAATTGGAAAAAAAAATATTTATAACAGCTGTGCAACAACACACTATTGAAAGACTTTTTAAAAAAAGATCTAAATATACAGAGAGATAAGATGTTTACTTATTGAAAGACTAAATGAAATGTTTAAATGCTGTCTTAGTCCATTTTGCAGTGCTATAACAGAATACTTGCTACTGGATAATTTATAATGAGTGGAAAGGTATTTGGCTCATGAGCCTGAAAGCTGGGAGGTTCAAGATCTAGGGACCACATCTGGTAAGGGCCCTCTTGCTATGTCATCTTATGGTGGAAGGAGAGAAAGGCAAAAGAGCATCAGCGAGAGCAAGATATTGAACTCAGCCTCTTTTATAAACTATTATAAAAGACCCTTTTATAATGGCATTAATCTATTCATGAGGAAGGAGCCCTCCGACCTAGACAATTTCTATTAGGTTCCACCTCTCAACACTGTTGCAGGCATTGGGGATTAAGTCCTAAAACATGATTTTTGGGAGACACATCAAATCATAGTATTCTGCCCAAGGCTAATAAAATGTATGTCCTTCTCAAATTCAAAATACATTCATTCCATCATTTCATCTCAATATCCTGAAATTCTTAACAGGTTTCAGCGCCCATTCAAAAGTCCAAAATTCAAAGTCACATCTAAATCAGATACAGATAAGAGTCAAGGCACAATTCACTCTGAGTCAAATTTTCCTCCACCATGAGCCTATAAAATTAAACACATTATCTACTTCCCAAATATAATAGTAGGATAGACACTTTCATTGCAAAGGGAATTAAAAGACAAGAAAACAAAGGATAGCTAGATCCAGATAAGTCCATACTCAAGAATGCAAACAATGTCAAATCTTAAGTTTCCTCAACAATCTTCTTTTACTCCATATCCCACCTTCTGGATATACTGCGGTGGGAGTTGGGTTTTCAAAGCTCTGGAGGGTCCACCCCTATGGCTTTGCTGGACTCAGGCCACATAGCAACTCTTATGGATTAAAGTCTTGTTTTTGCGGTTCTCCCGGTGTTGCATGTTCATAACTCTACAATTCTGGGGTCTCAAGGACAATTCTACCACCAGAAATTGCCCTAGTGGGGACTCTCTGTTGGGGTTCCAACCCCACAACCCCACTGGGCATTGTTTTGAGGGGGGTTCTCTGCAGTAGCCCTGCCCCTGTAACAGTCTGTGATAGTCTCTACCTGGGCACCCAGGCTATCCTTGACATCCTTTGAAATCTAGGAGAAAGCCATGCTTCCACAGCTCTTGCATTCTGTGTGCCTACAAAACTGTGAATGCCACCCCTTTACAGTCTGCACCTTCAGGAGCAGTGGGTTGAGCTGCACCTGGACCCAATCAAGCCACAGGGGGCCAGTTAAGGCATGCTGTGTCAGTGTATGGAAAGCACGGCCCTGTCTGGAAAGCTTTCCCTTAAGGTCCTTGGCTTGCCTGGAAGACCTCTGAAATGCCTCAGGTTCATTTTCTTATTGTCTTTATCAATAGAACCCAGCTTTATTCTATTACTATCAGTCTCTTTAGCAAATGGTTGCTTGGCCAAACCATTAGCATTGTTTATTAAACATGCTTTCTTTATTCTTTATATGGCCATGCTAAGAGTTTTTCCAAGTTTTTCATTCTGCTTCACTTTTAGTTATAAATTCTGTCTTTAAATAATTTTTGTCTTCTCTTATTTTGCTGCAAGCAGCCAAAAGAAGCCATGCAGCACCTTGAATGTTTTGCTGCTTAGATATTTGTTCTGCCAGATATCTGACTTAATCATTCCTAATTTCTGCCCCACACAATCCAAGAACATAGAAACAATTCCACCAGGTTCTTTGTAACTGCATAACAAGTATGGCCTTTACTCCAGTTTCCAATACCTTGGTTCTAATTTTCCTCTCAAATCTAATTAGAATGGCCTTGACTGTCCATATTTCTACTGACATTCTGATCACAGCTTGTAGTTCCTAACAAGATTTGCGCTCCCCCTGCAGCTCTAATTTTCCTCTGTGCTCTCACCAGAATTGCCCTTAATACTCCCCATTTATGAAAATCTGGGTTTCTTCCAGAGTACCCTTCAAATTCTTCCAGCCTCTACCTATTACCCAGTTGCCGAACTACCTGCACATTTTCAGATTTTTTTTTTATGGCAATGATCCCACTTCCTTGTACCCATTTGTGTGTGTGTGTGTGTGTGTGTGTGTGTGTGTGTGTGTGTGTGTGTGTTGTGCTTATAACAGAATACATGAGTAATTTATCATAAACAGAAATTTATTTGACTCATGGTTCCAGTGTCTGGCAAGTCTAAGACCAAGGGGCTGATCTTGGAAGGGCCTTCTAGCTGTATTGTAACAAGGTAGAAGGGCAGAAGGGCAAAAGGGCAAGCATGAGAAAGAGCAAGCAATTAAACTCACAGCCACAAGCCCTTTTATAATTTGTATGAATCTATTCATGAGGGTAGAGCCCTCATGACCTAAACACCTACCATTAGGTCCCAGTTTCCAACACTGTTGCACTGGGAATTAAGTTTCCAAACTATGCATTTGAGGGAAACACATTCAGATGATAGCAGATGCCCTTTCTCTCCAAGTTGATAAATGTTTATTTCAAACTAACAATATTTGGGGAACTTGTGTAGAAACTGATATATTCATTCCAGAATTTAATGGAAATATACCTAAAATTAAATAGCAAAGGAAAATTGAAAAGGAATATTAATGGCCTTATTCTATTTGAATTCAATATTTACCATAAATCTGCATTAATCAAGACTGTGGAATTGGCATAAAAATACAAAGATAGACTGATGGAACAGAAAATACAGTGGCGACATTGATTCGAACCCCAAACTTTCCCATTTTTCTGATGATAATTAAAAATAGTACAACTGGCATGAGGTTCCAAGATGGCCGAACAGGAACAGCTCCAGTCTACAGCTCCCAGCATGAGTAACGCAGAAGACGGGTGATTTCTGCATTTCCATCTGAGGTACTGGGTTCATCTCACTGGGGCTTGTCGGACAGTGGGGGAGGGACAGTGGGTGCAGCCCACTGAGCGTGAGCCGAAGCAGGGCGAGGCATCACCTCACCCAGCAAGCTCAAGGGGTAGGAATTCCCTTTCCTAGCCAAGGGAAGCGGTGACAGACGGCACCTGGAAAATTGGGTCACTCCCAGCCTAATACTGCGCTTTTCCAATGGTCTTAGCAAACAGCACACCAGGAGACTATATCCTGCGCCTGGCTCAGAGGGTCCCATGCCCACAGGGCCTCGCTCATTGCTAGCACAGCAGTCTGAGATCAAACTGCAAGGCGGCAGCGAGGCTGGAGGAGGGGTGCCCGCCATTGCTGAGGCTTGAATAGGTAAACAAAGCAGCCAGGAAGCTCGAACTGGGTGCAGCCAACAGCAGCTCAAGGAGGCCTGCCTGCCTCTGTAGACTCTACCTCTGGGGGCAGGGCATAGCCGAACAAAAAGTGGCAGAAACCTCTGCAGACTTAAATGTCCCTGTCTGACAGCTTTGAAGAGAGTAGTTGTTCACTCAGCACAGAGTTTGAGGTCTGAGAAAGGACAGACTGCCTCCTCAAATGGGTCCCTGACCCCCGAGTAGCCTAACTGGGGGGCACCCCCCAGAAGGGGCAGACCAACACCTCACACGACCGGGAACCCTCTGAGACAAAGCTTCCAGAGGAACGATCAGGCAGCAACATATGCTGTTCAGCAATATTCGCTGTTCTGCAGCCTCTGCTGCTGATACCCAGGGAAACACGGTCGGAGTGGACATCCAGCAAACTCCAAAAGACCTGTAGCTGAGGGTCCTGACTGTTAGAAGGAAAATTAACAAACAGAAAGGACATCCACACCAAAACCCCATCTGTACGTAACCATCATTAAAGACCAAAGGTAGATAAAACCACAAAGATGGGGGAAAAATAGAGCAGAAAAGCTGAAAATTCTAAAAATCAGAGTGCCTCTCCCCCACCAAAGGAACACAGCTCCTTGCCAGCAACGGAACAAAGTGGGACAGAGAATGACTTTGATGAGTTGAGAGAAGAAGGCTTCAGATGATCAAACTTCTCTGAGCTAAAGGAGGAAGTTCAAACCCACCGCAAAGAAGATAAAACCTTGAAAACAGATTAGATGAATGGCTAACTAGAATAACCAGTGTAGAGAAGTCCTTAAATGACCTGATGGAGCTGAAAACCATGGCACGAGAACTATGTGACGAATGCACAAGTTTCAGTAGCTGATTCAATCGACTGGAAGAAAGGGTATCAGTGATGGAAAATCAAATGAATGAAATGAAGCAAGAAGAGAAGTTCAGAGAGAAAAGAGTAAAAAGAAACGATCAAAGCCTCCAAGAAATATGGGACTATGTGAAAAGACCAAATCTATGTCTGATTGGTGTACCTGAAAGTGATGGGGAGAATGGAACCAAGCTGGAAAACACTCTGCAGAATATTATCCCAGAGAACTTCCCCAACCTAGCAAGGCAGGCCAACATTCAAACTCAGGAAATACAGAGAACGCCACAAAGATACTCCTCGAGAAGAGCAACTACAAGACACATAATGGTCAGATTCACCAAAGTTGAAATGAAGGAAAAAATGTTAAGGGCAGCCAGAGAGAAATGTCGGGTTACCCACAAAGGGAAGCCCATCAGACTAACAGCTGATCTCTTGGCAGAAACTCTACAAGCCAGAAGAGAGTGGGGGCCAATATTCAACATTCTTAAAGAAAACAATTTTCAACTCAGAATTACATATCCAGCCAAACTAAGCTTCATAAAAGAAGGAGAAATAAAATCCTTTACAGACAAACAAATGCTGAGAGATTTTGTCACCACCAGGCCTGCCCTAAAAGAGCTCCTGAAGGAAGCACTAAACATGGAAAGAAACAACTGGTACCAGCCACTGCAAAAACATGCCAAACTGTAAAGACCATCGATGCTAGGAAGAAACTGCATCAACTAATGAGCAAAATAACCAGCTGACATCATAAGGACAGGATCAAATTCACGCATGAGAATATTAACCTTAAATATAAAGGAGCTAAATGCTCCAATTAAAAGACACAGACTGGCAAATTGGATAGAGTCAAGACCCATCAGTGTGCTGTATTCAGGAGACCCATCTCGCATGCAGAGACACACATAGGCTCAAAATAAAGGGATGGAGGAAGATCTACCAAGGAAATGGAAAACAAAAAAAGGCAGAGGTTGCAATCCTAGTCTCTGATAAAACAGACTTTAAACCAACAAAGATCAAAAGAGACAAAGAAGGCCATTACATAATGGTAAAGGAATCAATTCAGTGAGAAGAGGTAACTATCCTAAATATATATGCACCCAATACAGGAGGACTTAGATTCATAAAGTAAGTCCTTAGAGACCTACAAAGAGACTCAGACTCCAACACAATAATAATGGGAGACTTTAACACCCCACTGTCAACATTAGACAGATCAATGAGACAGAAAGTTAACAAGCATATCCAGGAATTGAACTCAGCTCTGCACAAAGTGGACCTAATAGACATCTACAGAACTCTCCACCCCAAATCAACAGAATATACATTCTTCTCAGCACCATATAACACTTATTCCAAAATTGACCACATAGTTGGAAGTAAAGCACTCCTCAGCAAATGTAAAAGAACAGAAATTATAACAAACTGTCTCTCAGACCACAGTGCAATCAAACTAGAACTCAGGATTAAGAAACTCACTCAAAACTGCTCAACTACATGGAAACTGAACAACCTGCTGCTGAATGACTACTGGGTACATAACGAAATGAAGGCAGAAATAAAGATGTTCTTTGTAACCAATGAGAACAAAGACACAACATACCAGAATCTCTGGGACACATTTAAAGCAGTGTGTAGAGGGAAATTTATAGCACTAAATACCAACAAGAGAAAGCAGGAAAGATCTAAAATTGACACCCTAACATCACAATTAAAATAACTAAAGAAGCAAGAGCAAACACATTCAAAATCTAGCAGAAGGCAAGAAATAACTAAAATCAGAGCAGAACTGAAGGAGATACAGAAACAAAAAACCCTTCAAAAAATCAATGAATCCAGGAGCTGGTTTTTTGAAAAGATCAACAAAATTTATAGACTACTAGCGAGACTAACAAAGAAGAAAAGAGGGAAGAATCAAATAGACGCAATGAAAAATGACAAAGGGGATATCACCACATATCCCACAGAAATACAACCTACCATCAGAGAATACTATAAACACCTCTACGCAAATAAACTAGAAAATCTAGAAGAAATGGATAAATTCCTGGACACCTACGCCCTCCCAAGACTAAACGAGGAAGAAGTTGAATACCTGAATAGACCAAAAACAGGCTCTGAATTTGGGGCAATAATTAATAGCCTAACAACCAAAAAAAGTCCAGGACCTGATGGATCCACAGCCAAATTCTATCAGAAGTACAAGGAGGAGTTGGTACCATTCCTTCTGAAACTATTCCAATCAATAGAAAAAGAAGACATCCTCCCTAACTCATTTTATGAGGCCAGCATCATCCTGATACCAAAGCCTGGCAGAGACACCACAAATAAAAGAGAATTTTAGACCAATATCCCTGATGAACATTGATGCAAAAATCCTCAATAAAGTACTGGCAAACTGAATCCAGCAGCACATCAAAAAGCTTATCCACCATGATCAAGTGGGCTTCATCCCTGGGATGCAAGGCTGGTTCAACATATGAAAATCAATAAAAGTAATTCAGCATATAAACAGAACCAAAGACAAAAACCACATGATTATCTCAATAGATGCAGAAAAGGCCTTTGACAAAATTCAAAAGCCCTTTATGCTAAAAAATCTCAATAAATTAGGTATTCATGGGACCTATCTCAAAATAATAAGAGCTATCTATGAGAAACCCACAGCCAATATCATATTGAATGGGCAAAAACTGGAAGCATTCCCTTTGAAAACTGGCACAAGACAGGGATGCCTTCTCTCACCACTCCTATTCAACATAGTGTTGGAAGTTCTGGCCAGGGCAATCAGACAGGAGAAAGAAATAAAGGGTATTCAATTAGGAAAAAAGGAAGTCAAATTGTCCCTGTTTGCAGATGCCATGATTGTATATTTAGAAAAACCCATCGTCTCAGCCCAAAATCTCCTTAAACTGATAAGCAACTTCAGCAAAGACTCAGGATACGAAATCAATGTGCGAAAATCACAAGCATTCTTGTACACCAATAACAAACAGAGAGCCAAATCATGAGTGAACTCCTATTCACAATTGCTTCAAAGAGAATAAAATACCTAGGAATCCAACTTACAAGGGATGTGAAGCACTTCTTCCAGGAGAACTACAAACCACTGCTCAATGAAACAAAAGAGGACACAAACAAATGGAAGAACATTCCATGTTCATGGATAGGAAGAATCAATATCGTGAAAATGGCCATACTGCCCAAGGTAATTTATAGATTCAATGCCATCCCCATCAAGCTACCAATGACTTTCTTCACAGAATTGGAAAAAACTAATTTAAAGTTCATATGGAACCAAAAAATAGTCCACATTGCCAAGTCAATCCTAAGCCAAAAGAACAAAGCTGGAGGCATCCCGCTACCTGACTTCAAACTATGCTACGAGGATACAGTAACCAAAACAGCATGGTACTGGTACCAAAACAGATACAGACCAATGGAACAGAACAGAGCCCTCAGAAATAATACCACACATCTACAACCATCTGATCTTTGACAAACCTGACAAAAACAAGAAATGGGGAAAGGATTCCCTATTTAATAAATGGTGCTGGGAAAACTGGCTAGCCATTTGTAGAAAGCTGAAACTGGATCCCTTCCTTACACCTTATACAAAAATTAATTCAAGATGGATTAAAGACTTAAATGTTAGACCTAAAACCATAAAAACCCTAGAAGAAAACCTAGGCAATACCATTCAGGACATAGGCATCGCAAGGACTTCATGTCTAAAACACCAAAAGCAATGGCAACAAAAGCCAAAATTGACAAACGGGATCTAATTAAACTAAAGAGCTTCCGCACAGCAAAAGAAACTACCATCAGAGTGAACAGGCAACCTATAGAATGGGAGAAAAGTTTTGCAATCTACTCATCTGATAAAGGGCTAATATCCAGAATCTACAGAGAACTGAAACAAATTTACAAGAAAAAACAGCCCCATCAAAAAGTGGGCAAAGGATATGAACAGACACTTCTCAAAAGAAGACATTTATGTGGCCAACAGACGCATGAAAAATGCTCATCATCACTGGCCATCAGAGAAATGCAAATCAAAACCACAATGAGATACCATCTCACACCAGTTAGAATGGCAATCATTAAAAAGTCAGGAAACAACAGGTGTTGGAGAGGATGTGGAGAAATAGGAACACTTTTACACTGTTGGTGGGACTGTAAACTAGTTCAACCATTGTGGAAGTCAGTGTAGCAATTCCTCAAGGATCTAGAACTAGAAATACCATTTGACCCAGCCATCCCATTACTGGGTATATACCCAAAGGATTATAAATCATGCTGCTATAAAGACACATGCACACGTATGTTTATTGCAGCACTATTCACAAGAGCAAAGACTTGGAACCAACCCAGATGTCCATCAATGATAGACTGGATTAAGAAAATGTGGCACATATACACCATGGAATACTGTGCAGCCACAAAAAGGTTGAGTTCATGTCCTTTGTAGGGACATGGATGAAGCTGGAAACCATCATTCTCAGCAAACTATCGCAAGGACAAAAAAACAAACACCGTATGTTCTCACTCATAGGTGGGAATTGAACAATGAGAACACTTGGACATGGGAAGGGGAACATCACACACCGGGGCCTGTCATGGGGTGGGGTGAGGTGCGAGGGATAGCATTAGGAGATGTACCTAATGTAAGTGAGGAGTTAATAGGTGCAGCACACCAACATGGCACATGTATACATATGTAACAAACCTGCACCTTGTGCACATGTACCCTAGAACTTAAAGTATAATAAAAAAAATAGTACAACCATTTGTGAAAACAATTTTGTCAGTTTCTCCTAAATGTTTTCAGGCACTAAGCATGTATCCCAGAAATTCTACTTGTAAGCAATTATTCATGTAAACTAACATAAAAGTATAAACAGCCATTCATAACTTCCCATTGCATATTTATTTGCAATAATGAAAAAGTAGAAACCGTGCAGATGTCCATGAAATAAAAAATGGTCAAATAAATTATAGTTGCAGTATACAAATTGTGGTATATATTTACAGTAGAATACTACTCAGCAATAAAAATTTATGTACTACTGATATATACAATTGTGCAGATGAATGTCAAAAACATTTTGCTGAGCTATATGTAGAGAGAGACCCTATATATACACATATATATGTCATATATACATATAGATTCCATTTATATAATTTTCTAGGGAAATTATGATCATTCTATAGTTACGGCAGATAAGTTATTGTCTGGAGCTAAGAATGGGAATCTGACTTCAACAACACCTTAAGGAGTTTTTTGCCATGATGGAAACATTTCATATCTACTATATGCCCCTCAGTTGCAATTTGTCTGATGTATTTCTTCATGATTAGATCAGGGTTAGATGGTTTTAGGAGGAAGACCACAGAGGTGAATAGCCAGTCTCATCATATCATATCAAAGGTTTGTGCTATCAACATGACTTGTCATTAGTGATGTTAATCTTGATCACCTGGGTGAGCTAGTGCTTGTCATGCTTTTCTACTGTAAAGTTAAACTTTTTTCTTTCTACCAAATTTTAAAAGCAAGTCATTAAGAATAGTTTCTTATAAAACATGACTCATGATTTTGTAAGCACTTCCTTACCTTTTGACATTACAAGAGGGCCCATGCACAGCTTGTATATTCCCCCTACTCTGAATTGGCCTTTTCTCAAAGTCATCTGGCTCCTTTTGTTGAAAAAATAGCATTTAGAAACCAGTATCTGGGTACTGGGTGTGCTTGTTGCAACTGTGTTGTCACTTTAGCCTTCATTTTAAGGGACTTAAAATAATATTTATCTCTACTTTTCATGAAATTAAGTAAATGTATTCAAACATCTTAAACTGCATATAAAAGGTAATATCTTCAATTTTATTTTTAATACTTGGTTTAAATAACTGAAGATAATCTGAAAGGATGTGATTTTGTTTCTGGAAAGCAGAGGGAGCCTGTAAACCCCAGTAGTCTCTTCTTAATAATAGATATCTGCACCTTCTCCACCTGGTCATGCTACAGAAAGAGGGCTAACAGGAGATTAATGTGAGTGACAAACCTCTGTTGGGTACTAAGACTAGACAAGCAGAAACTGGTACCATTTCAGAAATTAGTGTCTTCACAACCAACTCCAGGAAGTTGGACTTACCAAGACCTTCCAGAAACAGGTCCTCTAGGCCAGCAGTCCCCCACCTTCTGGCACCAGTTTCAAGGAAGACAAGTTATCCACAGACAAGGTTGGGGAGACAGTGATGGTTTTGAGATGATTCAAGCACATTACCTTAATCATTAGATTCTCATAAGGAGATGCAACCTATATCCCTCACATGCACAGTTCACAGCAGGATTTGTGCTCCTGTGAGAATCTAATACCGTTGCTGATCTGACAGGAGGTGAAACTCAGCTTCACGTGATCATCCACTGTACTGCTCACCTTCTGCTATGCAGCCTGGTTTCTCACAGGCCATGGACTGGTACATGTCTGTGGCACGGGGGTTAGGGACCCCTGCTCCGGGCTACCGGTGGTTTTTGTCCCATTCCTGAAATAGGTCAAGTACTCCATATTCCTTAATGAAAATACTGAACTAGGATATCTTTCACTTCTGATAAATGAGAGTGTGTAAAATTGATCTTGTATAGGTTTATGGTCTCAGCCTGGTTCCTGGATATTATAAAATATGACCACTATGAAATATACTTCAAAATGGAGCCCTGAGGCAACTTGACCGATGAATGAAAGCAGTCTCATCTGTTCTGTGTGATTAATGCCCTAGTGGTGTCTCCTTGCAAAGACACACAGACTTCCAAACAAATGCTCAGTCTGATACCCTGTTAGAAGAATGTCAAGCTAAACCAGTACATTTGGATCACTTCCTCTACCCCAGGGATTTTATAAACAGCTGTCACTTCAACTTTGATACAACTTTCTTGTTTCTTATCATAAAGGGACTCCACCTGATATTTACTTGAAATATAAAACCTGTCATCACTGGGTTTATGAGTAAGCAGGCTCACTCTTCTGGTTCATTTTTGAGATTTATTTGTAGGCAGTATTTATCACAAATGAAGAACACTTCAACTTTTAACTGACCAGGGAATTGCTTAACTTTATTTTTTTTTATTATCTCTAGCAGTCGTTTTTACAACTGTCATTTGAGAATTATTACAAATGTAATGCTTTTAAATAATAGTTTTTCTATTATGTTTTGAAAAGCTCCCTAAATCATTCTAATGAACAAATTGAGTAGTAAAATAATCTCCTTCTCCATTCCCGGGGAAGTCTGGAGTATATTTAAACTTTGCAGATTTTTGACATGGTAAAGGCAGAGGTTCAGAAAAGTGATCTTAAATCACAGGCACAAGTGAACAATAAATATTAGAGCTAACACTTGATATACCCTTTTTGTGGCACTATTCTGAGCATTTTATATCAATTATCTCATTTAAGCCATTCAATAACCATATGAGGTGTTATATACTTTTTATTAGTATGGAGGCAACTGAATCACATGCAAAATTACACAGCCAAATCAGTATTAATAATCAGGCATCTAGTTAAAAACTTCATCCATTATCCAGATAAGTTCAATATAGGACAGATCCTGTTCTCTTTGTTCACAAGCCCAGCTCACCAGCTCCTCCCTATCCCATGTCCTCTCTGGGAACGTTGAGAAGGCACATAAATTGTGCACAAGAGAATATAGCCACTTAACACATCTCTGATGCCAGGTGTTGTAGACGGGTGTTAGATAATCCCAGGGTAGACTGACTTTGCAGAGAATCTCCCTGAGTGTCACAGAGATCTCCTCACCCTGAGGGACATAAGTAGTTTTGCTGAACATTTGTAGCCTTTTATAGTCATTTTTCCTTAACAGGAGGAGGCAGATAATCATGAGAAGCAGCACCACTGGTATATTCACGGAGAGGACACATTAGCAGCCTGTGTGTTTCATAGTTTCTATAAACCTGTGTATTCAAGGAGATAGGCATTACGAATAAAATCTCTGTTCAGATCATCTCAGAATCCAAGTAGCATGTTAATATCTGTGAATTTTAGCAACATAACTATTACTAAAAGTTCTGGAGATGCTGATAATTCCTTTTTGCTGATAATTACTTTGTCCATATTAACAGGTCAGGGAGCATCAAGTGCATGAGTTATTACCATCTTCTAATATGTTCCTGATACAAATGGAGTAGCTGGTGTCTGAAGCACAGGCTCTGGCAAAGTGCCCTGAGATTGGGCCCTCAGTCTTCTTTCCCTAACAGTCAGGGGTGGATCTGATTACTAGATTTCCCACCATATGCCATGTACCACAACATCTTCATCTATGTGGGACCTTGGGATGATTCTTAAATGAAATTTATATAAAGTCAATTTTAAGGCATGTGGGAAATTGTCTTTCACTTCACTATGATTTTCATTGTTTTCTTTAAATCAATAGACTATTTCAGAGAATCAAGAAAAATAATATGACAGTGGAAGCAATTTAGCCCATGTTATTATTTTGCCACATTTGTTTCAGAGTTCACAACTGCATCATACGAGAAGCAAAACATTTGTTATAAAAACTCCCATTTATTTATATCTTACTTTCTTTAAAACTTGCTTTCTCTATGTATGTTACCAGAGATATCGAGTTACTGTAAACATCCCTATGCCTTCTATTTTAAAGTGTGTATGACAAACACTATAGGATTTTGTATCTGTCTTAGGATGTCTGTAGAGAGCTGTATAGCGTGGCATCTCTTTTAGCTCTTCTTTTAATGAGAATCCAGTTGCTCTGATTGTCCAGAGAGCACAGTGCCAAAATTGTACATGTGATAAAAGGCATGCAATGTGCCCACCTCAATGACATTCCCCACAGCAGAAAACTGTTCATTTTCATGGCCTTTAGGACATTATGAGAGACAGAAAAGCAATAGTGTCCAAACCCAAACATATTTTGTGAAATGGTGTCTGGGTTAGCATTCTATTGCTGCACAGAAAATTACTACAAAATTAGTGGCTTAAAGCAATACACATTTATTATCTCACAGTCTCTGCGGGTCAGAAATCTGGGTAACTTAGCTAGATGTTCTGTAACTATCTCAACATGCTGTACTCAAGGTGTTAGCCAAGCTATGAAACTAGAAATGAGAAAGGAAAAATCTGCTCCAAGCTCATTCAGATCGTTGGCAGAATTCATTTTCTTGTGATTGTATGAGTGAGGTCCTCAGTTCCTCAGCCTCCAGTTTCCTGCCACATGGCACTGTCCATTGGTGGTTTATTTCATGGCTGTTCATTTCTTTAAAGCTAATCAGAGAATCCTTCTCTTCTGTCTGCTAAGATGGGAATCTTATACAGTGTCATGTCATCATGAAAGTGACATCCAATTGCCTTTGGCATATAATGCTAATCCAGAAAGTGACATTTCATTACCTTTGCCATGTTCAAGTTATTAGATACAAAGCATAGGCTTCACCCATACCCAACGGGAGGAAATAATAATAGGGCATAGCACTAGTGGCTGGTGATCATAGAGACCATTTTAGAATTCTGCCTACCATGTTGCCTATCATAGTCTGAAAAGACTAAACCCATTATTTTAAAGGAAAGAAATATGCAAAAAGAGGATTTTTCTTGTTCAAAGTAAGAGCTAATAACTTGCAAAGCAGAGACAAGAACTTGCACCTGTCTATCTCCTAGTCCATGGTGTGTCAAATTTTGTTTTTCATAAAGGGCCAGGTAGTAGGTATCTTATACTTGAAAGGCCATCCAGTCTCTGTCACAGCTGTTCAACTCTGCCATTGTGAAGAGAAATCAGCTCAAGACATTAATGGGAGTAAATGGATGTGGCTGTATTCTAAGAAAACTTTATTTTCAAAAACAGGTGGCAGGCCTATTTGTACTGCAGGCCAAAACTTGACAGGTCCTCTCCTAATCCAGTGATCTTCTTTTTCAACAGCATGCATTTGTATGTGAGTGCCAGTGCGGGTCATCACAGCTTGCATCCATTTCAAGTCTTCATCTAACATACAGAAGGTAATTCAGCTAAATTTTTTTTCTTACATCTGCTCCCCTAAGTGGTGTCTCAGCAATTTCAGATGTCCTGCCCCGGAGATGCCTGCTATCAAACTTGAGAACAATTTATTTAGATATACTCCTAACAAACACTGGACAATTCACAGCCCAGTTCACAGCCCAGTTGGTTATACAACTGAGAAAGCTAAGTGTCAATGAAGCTAAAAACCTTCCCAAGATCACATGCCTAGTAAGTGGGGGGATTCAAGACTGTAGTATAAGCCTATTTGACTCCAAAACATATTACTTTGCCAATTATTCTCGCATGGCCAAATAGAAATGAGTCACAAGGATGTTGTGAAGGTAAGAATATCATTGGTTGAGAAAGGTCTGTCTCACTTCTTATTGGAACCTAAGAATCTGGAAGAGAAGGAGTTTTTAAGGTTTGAGGTCAGAGTCATGAAATAGTCACCCAGTAGGCTGGAAAAAAAGAATGTGTTATATTAGAAAAGCAGAATCTCTGGACAGCACCAGTGGCATATTTGAGGTCAAATGTCATGAATTTGATGAGATCCTTCCTCAATTTGATGAGTTTTTTCTTAATCAAGTCCAGGTATACTAATGAGGTGGAAATAAGCTGAGAGTTGAATTTGACAAGAACTGGTATTTCCCAAGTAAGCAAAAGGAAGGGACTTGTGGGTGTACATAAGGCATTGATAATAGAGGACCAAGGGATTTAATCAGAGATAGAATCAGGAGATATAAGCACATATATTATTATGATTGGATTTTACCACATGCTAGCCGTGTAACCTTGGAAAAATCATGTGGAATCTTGAATCTTCCTTCTGTTTCTTTATTTTTAAAACATCAGTGAAAAAGAATCTTGCTTTGCTAGAGTGGTTGTGAATATTAAATGAGGTAATTTCTGTGCAGGTACTTTAAAAGTATATGAAATCCAGGAAATAGTGGATTTCATTTGGGAATGTGGGAGATTAATTGAAGTTGATACATGTATGAGAATTCTGTTTCTTCAGGTATAACCAGCTAGTGGGTCCAAAGAAGAACTTCATGTCTGCAGTTTCTCAAATCTCCCTGACCCCTCTCCACTTGCCAAAGCACCTGGTGCTTCCTCATCCCATGCCTACACACATGAGCTGTCTCATATGTAATCAAAAATAAATCCTTCTTTTATAAAACACTGTGATGGAAACTAGAATTCTTCTAGGATCTTTTTGGTGCTCTTAGAGTCCAAAGCCCAGTTTTGAGACTTGGCTGGTTTTAACTTCCCTCAGCAGTCTCGGCATTAGCTTCTCTAATGCCCTACAAACAACCAGAATTGTGCCATCACAAGAATTTAGAAAGATGTACTAGAATAGGCTAAATTACAGCCACCCACAAAGGCATCCATGCCCTAATCTCTGGAATAATAGAATAAGTTGCTTGACATGGTGATATGATTTGTCTTTGTGTCCCCACCTAAATCTCACCTTGAATTGTAATAATCCCCAGGTGTCATGGGAGGGACCCAATGAGAGGTAGTTGAATTGTGGGGACGGGTTTTTCCCTTGCTGTTCTCGTGATAGTGAGTAAGTCTCATGAGCTCTGATGGTTCTATAAAAGGAAATTTCCCTGCACATGTCCTCTTGTCTGCCACCATGTAAGATGTGACTTTGCTCCTCCTTTGCCTTCTGCCATGATTGTGAGGCCTCCCAGCCATGTGGAACTGTGAGTCAATTAAACCTCTTTCATTTATAAATTACCTAGCCTTGGGTATGTCTTTATTTGCAGCTTGAGAACAGACTAATACACATGGTAAATGGAACTTGGCATATGTGATTAAGTTAAAGATATTTAGGTGGGAGATTATGCTAGATTACCTGGATGGACCCAGTGTAATCACAAATGTCCTTAAAAACGGGAGGCAGGAGAATCAGAGGAAAGAGAAAGAAAGAGAAGACAGAAGCAGAGACTGGAGTGATTCAGGAGCCAAGAAATGCCAGTACCCTTTTACAAGCTAGAGGAGGCAAGGAATAGATTTTTCACTGGTGTCACTAGAAAGGACCAGCCCTGACAACACTTTATTTAGCTCACTGATACTGATTTTGAATTTATGACTTCCAGAATTGTAAGACTGTTGTTTTAAGTCATTAAGTTTGTAATAATTTTTTACAGTGCCAATAGGAAACAAGAAACATATATCCAGTGGGCATAGTCTAAATTCTCTGTGGCTACACTACACCGAGTACAGGGATGTGTCAGGGCTGTCACATCATTTCTGGAAACTCGTCTGTACTTTTCTTTGAAATGCAGATTAGACACCATGGGCCATAATTCTACCTCTCTCCGTCTCTTGTCCTGTGGTGTCCCTTTGCAAATACACAGTGATAGCCCAATTTCCCTCCATTCATTGACTTGCAAAAATCGTCTGTCTGCTGTAGACAGAAACAATCTTCCATTCTTCTGTCTTATGGAGTAATAGCCAAAAAATCCAACAAAGCCTCAGTACTGCCTTTCTCCCCCAAACCTACCCTCCTTCACTCAAGTTTCCCTGGCCAGTTTTCTCTCCTCTTACTTTTATAGCTGCTATTTAACAATTTTTCCCTTTGCTCAAACGTCCATTTCCAAGAGCTCTTTCTCATTTTTTCCTACTGTTAGTTTAAAAACATGTTCTTATCTGCCTCCTCTAAGTAAGCTGTACTTGACATTTCAGTGTCCCCAGTTATTATTTATTTTGCCTTTTATTCCTAAAGTTCCCAGATGAATTGCCTACATACATAAATTCCTTCTATTTCCTCACTGTTTACTTTTTTTTTTTTTTTTTTTTTTTTTTTTGAGACAGAGTCTCACTCTGTTACCCAGGTTGGAGGGCAATGGCCCGATCTCAGCTCACTGCAACCTCCACCTCCTGGGTTCAAGCGATACTCCTGCCTCAGCCTCCTGAGTAGCTGGGATTACACCACACTCAGCTACTTTTTGTATTTTTTTAGTAGAGACGGGGTTTCACCATATTGTTCAGGCTGGTCTCAAACTCCTGACCTCATGATCCACCCACATCGGCCTCCCAAAATGCTAGGATTTAAGGGCATGAGTCAATGTGCCCAGCCTCTGTTTACTCTTAATCAAATTCTTAGGAACCTGCTTTGTAGTCCTGAACTTAACAGAAACTTGTTGTCACTCAAACTGAATGATACTTACACAGTCTCCATCCTCCTCTTGAACCTCCTTTGAGCATCATCTTCCCCTCCAGGAAATGTGGGATGGAGATTAAGAGCATGGGCTCTAGATTTATATAGACCCGAACTGAAATTTCATCTCCACATTTAACATTTATGAGCCTCTGTCTCGTCATTTAGATAAGGATGGTAACTTTCATCTCACATAGAATTGCTGTGAGAATTAACTGAGATGTGTATATCAAGTGCTCAATAGTACTGTGAGAATCAGTTGGGATACTGCAGATCAGGTGTTCAAACCACTTTTTGTTATCCTGACCTCATTTTCTTTGCATCGTTTTCCTATGTGGGCTTCACTGATATTGCTGAACTTTGTACTTCCAACTGACTCACTAACAAGTATTTTACTCTCCTAATTCCCCCTGGCATTATCTATTGACCACTTTCTGTAAATGAGCCTTGCCCCAAGCTTTGTACAAGTTTGTGTGGTCTCACAACAACCCTGGAAGTAGATATTATTACAGTCATCATTTCACAAATGGACACATGATAGAAAGGATAGGCTACTGAACATAGACACCTCCCTAGCCAGTGCCAGAACCAGCATTCAGATACAGGCATTTTGCATCAAGACTCCCTAACTTTTATACTACTCCTTTGCTCTGAAATTCTGTGTATTTCCAGGGCTCTTTCTTTTACTCTTTTTCCGTAAGCTAACTTACTTCCTTCTCTTAGCTCATCTACTCACAGATGTTTGTTATCTAGGTAGACATATCCAAAATCTCAATCTCCAGCCACAGTTTCACGGAACTCAATGTCCTAAGTTTTCATTCCACAACAAAAGAGCTACAAGAATACTTGAGACCTTTTCCTTCAGTGTCCTGTTAGCCCACTCGTCCCCTCAATTAGACAATTAGCTACTGCCTCAAGCTTATGAAAGACATAATTGCCTCTTAAATTCAGTCCCCAATTCCCTACTAATTTTTCTTTTTTTCACTGATAGCACCAGTTTGTCATGTCCTTCTGCCTCTGCAATTTTGCTCTTGCCTATTTTTTTCTGACCTCAATGCCCCTCATCCCACCACCCTTGCTCCGGGCTGTCTTCTAATTGACTCTCAGATTTTTCACAGGCCCACTGTCCTGACTCTACAGGCCACCTGTCACCCTTGCCCTAAAATTTTCATTTTCTAGCCATCACAGCAGCCTTATTTCCTCATTTTATAAGGTCAGTTGTTGATTATCACCGTTGTGATGTTTGTAAACAGTACATCTGCTTCTGGATACAACTTGTGAGCCATGAGTTTACAAACATTAGATTATAAACCTGTAGCTAGAGCTGGAAGGAGAAAGATTTTGAGAAAAAGGAGTGCCACAATAATAATAGCAAATGAGATCTATTTACTTATATCACTATTTAAAAAATATGTATTGAATGCCTACCATAAGCCAGATACTAGTTGTTGGGATAAAGCAGTGGAAAGAATTACACAAAATTCCTATCCTCATGGAAGTGTTACCCTAGATTGTAAAGAAAGATAAAACAAAAAAGTCACAGTTTTGTCACATGGAATTAATGATAGGCAGTCTAAATTATGTAAGAAAAATATGGAGTGAATCTTTAAACATGTTACTGCTATTTTCTCTAGGCTGGTCAAAGAAGACATCTCTAATAATGTGGTATTTAAACAGAGACCTGAAGGAGCTAAGCTAGCAAATATATGGGGATGAGTACCCCTCCTGCTGCCGAAAGGCAGGTTGCTGCTTTAGAATTAAACTCTCCAATAAAGAGTCCCCAGCTACATGTGACTATTTACAGTTAAATTAATTAAAATTAAAATTTAGTTCCTTACTGACAGTATACACATTTTATGTACAAAATAGTTACATGTGATTAGTATCAGTTGCATTGGGCAGTGCATTTCCATCATTGCAGAAAATTCTACTGGACATTGATGGTTCCAAGCAATAACAATGCGTCCAGTTATGCTGACGCAAAATGAGTTAGATGGAGTGTGGCAGACAATGAGGCCAGAAAAATAGTGAACTGAAAGATTACAATGTCTTGTAGATCCTACTAAAGACTTTATATTTTATCCTGTAGGACATGAAGAAAATTTTCTCAGAAGTGTAACATAATCTGCTTCTTATTACGAAGGATCTCTCTAACTGCTGCCTAAAAAAAATTATCTCTAAAGGAGCAAGGATGAAAACAGGGAGAATATTAGGAAAACTATTAAAATTGTCTAGGGTAGAGGTGATGGTTGCTGAGACGAAAGTGGCAGTAGTGGACATGAGGGAATGCTGGTTATGTTCTAGAAAGTACTTAAAACCACAATAATTATATTTTATTATGGTTTGGATGTGGTGTGTAAGGGAAATAAATAATCAGGAAACAACCCAAGATTTTTGCCTTGAGAAACAGAAAAATAATCAGGTTTCATTTTTGAATTGAATCATGAGTAGACAATTGAAGGAGATGTACATTTATTTTTTATTGCTATTTAGTTTTTGCATTTGGAGTTCAGAAACTCACAAATTTGGTTTTGGCATATTTGGCTTAAGATACACATAAAATATTTCAGTAAATAAGTCAAGCAGTGGAGATGACATCAGTAAGGTGATAGAATATGAGTTTTCAACCCTCATTCCCTTGTTCTTTCACAGAAAAAACACTGATTTTGACAACCACCCATAGATGACAGTACGTTTTGGGAGGCCAGGAGTCCAGTGGTAAGGTCCCAGCATACCACTGGAGCAAAACATCTGAGAATACACACGTTAAAGAAGGTAATAACTTTCACTTTACTCACATTATCACTACCTCAAGGTGGAGAAATCCCCCTGGGCACTTGATTTTTCCCATGGCAGAGAGTGAGAGTGTAGTGGGCACTTGTCTCCCCAGCAGTTAGGACACTGCCTAAGAGTCCCATTACTTTCCCACCCCATGCAGAACACTGAGGAGATCTGTGTGGCTGGATAGTGTACAGGCAGGTAGGAGCAGGAAAACAGGACAGGAGCTCATAGCAACAGGGATATGGAACTCAACAAAATTCCACAGTTTCTACTAACTGCTTGTCAGACTCCACCAAGAGGTCCATGCCTGATCTGAGTAGGATGCATAACTTGTAGATGCCCACTACTTAGCCCATGCATGCTCCCAACATGATGCACATCCCTCCCTTCCCTGTGGCCTGTGCTCCACTTGTGCCTCCACTAATGGCACTGTAAAACTTTGCAGATTGTACATGAGGTCACAAGGACAGGGAGCTCAACACTGTTGGATTGGGAGAAGGTGCTTAACCTTGAGCACGTCAAAGCACTACCCTAGGGAAAATAAACTCAATGCTCTTAAAATCCGACTTGGCTTTTTGGGATCAAGAGCAAAGATACAGTCTTAAGACTTAGTACTGCCAACAAGGAGCAAACAGAATGCAGGGGTTACATTGACATAAAATGTCTGAGGTGCCCCTAGAATCCTTAGCCAGACTGACTCACAGTTATGTCAGATGGAATTAATGATATGAGGTGAAGGTCTTTATCTTCTGAAGGTATTCAGTAAAGACTGGAGGAGGAGGTAACTTCTTCAAATGTCAAGACAGTAATCCAAGACTTCAGAGAACACAAATGACATCACAAAGAGAACACAATAATTTTTCAGTAACAGATCTCAATGAAATTGGAATATATGAATTACCTAACAGAGAATTCAAAATAATTGTTTTAAGGAAGCTTACCACAGTACAAGAAACAATACAATTCAAGAAAGAGATAGAGGTCATAAAAAGAACCGAACAGAATGCAATGAATGAAATGAAAAACAGAATCCAATGAATGAAATGAAAAAATGCAACAGAGATCTTCAACAGTGCACTTGATCAAACAGAAGAAACCGTGAACTCAAAGACAGATCCTTTAAAATCAGTCAGTCAAAGGAGAAAAAAACGAAATAAAAAAAGAGTGAATAATGCCTGTAAAATTTATAAAACATCATCAACCAAAACAATATGCAAATCATGGGAATCCTAGAAGAAGAGAGCGAAAGAAATGGAAAGCTTAATTAAAAAAAAAATCTGAAATATTCCTCCCAAATCTTGAGAGGGATATGAACATCAAGCTTCATGAAGTTCTAAAGTCCTCAACTAAGTTCAACCCAAAGAAGATTACACCGAGACACATTTAAATCAAATTTTCAAATGTCAAAGACAGAGGAAGAATTTTGAAAGGAACAAGAGAAAAGCAACTTACATACAAAGAACCATCACCCCCAATAAGGCTATATTTGCAAAAACTATGAAGGCCAGTAGAATCATATATTCATTGTGCTTAAAAAAATAAATAAATAACTTCTAACCAAGAATACTATACCTGGCAAAGCCATCCTTTAAGAATGAATGAAGGGGAGACATATACTTTCTCAAAGTACATATCTGAGGGAAATAACCTAGACTTCCCTCACAAGAAATGCTAAAGGGAGTTCTTCAAATTGAAATGAAAATACTCTAACTAGTAACATGAAAATAGTTCAAAATATAAAGCTCAATGGTAAAAGTAAATATATTATCATATTCAGAATACTCTAACACTAAAATAAGGATGTAAAAATTACTTTAAACTCTAATATAAAATTTAAATTATAAATGTGATAAAAAGCAATCATAACTGCAAAAGTGTTAATGGACATACAATATAAAATGTTGCTATTGGGACATCAATAATGGAAAATGTGAGGTGGAGGAGAGAAGTAAATGTGTCGGGTTTCTGTATGCAGTTGAAGTTCAGTCATTATCAGCTGTAATTAGACTGATATAAGATTATGTTTGTGAGTCTGACAGTAATCATAAAGAAAAACCTCTAGTAGATACACAAAAGATAAATGTAATAAAATCAAAGCATACCACTACAAAAAATTATTAAATCACAAAGGAAGACAACAAGACAGAAAGGAGCTACAGAACAGTGGGAAAACAATTAACAAAGTGGCAATAGTAAGTCCTTTCATAGTGACAATTACATTAAATTATATGAATTAAATTATCCAATTAAAGTACATAGAGTATCTGAATGAATTAAAAACAAAGAACCAACAATGTGTCCTTAAAAGAGACTCTTTTTAGCTTAAGGATACACATAGGCTGAAAGTTAAGGGAAGAAAAAAGAAACCTCATGAAAATGAAAACCACAACAAACACAGAGTAGCTACATTTACGTCAGACAAAATAGACTTAAGTAAATACTATAACAAGGAACAAAGTTATTATATAGTTATAAAGGGGTCAATTCATCAAGAAGATATAACAATTATAAACATATATGCATCCAACATTGGAGCACCTAAGTATATTAAGCAAATATCAAATAGAACTGAAAGGAGAAATAGCAAAATAAAAATATTAGGGGACTTCAATACCCCACTTTCAACAATGGATAAGTTATCCAAACATCAATTTAATAAGGAAACTGTGGACTTAAATATAAATGTAGGAAAGTAGTATATTAGCATTGAGTATTTTCTCACAGATTTTTCAGCCAAAAATCAGAGTATATTCTCTAATTGGTATCAATAAAATGTTAGTGGTATGAATAAACTGGGAAAATTTGATTTTCAATAGGGTTCAAGTAATGGCAAGAAGGTCACAAGTCTGCCTATTGTATTAATGCTATAAAAAATTTATGTTTTTTAATGATTCATTGATGGGACCTCAGCAGTAGGCAGGGGGCCTAAGAAATAAATGAAAGTTTATGGAGCATAGGAATGCCATTCCACTTATATAGAAGGGATCTGAGGAGTCTCAAAATTTACAGTGTCTAATGGGCATAGCAAGCTTAAGCATGATTTGCAACGGCATGAGAAGTTTGGAAAGAAGAGTGTCATCTCAGATGGTATGGACTGCTATAACAAATTACTATATACTGGATTCCTTGTAAACAACATAATTTGTCTCTAAAATGCGTATATATAGCCTCATTTGTTTATAGGACTAACCAAATGAGATAATGGATATAGAGGTCTTAACATATAGGAAACACTTAATAAATGCCAGGGGTTCATAGCTAGGTAATAATAGCAAACTATTTTAAACTATACTCCTGTTCCATGTGATACTTAGTTTAACTGAAACTTCTGACAATTTATCAAATATGTTATATAGATACATTATAGATGATGTAATTAGATATATATGTAGACATATAGACAATGAGTTCATTCGGAACAGCAAACTTCTGGGGGGGGCAGGAATATGTCTTCATTAACTTTAGAGACTGCATTCCCTTATACACACACCACATTCAATTCACACACACACACACACTTCAGAATGTACACATTCTTGAAAAACAAAATTTGTCTCAATCTTTCTGAATATTAGCATAAGGACATTTTATAGCTGTATACACTTTTGTTTCTTCATTTTTATATGTTAGTAAACATATATGGAAGGCCTATGAGGTAGAATGCACTAAATTAGATATTGAATATTTGACAGAAACTATCCTTACTCACAACTGAATGAAAATAGGCAATTAGTCACAGAGTGAATTAAAATAATTCCTAGTTAATGGAAGTTATACCAACTTAGAGCATATATGTACATCTGTATATTATAATATAAACATACACAATGATTTATATATGAAAGATTAAGTTCAGACATTTTACATGAAAGAACATAACAGCTATTGCCCTGCCTCCTAACTTAGACAATAAGCATGTAAACTCAACATACTGGGGCAGCGTAGCATAGGTTCAAATCCTGAATTCATTACTTACCAGTGTTGTTGGGCAAACCTGGAGTTCCTATGCTTTGGTTTTCTCATTTATAAAATACAATAAAACAATAAAATTCACCTCCTAATGTTAACATTTTAATGATTCGCAAGTGCACAAGATATGTTAGCCATGATAATAAGTTAATGATGGCAGAGATTGCATTATGCTTCTGCTTTCAAGAGAAAATGTGAAAACATACAGTGTTGTTGATGAAAGTAGTCACACAGCATTTATAAGGCATTTGTAAAAAAATACAAATAAAAAAGTAAATAAAATGAAAATGAATGCAAAACACACTACATTTTAAATGTATAAGCATTGGTTCCCTAATACGAAAAGAAATGCAGACTGTAAATCTAAACTTTGTAGATAATTTGCCTCAGCCAATCAAGATGTCACAGTAATATATCCTGGAAAATTGAAGTTAGTGATTGAGAAAGAGCACTACTTATAGAGGAAAGAACAATTTTACTGGCTTGCTTTGCATTTGGGTGTCTTCTACAAATTTAATTTACTCTGCTTTGTGTACTCTAAGGTGAGAGAATTGAATTCAGGGCTGAAGCATGGAAGTAAGGAAGGTCATTCACTAATACTCAATTGTGAATAGGGCATAGGATATATGGGACTGATTAAAAGCTGGAGGGTGGACGAGCCAGATTGTAAAACGGCCATATTTGGACTTGATCCTGTAAATGCTGAGTAACTAAGCAGGCCTCCCAATTGATAAATTTCAGGATTTAGATCAGTGATTAAGAGAGGAGGTAGCCAGCAATGTGGTAGGAGATATTGGGCTGAGGCAGGAAGTCAGAAGCAGAGTGAAGAGGTGGGGGCTATGGTACTAGGCCTAATAATTGATGATTGAGGCCAAATGAGGCAGAAGATCAGAAGCAGAGTGAAGAGGCGGGGGCTATGATACTAGGCCTAATAATTGATGACTGGGGCCAAATGAGGCAGGAGATTTGAAGCAGAGTGAAGATGTGGGGCCTATGGCACTAGGCCAAATAATTGATGATTGGAGCCAAAGTAGGCCTTTGGCAATTGAAATACAAAGATGTGGATAAATATGACAGATGTGTTCTGCAGTGATAAATTATCAGAGCAATTTTCTTTTGGGATAAGAGAATTCTTTCAATTTATTCTTAAAAGATAAAAACAAATAACAATGTGCATTTCTAAATGAAAGATAATTTTCTTCTCTCTAATTACAGTTCGGTTTCATTCTTCCAGAAACTCCTGAAGTCAATTTGGAAAAAAGAACATGTGATTTGGCAATGTAAGAACTTTAAGGAAAAAATATATAGAGGTCTCATTTTATACAAGATAGGAAGATTCCTTTTTGAAGTAAAGTGAACATAATTATTTTAGATTTTAGTATTTTTACTATTATTCACTAAAATATCATCTCCCTTATTTATGGTTGTTAAAAGCAGTCCTGATAGTCTGAGATCAATAGAAGATTACTTCCCAGGCTGCCTCTAAAATATCAGAAGCCAATCATTGCAGAGGAAGTCCTAGCTGACTTATTTGGGGGTTTCTTACCCAAGAAAACACAAGATGTTGTTTAGAGATTCTTTCAGTATGGAGCATTATTTTTTTAATTATGTGTGACAATGATAAATAAGTAGCATGTGGTAATTTGCTGTCACACTCTGTACATACCTAAAGTCCAGTATGAAATCCACCCTGTACTTCTGAAGGGTTTACAGGAATGAATTTTGCTTTTTTAATTTTTTTTTGGAATAGAAAATCATATTAACAAGAGAGTAGAAAAGAATATTAAAGAGAGAGAGAGGGAGAAAAGGAGGGAAAACAAAACCATATTTCTTTTCAATGCCTACATCTCTGCTTATAGTTTCTGTGAAGCTGGATTACAATGAAAGCTATGGCATTCTCAAAAGACTTTAGGACCAGAGATAATTGGTGGGGGGGAGTACAAACAGATATCATCAGGCAGAAAACATTCCATTTTTTTTTACCATAATACTTTAAATGTGTTAGAGGCCTAAAGGCTTCATGCCATTAATTGCAATTACCACTAAAGAAATTATATTTTAAATTTAATGAAACAAGTAACACTTTTATAATGAAAATTAAACTAAAAATATTTTAAATTCTTTCCTGAAATAAAAATGGCCAAGAGAAAATGGTGGCAATGCTTATAAATAATGCAATTTCAACTTTCTTAGATTTTTGACGGTATGTGTGTGTGAGTGTGTGTGAGTGTGTGTGTGCGTGAAAGAGTAGATATTAAAAATGTTATGACTGAGGGCCTTATGCTTCTGGACATAGTGGAATAATAAGAGTCAGATTACCCTCATGCTGTGAACAACTACAAATGGGACAAAAACCTACCAAAAACTTTCTGTCTGGAGTCAATTTTCTCAGCACACGCACAAGTTGAGTAACCCAAAGGGGTTGGTGGTCTTTCTGACTTGAAGAGAAGGCAACCAGAGTTTAGGAAGAATAAACGGTTGAGAATTTTGGGGCAGAGCTTTGAAGAGGTCTCTCTGATCTCTTACCACGGGTAAGTATGAGGCTCTGCAAACATAAAGTGCATCTTCACAAAGCCGGGCTAAACAACTCTTAAGAGCTTACTCATAGTGGGGAGATATTCTTGCTCTGATCAGCCAGAATAGAGAGCATTTGAAAAATTCCTTTAGCATTTCATGGAGACATCAAATGCATCATACTTCTGTAGTAGGAACAAACTACCCCTAGAGTAACACATCTCTGAACCTTTTTTTGTAAAGCATAAAAAAAGACCTCAAAAGAGCAAAACTGAATAAAAAAAAAAAAACACACAGTGTAAGGACAAAACACTTATTATTTAATGGAAGATAAATTCTAGATATCATAAGATTAAGCATCTAATATAAAATTACCACCCATTCTAAGAAACAGAAAAATATACTCCTTAATCAGGACAAAAGTAAATCAACAGGGGGAAAAAGAAATAGCAGAGATTTACGAATCAGAAATGAAGGCATTGCAAGAGCTATCATAACATTTCATAGAGCTTAAAAGACAGCACAGACGTATGGAGGTGGGAAATAGGACATATTTTTTAAAAATAAAACGGATATCCAGAGATGAAAATACAATAGCTAGCCTGGGCCACTTAGAGAGACCTCTTCTCTGGGAGAAAAAAAAAAAGATTAAGTGGGTGTGGTGGCACATTTCTCTATTCCCAGCTACTTGGGAGTCTGAGGTGGGAGGGTTGCTTGAGCCTGGGAGGTGGAGGCCTCAGTGAGCCATGATCATGCCACACCACCACACTTAAGCCTCGGCAACACAGCGTGACCCTGTCTCAAAAAACATAAAAACAAAAAAAAAGAAGAGAAAAAATATAATCACTGAAATAAAAATTCAATTGGATAGGATTTATAAAAGTTTAGATATCGCAGAAAAAAATCAATGAACTTAAAGATACATTAATGTAATTTATAAAACTGAAGCAAGCATGTTAGCATGCTCGGCCCCCCTCACCATGTGATGCCACGTGCCATCTCTGGACTCTGCAGAGTCCCAGCCGGTGGAAAGGCCCACACCAGATATGGCCCCTTGATCTATTCAGTCTCCATAACTCTGCAAAAAAATTTTCTTTTCCTTATAAATTACCCAATTTTAGGTACTGGGTAATTTATAAAAGAACCAAGACACACATCTATTTTAAAAAATCAGAAAATAACTATTTTTAACAGCCTTAAGAAAAAAAGTATTAAACCAGGCCAGGCACGGTGGCTCACGCCTGTAATCCCTACACTTTGGGAGGCCGAAGTGGGTGTATCACTTGAGGTCAAGAGTTCGAAACCAGCCTGGTCAACATGGCAAAACCACATCTCTACTAAAAATACACACACACAATCAAAAGCTGGGCGTTGTGTGCCTGCCTGTAATCCCAGCTACTCTAGAGGCTGAGGCAGGAGAATCACTTGAAACTGGGCGATGGAGGTTGTAGTGAGCCGAGATCACTCCACTGCAATCCAGCATGGGCAACAGAGCGAGACTGTCTCAAAAACAACAACAAAAATTAAAACCAATCAATGAAGCCATCTCAGCCTTGCAGTAGAGAATATCAGGGTTCTCCTAGGGTCTCCATCCAACAGATAACATATAATAAAATAATTTTGAAATCCAATGAAATGTTGAACACACGAGTCTTACATAAAATTAGAAGCAAAGAGTCTCCAGAGAACTCCAGATCATTTAATTTTGAAGAATTCTGCCTTTCTGTTTCCTTTGAAATGACTCTTAGCTTCTATTGTGTGCTGTACTAAGGCATACATCTTAAAGTCAACAGGAAATAACTCAGAAACAGGAGCATTTCCCCTTTTCTCAAATTTTTCTTCCACCTCTCTTCTGATCTTGTTCAAAACCAACAAATACTTCACATTTTTACTGTGGACTCCCCTTTCTGTCTTGGAAAAAACATGAAGAAATAAGAACTCCTTCTGTCTCAGTCTCACATTTTAGACACCTGCTTGTGAACTAGAAAGCCTGAAATCACAATAAACAAGGCAAAAAAGGCCAGTGAGGGGATTCATAGCAAGCTTACAATTTTTTAATTAGTAGCCTATTAAAATAGTCAGTACAGACTGATGTTAAACCCACCTATTCTATTATGTAAATATTGTTTCCAACTTTGGCTACAGAATTTGTCATTAGATTTGCCTTTTTTGTTCTCACTCTGTCTTGGCTGTTTGTGGTCTTCAGGATGCAGTCTGTGATCTGCATAATCATTCTGTTTCTCTGTTACATATAATTATATGCATATTTTAAAACTTCTATAAATCTTTAAAGGTACTTCTCTCAAATATTAAAGTGAGGGCATTAATATTGAAAAAGAGTAAATAATTTTTCCACAATATAAATCATAATCAACTTGAGGAAGATATCCACATTTTCTGTCTTATCAAGAATTCTTTTTACTACAGTGTTGGCTTCAGGTAGATTTATGACTAACTTTATAAGAAACTGCCAAGCAGTTCCGCAGTTTAGTTTTATCACTTCACCTGACCAATGAAACTTCCAGTCATTCTATATCACATTAATTCTTGGCAGTATCAGTATTTTATCTTTTTAGCTAGTGTATTAATTTTAAAGTGATATACTTTTGTTGTTTTAACTTGGATTTCCCTGGTGACTTGTTTAGGTGAAGAACTTTTATTTTATTTTATTTTATTTATTTATTTATATTTTGAGATGGAGTCTTGCTTTGTCACCCAGGCTGGAGTACAGTGGCATGATCTCGGCTCACTGCAGCCTCCACCTCCCAGGTTCAAGCAGTTATCTTACCTCAGCCTCCTGAGTAGCTGGGATTACAGGTGCATGCCACCATACCCGGCTTATTATTATTATTATTATTATTATTTGTATTTTTAGTAGAGATGGGGTTTCGCCATATTGGCCAGGCTGGTCTTGGATTCGTGACCCCACATGATGCACCCACCTTGACCTCCAAAAGTGCTGGGATTACAGGCGTGAGCCACCACGTCCAGCCGGTTGAGTACCTTTTATATGTGCAAAAATGCGACAGGTATGTCTTCATTTATGAAATATCTATTATTCAAGTCTTTTCCCTGCTTTCTTTTTTCTTTTGGTGGATTGTCTCTTTCTTGCTCATTTTTAAGAGTTTTTTTAATATTTTTAACATAAGTTCCTTGACAGACATATGTTATGAAAACAGGTTTTTGTCCTTTGTATCTTTGCCCATTTATTTTCTTAATTGTATATTTGTATAAAAGAAATTAGAGGAGGAAAGTTTCTGTAAACACTTATGGTCTCTGAAATCCCAGGGACCTCTGTTGGAGTCATCTCCCCTGCTTTGCTTTCTGACTTTGGAGGGTGGCTAAGTTTGCACTCAGGGGAGGGTCTAACCACTTCAGCTCTCTGACTTGTTTTAACTATGAAATGTTTTTAGCTTTTATGCCTTGTTTTGATCATAAGAACAAGAATAAAAGTCACTAGTGGGTTTCTAAATCCAAATCAGAAGGGAAAGCCTGTTTCATCCAATTTTTTAATATATTTCAAAAAGTTAGAAAATACAAACAAATCACTCTTGTTAGGAACTCAGCTGAGGTGGAACAAGAGTGAGTTGTTAGGTATCAGAGGAACAATAAGCCAAAATAAAAATAACAGTGAAATCTCTCATCACTTACTGTGATAATATAAACAAGAGAAACTTGGAGAAAGTGCCAACCCCACTCTGTGTCATTTCTTTCCATGGAACCCGTGCATTTCAAGAGTCAGGTGGACTGGCATAGATGTGGGGCTCATCCCACTGACAAGGGATCTCCAAACAAAGGGGTCTTCAATTTTATGGATCCTGAGGGCCAGGGGAGAGGGGCAAGGGGGAAGGGCTAGGACTGCAGAAGTACTAGGTACTGAGAAAGAGTGGAAAATATATCTTCAAGGTTTTTCTCTCCCCTTCCCCACATAAGGAGGCTTTGGAAGAGATAGCCGAAGGACATTTCAGCTAAACACTCCAAGTAAAAGGACTTAGGAAGGAAGGCACCTGGGGTAGGAATGCAAATATGCCTAAAAGCTGAATGAGACAGAGGGGGCCTGAGTACTTGCCTATGACTTTCCTTAGACCTCTGCACAAAATCTGGCGTGGGAGCAGCAACTTTTCCCCATTTTGCCTGCTGGGAAAAGCCTTTCAAATTATCTAAAGCTGGGCTTGAAAAATCACACAGAGATTTTTGGACAGGAGCCTTTTGAGAAGAGGAATATTAAATATCTGAAATACAATGATATTTATGTGATAAAGGGAGAAACATTATATATATATATATATTTTTAATAGAGTATCATTTAAGTATACGTAATCTGTAAAACCTAAGTTGACTCATAGCTTCAGTAAATGATATTGGAAAATCATGTTTCCTCTCTCTGTCACTGTTTTCTCCTTTATATATAATATGCAGATAACAATAGAACCAATTTATAAGGCTGTTTTGACACTACTTGTAAAGTTCTGGGACCATTTTTTAAGAGCCCAATTAATGTTAGCTATTATTCTTAGGTTTTGGTTTTCCAAATCTGATTTTATCCCATTAATCCCTGAGCCATTCCATGATATTGTGATAGGAATCAATTACCAACCAGAATCTGAATGGTTTTGAGAAAGTGGCTGCTCTGTAAAAGGAAAAATGCTCCACTCAAACAGTGCACAAAGAATGACCGATCTGTGAAAAATCCATGTGTTCTCTCTCATCTCTGTACCCCCATCCAGTTCTGTTCTCAAACATGGTAGACCTCATCAACTTTTTGTAACTAACACAGCTTTCTTTTTTCCTGTCTTGAAAGGAAAGAGTCAAGCAGGCAACAGGAATAATGAAATAAGAGCAAGGGTTTTAGAGATACGTAGTCCTGGTTATAAAGTCCAATGTACTATCTACGTGGCCAAAAGTGAATTACCGAAGCTATCATTGTTTCACGTTCCTCACCATATAATCAGGAAAATAAAATTTATTTCTGGCATGTGAATGCATATTTTAAAATTTAGGCTGGACACAGTGGCTCACACCTGTAATCTTAGCACTTTGGGAGGCTGAGGCAGGAGGACTGCCTGAGCCCAGGAGTGTGAGACCAGACTGGCTAACATAGGGAGACCCTGTCTCTACAAAATATTTTTTAAAATTAGCCAGAAGTGTTGGTGCAAGCCTGTAGTCCCAGCTACTCAGGAGGCTGAGGTGGGAGGATCGCTTGAGCCCAGGAGGTTGAGGTCCCAGTGAGCCATGATCACACCATTGCACTCCAGCCTGGGCAACAGAGTGAAACTCTGTCTCAAAAAATAAAAAGAAAAAGATTATGAAGCTATATATGGCTTCAATAAATGGTAGCTATAAAATAATTGAAATGCCAAAGGATAGTAGTATCTCCTATTGTGAATGTTTAGTGTTCAATTGCTTCTTATATAAATGTTAACTTTGAATAATTTGGTGTTCTAATCTTATAGACTATGACTATAAGACAAAGTTCCAGTTGTTCAATAAACTTTCTCTTTTTTTTTAAACCACTGTATTGAAGTGTGATTGACAGACAAAACACTATATATATTTAATGTGTACAATTTGGAGATAAGTATACACTTGCAAAACCATCATTAAAATCAATGTCATGATCATATACATCACCTACAAAAGTTTCCTCCTGCCCTACTTATTTTAGCTTTGTGATAAGAACATGTAATATAAGGTCTCCCTATTAGTACATTTTTAAGTATACAATGTAACATCGTTAAGTACAGGCACTACACTTTACTGCAGATCTTTAAGACCTACTCATCTTGCATAACTGAAACTTTATGCCTTTTGACAAACATCTCCAGGTTTCTCCCTCCTCCCAGCCCTTGCCACTCTCTGCTTCTATGAATTTGACTGCCTTAAAATCCTCATGTAAGTGGAAGTATTACTTGTTCTTCTATGTTTTATTTATTTCATTTAGCAAAATGTCCTCCAAGTTCATCCACATTGTCACAAATGACAGGATTTCCTCCTATTTTTAAGGCTGAAAAATATACTATTGTATGTATATGCCACATTTTCTTTTTTCATTCATGTGTCAATTAACATTTAGGTTGCTCCACATCTTAGCTATTGTGGATAATGCTGCAATAAACATAGGAGTGCAGATTGCTTTACAACCCTGATTTCAATTCCTTTGGCTATATGCCCAGAAGTGGGTTTGTTGGATCATGTGGTGGTTCTATTTTTAGTTTTTTAAGGAAACTTCATACTGTTTTCCATAGTGGCTGCACCAATTTACATTCTCACCAACAGTACACAACACAACACAATAATTGTCACATATGAAAAGTCCGCAGCTGACATTATAGTCAGTGGAGAAAGACTGAAAGATTTTTCTCTATATTCAGAAACAAGGCAAAAATGCCCATTGTTGACACTTTTATTCAACATAATACTGGTGGTCCTATATAGGATAATTTGTCCAGAAAAAGAAATGTTACTTAAGTGATTAGGCTCTGGGCATCAAATGCAGGTAACTGTTTAGATTCTGTCACTTTGGACTGCATGAGAATGGCAAATAAATTTTAATAATGATTGGGCCTCAGATACAGCTTCATATACAGTTGCACAAGGTTCTGTACTTATAGGACACCATACTTGCTTTAATGTTTTTGAAATCTATAAGCATTTTTGAATAAGGACCACACTTTTTCATTGTTTTCTGGGCCTATTGAGCCCATACTGTATTAACGCAAACTAATTACATTCATCTACCTCACTATGTACAATTTAATATAATAAATACAAGCTTTGCAATGAATTTTAATATTACTCTTTTTTCTCCTCCCTTTAGAAAAGGCAATGACCCTGAACCTGGGTAGCTGAGGATAGTTATGAGCTAGATTGGATCTTCCTGTTTCTGCCTCATGTTGTTTTTATGTTTTTTTTTTTTTTTTCTCTGCTGTTTTCATTGAATACCTTGGTTTTCGCTTAGGTCTGATAACCAAGTATTGTACAATGCTTCTGCCCTTGTTCAAAGTAAATTGTTTACTTCCTGAGTCATTATTCTTTGATTGTTTTGAAAGCCAATTCTTCTTTTTGAAATACTGTGCACCATCTTTGCTCTGGGTCAGCAATCTCTGTTTTTGCATTCTCCTTGCCAGCTATTATCTAAAATCATAGAGTTCTGCCAGCAAGGTGATGGAAGCATGCAGTTTACAGTCTTTTTGGGGAAAAAAATTATGTGCAATCTTAAACTCATTGAATAGAAAATGTAAATTGCTTAGTCAGTACTTTAAAATATGCATAAAAACCATCTCACAGAAGGTACCACAGGGAAGTAACTCAGGTATATGTTGCTGGTCATACCTATGGTTGTGAGAGACTTTTTACTTTTCTTTTGTCTTGTAAACTAGAATCCATCCCACTTTGTCAAAGCAATAGTATACCGACCTTCTTACAGGGTGCAACCCTGCTCCTAACTTTAATTTCATCTGGTTCAGTGAAAGTCTATCCACAAATTACAGTGAGCATGGAGGGAAGGGGAAACAATGTGACCAACTTGTGGATATCCAGCATAATCCCGAATCCCTAGCCAAAGAAATTGTTTCAGATACGTTCCTTTACCCAAGTTGATTTGATCAAAGTGAACTCCAAGATTTAAAAAGGAGTTATCATGAATAAGGATTTTCTTTTCCTGTGAAACTAATGACAGTAAGGATAACATAAACTGCAGATGCTGGAAGTCATTTTTATGGGTCCTGAAAGTAAAGACAACACAGTGCCTAGGTCTGGGAATGCCATTGTTTAGTACCCTGGATCATGCTGCCCTGGAATTTTCACATGTAATTGAAAATATTCACTTTTTTATACAATCTATGTTTAGTTTGGGTTTCCACCACAATCAAACCAAGTAACTTCTAAATAATAAACTGGCTGATCAGTCAATGCCCAGTTTTGTTGCTTTTGCTCACATCTATTTCATATTATTTTCTATTTTTACTGTCTGTCACGTCTGAATGCTAGTGTGTAATTTAATAGAATTAGGAAGAGGTAACCTCTTTGGTAATTCAAAGAATACTGTTCTCCACAATCTAGAATAATGATATATCATATTTTATTTGCATATGCTTATGAAATTATAATTCCATTCCGCTGAAAAGTAAACTTTACATCTAATAATTGTTCATCATTTAGTAAGTTATTATTGACATCACATTTGTGCCTAACAAAGTTAGATGCTAAAACTCAGACAGAAACCAATTTTTTCTAATTGGTCCCACCATATATATAGAATTGTAATCCACGTTTTCCCTAGAAAGCAGCTTTTCACAGGTAATATTTTCCAAAGTTTAGTCATTTACATGACTCATCCATAAAGTTATCTGCATACTAGCTGTGCTACTATTTGATATTTTTCTCTAAATTGGTTCAAATGTATAACTTATCTAAATATGATTCCTTAATATGTATTTAAGATACACATATGACTTATAGTTACTCTCTGTATATCAACACACAGAAATATAAATGCCACACCTTTGAAACAATATCAAATTGGAAGAGATAGAGTTTTTTGTAAAAAAAAAAAAAAACAACAACATTGGTTCAATTTTGATGTCCAATGTCCCACATCAGCAATTAGAGCTGCTATATCTACATTCTGTGTGTGATGGTATCAGTTAATTATCATTGAAAGGGAAATACATAATAGTTCTGTTGTTGTTTTTTTTTTAAGTCAGACTTCAACAGTACTAGCCATATGATAGATACAGAATAAATGATTTTAGATTTTTTTATTCCCTTAGTATATTATAGAAAGTTGCTTGAGAATGTCTTTGAGAATCATGCTTAATTTTCTAACCAGGCAATAATGATAAATAATAGATAAAAAAATGTGTTTCCTAAAGTGAATTACACCCAAGCCTGTTCTTTTTATCTTTACTCTGTTATATTATAGATAGCAAAGAAAAGAGACTGGGATAATAAGGGATTCTATGGAGCTTCGTCTCAGACAGTTCATTTCAAATTGCAGCCTATATAGGAGTTACCAAAGCCAGAGCAATTTCAGTGAAATGATGTAATTTTAATGCGCATCTTCCCTGATTGTTTTCTGAGAAATCAGTAACACAATGCTGTCCCTGACAAATGTCTCTAAATCCTCCTTATCTTACTGCAGAACAGCTCTCACAGGATGCATGTGAAACTGGGGCTGGTGCTACATGGTTCCTAGAAAGAAACACCTAAACGTTAAGTTTCAGAGTTTGAGAGCAAATGAGAATTATTTACCCTGGTTCTCACTAGCTGAAGCTTCACCTACTATAGCATCATAGGCTTTTCACGGACATTGCCAAGTATTATGCACAGAAGGGGAAAATGATTGTACTCTGTATATTTTGTTTGTTCTTCATGATTGTACTCTGTATATTTTGTTAGTTCTCCTAGATGTATTTATCATACTCTCCACCTTCCTCTGCATCCCAAGATTGTCCAAGAAGTGTTACTTTCATGGTTTCCTTGTTCTCTGATTGCTGTTTGATTTTGATAAATGGTAAGCACCAGCAGGAAACTGGAGAGTGGGATAAAATGAGAGGTTCCCACCCTTCTGGGCTGTAAGAGTACAGTCAATGAGTTTTTCTATTAAAGATCTTCTCTCTTGACTGGTGATTCTTATTTATACCATAAGCTTCCTGTCAGGTTCTAGTGACTGCTCTCTCCTCTGTCCCATTAAAAGCGAAGGTACATAGTTGCTTAACTCTGCTACTCACCCCAGGGTGCTTCACCAACCCTTACTGGTTTTCTTTCACTTTGCCAACATTCTCGTAATTGTCCTTTTATTAAACTAGATTTAATCACCCCTTTTGAGCTTGCACGTATTTTCTTGCCAGAGTTCTGATACATTGATACCAGGAGTAGACCCAAGAAATATATTTTTATAATTTAAATATGGAATTGGATTGTTCATATATTTCAAAAATGCATAGATACCCTTCCGGTCAGAGCAAATGGGACCCTGGTAATATATGACTTAGAACATCATGCTTATAAAATGTACAGTGATAGCAGTATGGAAAGTAAAGTAAATGGAGAAGTTGTAGGAGTTAGAGTACCTTTGGCAACTTAGTATGGTGACAGTGGTGATGAAGGAGAAATTGTGCTTTGGTCTGATGCTTCTGACAAAATTAGAGGCTATATAGAGTAATAGACAAAGTGAAAACTTTTAATGCTCAATTTAGGATAGGAAGGAAAGGTATTAGCCAGTTTTAATGGTTGTGGATCATTGTCTGGGTCTGAATATAAGGGTTATAGAACTGCAGAATCAATTAAATGTTCAATCCCTCCAGCTTTCTTGTAGGGTAAGGGAAGGACTGAGACTCTGAAATATACCAATGGGGATATTTGAGCCAATACAGACAAGAAAAAGGACTTTAAATATCTAAATTTAGTTGAACTTCCCTGCTAAAGAAAACATACTGCTCTCTCCCTTTATGACCTCTGAGCTCATATAGAAAGCTAGATGCTAGCAGAGCAGGCACAGTAAAAAGGCCTGGTTTATAGGAGTTAACCTGTATAACAACAACCACAAAAATTATATGATTATGCCAATTTGCCTCAGAAAAATCATGAGCCTATGGATGAAATTGTATTTTTTTAATTGTCAACATTGATGCACTCACTTGAGATTTGAAGTGTTGGCTTATTTTTCCCATCTCAACCCCATCACCATTGAAGCACTCTTTTGACAGAACCGTGCAATCACCTGCTGAAAACTTAAGAGCAATGGCTGGAAGAAAAAATTCTGCAAATGTGTGGTGTTTAATTATATGATATAGTATATGCCCTAGTCAAGTGAATAACATAAGGTGAAGTCTCCACTGCAGCTAGAATATATGTGTCCAGGAGTTAAAATGTGGAAATGGAAGTGACTCTTGGCATTATTCCACGTAATAATGCTGTTGAGAAAATTTTGCTCCCTGTCCCTTCATCATTTGTTTCAGTAAACTTAGAAACCTTGCACACAAATGGAAAAATACCTCAATCTGAGAATATGGCCATGGGACATTATCATGTTCATGTGGGGCTCCTCATGCCATTAAACTAAGAGACAGAGAACAGGGTTACTGTATTGGTCCAAATGCTTGCTACTAATTGCATAACAGAAACTGCAATGTGAGAGCAAATAAATAGCTGAACCCTATTCAAAACACTGGGGGGATTTTTCATATTTTCATGTCAACAGCAATAGTTAACAGAAATCTATGGTAACACAAATAAAGACAGACCCACCAAGTACTAATATTAAGAAAAAAAAATGAAGATTTGTCACACCTTTTTTCTCCTAACGCTATTCACACTCCTGTAATCATTCCATTCATTGAATATCTGTTTAAGGGTGTGTCATCCCTTTCTTATAGGACCAGAAATTAGATAATGACCAATCAAAGAATTACTGAAATCTAAGGTATATCAAATGATTGTGATATCTGATACTTCTTTCATTTTTAAAAACAAAAATGAGATTATTTCAATTCCTGGTGCAAACTGCACATAGTCCTTGCAAATTTTCCATCCCCTGCCAGTATGATTTCACTGTTGCCTTTTTCTATGAGCTCAGGTTTCACCATTCCTCTACTTGCTCATTCTGGTCCCACTAAACAAGTCTTGCAAATTTTGGAACTTGCCAAGCTCATTTCTGCCAAGGGCCTCAACCTAAAACACCTATACCTGGGGCTTCTCATAACTTTCTCCTTGCACAGCCATTGGATAATATTCAAATCTCACATCTCAGAAAGGCTTTTTATAACAACTCTCTAAAATATAAGTGCTTTTCTCATCATGATCTATACCTTTTCCAGTTTTATTTATGCCCCTACTCATTATTCTGAAAGGTACAGGAGTCATTATTTGCTGACTTCTTTATTGCCCCTCATCCCTGGATGAATTTGAATTCTATGAAATGAAGAACTTTATTTGCCTAACTTTTATATTCTGAGTTTCTAGGTCAGTTCTGATATTTAATAGATGCTAAGTGTTATCATTATGAACATTTCACTGTCTCAAAAGTTTTCTTAAACTTTCCTTATTTCTATGTGACTTGGCCCAAGGTGTTAATTCTTCTCTAAACCTATTTCCTCATGTACAAAAATGGGAAAAATTAATATATACCCTGATACCTGTGAAGATGCATATGAAGGTGAATAAATATTAGAAGTCCTGCTTTATATTCTCAACGTTTTCTCTCTCTCCACTCCTAGTCTCTGAGCCTTGATGAAACCATAATATGAATCACTCCAGGCATGTTATCTAATCCACATTTCAATGAGCAACCTGGACTGTATTCAACATAAGTGCTAAATTATGTTTAAGTATAGTGTTTATACTATATAACAATTCAAATATCCTATTAAAATTGGAAGTGAAAATTGTTCTAAAATAATCTCTGCCTTCCTCAGTCTATTTTATTTTTTCACTACTCTCTTTTGTCTGATTTGCAGTCATGGGAAATCAGTACTTGTATCTAACAATGAATAGTTAATTTCTATTGTTCTTGGACAATGCTATGGTACATCGATTACTAACAAATTAAACCACCATAGATTTAAACACTTACTGAGAGTAACTGTAATCATAACTTAGGTAACTATCATCATGTATTACATTTAGTATATCTATAGAAATAGGATTAAGAAGACTTTTAAAGGAAATTCTATTTTAAACTAGGTCTACAATTTGTAGTCACTTAAAACCAAAATGTTAAAAAGGATCTGCTAGTATAGATAACTACAGATATAAAGAAAACAGGGGTTAGAGGTTAGATAAAATTTAAATTTATTAAGTACCTGTAACACAGGTGTTGATGTGCAACTTAACATGCATAGCTACCTTTGGATCTACACAAGAATTCAATGAGGTAAACATTACTATCCACATTGAAAGGCTGTCATAACCTTCTAAAAGGGGAAACAAATAGTACGAAGAGGGTCTCTAATTCCGTGAACCAATTACATTCTCTTCTAAGCTGACTTTCAGAGTCTTTCTACCTTATTGCCATTTTAAACAAAGATGTTAGTGATTAATTCACCTGTCCTTGGAAGCTGAATTTTGCCAAATGAATATGGGATGTATGATCACTCTTCTTTGTCACCCTCTGATGCCACATCATGATATTCACTAACAGAAGACTCCTCCACTTAATATGTCATTCAGTAAAATTAATGTTTCTATTTTATCAGGCATGTATAAATTGGCAGTGCTTGCACTGTTATACCGCTTTGTTTGCATGATTTTACTATTTCCTTTTCCATATAGAGAACATTCTGAGTGCCTTATTGATGCATAGTCATAATATGGAACATTTGCGTGGTACTTTGTGGTTCACAAAACAGTTTTAGCAGATTATCTCATTTTATCCCTGCATGTTACTGTTTAGATGCAGAAAATATTTGTTTTCCTTTCTTCGTGTGTGTGTGTGTGTGTGTGTGTGTGTGTGTGTGTGTGTGTGTGTGTCAGAGTTTCACTCTCGTTGCCCAGGCTGGAGTGTAATGGCGCGATCTTGGCAGAAAATATTTAATGAGGAATTACAGTTGTCTCTGCCCTTGAGATTTTCAAATTTGCTGGAAAAACAAGAAAGTAGGAAAAAGGAATTGAGTTATAGAATAATTTAGGTTAACACTGATTTCCATAGCAGCACGGCGAAACTTGGGGTGGGAGAAATCAGGGAAATACTCTTTTCTGTGGAGAATCTTGAGATGCGACTAAAGACATTCCAGGCAGACCTAGGTCCAAGCGCAAAGCTATACAAATTTAAGAAGACAGGCTTAGTTATAGGAATCAGAAATATCCCATGAATCAGGATATCATGAGAGTTACGAGTACTAATCTGGAAACAGATGGTCTGGGTTCATGGAACAGCTTTTGACACTTAGTTGTATAAATTTGAGCAAGCTACGAATTCTCTGTGTCTTGATTTCTTAATCTGTAAAATCTGGATTATCGTATTAGCCTCATAAAATTGTTATAAGGATTTAAAAACTTAATACATCTAAAACACCAAAAAAATGCTTCTTAACACAGTATAAGCACTCTATAAAGATCAATTGTTAGTTATCATGACCAAATTGTGGGAAGATGTTAATACAGTAGAGAGAGATGAGATTTCTAATATGGCAGATACTGTCTCCGCTTTATACATGCATAAAACTAAACTTTCTAAAGTCATAAGTTATAAGTATGCGATGTATCTCCTCTTACTACACTTCTATACTATTTCAGGTTACTGTTTTTTTCCTCAAACATAATACAGTCAGAGATCGTTGTAACATGATTTCCTAAGTAAAACTGCCTGCTAAACTGCACTTCGGCTGCAGATAGTCCCTTGTGGTAAACACAATGCTTATGGTTTCCCTAGATCTACTTGACAATGAATACGGATGCGGTTTAGCCTTAATCCTCATCTCTTCCCCTGGAAGTCATAGGCTTCTCCAGTAAAGATGTAAGCATCATTAAAACAATGCAAATGCCCTAGACTTTTGTTCCCTTAGGATGGATACTGAAATGAAAGTTTCCAACAGCAAGGCTTAGATTCACAAATAACACAATTCCCTTTACAGATAGAAATCGCCTTCTACTCAAAGCCCCAGCATGAACAGAAATGCATTTGTAAAATATTGTCATTGATTATCACTTTAAATCAGAGAACTTTCTATTTTAGACTTTGCCCACTTGATCTAATTCTACTCTCTTCCCTCTACCTAATTTCACTTGTGGTGATCCCTGACTGTCAGGTTATATAGAATTCAATTGAATTGCTTAAATATTAGCCTGCCTTCTTTATCACAAGGATTTTGTCCTCTTTGAGAAAATAAAACTCTCTTTGAGATTTCCACACATATCTACTCTTACACATTCTCTTTTACTTATTTATGTAGAAGTTGATGGAAGATGGAGAGAGATTCAAACTTTCTCACATTCCAACAAGAGTCCGCTAGGGTCCTCTGTGTTGTCCACATGTTCCAAACATTGAAAAGAATTACATTAAAAAACTCAATATAAAAAGACATCTAGCTTTTCAAGAAATGTTGCCCTATGCTACTTATAATTATTCTTTTCACATTTATTGTTTTACTACCTCAACATTTTGTTGTTGTGTGAGATCTTGTGTCAGAATATTCTGTGCCTCCTTCTACAATGGCAGACTACCAACACATTAGTTTAAATATGTTTACATGGCTGTTTCAGTGACACACAAGGAAAATTCTATTACCATGTGTAAATTTGCCAATATCCACCTAGAAATAAATTGCAATTTATATATTATATACGTATTATTTATATAAATTACACTTTTATGATTTGAGCTATTGCTTGAGTATTACCTCTTCTCCACCTACAACTTTCTCAAGAGTATTGTAAATGCTGTTATAAAAAATAAATATCAAAATATATAATGTCTCAGATATAAAAATATAATTTTGGCTTGGTGCCGTGGCTCAGGCCCATAATCCCAACATGTTGAGAGGCAGAGGTGAGAGAATCACTTGAGGCTATGAGTTTGAGACTAGCCTAGGCAACATAGCAAAACCCCATCTCTATCACCAATTAAAAAATTAGCTACGCATGGTGGCGCACACTTGTAGTTCCCACTACTTGGGAGCCTGAGGTGAGAGAATCACTTGAGCACAGGAGATCAAGGCTGCAGTGAGCTATGATCATGCCACTGAACTCCAGCTTGAGCCACAGAGCTAGACCCTGTCTCAAATATATAGTATTAAGCCTAGTAACCATTGGTTATTTTTCCTAATCTTCTCACTCCTCGCACCCTCCACCCTCCTACAAGCCTCAGTGTGTGTTGTTCTCCTCTATGTGTCTATATAGTCTCATCATTTAGCTTCCACTTATAAGTGAGAACATGCGGTATTTAGTTTTCTGTTCTTGCTCTAGTTTACTAAGGATAATGGCCTCCAGGTCCATACATGTTCCTGCAAAGGACATGATCTCGCTTTTTCTTTATGGTTGCATAGTATTCCATGGTACATATGTACCATGTTTTCTTTATCTAGCCTATCATTGATGAGCATTGAGGCTGATTTCATGTCTTTGCTATTGTGAATAGTGCTGCAATGAACATATGCATGCACATGCCTTTAAAACAGAACGATTTATATTTTTTAAGGTATATATCCAGTAATGGGATTGCTGGGTTGAATGGTATTTCTGTCTTTAGTTCTCTGAGCAATCATCACCCTGTCTTCCACAATGGCTGAACTAATTTACACTCTCATCAACAGTGTATAAGCAATTCTTTTTCTCTACAACCTCGCCAGCATCTGTTATTTTTTGACTTTTAAATAATAGCCATTCTGACTGGTGTGAGATGGCATCTCGTTGTGGTTTTGATTTGCATTTTCTAATGATCAGTGATGTTGAGCTTTTCTTTGTTTGATTGTTGGCTGTGTGCATGTCTACTTTTGAAAAGTTTCTGTTCGTGTCCTTTGCCCACTTTTTAATGGGGTTGTTTTTATCTTGCAAACATGTTTAAGTTCCTTATAGATGCTGGATATTTGACCTTTGTGAGATAGGTAGACTGAAAAATTTTTTTCCATTCTATAGGTTGTCTGTTTACTCTGTTGACAGCTTCTTTTGCTGTGCAGAAGCTCTTTTAGATCCCATTTGTCAATTTTTGCTTTGTTGTAATTGTTTTTGGTGTCTTCATCAGGAAATCTTTACCCATGTCTATGTCCTGAATGATATTGCCTAGGTTGTCTTCAGAGTTTTTATAGTTTTGAGTTTTACATTTAAGTCTTTAATCCATCTTGAGTTAATTTTTGTATATGGTGTTAGGAAGGGGTCCAGTTTTAATCTTCTGCATATGGCTAGCCAGTTCACCCAGCACCACTTATTGAATAGGAAATCATTGTTTCCATACCAGTGCCATGATGTTTTGGTTACTGTAGTCCTGTAGTATAGTTTGAAGTTGGTTGCATGATGTCTACAGCTTTGTTCTTTTGCTTAGGATTGCCTTGGCTATTTGGGCTCTGTTTTGGTTCCATGTGAATTTTAAAATAGTTTTTTTCCTAGTTCTGTGAAGAATGTCTATGGTAGTTTAATAGGAATAACATTGAATCTATAAGTTGTCTTGGGCAGTCTGGGCATTTTAACAATATTGATTATTTCTATTCATGAGCATGGAATGTTTTTCCATTTGTTTGTGTTATCTCTGATTTCTTTAAGCAGTGGCTTATAGTTCTCCTTGTAAATATATTTTGCCACCCTATTTAGGTATATTCCTAGATATTTTATTCATTTTTTTGCAATTGTGAATGGAACTTTGTCCATGATTTGTCTCTCAGCTTGACTGTTGTTGGTGTATAGGAATGCTAATAATTTTTGCACACTGATTCTGTATCCTGAGAGTTTGCTGAAGTTGTTAATCAGCTTAAGAAACTTTTAGGCTGAGACGATGAGGTTTGCTAGATATAAGAGCATGTCATGTGCAAACAGGGATAGTTTAACTTCCTCTCTTCCTATTTGGATGCCCTTTTCAAATACTTTTCCTTGTTTGCCAGTGTTCTTTTAAACTTGTTTATGATGTCATTTCATCTCCGAATGAGTTTGAGAATTTGTTTTGTTTTTAATTCATGTGGGTCAAATTAATGATGTCGTTTATGAATTCTAAACTGAGCTTCTTAAAAAAGTTATATAAAATTCAGATTTTTTAAAAAATTATACCTTCACGTTTTTGTTATTTGTATTTATTGATTTTATTCACAATGAATTTATTTTTGTATATGGTAGTAGATAGAAATCTATGCCTATGTCCTTTTTTAGGTAAAGTAACACAAACATCATTTATAGAGTATCTTTTTTATTTATAGATTTTATAGAATATTTTTTAGAAAAATGGTGATTTTTAAAGTAACATTTAAACCTACATATAGCCTTACAGGAACAATTGAAATCCATTCACTTTGAAAGCAATTAATCTTTTAGGACACACTTAAAATTGAGACAAATTGACATATAAAAAATCAAATTAAGAGAAATGTTATAATTATTTGTATATTTTTATTATAGAAAATTCTAGACATACGCACAAGTGGAGTGAATAATGTAACAATTTATTTTTAAATAAATTCAATCTCTAAAATCATTTCAACAGTAAACTTTTCAGTTTTTGTATCTCTAAATAAAATTTCTTTTTAAAAATCAAATACAGTAATAATAAATATAAATACTAAATAATTATTACTAAAATAATAGTAATACAAAGATTTTTTCTTTAATAATAACGGATAGATATATGCTTTGAGCTAAATATACGTTCCACAGAATCTCTTCTACTTTCTATGTCCAAATATACCAGAAAGAAATTCTTATGTTTAAATCAGTAGCTAGTAATTTGAAGACCCCGCCAAGATCGTTAATTATTTGGAAATCAGTATGTTCACTTTGATTGGTGAAACAGAAGACACATACAACAGATTAATATGCATTGTGATGAGGGTCTTAGGAGAAGTAACCCCAAAGTTCTGTGGGGACGCAAAGAAGGAAGCTATAAATAAGCCTAAGCACAACGGTTTATTTTTCTAAAGAAAGGAATTTCTTGAGCTTATCGTTAAAGAACAAAGATGAGTGAGCCATTTAATGAAAAGGGGAGAAGGACCTTCCTTGATGGCAACAGGTAAATTAAAAAAGAAAAAAAACAGAAGTAAAAACTATGCATGAATAAAATACAGGTAGGAAAACAGTGATATGATTCATTTATGCAATACTGTAATTATTTATTGTGGAGCACAAACAGTATGTGAAATAGAAAAGAAACTAGAAGTTCTCAGATTCCTCTGATATGTACCAAATACTTTACAAATATTAATTCCTTTAATCCTCCTCATATCTCTATTTGCTAGATTATCATTATCTGCATTTTATGGATAAGAAAATAGAAAGTGAGAAATAAATAACATGCCAAAGGTCATTCTTCACTGGGAAAAAAATTTAATTTGTCTTATTTTTAGTGAGTGCTTAAAATATATTTACCAGTGTGGAGCACCATTGTACCATCCTACGAAAATTATTAGGAGAGTCACCACTGTGGAGGAACTCAAGATGTGAAGGTATGTGTGTTCATCCACAGGGAATTACACCTTATGACTTAGTTTAGAGAACAATTTAACATTTTTCTTTTCTGTACAAAATAAAACCAACAACCGAAAATACAGCATTTGTCTTTGTCAAAATTTCTTTTTGTTCTTTTTGGTAAGATGTCCATCATGGGTAATGCCAAGTAGCCACCTTGAAAACAGGTTTATTTTCTGAGATAGAAACATAAGTGATTTATCCACCGCTACAAAACAGACCTGAGGCAGATCCTGATGGTTGCTGGCTTTCTTTCCTCTTGAAAGATCCATGTGGGCAGCTTCCTTCATTTTATTACTAATGGAAACAAATAATTGATGCACTGAATGCCAAGATTTGGACTCCAAACTTTTATCACTTCTAGCCTTTCACAGCTGTTGTATTACCCATCTCTTGACACTTATTGCAATTATGTTTTGTGAACAAGGCACTTTATTGTTCAGTAATGTGAGTTGTTTCTAGTATTTACCACAAACATTTCTGTTTGCAATTGGGTGAGATGAGCTGCAAGGTGTGGAAATGCAGCTGCCCTGACAGAATGATGAATATTAGTGTCCTTCAATTGAGGCTCCCTGCATTTCACTGGAATAGAAAAATTATTTTTTCTTTTTGCATTTATTCATTAAGAATACAGAAAGAAATGTCTCCCAGATTCTTTCGTTTATCCTGTGGCTTTCTCAGATTTGTTCAGGTTCAACCTGGAGAGCTTAATATCTTTCAAATCCATTCTGCTCTCCTTCCAAAACATGATTAGCAACAATGAATATTAAGTGAAATATTCATCTCACATTATTCACCAGTCTTTGAAATCATTGGCCACGGGAAGACGGATCACTGCTAAAGTGCAGAAGAAATCCATTTACTTTTCCAAAGCTGGGCTAGACTGGTGTTGTTTTTTCCTCCTGTCCCTCCTTCTCTCCATCAATATAAATTTTAAATGACTTTCAGGATCATCTCAGGTTTTACCTCCTTTAGAATAGCTTCCAGCAGAAACAATATAATTTTAAAAGTGATTCTGTGTTCCCACTATTCTAATTCATTCAATCACCCTCATAAGCCAGTTAGATCTGGATTGAAATTTCTTTATCCAATCTATCATTGATGGGCATTTGGGTTGATTCCAAGTCTTTGCTATTGTGAATAGTGCTGCAATGAACATACACGTGCAGGTATCTTTATAATATAATGATTTCTATTCATTTGGGTATATACTCAATAATGGGATTGCTGGGTCAAATGGTATTCCTGGTTCTAGTTCTTTGAAGAATCGCCACACTGTCTTCCACAATGGTTGAACTAATTTCCATTCCCACCAACAGTGTAAAACTATTCCTATTTCTCCACAGGCTTTCCAGCATCTGTTGTTTCTTGACTTTTTAATAATCACCATTCTGACTGGTGTAAGAAACTGAATACTTACATTGTTTCATGGCTTCAATACAAAAAAAAATGCAGACAATTAGAAGTCTGAGAAGTCACTGGAAGGGGAGTCCTCCAATTAATCTATAAGTTTATCTTTGCTCAGAAGAAATTTGCAAGTGTATGTGTGTAAAAGTGTACATACGAGAGGGAGGGAGAGGTTGGCAGTGCATACAAGATTAGAATTGAATTGAGCTATTCCTCTTTGACAAAAGGATTACATACAAGATAAAACAATTAGGGCATATTTCAAGGAGATGATAAGAAATCTAGTCCTAATAAAGTTTAAAAGTGGGCACTTTTAAGGTTGCTTAAGTAGACTGAGGCCATATTATATATTTGTGGTGAGGTATGTTGGGTTGGCGAGACGGGGAATGGTCCTTGAATGCTTCAAGGAGGATTATTCCCAATTCAGTTTTGGACTAAAGGCATATTTCTGAGTGGATACTCATGTGTACATTATCATTGTGGAAAATCAGGTAATTTGAATGCAAAAGATACGAATTTGAAATCCAGAGCCATCGCTTATTAGTTGTGTTATCTTCATTTAATTACTTATTTTCCTGAACATTATTTTTCTTCAGTCTATAATAAAGAAGATAATACTACTTTAGTGATTTTGGTGAGAATGAAGTAAGATTAGGGACATATCAGTGCTTTAAAAATTAATATATAGGTCATACGTGTTTATATCATTTCTATTTATCTTTTGATGGTGCCTATGCTGTTGTTATAAGTCTATTATAGCTAATTAATTGTGAATGAATAGATATCTTGGAGAGGAGAAAAGTAAAAGAAAATATTTAGTCAGACTTTCAGAGCTCTGAAAATGTGAAAAAACAAAGGCTTTGTGTTCTGTATTTTCTTGGATTTTGTATTTGCCTATTTGGCATATATGTGTCAAAGAGCCAATCCTATTAACATTATTTTCTTATTTTCTGTATTCTTGACGCTCTGGCACTTGGGATCTCACAGACACCAAGAGACACTATCCCTCTCAGGGTTAGCAAACTCCTAAAGAAAGTAAGAACTTGCCTAGGAGCATGCTTTTCATATGCAAATCTACTAATCCCAAGTTTATACCTCCCAACTACCTCCTTATCTAACTCACTCCAAGCTAATATTTCCCCTTCTCAAGGCCAGGTGCCAGACAACCAAATACCATCCTTACAGCCCAAAGCTTGCCAGGTTATTCAAGCTAGCCAATTCTGAACTGTTTACTCTGCCCTGTCTTGCCTTCCCTTGGAAACCCTAATAAAGGCAGTGGCCTATACTCCCCACATAGCTCCTGTTTTCTGCTTCCTGAACGTTTGCTGTTTTTCCTTGTCACCCTGCAGAGCACGCAGTGAGCCCCTCTCTGGGACTCTTGAATATAATAAACTTCTTCCTTCCAAACCACATTCCCATCTCCGCCTGTTTCTCTGAATTTACAATACTATATCCAGCATGTACATTTTTATTTATTTATTTATTTATTATTTATTTATTTATTTATTATTATACTTTAAGTTCTAGGGTACATGTGCACAAGGTGCAGGTTTGTTACATATGTATACATGCGCCATGTTGGTGTGCTGCACCCATTAACTCGTCATTTACATTAAGTATATCTCCTAATGCTATCCCTCCCCACTCCCCCCACCCCATGACAGGCCCCAGTGTGTGATGTTCCCCCTTCCTGTGTCCATGTGTTCTCATTGTTCAATTCCCACCTATGAGTGAGAACACGCGGTGTTTGGTTTTTTGTCCTTGAGACAGTTTGCTGAGAATGATGGTTTCCAGCTTCATACATATCCCTACAAAGGACATGAACTCATCCTTTTTACGGCTGCACAGTATTCCATGGTGTATATGTGCCACATTTTCTTAATCCAGTCTATCATTGATGGACATTTGGGTTGGTTCCAAGTCTTTGCTCTTGTGAATAGTGCTGCAATAAACATACGTGTGCATGTGTCTTTATAGCAGCATGATTTATAGTCCTTTGGGTATATACCCAGTAATGGGATGGCTGGGTCAAATGGTATTTCTAGTTCTAGATCCTTGAGGAATCACCACACTGTCTTCCACATGGTTGAACTAGTTTACAGTCCCACCAACAGTGTAAAAGTGTTCCTATTTCTCCACATCCTCTCCAGCACCTGTTTCCTGACTTTTTAATGATTGCCATTCTAACTGGTGTGAGATGGTATCTCATTGTGGTTTTGATTTGCATCTCTCTGATGGCCAGTGATGATGAGCATTTTTTCATGTGTTTTTTGGCTGCATAAATGTCTTCTTTTGAGAAGTCCGTTCATATCCGTCGCCCATTTTTTGATGGGGTTGTTCTTTTCTTATAAATTTGTTTGAGTTCTTTGTAGATTCTGGATATTAGCCCTTTGTCAGATGAGTAGATTGCAAAAATTTTCTCCCATTCTGTAGGTTGCTTGTTCACTCTGATGGTAGTTTCTTTTGCTTTGCAGAACTAGATCCCATTTGTCAATTTTGGCTTTTGTTACCATTGCTTTTTGTGTTTTAGACATGAAGTCCTTGCCCATGACTATGTCCTGAATGGTATTACCTAGGTTTTCTTCTAGGGTGTTTATGGCTTTAGGTCTAACATTTAAGTCTTTAATCCATCTTGCATTAATTATTGTATAAGGTGTAAGGAAGGGATCCAGTTTCAGCTTTCTACATATGGCTAGCCAGTTTTCCCAACACCATTTATTAAATAGGGAATCCTTTCCGTATCTCTTGTTTTTGTTAGGTTTGTCAAAGATCAGAGGGTTGTAGATGTGTGGTATTATTTCTGAGGGCTCTGTTCTGTTCCATTGGTCTATATCTCAGTTTTGGTACCAGTACCATGCTGTTTTGGTTTCTATAGCCTTGTAGTATAGTTTGAAGTCAGGTAGCCTGATGCCTCCAGCTTTGTTCTTTTGGCTTAGGATTGTCTTAGCAATGTGGGCCCTTTTTTGGTTCCATATGAACTTTAAAGTAGTTTTTTCCAATTCTGTGAAGAAAGTCATTGGTATCTTGATAAATTCCTGGACACATACACCCGCCCAAGACTAAACAACGAAGAAGTTGAATCCCTGAATATACCAATAACAGGCTCTGAAATTGAGGCAATAATCAATAGCCTACCAACCAAAAAAAGTCCAGGACCAGACGGATTCACAGCTGAATTTTACCAGAGGTACAAGGAGGAGCTGGTACCACTCCTTCTGAAACTATTCCAATCAATAGAAAAAGAGGGAATACTCTCTAACTCATTTTATAAGGCCAGTATTATCCTGATACCAAAGCCTGGGAGAGACACAACCAAAAAAGAGAATTTTAGACCAATATCCCTGATGAACATTGATACAAAAATCTTCAATAAAATACTGGCAAACCAAATCCAGCAGCACATCAAAAAGCTTATCTACCATGATCAAGTGGGATTCATCCCTGGGATGCAAGGCTGGTTCAACATATGCAAATCAATAAACGTAATCCAGCATATTAACAGAACCAAAGACACCATACCACATGATTATCTCAATAGATGCAGAAAAGGCCTTTGACCAAATTCAACAGCCCTTCATGCTAAAAACTCTCAATAAATCAGGTATTGATGGGACATATCTCAAAATAATAAGAGCTGTTTATGACAAACCCACAGCCAATATCATGCTGAATGGGCATGCTGAATCACGGAACCTACCAACATGTGATGTCTCCCCCGGACGCCCAGCTTTGAAATTGCTGTCTTTTGTACTCTGTCCCTTTGTTTCTCAAGCTGGCCGACGCTTAGGGAAAATAGAAAAGAACCTCCGTGACTATCAGGGCAGGTTCCCTGATAAAAGAGTAATTCAAATTGTCCCTGTTTGCAGATGACATGATTGTATATTTAGAAAACCCCATCGTCTCAGCCCCAAATCTCCTGAAGCTGATAAGCAACTTCAGCAAAGTCTCAGGATACAAAATCAATGTGCAATAATCACAAGCATTCCTATACAGCAATAACAGACAAACAGAGAGCCAAATCATGAGTGAACTCCCATTCACAATTGCTTCAAAGAGAATCAAATACCTAGGAATCCAACTTACAAGGGATGTGAAGGACCTCTTCAAGGAGAACTACAAACCACTGCTCAACAAAATAAAAGAGGACACAAACAAATGGAAGAACATTCCATGCTCATGGATGGGAAGAATCAATATCATGAAAACGGCCATACTGCCCAAGGTAATTTATAGATTCAATGTCATCCTCATCAAGCATGTACGTTTTTAAAATGCTTTGAGTTACTGAGCCTTGAAGTAACTGACTAGGAATTATCATGTACTCCAATTGTACTGCCCCAAAATTGAAAGAGCCTAGAAAGATACTGTTCATATTTATATATTAGTATTTCTAAATTAGAGTCTTGCTTATAAGAAACATGTTCATATTTCTAGTGTCTATGGCACAATAACATTTTGGGAACTTCACAACTATTTTTTAAACTGCAAATGAATATAGGAATATTCATTTAAGTCTTACTCTTTTCAAAAGAAGCTTATTGAACATTTGCTACGGCTTCTCTATGCCAAGCACTGATAGGTTCTGCAGTTAAAAAAAAAAAAAAAGGTAAACATCACTCTTTGACCCTATAAACTTACAATGTATTGAATATACACTGTATATATTCATATATATACATATATATTATTGAATAGCTGTGTAAATATATAATTCAAAATATGATAATTGGTATAGAGAAGAAATACAATGTGCTAAGAGAGTATCTAATGCAAGGCTCAATGAGTTGTGAATGATGGAGAGGAGATGAAAAAAGCAGAGTGGACAGCTTGTTAAGTCATTGTATGGAAACAGAGGATATGTACAAGGAATTTAATGATCAGTGGAGCAGTGAAAGTAGAGAATGATACAAGGTGTTTCTGGGGAACATTGAAGAGAAACTTTTCTACCATCTTTATGTTTTTATGAAAGGGGACGTCAATTAGACGAGAATTTTAAATTAGGGAATTTTAAATTGTGTCAATTAGACACAATTACCCACTGTGTTCAATGTTCATAGATCTGCAAATTTAAAAGACCGTGTCTTGAAAAATGAAAGTATAATCTATTCACAGTATGCAAAAAAAAATTGTGATGACTTACGGATGAAGAGATATGGAGGTGCTGAAAAGACTTAACTTGGTACAGCTGTGTAGTGAAAGAGGCCACAGGACTCAAGCATTTCAGGACCTAATGACAGGAACATAATCTCCATCTTATTGCAACTAGCACAAGGCTCCAAATGATACATGGGATAAAACAAAACTTGGCAGAGTCTAGCACACGACCATGGAATCAGGCCATGCCAAGCTCTTTACTATGAAAATGTTAAGGCCCAGGCAAAAGCAGCCCAATTAAAGGTCTATACATCTTCATCTATGAAGGTACATAATCCACTGTGCTTATGTTAAAACTTTGGTAAAGAAAAGGGGGCAAAGAAACTCTTAAGATAATAGAAAAGAACCCTGAAAAGGAGTTTGGAATCTGAATTTACTGAGAATTTACTCCAACATGACTGAACTGGTTAGAAATTTCTTTCTTTTATACCTAAAGAATCTAAGTTTATTAGATTCTTTATTATTTAAGAACTATGTATGTGAGATTATTTATTTTTTTCTTGTGGTATTAAATAAAAGTGAGTCCCCAGGAAAAAGTTTGTTATTGCTATTGTTTAAATGTGTTTCCCGAAATTTCGTGTGTTGGAAACTTAATCTCCAATGTGACAGTGTTGGAAGATATGGACTAATAAGAGCTCATTGGGTCAATACGACAGAAACTTCATAAATGGACTAATGCCATTATGATGGGAGTAGGTTAGCATGAGAGTGGGTTGTTAAAAAGCAAGTCCAGCCCCTGGTGCCTCTCTCTCTCATGTGCACTCTTGCCTTTCACCATGTTAGGACACAGCAAGAAGGGCCTTGCCAGATGCCAGCACCATGCTTTTAGACTTCTCACCCTCCAGAACCATGAGCCAAATAAGTCTCTTTTCTTTATAAATTATCCAGTCTGTGGTGTTCTAACAGCAGAGAAGAAACTGAGACAGTTATCTTGTTTCTTCATATCAGAGGTTTAGTAACAAATATTAAGCATTTAAATATTCCTACAAAACGTGACAAAAACCATTAAGTTCAATATATGCAGACAAGTGTCAGGATTTTAGAAGAAAGTTCTCTATAGGATTTCATCTTAAATATGGGATTTGGGGGGAAGTAATGAATATGCATGTGCCAAATACATTCAGTTCATAGCCCAGGACAAAGCTGATGCATTGTGCAAAGCTAAGAGATAAGGCACTGAATGCTCAGATATGCCATATTTTAGACCTTTAAATAACAATTTGAGAATTTTAAAGTTCATCTATTTATAAAGTGAGGATGTTCAAATGGGATTGTAAGCAAAGAGTAGTATTTCATATCTATTTAATATGTTGTGGTATGAAAGTCTTTATTTTTCATTTTCCACTGCCAAATTTTATGCCCAAAATGTGATTAAAATATTCCAGGAAACTCAGCTTTTATGAATATAAGTGAGGATATTTCTCACTTTCTTCATTTTCATGATTTATTCATTTTATTTTAAAGTTATCAAATTTCTCTTTCATCTTAACTTATGAAGACTTCATAAGACTTGATATCTGAGAGTTCAGAGGAAGTTATGATTTCTTAAATTGATTTTCTAAAATGGATAAGATGCAAATATATACTGAGATTAATCATGTGTACACACATACATATATACACATATATATTCATATACATGTATGTGTGTATGTGTATTATCTGTCTATATTTCTAGAAATATCTAGGGCACTATAGTTGGGAGGAGAGTCAGACACTTAAAGTGAAGATCCTTCTGTTTCTGTTGTCAAATGTTGGAATTTTTCTCAGGATATTGTCAGATTGAAATGCTTGTAAGAGACAAAGTAACAGATTGCTTAAAAATCAACATATAAGGAGTTAGAGTTTTGGCATCTAATGTCATTTGAATGAGGAGGGTGTCTAACAGAACAGTAGTACCCTTTTGTTATCTATTATATTTGAATATATAAATATGACAAATAAAACATTATGCAATCATGAGGAAGTTTGGCTCATGCCTGGAAAAGTAGAAAATATAAATCACTGAAGAAAATGTAACTAATGTTCACCCCAGGACCACTAACGATTTTTCTTTGCTATACACCTTTTAATAATGATTTGGGCATAAAATTTAGCAATAAAAATAATAAATACTTTCCAAATCAAAATATATCAGTAAGTAGACTTGAAACACCACTCCTTACCCAAATACATTACCCATGATAATTCTCACATTATAATTACTGAACTTAAAAATTGTCAAATTGTCATTTAAAAATGTAAAATATGGCATCTCTGAGCATCCAATTGCCTATCTCTTGGCTTTGCACAATGCACCAGATTTCATGTCCTAGGGAAATATCTACTCTGGATAGGAAAAAATAAAAAGTATATACATAGCTAATTGACTTGAGATTTCCTGATACCATTAGTGATGACTGATTTTATGCAGTGTTGCCTAGTAATAGATCTTTTTTTAAATTTTATTATTATTATACTTTAAGTTTTAGGGTACATGTGCACAACATGCAGGTTTGTTACATATGTATACATGTGCCATGTTGGTGTGCTGCACCCATTAACTCGTCCTGATAAACCTGGTGCCATCTATTTTACACTTGCAACCTAAACTTAAGAAAATTGCTCTCCTTGCTCCTGTGTTTATCTGTGTAATGAGGATAATAGTAATATATTCTCTAAACTTGTGAGTAATAATCTATGTAGACTGGTTATTATAATACAGTGGTTCAAGAGCACCCAAAAGAGGTACCTATTATTATTAATGATTTGTTCTTTAAAAAAAGCAAAAGCTAACCAAGCAAGCACAAATATTCTGGCAAAGAAATAAAATTGGTTATTTTTTTATAAATAAATAAAATGGGATTTAGGTTTCTAGTTCCATTTTGGATACAATCCCTTTATATAGCACTTTAACCTCCACATACCATGTCCACGAACTAATGAAATCAGGCATTTTAGGAAACAATATATCAAAACTCAATTTAAGTAGAATATTGAAAACATGGGAATGAAAGGTTCTCTGTTATAGAAAAATGAGAATTTTATCTTACTCCTGAAATTTCTAAGTTTAAAATATTAAGAAACACATCAAAGCCAAAGATTCTGCGAGTAAAAAGAAAACTTTCATTTGAATAGAAGACCTTATTTGATTTTAACAGATCTCATTTAACTAGACTAATTGAAGATTTACAGCACCTGCTGAAAAAAAAATTACCTTATGTTGTCCACTGAGAAATAGCCACTGGAGATAAGAGTTAACCAAGCAAGTTGATACTTTTTATTTTATTCTGGCTCACTCCAGTAAACTTGTACCTCTTTTGCCTGTTAATTCCTTGGCCTTTTGAAAATAACATATCTCAGTTCACGAACTATTTATCAAAATCATGTCATGAACCTGATGAGGATTCTAAAATGAGTCATGAGTCACGTTCTAAGCAATGAATAGCATCATTTAAAGTCTTCACGCATAAAGAATCATAACAGTCAAATGTATGAATCCCATCAATATGAGTCCCCAAGCAAAGACAACTGGTTTAGCAACTACATCAAAATATATCAATAAGTAGACTTCCTGTAACTTAAACAGATTTACAAGAAACAACAGCAACAACAACAAAAACATTAAAAAGCAGACAAAAGACATGAACAGGTACTTTTCAACAGAAGACATACATGTGGCCAACAATCACATGAGCAAAAGTTCATTATCACTGATCAATAGAAAATTGCAAATCAAAACCACAATGAGATATCATCTGACACCAGTAAGAAGACTATGATTAAAAAGTCAAAAACTAACAGATGCTGCCGAGGTTGTAGGGAAAAGGGAGCAATTATACACTGTAGGTGAGAGTGTAAATTAGTTCAATCACTATGGAAAGCAGTGTGGTGATTCATCAAAGAGCTAAAAACAGAACTATCATTTAACCCAGCAACCCTATTACTGGGTATATAACTAGAGAAATATAAATAATTCTACCATAAAGACACATGTACATGAATGTTCATTGCAGTGCTATTCATAATAATGAAGATACAGAATCAACTTAAATGCCCATCAATGATAGATTATATTTTTTAAAATGTGTTACATATACACCATGGAATACTATGCAGCCATAAAAAAGAACCAGATCATGTCTTTTGTGGCAACATGGATGGAGCTGAAGGCCATTATCCTTAGCAAACTACTGCAGAAAAGGAAAAACAAATAGTGCATATTCTCACTTAAAATTGGGAGCTAAATGACGAGAACTCTTGGACATAAAGAAGGTAGCAACAGACCCTGGGGCTTACTTCAGGGTAGAGGGTAGGAGGATTGAGAGGAGCAGAAAAACTACCTACCGGATACCAGACTTAGTACCTAGGTGACAAATAATCTGTACCATAAACCCCAGTATCGTGAGTTTACCTCTATAACAAACCTGCACATATACCTACGTAACAAACCTGCATATGTACCTAAAATAAAAGTAAAAAAAAAAAAAAAAAAAAAAGACAACTGGTTTTACAATTCAATCATTACAATATTTGGCATGTTTTATATCATGTGACAATTTAATTATTATAAAAGACAGGTGCTAATTATGCTTATTTTTTTCTTTTTCATTTTAAAAGTGATACTATCATCCCCTTCACTTTATATCAATTATAGCTTTTCTCTCCATTTCCAGATTGTTATGGTATAGTTCCATAGCATGAACTGCACAGACGGATTTCTCTTATTATTTATTTATTTTTTGTGAGATGGAGTCTCACTCTGTCACATCAGTAGTGTATTAAGCAGCAGACATCATCAATCACGATATGTTCTCAATTAGTTCCTTTTTCTGTCATATTAGTTAGTAAGTAATTGTTTGCTGATGTCTATCTGTTCTCAATGCTTCTGCAGTTTATACACTTAAAAATCAAGGTCATTATAAGTTTACAAAATTACTCCTTTATCAGCCAAACATATGTTTACTGAAAAATCCATTAACAAGCCAATTAGGACTGGACACTAATAATTACACAATTCAACCCCTATAATCTAAAATGGTGGCAGTGTTCTAGTATATGTTGGAGGAGAGGAGATAACTGAATGAAATGTTCAGGAGTGATCACTCTTTGAATGACAACCAATTAGTTCTCCCACAAATCACAGATAGATTTTAACTCTGACCTTTATATTTCACGCTGCAAAAGCATTGTGATGTCCCCTCCAAGTTGAAGTGAGGCAATTCATTGTGGAGATGCTAATGAGCAGAGCAGCTTTTTTTTCTTCAGAAATGTTTCAATTTAATATTTTCCTGATATAATTATTTTGTATTTTGTTGAAAGAACACTTTACATTCTCAGTCTAAAGCTGGTAGGAAATAACTTCCAAAATTTGAGGATGATTTGAGAAATTATTTTCTTCATGAAACTAATCCCAACTCATGGTTTTATTAGCACTATAATTTATCATGTCCACAAAAGTCTGTAGCAGTTGGCCATGCCAACCCAGTGAGAATAATCACGATTTGCATATGGCAACAGCTGCTGGGAACCCATACATATGGTAGTGAGAGTGACCGATTATTTAAGTCTTCACCATCACAATAACAAAATATGCAAAAAAACCTTAAAACAATACAAAATAAACTTTTGCATTTTATTTGAAATAAAACTCTGTAGCAATGTTGAAATATCCTCTAAAGCAGAGCGAAATTATGTAACAGATACTGCCAGTGTAGTTCACATGATCCCAGACCTCAAGGTATTTTATTCTTTCTTTTTGCAATTTAATAGTTTAAGCATGTCTTTGTTCTTCCCCAATCCCTTAGTACAATTTTTTTTTCTTCCTTTTTTTTTTTTTTTTTTTTTTTTGAGACAGAGTCTCGCTCTGTCACCTAGGCTGGAGTGAAGTGGCGTGATCTCAGCTCACTGCAACCTCCGTCTCCCAGGTTCAAACAATTCTCCTGCCTCAGCCTCTCAAGTAGCTGGGATTACAGATGCCTACCACCATGCCCAGCTAATTTTTGTATGTTTGTAGAGATGGGGTTTCAACATGTTGGCCAGGCTGGTCTCGAACTCCTGACTTTAGGTGATCTGCCTGCCTCGGCCTCCCAAAGTGCTGGGATTATAGGCATGAGCCACTGCACCTGGCCCAGTCCAACTTCTTAAAAATCTAATTCTATGACTATCATCTTTACCAACAAAAATAGTTTTATAATAGTAAAATAGGCATGTATTATTTAAAAAGGTATTTTTTATTTGAATGTATATTTTGGTGCTTCAAATGGAAAATGCATTTCCATGTTTTGATGGATGTTTTTAATTGCTTTATCTTGACTTGCTGGCATATTAATGACGATCATATCTTTTTAATGAGGCCTGTGATTTCTATAATAACTACTTCAGAAACTGGAAGACTAAAAGCAATAGAAGTAAATAGAAGCACACCATCTAAAGGAAATTTCAACATGTTGGGGATTGCTGTCCCAGGCAATTGTGTCACTATGGGTTTCTATAAGACACATTATTTGAAGGATGATTTCAATATGAACAATACATAAAATGCTTTTCCCTCATCCAATCCATCTCTAGTAGGTACTTAATACCCTCTATTTTTGACGCAACCATTTGCTACTATCTTTATTTGGAGAAATTGTTGCCTCCCCACCCATGTTCTATAGTTTTTTGGGTGGATGGGTAGCAGGTATGCTACTCACTGCATAAGCCAAGGATCCAATTTCTTCATTTTATTATCTTGATAGAGAAAAGGGATTAACTCCTGCCTAATCATGCACAATCATGTACTTCTTTCCTGAAATTTAAGTCTTGCAGCAGAACCAAGCAAAGATAAAATAAATATTTGGAATACATTTTTCTTTTTCTTTTTTCTTTCTTTTTTTTTTTTTTGAGACAGTCTCACTCTGTTGCCCAGGCTGGAGTGCAGTGGCATGATCTCAGCTCACTGCAACCTCTGCCTCCTAGGTTCAAGCGATTCTCCTGCCTCAGCTCCCTGAGTAGCTGGGATTACAGGCTTCTGCCACATAGCCAAACAATTTCTTCTGTGAAACCATTTTTGTAATTTCTGCTTCTTAGGTTTCTGAAACTGATTTTTCTTATGTTCATTTGTCCAGTGTTTCTGCTGATATATTTGGACCTCAAAATTCTTCTAGTAAAGCCATTTTTGCACAAGTTGTTTTGCCAAGAGTTTGTTTCCATCTAGTGTGCTAAGACAATGAGGGGAGATTTTTTTGTTACCCTGGCATTGACAACCAAGACAAAAATCTGAAGAGAAACAGTTCATAAGAATCCCAAATTATTTTAATGCCAACATTTGGCGTTACACATCTCCTTTTAGGTTTACATAATAGATGAGTGATCCTATGTTCAATTCAATTTCAGCACTTATGCCTTACAGGACTTTTTCAGAAAGCTGGAGATGAAAGAACAACGAAACTTTACAATGTCTATGGTCCGTGCAGAGATCAAGGTCTGTCAGAGACATCTTTCCCTGTGGTTCCCTCAACTCCACAAGCCTTTGGGTAAGGATGTACTCAAAAAGAACTAGTCATAGAGATTAAGCGTTTGTGTTTTGGGCTGAACTGTATCCCACCAAAATTTATATTTTGAAGTCCTAAATCCTAGTACCTCAGAATGCAACTGTATTTGGAGATAACGTCTTTAAAGGGATAATTAAGTAAACATGAGGTCATTTAGGTGACCCCTAATAAAATATGACAGGTATCCTTATCAGAAGAAAACATTTGGACATAGACACCTACAGAGGGAAGACAATGTGAAGATTCAGGGGGAAGGTTGTCATTTACAAGTCACGGAGAGAGGCCTCAGAAAAACTAACCCTGCATGTTAACACCTTGGTCTCATTCTTTTAGCCTCCATAACTGTGAGAAAATAAATGTCTGTTGTTTAAATCACTCACTCCGACTGAGTGTTGTCCTTTGTTATAACCCAGACTGAGTATGACCCCAGATTATGTGGTCTTTTGTTACAACCACACTAGCTAATAAAGTCTGCAAGAAGGAGAGGCTGTCAGATTACTCCCTAGTTGGTTGTTTGGTGAGGTTATTAACCTGCAGAATCATACTAGTAATGGCATCAGAAGCAGTGTGGATCATGGTGACAAAGGTCTCAGGAGAACCTGATGTGTGTGCAAGTTATATTATTATAATTGTACATAAAGACTGGGACTTACTCTTCCATTAGCGATCTCTGAAAGTGGAAGACGAATGGTAATAAATTGCAACAAAAAATGATAAGAAGAATGTGGCGTATCACAGAGAAGGATGTTCCTTTATGCCTCAGCTATATTCTACAATTCTCAAATTTCTATGGCTACCTATTAGGAAGCAAAAAGTTCAGAGGAAAATCAGAGTGTTAACATCTCATTTGGAAGTGATAGGAAAGTTGCATTTCTGGAAGGGCTAAAGGTACAATGCAGCTACTCTTCTTGAAATGAGTCATAAGTGATGGCAGAAGGCAGGGTAAGTTCGAGTGCCATCCTCTTCCCAAAAATTTAATTAAAAACTAAAAAGCATACCCACAATCTACACAGAGACCAGCCATCTCACCAGCACAACTTAGAGCAAAAGAGGAGACCCTGTCTTGGAGCCCCACCACAACCATGTGATAAATTGCATAAAACATTCTCTTGTTCCTATTTCTTCTTTCTTCACCAACCATGGAGAATCGGTTCAAGGAGGAGAGAAACATTACCTCAGATCCAGACTCTACACATGTCTATTGTTCCAATCCAAGGTGTAGGAATGAGAGAAAAAATAAAAGGACATCCACCTTTTGAAGTCCCTGAGACTATAGAGTAGTGTTAGAAAGAGGAGACTTAAATTTGCTATGTGATTGAAGTTTTGGATTTTAACACACTAGAGTGAAGAAGATCTGTAGACTCTACTTGATATATTTTAAGGAACAGAGAAAAGGGATTCAACAGAACATATCTGAAGTTAGTAATTGTTTTTAAAATTATATCTCACTTCAATAAAATTCTAAATAATATGCTATTTAATATAGTATACAAGAATAATCTTTCTTAAAAATATGTATCTTCATGTATTTCTATTGTTTAAAGGAGACAGCATACTGTTTTTATAATTTTTCTTCAATTGACCTATTTATACATATTTCCTATGATTATGTTCCCTCTTATAATACTCATACTAAGATCCGTTATACAACTTATGATTACCTGGAAATACTGACTTTAGTGATGTTTTGCCTTATTCATACCTTTCTTTGAACAAAATGGAAATAGAAATTATAAATATGAAAAAAATTGATTTCACCTTGTTTAAAATTGAAACATTCCATAGGTGGTATTTGTATTTTAAGAATCTTAAAAATAATCTTACAGACTAAATATTATGAATCCTTAATACACTGAGCAGATAAGATAAAAAAGACACTGTTAGAGGTTGTGGCAAGCAAAGAAAAGGGCGTATTTAATTCACATCTGCAAAGGCTTGATCTCTTTTATAGTTAACTGAAAAGGATGTAGAATCTTCGTAATATTTAAAATGCTCCCCAGGAATAAAATTTCCAGCCTCAATTCATGTGATGACTGCAAGTAATCTTACTGAAGACATTCTTTAGAATACAGTTTACAGAATGAACCTATTGAGTAAATATATTGTAAGAAACTGAATAGTTATAGATGAAACTCTCCATCTTTATTTTTGTTATTTCACAATTACATGAATTTTTTTAAGTTAATCTATGAGTCAAAAAGTTCCAGAATTTCCAGGTATTTTTCTACTCTTCTCAGTTCACCAATAATAAAATATTCCAACTGGGGAATCATCACTAAAATATGCAAACCTTGATTTAATCAATGCCTGATATAATCTCCCTACTAAACTCCCATTTCCTAGCCTTTGCTATACAAATTACAAACCTGGAAAATGTCTAGCAATTTATAATACTGTATTGGATAAAGTGGTCATAGCATTTCCACATCCACAATCCTTTCATGAAAAAAGAACAAGAAAAAGAAAAAGACAAGACGCATAGGATCATGCAATTTATATAGTTAAGGACTACAGTGGTGATTTCCCAAGTCAAGTTAATCATTATTGTTTAATAAAACAGGAGTGTGAAACTCTGGAAGACTAGAAAACTTGAAATAAAAGATGACCCACAGACAAAAGATGATTTCTATCTCGAAGGTGATCACTAAAGGTAAGATGTCAGACAGTTAAAATAGGTTCAAGCAAAATTAGGAGAAAAAAAAGAAGAATTCACTAAGAGATAATAATTTAAAAAAGCTTGGGTTTGTTATTACTTGAGATTATAACCCAGACACAATGGGAACAGGGAAGAAATAATGGAGAAGCAGGAAACATGATGTGGAGAGGAAGGAATGTGATTACTGTTTAACACAGAAGCCAACGTGGCCATAATTGGAACTCATCTTCTGAGTGTTGGCCAACTAAATAATTTCTTTTACTCCTAAAACAGTTTATTGCAAAACATAATCATACAGAAAAATTTATAAGACAATTTTGGTTTAATAAATAACTATGAAATAAACTCCTGTAAAACTAACTTCCAGCTTAAGAATTTACAAATGCCAGAATCCCAAACCCCTTCTCTCTAGTCAACCACCCTCTTCTGAGGTAATAACTAAATAAACCAAAGGATTTTTTAGAGGTTTTGTCGTTGTTGTTGTTTTAACTAGGTAAGTATATGCATATGAAAAGATCATGGCTTATCACTATAATTATCAATCTTCTTCCTGCTCCATTTGGCAGAAGCAATCACTTTCAACTCTTCCCGTTTCATCCTAGTAAATAATTTTAAATTTCTGAGTGAAATGATTTAATGACGTTTTGGTTTTTAAATTTTGATAGTGTCTATTAAATTGTTTATATAAAGGTCACAATTTTAGTTCTCTTCTAATTTTACTTTATACACCATTTGCTACCCCTTTTTGCTCAGCTTATTTGGGGTAAATCATTATTTAGTATGTATGCTATTGTGATTTCTTTCTTTTTTTTTTTTTTTTAGATAGATTCTCACTCTGTTGCCCAGGCTGGCATGCAGTGGTGCAATATCAGCTCACTGCAACCTCCGCCTCACAGGTTCAAGTGATTCTCCTGCCTCAGCCTCCTGAGTAGCTGGGACTATAGGCCTCCGCCACCACGCCTGGCTAGGCTAATTTTGTATTTTTAGTAGAGACAGGGTTTCATCATGTTGGCCAAGCCAGTCTTGAACTCCTGACCTCAGGTGATCCACCCACCTTGGCCTCCTAAAGTGCTGGGATTACAGGCGTAAGCCACTGCACCCAGCCTGTGATTTCTTAAATTATATTCACAGCTGAGGCACATGGTGTGCTACAATTAAACTTCCTTTTTAAAAAAAATTATACTTTTCTCAAATAAAATGATTCATCATTTTCTTCATGATGATGTCATTAATTACTCAAGCCTATAGAGAAATTCTTCCAGAATTCTTCACCCATGTAATTGCCTGCTCACTAGACCTGCTGTTAGCTAAATTGGAAATATTTCCTGTCATTTTTCCTCTGGTAGGTCCCTATTTTTAAAAAAAATATTTTAAATAATATCTACAAGAAAGTGAATAATAAAACTTTTCATGTCTAAAAGTACTTTTTAAAATTTTACATTTATCCTTCTTAGGTGAGAATAAGCCTATAGGTTCAAAGTATTTTTTTCTAAAATGTTCAAGACATTTCTTTATTGTAGTCCAGGCTTCAATATTGCTGTTGAAAAATTCAGTGCCATTCAAATTCCCAATTTTTGTATGTAAATCAGTCATCTTAGGTACTTCTGTTTATTACTAATTTCCTGCAAGTTTATAATTGTGTGGCTTATTGTACACCATTTTACAGTAATTGAGCTTGACAAGATGTGTATTTTCACTTTGAAACACATGCCTTTGGTCCTAGATGGTATTAATTCATCCATTTATTAATGAATACATTCATAATGAATTTTTCATTCATTCAAAATACATTTTTAAGTGTCATATAAGAGCAAACAAAGCAGAAAATCCAGAAAAATTAAGCCTAGTGTCTTATTTTTCTGATATTTCTGTTTTTTGTTTGTTTCTTTTCTTCTTCCATGTCTTTCATTAGTGAGAAAGTTTGATGCTTGGATTTATCTTCTTCATGCAGACATATTCTTCCATCTTGAGTTTTGAAAGTGGGGTGCAGAAATTACCTTAGTAATCTTTGTAGTATAAAATAATAGGGTACATATATTGTAAATCTTCTGCAAATGTAAAATGAATTAAATTATTTTCCCTGTGAAGAATGAAGATCTACACACAAAAGGATTGTTGGTGACTTTGATAGATATAGATGTCTCAAATTTTATTAGAGAGAAAATGGCTTATTGCAATAACATCAAGGAACACTTCAAATTGCGAAAAGAAAACAATATGTATGTTGATGGAAAAATAAACAAAGGATATAACCTGATTATAGAGAGAAATAGAAACAGCCAATATGCTTAATAAATGATGCTGAAATTAAACAATAGACAGTGAACACAAAATTATTAGAAAATGAAATATCACTTTACATTTTTCATGGTGAAAATTTAAAAATATCCATTTATTGTTGATAGAATTGGGCATCATCTAATGCATATATATTGCATATAAAATATTAGAAAGTATAAAAATATAAAATCATGCAAAAATTAAAAATACAACAGAGATATATGGATTTAATTCCTCACATACTTTAAAGTTTAATAGGAAAAGAAAAAAAATAATTTAATGGTATCTGCGATAAATGGCCTGCAATATATTTGATTGCTTTAAATGTTATACATAAATTAGTTGTAGGAAAATTATTTCTAACTGTTGTGATATATCTTCATGTAAGATAAAATAATTTATAGATTAATTAGGAAAAAAACAGTGCAAAGACTGAAAGTATAATAAAATTTTACAAAATAAATATTAGCATAACTGTGATTAATGAGTATGTTAGTATTTCTTTCCTATTTTAGATATAAAGGAGAAATTTAACTAAAACACACAGAGTTAAAATTAAATTTTGAGGTGGAGGGAAGAAGGTAAACAACAGAAGTTATTTTTCTCACAATTTTGGAGGCTAGAAATTCATGAGCAATGTGTCAGCAGGTAAGGTTTCTTCTGAGGCCTCTCTCCTTGGCTTGCAGATGGCTGTCTTTCCCCCATGTCTTCACATGGTCTTTACTCTGTGTCTGCCTCTGTTCTAATTTATTTTTTCTACTCTTTGTTCCTTAATATTTTATTATTATTATTATTTGAGACAGAGTCTCGCTCTTGTTGCCCAGGCTGGAGTGCAGTGGTACGATCTAGGCTCAGTGCAACCTCCACCTCCCAGGTTCAAGCGATTCTCCTGCCTCAGCCTCCTGAGTAGCTGGGACCACAAGTACGCACCCCTATGCCCGAGTAATTTTTTTTATTTTTGAGACAGAGTCTTGCTCTGTTGCCCAGGCTGAAGTGCAGTGGCACCATCTCTGCTCACTGCAAGCTCTGCCTCCCAGGTTCACACCATTCTCCTGCCTCAGCCTCCCGAGTAGCTGGGACTACAGGCGCCCACCACCAAACCCAGCTAATTTTGTGTATTTTTAGTAGAGATGGGGTTTCACCATGTTGGCCAGGCTGGTCTCGATCTGACCTCAGGTGATCTGCCCACCTTGGCCTCCCAAAGTGCTGGGATTACAGGCGTGAGCCACTGGGCCCTGTTTTTTTAATGTATTTTATTTTAATTTAAAAAATTATATATTTTTACAAGTACAACATGTTTTAATATATGTACACATTGTAGAATGAATGATTAAATCAAACTAGTAAACATATGCATCACCTCAAATACTTAGCATATTTCTGTGGTGAGAACAATTAAGGTCTATTCTCTCAGCAATTTTCAAGCACACAATATGTTATTATTATCTAGTCACCATGCTATACAACAGATCACCACAAATTATCCATGCTAAGATTTTGTAGCCTTTGGCAAACATCTCCTCATCTATCCCTTCTCCCCCAGCCCTAGGCAATGATCATTGTGAGTTTGACTTTGTTAGATGCCACATATAAATGAGATCATGCAGTATTTGTCTTTCTATGCTAGGCTTATTTCACTTAGCCTAATATCCTCCATGTCCCTCCGTGTAGGTACAAATGACAGAATTTCCTTCTTTTTAAAGGCTGAATTGTATTCCATTATGTATACATACCACATTTTCCTTATATACTCATCCACTGATGGACATATAAGTTGATTTCATATCTTTACTTCAATGAACATGAGAAATGCTGCAACAAACATGAGAGAGTAGATAACTCTTCTACATGCTGATTTCATTTCCTTTGGATATATACTCAGACGTGGGATTGCTGGAACATATGGTGATTCTACTTTTAATTTTTTGAAGAACCTCCAATCTGTTTCCCATAATGGCTGTACTAATCTACATTCCCACTGACAATGAAAAAAGGTTTCCTTTTCTCAATATCCTCTTCAACATTTGTTATATTTTTGTCTTTTTGACTTTTTGATAATAACCATTCTAACAGATGTGAGGTGGTATCTCACTGTGGTTTTAATTTGCATTTCTCTGATGATTAATGATGTTGAGCACCTTTTCATTTACCTATTTGCCATTTGTATGTATTCTTTGGAGAGAAATGTCTATTCAGGCCCTTTGTTACTTTTTAATTGGGTTGTTTTCTTGATATTAAGTTGTTTGAGTAAAAAGAAATTTAACTAACTTAAACATAATGCAATATTTTAGACAGACAGTTCAGTCACATTCTGTAAATGTGCTTTTTCAACTGTGAAATGTGAAACAATTCAATAAGTAACAAAAGAATCTATTGATATACAACTTCTGTAATGAAGTAGATTTTCAGAAGGCAATTGTGCATACAAAAAGATATAAAGAGAGGGAAATTTTCTTACAGAAAACTGTATGAATATATTATAATACTGCAATCTGTGAAAATTATATGTGTGGTTTTCAATTATTTTTATTATTATCTCATAGATTGCAACCAGAGAATCTTAACATATATGTGACAATTTGGTGACTTTTAGAACAAGTGACAGGGAAGATTCATGACTCTCTATATATTTGTACATACAAGTAAATAGGTATAATACACATATACACATATATATAGATACAGATGCTTGTGTGTATAAGTGCATGTATACACACATTGATGTGTTTTTCCTTCTTTCAATATGTTAGTGAATACTAAGTGTATGCGTGTGCATAACACATACAAAAATCTAACACAATTTTCTTTGTTTCATGAAGATATCAGAAGGCAATACTTGAATATACCAAAATATTGCTGTTCATTTGTCTTTAATGATTATATTGATTAGATTTGTATTTATATTCTTAGATAATCATATATCATTTCCTAAAAAATAAAAGCCAAAATACTAAATTTATTCACAAGAGCCTTCCAATATAAGAACATTGGAAACCTTATGTTTCTTTCCTGATATTATCTCTATCATCTGATTATATCACAAAAAAAATGTTTAAAGTTAAGAGTATAAATGACTAGTTTCTGGCTCCAAATCACTCCCTAGTAAGCTGAACCACCTTGACCTTCATTATATATATTTACTGTATTTATTATGGTGTTAATCAACAGAGACTATGCCCTGTTTTTTTGTTTGTTTGTTTGTTTTGAAATCTTGTTAAACTTTGTAGCATCATTCAAAACTAGAGACTTAATAGATTCCAAATAGAGATTTGTGAAAGTTTTGGTTCTGTTTACTGTGTTATTTGCAGTAAATAGATATTTTAGATTGGCAAATATCAAGCAGAGAATAGTGCTATTTCTAATATTTTAAACTGAGGAAATGTCAAGGGGAAATGAAGATTTTTATTCAATGTATTCAGAGAAAAGAAGGAATTTACTTTTATTTAATATTGTCTAATAAGGAAATTGCCCTCTGATTTTAATGTTTGTTCCTAGACTAGGCTTGGCTATATTAAATTCTAGCTGACTAGCATATCACTGGGGTTAACTGTCCACCAATTAAGAGTATTAACAAGTCATATAAGTGTATATCCACATGTAATATACTAATATATAAGTATGTATTAATATACTAGTATATAATTGTGTATTAGAGGCTACCGTCTGCTAAGGCCTCCAGATATTTATTAAAACAAAGGAAACAGTCCACAAACCTTGATTATCAGATACTTCCCTGAGGAAAACTTACTTCTAACATCACTGAGCAGTTAAAAGTAGTAAAGTAATGACCACGTATTTCTATTCAAAGCCCTTTTACTATGCCATCCTGGAGAAAGTGTAACTCGTTAGGTAGCTTCAAATATTAACTCGCTGCCCAAAGAGCAGACTGGAAGTAACATACATGTATATATTACACTCCTTATACAAAAATGTTTTAAAACAAATTGGAGAAAGTGTAACAACCAATAACATCATTTTAAGTTACAGTTACTATTCTGCACATGAGTGTACAAGAAAGTATCATGTAACTGAATCATTGGCTGTTGCAGCAAGAGGAATTGCACTTATATAAAGTAACAGAATAAATTATTTCTGCACAGTTTAAGGTCCTGATAAATTCCTGCTCAAAGTTTTTCATTTTTATGACTCTAACTCTGAGGAATTTCAGAAAAGGCACTCCAGACCGCTTCTGTAGGAATTTTTGGAGAGAACGCCTAAATTTCAGCTCCACATAAAGCTGTACACCCTCTGATATGACCCAAAATAAGTAAAACAATATACATACCTGATGAGCTCTTGTAAACAAAGAGATTAACATGTATTCATCGTGAGTTAAAGCTCCAATACATAAAATAGCCACTTCAAAGAAAAGTGAAATAAGAATCAGAAGATTAACGGGTAGCCGGGAATTAGGACAAGTTTTAGAAGAAAGAAACCACGATAACATTTCTTAGCTATTTGCCTTTGCCCATAGTCTCATATCAGTTTCAGCAATTGACGAGTGAGAAGGCAAGTTGTTCCAACTCCTTCCTGAGGAGCATACATAAAATAAGTGTTTGCACTGCCTGTAGTTTTACAGTGTGATTCAGTTATCCTTACACAGTAATTTTAAGTAACATAATGTTAAACAATGTCTTCTGTATTTGAAAGATATAGAGATCTAAATTGCTGTCCACCCATGTGTCAGCATTCTGGTGCCCACAGTGACCAAACAACACTTGCACTCCTTGAAGACTGTTGTGATATTTACCCTTTTCCACTTTGGCTTTGCCTTTTATTACAAAACTCAACAAATAAGGGTAAGAACAGTGACACTTGGCTTGTTAAAAAAGTGCTTTTTTTTTGGTCTCTGCTGCCTGTGTATAAATAATAAGTACACCCAATGTAATTTATTGCCTATGAGTAGTTCTGTCTCACCAGACTATGACGTGGGTAACCAATGCACAGTTAACCTGCTTTACACTAATCATATTTATTTTAAAAATGTGATTAGTTCCAGAATCCTGAGTTTCTGCACAATGCAAAAACAACCGTAAAACAGTGTGATTATAAAATAGTTGATTTTGAAGATGAGGAATGGAATAAAGATACAGATGAAAGAAGAATGTCATGAGGTTGATAACTACTGAAGGTGATGGATATTGTATTGACTGTGTATATATAAAATTTCTGGGAAAAAAGTTAAAAAAAAAGTATTGGCCCTAGAAGGAGGTAGAATGAATACTACTTACTTGACTTGTCAGTGACTAGCTTGTGATCTTGGACACATTTCAATCTGTGTAACTCTCAATTTCTGTGTCTATGAAATGAAGATAATATTCCTTTATAAAGCACTGCTATAAAGACAAAATGGATAATGTATTTCACTATCTAAGCATAGTTAAGAACCACCATTCTCCAATATTGTGTTACTGTATGACTTATAAAAGGTTTCCTCTCTCAAGACACCCTCTTGCTGTCTGTGAGGAATACACACACACATACACACACACACACACACACATGCAGTATATATATAATCACTATATATCAAAGTCAGTACAATATCCATCACCTTCAATAGTTATCAGCCTCATGCCATTCCTGTTTCATCTGTGTCTTTATCCACTCTTCATCCTCAAAATCAACTATTATATAATCACAATTGTAAACTAACAAGAGGAATATGGAGTTATTATCAGTAATTTATGCAGTAGTATGAATAAAGGTTTAAGATTATATTTAAATTATGCCTGTGACACTGAATGCAGAAACTGAAGACTAGGGAACATCAGCAACCTTGTTGATGTCGATTGTGCTTTGCTACCCATGTAGGATAGCATTTTTACCAAGAAGGCAGGGCTCTCTCAGTAAAAATCATATTTTGAAGATATTATATTCTCAGTAGTGCTCATGTGAACATTAATGTCACATTCATTTATACACCACGGTTATTTATTATTAACTCACATAATTGGATCTCCCACAGGGCTGCTGATTAATAAAATATCCATGGCCTCTGTAAAGACCAATTTTCTTAATACAAGGACATGTTAATGGGCAAAATAATTTCAAGTGCCATTTTTTGGTACATGCAATGTCCAATGTTATTTTGAATGCGTCTGCACTTTTAGATCTTCATCTGTGATTAGCTATTTTCATCTTCAATAAGCCAAGTATTGAAGAATCGAGGTCTCAATTTGCCAGAATGCTTTGGTAAGCACAAAGTATATACTTAAATGCCAAGAATTATGTGCTAATAAGTTAACAAGCGTAATCTAGCTTATCAACAGCCTGAAAATCTAAATCTCAGTATTTGTGATTTGAAACAGAATGTACAATGCATGGAATTTCAAGAGTTGCAGACTTCCTCTCATGATCCACTGTTTTACGGTTGTTTTTGCATTGTGCAGAAACTCAGGATTCTGGAACTAATCACATTTTTAAAATAAATATGATTAGTGTAAAGCAGGTTAACTGTGCATTGGTTACCCACGTCATAGTCTGGTGAGACAGAACTACTCATAGGCAATAAATTACATTGGGTGTACTTATTATTTATACACAGACAGCAGAGACCAAAAAAAAAACCTAGGGTCCACTGTGAACTGGTCCCTCAGGGCTCAAGAAAGCTGCCTGAGGCAGAAGTCTCAGCTGTGTGTAGCCCTATTGCACCAAAGCTGGAGGGACTCTGTAAAGCAGCTCAACCTGGTTATAAACCTTACAGGCCATGTGAATCAATGGGCTAAAGCTTCAAAGGACGTCCTGCTTCACGCCAGAGAGAAACAAAGCCTGCATTGATCAGAGCAGTTATTTTCTAACCTAAGATGTTATATCCTCTAGGAGGGATAGGGGGATGATCTGGGCTGTTTCTGACACTCTATCCCTAGCTCAGGATATTTCATTCTTAACACATTTTATAGTTATTCTTGAGAACTACTAGTGGGAAAGGGAAGTGCACTGTCCTGCAATTAGTAATCCCATTGAAATATTGATAGTTACATAATATAGCACAGCACACACACATACCCATGCACAAGCATTTACTAGGACTTACTTGTGATGCATTTAAACTTCATAATAAACCTAGAATCTCATCTCTTTATTATGGATGAGGAAATGAAGTCTAACAAAGCATATAACTTATTTATAGTAGTGTTAGTTCATTTCCATGCTACCAATAAAGATATACCCAAGTCTGAGTAATTTATAAAGAAAAGAAGTTTAATGGACTCACAGTTCCACATGGCTGGGAAGGCCTCACGATCATGGCAAAAGGTGAAGAAAAAGCAAAGGCACTTCTTACATGGTGGCAGGCAAGAGAGTGTATGCAGGGGAAGTGCCTTTTATAAAACTATCAGGTCTTGTGGGACTTATTCACTATCACAAGAACACCATGAGAAAAAAACCGCCCCTATTATTCATTTAACTCCTACTGGGTCCCTCCCAAGACACAGGAGGATTATGGGAGCTACAGTTCAAGATGAGATTTGGATGGGGACACAGCCAAACCATATCAATGGTCACATACCTAGTAAAGCTTAGAATCAAGAAAACAACTCAAGCATTTAAAAAATTAAATATTTTGTTTTATTGACTATTCTTGTTTTATCTTTTATTCTTGCACTAATTCAATTATCAAACCATATAATACCAGTGCACTACTATTTCCGTTATAGCTGTTCTACTTCAGGTCAATATAATCTATGCCTTAACTATACACCTGATATTCTAAATGGCCATCCTCTTTCTTATTTCTCCCCCTCTAGACTGTTCTAAATATGGCCAAAGGATTCCTAAAGCATAGTTTGGGTGACGTCATTCTCGTCTTCAAAAAACTGTCTATGTACTCATTGCCTACTCAATTGTTAGTGTTATGGGAGAATGTTAGAATTGAAGAATCTCCAACAATTCTTAGTCAAGAAATGGAATTTGTTACTAACATTCCTGTAAAAGCACTGCCGTAGCATGACATAAAAAACTTGCAAAAAAATTTGTTCTGCAATCTATGACCACATACCAGCCAAACTACCCATTGTGTGTGTGTGTGTGTGTTTGTGAGTGTGTGTGTGTATGTATATTTTTCCCCTGAGGGCAACATTCAAAAATACCTGACAAGCATATGATATTACTCACTCAGCTAAGTACATATATATTTTACTTGCTTTTATCTTTTTTCATACTCTTGATAGAGAATTCTCTTGAAATAAAGTAGTTAATACAGTTGACTCAAGGTATATTTACTCCCTTTACCAAAGGGTAGATTAGATAGACTTCTAGGGGAGAAAGTAAAATATATATACGTATACATATATATGTATATTATATATATATATACACGTACACATATATATGTATATGTTTATATATATACGTACATGTATATATACGTATATATACACATATACATACGTATACGTATATACATATACACATATATACGTATACGTATGTATATACATATACACATATATACGTATACGTATATACATATACACATATACATACGTATACGTATATACATATACACATATATACGTATACATATGTATATACATATACACATATATACGTATATGTATGTATATACATATACGTATATATGTATACATGTACATGTATACATATACATACATATACATACATGTATATGTATGTATACCTATACATGTATGTACATATATATGTATATACATATACATTCATATACATATGTATGTACATATATATGTATATACATATACATTCATATACATATGTATGTACATATATATGTATATACATATACATTCATATACATATGTATGTACATATATATGTATATACATATACATGCATATACATATGTATGTACATATGCATGCATATACATATGTATATACATATGCATGCATATACATATGTATATACATATGCATGCATATACATATGTATATACATAGCATGCATATACATATGTATATACATATACATATATGCATATACATATATACATATATGCATATACATATATACATATATGCATATACATATATACATATATGCATATACATATATACATATACATACATATACATATACATATACGTGTATATACATATACATATATACATATATACATGTACGTGTATGTATATATACATGTACATATATGTATATATACATGTACATATATGCATACACACATATATGTATGCATATAGACATATATGTATATATGTATATACTTATATGGATATGTGTGTGGGTGTGTGTGTGTATACATATATATATATATAAAATCTTCTCTGTTCTCCTCTTCAACTGAATACCAAAGTAAATAGACTTTGGTTAAGGATTACGTAAAGTTAATAAGCCTGAATCTATGAAGCATTACTCTCAGGAAAATATCTTGTAAGATACATAACTCCCTTAGGGTAACATATAATGGAGATGTTTCATAGTTTGAGGGTTCATTGCTATGTAATGTCGCTCAGCAAACCTCACTTAGAACTAGTACTCTACACGAGAGGTGTGTGTGTCATGAGTGAAAGAAGAACCTGGGAAGCACCCCATGAGTCCCAGATCTCACTCTGACTTGTCTGAGCCTGTATCCATGATGCCTTAGTAAAGCTTGAAACTGGGTAATATCTCTGGTTTATGTGAATCTGATTTGACAATCTGATCCTCTACATGGACTCAGTTTCCTTCTTTGTAATTCTCTTTTTCTTTAATGTCCTTCTGTGTGTGTGTGATAAAATACATATAAGATGAAATTTATACTCTTAAATGTTTTAGCGTATAATACAGTATTTATAACTATAAACAGTGTTGTTCCGTAGAACTCTAGAACTTTCTCATTTTGCATAACTGAAACTTCATACAGATTGAGCAGCAACTCCCCATTGCTTCGTCCTCCCAGCCCTGGCAGCCATCATTCTACTTTTTACTTCTATGAGTTTGTTTACTTTAGATACCTCATGTAAGGGACATCATTTAGTGTTTGCCTTTCAGTGTCTGTTTGCCCTTCAGTGTCTGGCTTATTTTATGCGGCATAATGTCCTCAAACTTCATCCATGTTAGATGGCTGCTGTGGTCTAAATGTTTTCCCCAAAATTCATGTATTGAAACTTTATCACCAATGTGATAGAATTAAGAGGTGGAGACTTTAAGAGATGATTAAATCATGAGGGCACAGCCTCATCTTTAGAAAGCCTTACATCTTTCTAAAGGGGTTTAAAGAATTGGATTGGAGGTCTTCTGATCATCTACCATGTAACACAGCGAAAAGGCCCTCACCAGGCACACAACCTGCCGGTACCTTGATCTTGGACTTCTCAGCCTCCAGGATTGTAAGGAATAAATTTATGTGGCTTATACATTACCCAGTCTGTGGTATTCTGTTATAGTAGAAAAAATGGACTAAAGGAGAAATTGGTACTGAAGAGTGCAGTGTTGTTATAACAAGTACATCAAGATGTGGAAAAGGCTTTGGAACTGGATAATGGGTAGAGACTGGAACAATTTTGAAGTGCGTGCTAGAAAAGCTTAGATTGCTAAGAACAGACCATCCAGGGCAATTCCTATGAGGGTTCAGAATAAGAGATGAGTGGTAGGGAAAGTCTCAATCTTGGAGACTATATAACTGATCATGGCAAGGAGAAATATGGACTAGGAATTGAAAACTGCCTGAGAAGCTAAATGGCATTACATACCAGATTTGGTTTAAAGTGCATTAGGTAAGAGCTTAGTGTTGTCACTTTATTTTAAGCTGTCCCCTTAGAATGAAAATGGTAACATACATTAATAAGAGCTCTGGGAACAGTGATCTGTCTGGTCTAAACAGTATTATTCTTGCCTGATTTCCCTGGCCAGAGCTTCCAATACTATGTTGAATAGGAGTGGTGAGACAGGGCATCCTTGCAGGGCATCCTTGTCTTGTGCTGGTTTTCAAGGGGAATGCTTCCCACTTTTACCCATTCCGTATAATGTTGGCTGTGGGTTTGCCGTATGTGCCTCTTAATTTTTCAGGTATATTCCTTCAATACCTAGTTTATTGAGACTGTATGACATGAAGGAATGTTGAATTTTACAGAAAGCCTTTTCTGCATCTATTGAGATAATCATGTGGTTTTTGTCTTTAGTTAGATGAATCATATTTATTGAGTTGCATATGTTTAATTCACCTTGCATCCCAGGGATGAAGCTTACTTGAATATGGTGGATAAGCTTTTTGATGTGCTTCTGGATACAGTTTGCCAGTATTTTGTTGACAATTTTTGTATTGATGTTCATCAAGAATATTAGTCTGAAGTTTTCTATTTTAGTTGTATCTCTGCCAGGTTTGGTATCAAGGTGATGCTGGCTCCATATAATTAGTTAGGAAGGAGTTCCTCCTCCTCAATTTCTTGGAATAATTTTAGTAGGAAATGTATCAGCTCCTCTCTGTACATCTGGTAGAATTCAGCTGTAAATCCATCTTGTCCTGTGGTCCTTGGCTCTTTCTTTTTTTTTTTTTTTTGGTTGGTAGGCTATTTATTATGGCCTCAATTTTTGAACTCGTTATTGGTCTGTTCAGGGATTGAATTTCTTCCTGGTTCAGTCTTGGAAGGGTGTATATATCCAGGAATGTATCCATTTCTTCTAGATTTTCTAGTTTATGTGCATAGAGGTGTTCATAATATTCTCTGATGGTTGTTGGTATTTCTGTGGGATTAGTGATGATATCTTATTGTTTCTGATTGTGTTTATATGAATCTTCTTCTCTTATTAGTCTAGCTAGCAGTCTATTTTATTATTTTTTTTTCAAAAAGCCAGCTCCTGGAGTCATTGATATTTTGAATTTGTGTGTGTGTGTGTGTGTGTGTGTGTGTGTGTGTGTGTGTGTGTGTGTCTATCTCCTTCAGTTCTGCTCTGATTTTGGTTATTTCTTGACTTTTGATAGCTTTGGGATTTGTTTGATCTTGGTTCTCTAGTTGTTTTAGTTGTGATGTACGGTTGCTAACTTACATCTTTCTACTTTTTGATTTGGGCATTCAGTGCTATAATTTTTCCTTTAGTACTGCCTTAGCTGTGTCCCAGAGATTCTGGTATATTGCATCTTTGCTCTCATTAGTTTCAAATATCTTCTTGATTTCTGCCTTAATTTCATTATTTACCTAAAAGTCATTCAGGAACAGTTTATTCAATTTCCATGTAACTGTATGGTTTTGAGATGATTTCTTAGTCTTGATTTCGAATTTGATTGTGCTGCTAAGAGGCTGTTTGTTATGATTTCAGTTATTTTGCATTTGCTGAGGTGTGTTTTACTTCCAATTATGTGATTAATTTTAGAGTAAGTGCCATGTTCCTATGAGAAGAATGTGTATTTTGTTGTTTTTGAGTGAACAGTTCTGTAGATATCCATGAGTTCCATTTGATCCAGTGCTGAGTTCAGTTCCTGAATATTTTTGTTAATTTTCTGTCTCGATGATCTAATATTATTAGTGGGGTGTTAAAGTCTCCCACTGTTATTGTGTGGGACTCTAGATCACTTTGAAAGTCTCCAAGAACTTGCTTTACAGGGCATTCGGGTAGGAAGCAAGAAAGTCAAACTATCCCTGTTTGCAGATGACATGATCCTATACCTAGACAATCCCATAGTCAGCCCAAAAGCTTCTTAAGCTGATAAACAACTTCAGCCAACTCTCAGCATACAAAATAAATGTGCAAAAATTATTAACATTTCATATACCAACAGCAGTCAAGCCAGGAGCCAAATCAGGAATAAACTCCCATTCACAATTGCCAAAAATAAAAATAAAATAAAATACATAGAAATACAGATAAGTAGGGAGGGGAAAGATCTCTACAAGGAACTATAAACCACTGCTGAAAGAAATCAGAGATGACACAAACAAATGGAAAAACATTCCATGTTCACAGATAGGAAGAATCAGTATCATTAAAATGACCACACTGCCCAAAACAATTTATAGATTCAATGATGCTCTCATTAAACTACCACTGACATTTTTTACAGAACTAGAAAAACTATTTTAAAATTAATCTGAAACCCAAAAAGAGCCTGAATACCCAAGGCAATACTAAGCAAAATTAACAAAGCTGGAGGCATTGTGCTACCTGGCTTCAAACAATACTACAGGGCTATAGCAACCAAAACAGCATGGTAGTGGTACAAGAACAGATACATAGAGCAATGGAACAGAACAGAGAACCCAGAAAAAGACCACACATCTAAAACTATCTGATCTTTTACAAACCTGAAAAAAAAAACAAGCAACAGGGAAAGGATTCCCTATTCAATAAGTGGTGCTGGGATAAGTGGCTAGCCATAGGCAGAAGGCTGAAACTGGACCCCCTTCCATACATCATATACAAAAATTAACTCAAGATGGTTTAAAGACTTACATGTAAAATCCAAAACTATAAAAACCCTAGAAGACTCTAGGCAACAGCATTTAGGACATAGGCATGGGCAAAGATTTTATGAAGAAGATGCCAAAGGCAATTGCAACAAAAGCAAAAATTGACAAATGGTAGCTAATTAAGCTAAAGAGCTTAAAGAACTTCTGCACAGAAAAAGAAACTACCTCAAAACTATTTGTAAACAGAGAGCCTACAGAAAAGAAGAAAATGTTTGCAAATTATGCAGTTGACAATGGTCTAATATCCAACATCTATAAAGAACTCAAAAACACTTACAATAAAAAAATAAGGCCATTAAAAAGTGGGCGAAGGACATAAACAGACACTTCTCAAAAGAAGGCATACATGTGGCCAAGAATCATATGAAAAAAAGCTCAACATCACTGATCATTATAATAGGCAAATCCAAACCACAATGAGATATCATCTCACACCAGTCAGAATGGCTATTACTAAAAAGTCAAAAAATAACAGATGCTGGTGAGGTTGTGGAAAAAGGGAACGTTAATACACTCTTGGTGGGAGTATAAATTAGTTCAGCCATTGTGGAAGACACATGCACGTGTATGTTCATTGCAGCACTACTCACAATAGCAATGACATGGAACCAACTTACATGCCCATCAATCATTGACTGGATGAAGAAGATGTGGTACATATACACCATGGAATACTATGCACCCGTAAACGAGAATGAGACCTTGTCCTTTTCAGGGACATGGTCTTTATCCATGAGGGATAAAGAGAGGCCTTTATCCTTAGCAAACTAACACAGGAACAGAAAGCCAAATACCACATGCTCTCAATTATAAATAGGAGCTAAATAATGAGAACATATGGACACATAGAGGGTAACAACACACACTGGCCCCTTTCAGAGGCTGGAGGGTTGGAGGAGGGAGAGGATCAGGAAAAACAACTAATGGGCCTAGGCTTAATACCTGGGTGATGAAATAATCTGTACAACAAACCCCCATGACACAAGTTTACCTATGAAACAAACCTACACTTGTATCCCTGGACTTAAAATAAATTTTTTTAAAAAAATTGTACTATTCATAGGACAAAATGACTGTTTTGAAAATGTTCTTGTTTGTTCATTTGTTCATTGCCATTTCTGTAATCCATAGAGGAAACTTCTTCTTTTGCCTCTTTATTCCTTTTGTGTCATTTTCCTATACAATTTTATGCCTTGAACATTCTCAAAATATCTACACAAAGACCCTAGTTTTTGTGTCTGTGATTAAGACCAACAATGCCTACTGCATGGAAGATTGAAAGGGATATATTTTAAATGACTAGTCTTAATAAGTACTCAATAAAATATCACTAATATTATTTAATCTGGGTTTCTATTAGATCAAACAGTTACTACTTTTCATTCTAATTTTTTTTTTTTTTGCAAACTTAGATCCTGTACTGGAAACTGATTTTAAAATTGTGTGCAAAAAGAGAGAGAAATAATATGTTCATTTTGGGGGTTATTATAACAGCTTGTTAGTAATATTTTGAAATTAGAAAAATATTGACAATAAAACCAGGGGCCCTAAATCATTTCCTCAAGCTCACACCTTGAGCTAGTATCAGAAGCAAATAGAAACCTTGTCTTTTAACTTCCAATGACTGTACCATATATTTACATATCATAATTTGTGCAAAGCTTTTTAAATACATTTTCCTCTCAATTAGTACTTAAAATTATAACTCTATGAATTTAATTTTTAAAATTCTCAACTTGTTCAATATTTTGGGGCTGCCTTTCCTTTAAAATTTTCAAAAAAATACGCCAGTATATCCCAAACTCCTTTACCTACAATAGGAAGATCAGTTAGAATAAATCCAAAAGCTTAATAAAAACGGGACACTGAAGGGAGAATTTTTTATGGGATTCATTTTAAACGTTTATGTAACTCTTTGAGAAGTCGTAAGCTTTCCTTTTATTTTAGATTATGTTACTGGATTATAATTTGTCTTCAATATTTTATAAAAGACCTATACACACACCACACTCACACGCACATACACACATGCACACACAGGTTTGGGTTTGAAGAGCAATGAACTAAAATTTAATTTCCTGGGTTAATAGGGTAAGAAGTTTGAAAAGCTTTCCCAAAATTCTTCCAAACTGACTTAAACAAAATAAGGTTTGCAGCAACTCCATTAGCAAAGCTCGTTTAAGCTCAAAACAAAAACACACATCCATGCATATTCAAGATAGGAATGAACTCTAAGTTCAGAGAGTCCATTCTTTAGCTCTTGAGAGTTTGTTGCTCTATTTTGCTTTAAAACATATTTTCATCTGCTTTAAATGAGGTAACTTGAACATACACAGACAAAAATGACCATCATAGAACACAACTGGCAGTACCAAGGTCTGTTTTCCCAGAGTTTTCTCTGTGCAATCTATATCAATTGTCAGCTAATTATACATTAGCTACTAAATTGAGATAGTGCCCTCAAACGATGCTCAGTTGTCTTTGTAAATAAGAGATTATTTTTTATGTAAGATATCAAAAACAGCTGGATAAAAATACTTGCTAAACCAACAAAAAGTTTAATTTTGGCAGATTATTTTGAGAGAGATAGACAAATGATTAGGCGACTTTCAGATTGGAAATTTATTAGAATGTTGATTTATCTTTTAATGTATCCCAAGTACCTAGAATGGTACTTGACCCATATAGAAACTTATTTCATTATTATAAAATGAAAAATGTCCTCTTGTGTTTAATTGCAAGGTAAAACACACATGCAAATAAACACAACTATTAAAAGCTGACAAAGTTCACTTGCAGGAGGTTGTAAATTTTTTTAGGTCTCAAAATGTGCAAACCAAAGGAATATAACCGACTTTAAACGTTGTCATATATAAACTCTTTGGTCTGGGAAAAGTCCCAAACAACTTTGCTTCCAGAGAGTAGATCTCACAACTTTGGTAATTGTTAATCAGTGGTAATCATTATAAATCTAGGTAAGATTATTTTACACATAAAAGCCAATTAATGAATACTTACTAGTGAACTGATGACAATATTCTTACAAAGCAAAGTAATATAAATAAATTTAAAAATCACCTAAAGGAAGAAATAATCTCCAGGCCCATCAGTTTAGAATATATTTTCAAAAAAGAAACATTAAAATGTAAACAATTTGTGGATTAGAAATTTTTCACTCTTGGAGCTCCCTTGGAGATCATTCAGATTAATCACTTTTCCCCAAATTTGAAATGTTGGAATTTTGTCTGTGACACCCCTGAAAGACCATAGGGCTTTTATCCAAACACTATACTTGAAGGGTTTTATATATGCATATCCAGGAGAATCTGCTTCTGTAGTTTTAGAATGCACTTTATTATTAGATTCAGGAACCTAAATTTAGAGAAGGCACACCTCCAATAGGCAATTTCCAGGCATCATTTCATTACCACCTACAAGAACATGATTTTCACATGAGAATATTAAGATTAATTAAATGACTTTTAACGTTTATTTCTTCTGTGATTGCAAATTTTCCTTATGTGTATGGTAGCAAAATAATGTAGAAAATAAAATTAAACAGTCTCACACTTTTAGTAGAACATCATGCCTTCAAAAAAGCTCAGATCAACAGTGTTATAAGGCTTTAAACTATACCTTATGTAAATCTCTTGGTTTCTGGGATAAATGCCAAAAGCAATTTAGATACAGTCATACTTCCCCATAACATTAACACCCTTCATGTTTGCTCATTTGAAGATCAGTTAATCACTAGTATTCATCAGTCTAGGCAAGAGCTTAGTTACATATAGAGAGGTTAAATACTCTTTAGTAAACTAATAACAATCATCACGGAAAAAAAAATGATCATCTTAATGTAAAGAGACAAAAGAAAAATCATAGCCCTTAAAATCCAGGGTCATGAATTTCAGCAACTCTTTGAACTGAAAAATTTCATGACAGAGGAGTATCTTATATATTAAGTAGTCTTCCCTTACTTAAATGCTAAATTATTCTGCCATCCATAGCACATGGTCATCCAGGCTTTACAAAAATACTCAGGCCTTAGATGCTCACAAGCAAAGAGGCTGCACAGCAAAGTGCATATTAAAGGTCTATCAAGTATATTGGGTCTAGGAATTGTAGAAAGATAAATCTAATTAAATAATTTGTATTCAGAAGCTTCAATTTTTAAATAATGTCAAAATATCTAATGGTCTTTCTTAGCATGAGAAAGTTTTTACTAAGACTGGTGAAGTGCCACTAATATATTTTTTTAATTTTAAATTTCAATTGCTCTTTGGCATTATGCAGAAACACAACTGAATTGGAAATGGTAATGTCATATCCTATGAATTCACTAAATTCGTTTTTAGTTCTAGGAATTTTTTGTAAATTCCTTTGAGTTTTCTGTCTTGACAATGACAACACTGTGAACAAGGACAGTTTTACCTTTTTTCAACCTGTAAAACATTTTATTTCTTTCTTGTCTTATAACACTATTTAGGGTCTCAATACAAAGTCAAAGTAGAGTGACAAAAGAGTACACCCTACCGTTTTCCCTGATTTTGGAGGGAAAACTCAGTGTTTTACACTGTGAATGTTATAGGGATTTTGTAGGTGCCCTCCATCAGGTTAAGAAGTTTGCCTCTATTCTTGGTTTGCAAAGAATTTTTATTAGGAATGGATGTTAACTTTAGATGAATGCTTTTCTGTAATAATCATGATTCTTTTTTTTTTAGTCTCTTAATAAAGTGAGTTGCATTGATTGGTTTTTGAATGTTGAACTGGCCTTGAATTCCTGACGTAAACTCCACTGCTTAGGTTATACTATCAATTTTACATATAAAAAATTATTGGATTAGATTTACTAGTACTTTGAAAATATTTGTATCTCTGTTAATGAAGAATATGAGTCTGCAGTAATGTTTCATTTAATGCCTTTGTCTGATTTGAGTATTAGGTTAATGTTGACCATACAAAATCACTTGAGACATTTGCTCTCATCTTCTAATTTCTGGAAAAAATTATGAAGAGCTGATTGTATTCCATAAATATTGTATATAATTTACCAATGAAAGTATCTTTGCCTGGGGTTTTAAGTATAAAGTAACAAATTTCAATAGATCTAAAAACTATTTAATTATTTATTTTTTCTTGAATCAGTTTTAGTAGTTAGTACCTTCAAGGAACTTTTGTTATGGAATAGAGTTGTTTTCATGTTGTTTGTACAGACTTGCTACAGAAACACTTTCAAAATGTTCTTCAAGCTAAAAAGAATATCTAATGGAAAGTCAAAAAATGAGTAAAGAACACTGGAACTAAAACTCTAAGATTAAATATAATATATGCTTATTTATTCCTCCTAATTTATTATATATACATATATATTTAAGTCAAGATAATTATAACATTATGTTTTGGAAATTAAAACAGATAAATTTAATGCCTACAACACCAAACATTTAAAGGATGAGTGGTAGGCAAATAATGGTAATGTTTCTGCCTTCTATATAAAGTAATAAAAAATTAATTATAACTAAATGTAAAGCGTTAAGGGCATATATAATTGCTCTCAGAGCAATCAATGAAAAACATGAAAATACATTTAGCTAAAGGCAATGACAAAATTAAAATTAAACTTTGAAAATTGACAAATAACACAAAATAAATATAGAAAAAAAACAAAACCAGAAGGCAATAAAATACGTATAAAATATTACCCCCAAACCCCAAAATATCACATTAAATATAAAGTTAATAATAACACAACTTAAGGCAATACTGTCAGACTAAGACTAAATCAGACAGAACAAAAGAAAGCAAAATGAAAATAGGACTCAACTCTAAACTTCTTACAAGAGGCAATCTTTAAATGGGAAAACAGTGTGTGAAAATAACTAAATACATAGATGTATAAAGAATACTAAAAAAACACTAATTTTAAAAAGTCACAGTGACCATATTAATATCAGATGAAATATCAAAACAATATTGTAATGAGGTAAAGGAGAAAATTTTATGATGGCAAAGTGTCAATTTATTATGACAACAATCATAAATATCTATGCACCTAATAAGTTCTTATATTAAAAAGGCACCAACATGTGTATCTTTTTTGCAGCACAATTCACAATTGCAAAATATGGAATCAATCTTAGGTGTACATCAGTTGATGTGTGGATAAAGAAAATATTGTGTATGGGTGTGTGTTTGTGTGTGTGTGTGTATGCGTGTGTGTGTATCCATACTATGGAATACTACTCAGTCACAAAAAATAATGAAATACTATATTTTGCAGTAACTCAGTGGAACTGGAGGCCATTATCCTAAGTGAAGTAACTCAGGAATAGAAATCCAAATACCACATGTTCTCACTTCTAAGTAGGAGCTAAGCTATGTGTACACAAAGTCATACAGAGTGGTTTAATGGACACTGGAGACTCAAAAGTGGGAAGGATGGAAGAGGGTGAGGGATGACAAATTATCTATTGGGTAAAATGTACATTATTCAGGTAATGGGTACAGTAAAATCTCAGAATTCACCACTATATACAATTCATCCATGTAATAACCAAAAACCAGTTGTACCCCTAAAGCTATTGAAATAAAAAAAATTAATCTCCAGCATAAGGGTAGCCAGTTATTTCACTACCATTTATTGAATAGAGTGTCCTTTCCCCAGTGTATCTTTTTGTCTACTTTGTCAAAGAACCAATGGTTGCAGGTGTGCTGCTTTGTTTCTGGACACCTTAGGTCCACTGGTCTATGTATCTACTTTCATACCAGTATCATGCCATTCAGGTCACTGTACCCTTGTAGTATACTTTGAAGTTTGGGTAATATGATGCCACTAGATGTGTTCCTTTTGCTGAGGATTGCTTTGGCTGTTTGGGTCCTTTTTTGTTTTCATATCCATTTTAGAATAGATTTCTAATACAATGAAAAGTGATGTTGGTAGTTTGATAGGAATAGCATTGAATCTTTAAATTGCTTTGGGCAGTACATCCATGTTAACAATATTGATTCCTCCTATCCATGAGCATGGAATGTTTTTCCATTGTTTCTGTCAACTCTGATTTCTTTCAGCAGTGTTTTGTCTAAATTCTTGTTGCAGGGATCTTTCATCTCCCTAGTTAGCTATATTCCTAGGTGTGTGTGTGTATTGTGAATTGGATTACATTTTTGATTTGGCACTCAGCTTGGATGTTATTGGTGTACAGAAATTCTACTGATTTTTGTACACTGATTTTGTATCCAGAAAGTTTGCTGAAGTTGCTTAACAGATCTAAGAGCTTTTGGGCAGAGACAATGGGGTTTTCTAGACATAAAATTATATCATTTGCAAACACAGAGAGTTTGACTTCCTCTCTTACTATTTAGATGTCTTTTATTTCTTTCTCTTGCCTGACTGCTCTGACTAGGACTTCCAGTACTACCTTGAATACAAGTGGTGACAGTGGGCATCATTGATCCCATCTTACCTCTTCTGTTGAAGAGATTCCTTAAGATTTCTACAACAAGAATTGAGAGCTTCCTTTTCTCTATACACAAAAATCAACTCAAGATGGATTAAAGATATAAAACATAAAGCTATTAAAACTCTTGAAGAAAACTGAGGAAATACCATTCTAGACATACGCCCTCAGAAAGATTTTTTGGCAAAAATGTCAAAAGCACTTGTGAGAAAAACAAAATTGAAGAATGAGATCTAATTAAACTAAAGAGCTTACAGCAAAAGAAACCATCAACTGAGTAACTATATAACCCACAGAATGAAAGAAAATATTTACAATCTATGCATCTGATAAAGGTCTAATATTCAGAATCTATAATAAACTTATATTAACAAGCCAAAAACAACCTCATTAAAAAGTTGGCAAAGGATATGTTTCAAAAGAAGATACATACATGGCCAAGAAACATATGAAAGAATGCTCAACATCATTAATCTTTGGGGAAATGCAAATTAAAACCACAATGAGATACCATCTGACAACAGTTAGAATGGCTATTATCAAAAAGTCAAAAAATAACAGATGCTGGTGAGGTTGTGGAGAAAAGGGAATGCTTATACACTGTTGGTGAGGCTGTAAACTAGTTTAGCCAATGTGGAAAGCAATTTGGTAATTTCTCAAGCAACTTAAAATAGAACTACCATTTGACCCAGCAATCTCATTATTGGGTATATACTCAAAGGATTATAAATTATTCTATCATAAAGACACATGTATGTGTATGTTCATCATAGTACTCTTCACAATGGCAAAGACATGGAATAAGCCTAAATACCCATCAACAGTAGACTGGACAATTAAAATGTGGTACATATATATGCCATGGAATACTATGCAGCCATAAAAAATGAGATCATGTCTTTTGCAGCAACAAGGATGAAGCTGGAGGCCATTAGCCTAAGCAAACTAATGCAGGAACAGAAAACCGAACACCACATGTTCTCATTTATAAGTGAGAGCTCAACACTGAGTACGTGTGGATATAAAAGAAGGGAACAGTAGACTCCAGGGCCTACTTGGGGGTGGTGGATGGGAGGGGAGGGAGGATCAAAAAACTAGTCAGGGAGAATACTTTTTACCTGGGTGATGAAATAATCTGTACACCAAACCCCCATGACACACAATTTATTTATAGAACAAGCCTGCACATGTATAACTGAAACTAAAAGTTCAAATAAGAAATTTAAAAAAAATTTAATTTTTTAATTTTAATTTCAATTTTAATTAAAAAAACATTTCAATAGACATTTGTTCAAATCAGATATTCAAATGAGCATTAAGTATATGAAAAGATGTTGAACATATCATTAATAAGGAAATTAAAATTATAAACACAATGAGATACTACCTCATAGCCAGGAGGACTGCTACATTATAAAAGACAATTATTATTATTATTATTATTATTATTATTATTATTATTGGAGAGAATGGGCAGATATTTGATCCTAATTTATCATTTGTATGCTGACATGCTGGCAAGTTGATGGAAATATGAAGTGGTGCAACTACTTTGGAAAATAGTTTGACAGTTCATCAAACATTAAGCATATAGTTAGTGTATCTCCAATAACTCTGCCCTTGGGTATATGCTGAATTGAAAAGAAAACATATAACCACAATAAAACTTATACATAAATGTTCATAGCAAACTTATATTAAAAAAATAGAAAGAACCCAAAATTCAAATCAACTGATGAAAAAGTAAACAAAATGTAGTATATTCCTGCAATGAAATATTTTTTAACAATTAAAAGTACAAAGTACTAATACATGGCCCATATTGATGAAACTTGCAAACTTTGTGCTAAGGGAAAAAGACCAGTCAGGAAAAGACAACATATTATATGATTCCATTTATATGATATATTCAGAATAGGCAAATCTATAGAGATAGGCAGTGGATTTATGGTTGTCTAGGTCATGACCTATTATCTTGTTATAATAGCACAAGCTTTATCATAGCAGCAGAATAGAGGCTCACACATCAGATGTTTCTTAAATGATGATACTAGGAAAACTAGTGAAAAATTAGGTTTAATAGATACATATTAAAAACAACTGTTTAAGTGATTCAACAAAACTTTGTGTTATTTACAGTCATATCAGTTTATGAAAAACTCACAGAAGCAGACAAATTTTCCATGTCATTGATTTCATAAATATTACAGGTTTTGATTGGAGGATAGAATGTGGAAATAAAATAAGGGTTATCAAATGACCTGAGTTGTAATTGAAATATTATTTTTAAAATAATTTAAATACTTAAAAATACTATAGATTATACGTTTTTAATCTTTCCTTCCTTTTTCTCTCCCCTTCCCTTCCTGTCTCACTTCATTTCTTATTCTTTTTCTTAATAGCTACTGATTCTTGTATAGTTTCATAGCCTGTAATTTCCTTGGTCACAGTACTAATAACCAGCAGAGCATTCGTGTTTGATTAAATCTTTAGAAACAATGGTTGTCCTTAATGAACCAACAGAAAATCATCATTAGGGTACTTTTATTCTCATAGGCATTGGTGCCAGCATGACTGAGACCTGAAATCACAGATGAAGTTTATAATCATTTGTGATTATAAATGGCAATTATACATCTGCTGTGAAATAACTAACATTGAATACAAGGGATTTAGAAGGTAGTTTCTGTTAATTTGTCTCCTTTTCTGCAAAATAATGTCTAAAACACAATGTTTATATATAAGTTGTCTCATAATTTTTTCAAAAAGTGTATGTTTACACATATGTATATACATATATACACATACTGATATTTCCTTTGTTTAATATTCTTAACCTGAAAAATTGGTTACATTTTTATTGTAAAATAGATAAATTATACTGTCATATCACATTGAGGGATGTAGCCCCCAGAATTAATAAATACATTTAATGCTTATAACAAGTTCACTTGTATATGGTACAACATTCTAAGTATACTGTGTGTATTAACACACATAATTCTTGTAACGATCACATAAGACAGGAAGATAAGGAGCAAATATGTAGAATAAATTGTCCAAGATCATAAAAAAATCATAAGTATTTGAGTCTTTCTTTGGAAATATAATAATAAAATATAAAATGTCTTTAGCGTCTTCAAGAAAGTGTTATAGACATGTAGTTTGTGAAGTTGACACTGCTTTGCTATCTACTACAGTGGAAAGATCTTGATAAATGACTTCCCAATTGCTGCCTATGTTGTATTGCTGACTTGAAGAATTTAAAATATAAAAAGATTACGTCAGGGCATGGTGGCTCACACCTGTAATCCCAGCACTTTGGGAGGCCGAGGCGGGTAGATCAGTTGAGGTCAGGTGTTCAAGACCAGCCAGACTGGCCAAAATGGTGAAACCCTGTCTCTACTAAAAATACAAAAATTAGCCAGGCATGGTGGTGGGCAACTGTAATCCCAGCTACTAAGGAGGCTGAGACAGGAGAATCACTTGAACTTGGGAGGCGGAGGTTGCAGTGAGCCAAGATCATGCCACTGCATTCCAGCATGGGTGATGGAGTGAGACCCCATCTCATTAAAAAAAACTCATAAAAATAAATATTATATATTATTTATATGTTATATATATGTTAAATTACTTATATATAGACACTTATTTTGACATATATTATTTAGAATATTTATAGTAGAAACCAAATCGGGCCAGCTGAGTCAAATCGGGGAAATATCTTATAAAGATCATTTTCTGTGGAAGCTGGGGAAGAAACTGAACTCAAGAGAATGTTTTAGAAATACAAATAAACCAACAATTGATGCTGTTATTTCCTCTAGTCTTTGCATTTCTTAAAAAATCAGTCCTTTATTTCTCTTTATCAGTTGCAAATTGGATAGATTCTCTTTGGCTCTCTGGAAGAAGGGAAAAACCATGGCACCTCACAGACCCTGTTTTAACAGATCACAGTAATAGTAGCTTTACATAGTTCTAAGTGATATTCGTCCTGATTTTAGTCGTCATTCCAATATTTTAGATGGGGGAATATGACTGGCCCATTTTTGGTCAAGACATATACCTGATCCAACTAACTCTGACCAGAACAATTTCATGAAGGAAAAATATAACTGCAGAAGAAGATACTTAATGGATTAGGAATTGAGAATATATTTTGCAGAGACATGGTTATTATTGGGTCAGGAGTCACATTACCAGGTGTCCTTCCAGAATGCAAGGAATATTAAACGTCAAGGAAGATGGGACTGAGCCAAATCTTGTGCTTGAAAGCAAATATCAATAATATTAAATAATAAATATAGTTCAATGTTTTAACAATTTGGCTATTTCTCTTCAAATCTTATCAACTAACTATTAATGACTAATACTCTGAGGCAGATATTATTTGGGATACACACTGCTAAGTCTAAGAAGCATATATGGGCAAGTATACCATTGTCAGATTATTTAGTCTGACAACTGCCTTTGTCAGAATCCTTTTCTCTCTGGGCTTTAATCAGAATTGGCCAAAGATAAATGCTTAATGAGGTTTGGAAGGCATATGGCAGCAGCAGCCATTCCTCTCAGGAAGTCTTTAAGGCCAGATGAAAAATGGTCAAATACAGAGGTACTCAGTGGGTCTCAGCTTGTCATCACTCTCCTCGGCTCCACATCCAGCTTGTCTTCTTCCTAACTGCCAGCCCTGATCAAAAGCAGGAGCCCTCATCCCAACACCAGATGCTTGGCTGCAGATCCATAGAGTAGTAGCTATACAGAGAAAACAAATTCCCCCAGATCTATCTATGGGCTTCTCCTGAGGATCCCACTTTGCCAGATAGACATGTTGGATTTCTCAGATTTCCCTGTACATCAAATTGTACACGCCTGCAGTTCTTTCAGGATTCTCATATACTCCAGCTCTTTCTTTCACTTTCTCATCGTCTCCTACAATTGTATCCTGTAATCTGCATCCCTTTATACATTTAGTTGCAGCTCCACTGTTCAAAAGGTAACTGACAACAGAGCTAAATAGCTTACCTACCTATGATGTTCGATGTTGCCATTACCGGTGGATTGACATGAGTTTCTAAAGATGACAAAAAAATAATAATCATAATCCTTCTTGAACTGGCCCTAATATTATCTGCCATATATTGGGAACTTCTATTATTTTATGGGAGCTTATAAACATGCATCTATGCTTATGCATGTACTTGTTTTCCTTTCCTAAAATAGTTTATTGTTATTCTTTGTTTGGATAAATCAGGCTCAGTGCAAGAAGCCACTTTCATTTGTATACTTTCCTCAGGTATGTTTACTTTTCCCAATATGCCTCCGCATCACTTTATATACAATCCTTTTACTAAAACTACCACTTTTTAAATAATTATTTATTTGTATCAGAATTTATTTTTACGACTCAGTTCTGTTATCTGGAGATAAAGACCAAGTTCATTAGCCAATATAGTACTTGGTATATTGCATGATTAAGAACCTATTGTAGAACCAATAAAAAATGTTAATCATGAAAGGATCATTAAATCTAAAGTGAACATTAGTGTCTTTGATAGTTTAAAAAATCACTTCAAAAATTTTAACAGCCTCCTCACTGAGATGTGGAATCTGTAATTTTTCTCCTAGAATGTAGCAAGGCATATGAATACTTGGCCAAAAAAGTAAATATAGGTGACTCTGTGTGACTTCTGCCTACATCATAAAATGTTACTTAAAGGTAGCATCTATGTGGTTCTCCTAGGATGTTAAATCTTAGAACTCTCCCTTGCTACATCCACCTTTTGGAACCCAATCACTATGCTATCATAAGCTTAAACCATATGGAGATGCCATGCATAACTAGTAGACTGGGAAGGCCTAGTTGAGCTTGAACTTCAGCCTATCCAGCCTTGGTGAAAACAGATAAGTGAAGGAGTCATCTGAGATCACATCCTCCATCCCCAGCATTCTAGCTCCCTGCCATTTAAATCTTGTCTCACTCCAGTAGCCCTTGGTTCAACCCAGAAGAAGCCATAGAAATTACAGAGTCATCTCCTCTGTACCATATTCAGATTTCTGATGGATAGAAACTTGGAGCATAATAATCTGTTTTTATTGTTTAAAATTACTATATTTTGGAGTTTTCTTTTTATGGTGCAAAAATTACTGAAACAGATTTTGGTAACTGGGAGTTAATACTGGTGGAACAAAAACCTAAAAATATGCAATATTGGTTAATGGAGGAGTTGGTGAGCAGAATCCTGATAAGCCTCATGAAGGCTGTTTTTCAGAGCCCAACAGAACATGAGGACAATAATACTGGAAGCTGCAGTAAAGGGAAAATAAAGTAACTAATAAATTTGATAATCATGCTAAGGAGAATTGTTAAATATATTTTCTGGCTTCTTCTAGATATCTATGAGGGAGCAGAGAGATAAAGTCAAATTAACTTAAAGTACATTGTTTAACTTTGAGTAGAATTGGGAAGAAATATAAAGAGCTTAGGCCAGTAATGCCCGCCAGCTGGGGCTTCTCAGAGTAAGAAAGGACCATAGGGTAATGTCAAAGCTAGTGTGCTAATAGGAAAATGTGGACTGGAGTTGAAGATAATGCTAAGGGTATGACTTAAAAACCCTTTAATAAGACCTCAGAAAGAGATAAGTTGGTGCCTCATAGACCCATGCAGACAGACAAAAGCCCTTCTAAGGGTCTTAGGGTCTTGTTTAGCAAGTCCTCTCTATTAAACAATAGGGCTTCTAAAACTCTCAAAACAGACTCATAGGGGGCCCAGTACAGACAAGGGTTTATCTCAAAAAGATGTGAGTATGTATTAGTCCGTTTTCGTGCTGCTGATAAAGACATGCCTTAGACTGGGCAATTTACAACAGAAAGAGGTTTAATTGGACTTACAGTTCCATGTGGCTGGGAAAGCCTCACATTAATGGCGAAAGGCAAAAAAGAGCAACTCACGTCTTACCTGGATGGCAGCAGGCAAACAGAGAGAGCTTGTGAAGGGGAACTCCTCTTTTTAAAAACCATCAGATCTCGTGAGACTTATTCACTCTCACAAGAACAGCACGGGAAAGACTTGACCCCATGATTCAATTACCTCCCACTGGGTACCTCCCACAACACATGGGAATTCAAGATGAGATTGGGGTAGAGACACAGCTAAACCATATAATTCCAGCCTGACCCCTCCCAAATTTCTCATCCTCTCCCAATCATGCCTTCTCAACAGTCCCTCAAAGTCTTAACTCATTTCAGCATTAATTCAAAAGTCCACAGTCCAAAGTCTCATCTGAGACAAGGTAAGTCTCTTCCACCTATGATCCTGTAAAATCAAAAGCAGATTAGTTACTTCCTAGATACAATGGGTGTACAGGCAATGGGTAAATACAGCCATTCCAAATGGGAGAAATTGGCCAAAAAAAGGGGATACAGCCCCCATGCAAGTCTGAGCTCCAGTGAGGCAGTAAAACCTTAAAGCTCCAAAATAATGTCTTTTGACTCCATGTCTCATACCTAGGTCATACTGATACAAGAGTTGGGTTCCTATGGTCTCGGGCAGCTCTGCCCCTGTGGTTTTGCAGGGTACAGCCTCCCTCCCAGCTACTTTCATGGGCTGGCGTTGAGTGTCTGCAGCTTTTCCAGATGCAGAGTGTAAGCTGTTGGTGGATCTACCATTCTGAGGTCTGGAGGATGGTGGCTCTCTTCTCAAAGTTCCACTAGGCAGTGCCCCATTAGGGACTCTGTGTGGGTGCTCTGACCCCACATTGCCTTTCAACACTGCCCTAGCAGAGGTTCTCCATGAGAGCCCCACCCCTGCAGCAAACTTCTGCCTGGACATCCAGACATTTCCATACATCTTCTGAAATCTAGGCAGAGGTTCTAAAACCTCAGTTCTTGACTTCTGTGTACTTGCAGGCTCAACATCATGTAGAAGCTGCAGGCTTGCACCCTCTGAAGCCATGGCCTGAGCTCTACATAGGCCTCTTTCAGCCACAGCCCAAGCTCTATGTTGGCCCCTTACAACCATGGCTAGAGTGGCTGGGACGCAGGCCACCGAGTCCCTAGGCTGCACAAAGCACAGAGATCCCGGGCCCAACCCACAAAACCACATTTTCCTCCTAGGCCTCTGGGCCTGTGATGGGAGGGGCTGCTGTAAAGACCTCTGACATGTCCTGGAGACATTTCCTCTGTTGTCTTGGGGATTAATATTTGGCTCCTCATTACTTATGCAAATTTCTGCAGCCAGCTTGAATTTTTCCTCAGAAAATGGGATTTCATTTCCATCACATTGTCAGGCTGCAAATTTTCTGAAATTCTATGCTCTGCTTCCCTTATATAAGGGACTTGATTCCCTTATAACAGCAACCAAGTCACCTCTTGAATGCTTTGCTGCTTAGAAATTTATTCCACTAGATACCTTAAATCATCTCTCTCAAGTTCAAAGTTCCACAAATCTCTAGGGCAGGGGCAAAATACCACCAGTCTCTTTGCTAAAACATGACAAGAGTCACCTTTCTTCCAATTCCCAACAAGTTCCTCATCTCTACCTGAGACCACCTCAACCTGGACCTTATTGTTTATATCACTACCAGCATTTTTGTCAAAGCCATTCAACAAGTCTCTATGAAGTTCCAAACTTTCCCACATTTTCCTGTCTTCTTCTTCGCCCCCCAAACTGTTCCATCCTCTGCCTGTTACCTAGTTCCAAAGTCGCTTCCACATTTTTGGGTATCTTTTCTGCAACACGCCACTCTACTGGTACCAATTGACTGTATTAGTCCATTTTTACACTGCTGATAAAGATATGCCCAAGAAGGGGCAATTTACAAAAGGAAGAAGTTTAATTGGACTTACAGTTCCATATGGCTAGGGAAGCCTCACATTCATGGCAGAAGGCAAGAAAGAGCAAGTCAGGTCTTACCTGGATAGCAGCAGGCAAAGAGAGAGAGCTTGTTCAGGGGAACTCCTCCTTTTAAAACCATCAGATCTCATGAGACTTATTCACTATCACAAGAAAAGCATGGGAAAGACTTGCCCCCATGATTCAATTACCTCCCACTGGATCCCTCCCAAATCACATGGGAATTCAAGATGAGATTTGGGTTGGGACATAGCCAAACCATATCAATCTGAATCTAATTGAATAAATCTCAATGATATTTTTTAAATATCCACAATCTTTTTGAGAACAAAATATACTGGGAGAAGTAATACCACTCAAATGGAAAAGGGAAGAAGTAGAGAAATATAAAACAAGACTTCGTATCACTGAACTTCCATTTACACAAACAAAAAATAATTATCTATCTTCATGTTCTATTTCCTATGGAGGATAGTAAGATAAGTCAAAGGACAAAGACAAGAGATATGAAGAATTAACTCCAGGCAACAATATGAGCTTGAATCACAGAAGTGACAACACATGCTAGCTGGATCAGAAATGTTCTGGACCAGTAACAATTTTATGTGTCATTTTTTCCTCATCTTAAATAAGCCAAGGTGCATTTAAGTTTATTGAATACCTGTCTAATTACTGTTGGCTGAATGTGCGGGCATATAAAGTGTTTCTTTTTTTAAACAATTTCAACTTTTAGATACAGGGAGTACATGTGTGGGTTTGTTATCATGGATAACATCACGGAGATATTCCATGATGCTGAGGTGTGGGGTTCGGATCCCATCACCCAGGTAGTGAGCATAGTATCCAATAGGTTGTTCTTCAACCCACACACCCCTCCCTCCCTTCCCCCTCTGGTAGTCTGCTTTGTCTATTGGTCTCATCTTTATGGCCATGTGTGCTCAATGTTTAGCTCCCTCTTTTTTTTTTTTTTTTTTTTTTTTTTTTTAAGAGGGAGTCTCTCACTCTGTCACCCAGGCTGGAGTGCAGTGGTGTGATCTCGACTGACTGCAACCTCCACCTCCTGGGATAAAGTGGTTCTCCTGCCTCAGCCTCCCAGGTAGCTGGGATTACAGGCATGCACTATCACGCCTGGCTAATTTTTGTATTTTTAGTACAGACAGGGTTTCACCATGTTGGTCAGGGTGGTCTTGAACTCCTGACCTCAAGTGATCCACCCATCTCGGCCTCCCAAAGCGCTGGGATTACAGGCGTGAGCCACTGCGCCTAGCCTAGCTCCTTCTTATAAGTGAGAACGTTCAGTATTTGACTTTTGGTTCCTGAATTAAATGTATTTCTTTAATTCACAGGTCTTCAGATTGAGAGGAGCAGAACATGAGGTACTGAACTCAAGAGGTCTCACGTGCACTTGGACCTGATTTACATGACAAGGTTCTGGCCTGATTCAGTAACATGATACAATCTTATGTGGGGTATTGGGAGGTTGAGTATGTATTTTTCATGGGGAAGAATGTAAATAATCCATGGAATAAAAAATATGACTTTTAAAATGTGGCCTCAGAATCCTTTGCACTCCTCTCATTAAGAAGTAAGGTCTATGAGTTTCCCTTTGAATTTGAGTGGGCTTTTGACTTCTTCATTCAATACTGCAAGTTTCAAGTGATGTTATGTGACTTCTAAATCTAGATTATAAAAGGTCTTGCAGATTTTGCATAATTTTTTTAAATTACACAAAAATCATTTTTGCATAATTCTCCTTCCTGGAGCTTTCATTCTTGTACATTCCCTCCCAGAATCTAGCCACCATGCTGCGAGAATTCCAAGCCTCACAGAGAGGGCCCGTGTAGGTTCAAAGTACTAGAGTCCCAGTTGAGACTGTCCTTGAGCCACCACACCCCGAAAAGCAGACTGTGGGTAGAGTTAATATTGGAAATGTTTTCTCCAGTCTTAGTTGTCCCAGCCCCCGGCTTCTAGAGGTATCTCCAGCTGTTTAAGAGATCTCAACTGAGGTAGCAGATATGGTAAAGTTCTAAAATGCCACTCCTATTCTGTACACCCTAATTTCCAAATTCACATAATTTGTAACCATAATAAAGCAATTGCAATCATGTACTACTAAAATATAGGATATTTTAAACACAGCAACTTTAAAAGAAGTATTGACATATTTTGCTACATTGAAGTCATGCTCTCTGTAGCCAAGAGACTCTCTTTTCACTTCTTTTTAATTAAACTCATACTTCCTCCAACTCATACTTGTGAAATATCATTATTTATGAGTATTGAGCAAAACATTATTCAAAACTACATATACAGCATTTATTCCTTTAAATGGTCCATGTCTTTTTGAAAACCTTCTTAGCTAGACCTTCCCTGTTTTCTAGTTAAATTCCTGCTAATCTAACCTAAACTATCAGCAACATCTCAAGGATAACTATGGAGGAAATGTTCCACCTCTTGAAATAAACAAGGATAAAAGAAAATTCATCTTTGGCATTTTTAACTCACTGTAAAATTAAGTATATGGAGAAGGTACAAATGCATATCTACCTGTACACATGGTTATTACTGGCAAAATTTGCAAAACAGAACTCTGTCCTTATTGCTCTTTTATGTCGTAAACCGCCAGTATAAAACCAAAGTCTTCTCTCCATATAGTATTTATACACTCTGATTCTGTGCAGGTCTGTAATACCTCATAAACAGTTGTGTAATACAGATTAGCTTATCATTTCCTAGAAGTACACACACACACAAAAAGTATATAAAACATTAAACACATTGTGTGAAATTGGCAGATTAGGAGACATTATACTAGATCATTCCATAAAAATAATAATTTATTTCCTTTGTTCTATGAAAATATAAACTTCTTGCTATAGACACTGGATCTTTATGTTTCCCCAAAATCCATATGTTGAAATCTAATCCTCCATGCAAGAGTATTAGGGAGTGGAGACTTTGGGAGATGATTAGGTTATGAGGATGGAGTCCCTATGAATGCAATAAGTGCCCTCATAAAAAAGAAAGCTCCTCTGTTCCTTTTCTCCATTTGAGGACACAGAAGGAGAATGCCATCTATTAATTAAGAGGCAGGGTTTCACCAGACGCCAAATATAAGCACCTTAATCTTGGACTTCTTAACATTTAGAACTGTGAGAAATAAATTTCTGTTGTTTATAAGCCCTCAAGTCTATGGCATTATGTTTTAGCCACTTAAATGGACTAAGACTCTTCTCAGATCATTCTTCATAATGGAGAACCTATAACAAAAAAACTATGGTTGCAATCTTATTACCATAAATTTTCTATAGAGTTCAAGACCTCTCATTATATCACCTGTATACAACAATATACCAATCTGTTGAAGGAAAAAGCCAGTACTCAGTGACATATGTAATTGATGTGACTATATTCGACCACTGGACCAAAGAATTTCTAAGAGATTTAGTATTTAGTAAGGCAATCTGCCAAACCACTGAGATGGTTCCAGTAGTGATATAGGTGATATATAAAAATTAAAACCCACTCACCCTTACTGGCAATAACACAGATGCTGGAATCAGATGACTGATGTTTTCTGTCTTGCCTGGAGCTGTTTATGTTCTGCCTTATTTGTTAAAAGCCAGAAGCATCTCTGAGAACAATCAGATGTTCACGTCTTCTACAGAAATTTAATGACCATTGTGTCAATTTCTTCACAGTTCTCCCCCATTGGCATGCTGATAAATGAGAGTCTGAAGCTTTGACATAAAAACCTAAACTCTACCTGTGTACAGAACAGAAACAGAATGAGAGCGAAAAAACAACTATACTGAAAGCAAATTGAAGAGAATTGTGAACTTTCTTCTGAATGCATATATTTTGCTCGACAAGTTTAGCTTCCATAAAAATCTGAAATCTAGAATGTCTGTCCTATTATTTATTCATAAGCTTGTAACTTTATGGGAGATATTTCCCCATTATTCTTTACGAACACTTGATATTCTTTTCATTAGAGAAGATATTTTACCTGCTTCATTCTCAAGCAATGCCTTCACTAAACACTAAGCACTTCAAAGAAGTTGCCTGTGTGTAATAAAGCAATGTGCTAATCTTGACAGATCACCCTGCTTATTTCTCTGCAGTAAGTGTTTAGTTATAAAGGAGAATTGTATCTATACAACATTTATCAAAGCACAGATTCAGGAGGAAAGAGCCAGGGCTAATTCCACCTTAAACATCGAACAATACACAGCACCCACTCATTGTTCTTTTATCACCTGGAAATTCCTTACTATGTTAATTTGCTTATTTTTTGGAATGCTTTCTACTTGCTAGATGCTGTTTTTCCATTGTGATAGCACAGTAAACAAAAGAGACTTACAAAGCTTGAAGAGAAGATGGGACTACAGAAATAAGACAGATAAATTTAAAAGTGCCAATTAGTTAGTTCCAACTTGGATAAATCCTATAAAGAAGTAGAAGCAGCAGCAAGATTATACAATAAATTCTCCTTCTAGCATTGAAGATCAAGGGGTCTTCAAAGAGGACATGAAATTTATTAATCTATGACAAGCCCATTAGCTGAGGAAGAGTGCTTCAGGCAGGGAAAAAAAAACATGTGTTAAGACCTTGAGGTAGGAAGAAGCTTGGAAGCAGAAATAATACTGTTGTGATTGGATTAATAGAGAATTCAGGGTGGGCGGGGGCCTGTGAAGCAGTGTTAAAGGTTTTGGCCTTTAGAAGAAAAGCCATAGGAAATTCCTGAAAGCCTCTAAAGAGAGAATCAGTGGTGTAGAAAATGTATTGGAGAAGAATACCAACAGGGACAGGAAACATGTAAGGAGGCTATTGCAAAAACCACAGACGAGATGATAGTGGCTTAGCCTGCCTGCAGTGATAGCAATGTGAAAGAAAAACACATTCAAGACGTGTAGAACTAAAACTGACAGAATATATTTGATTAGATATGGGGATGCAAGAGAAGATATCAAAGACAACTTAAGGTTTCTTAGCTTGTGTGATCATTGCTGTTAAGAATCACTTATTTATACCTTTGTGAAAGTAAAATCAGATTGTCAAATAAGATTCACAAGAATCAAATATTTTTACTTAGTATTAAAGTTTACTGTAACTAAAAGATGAAAGCAACAATTAAAATAGGGAAAAGTCTAGTCCTCTAATGATAGCTCCCTGTCTTCGTTTTTTTTTAACATTACAAAGTATATTGTCCATATTAAAAATGTTCAGTCTCTAATAAAAGTATATTTTCAACAAAAGTAAGCAATGGCTGTGAGTTCATAGAGTCCAGATTTATTTACCATAAGCAATCCTGGACAGATCATGAATAGCCTGCTAAAAGCATTCCAAATAAGGAACTCTCCCAGTAGTAAACATCCTTAGTGTTTTGTCATATCTATTATTAGCATGTTTATGAGGAGATCTGACCGGGTTACTTTTCTTTTCTGACCTTCTCCCAGATATAAGAAAAAACAGTTTGTAATCTCTTTGCTATTCTTGTCCTTCCCACTGGGCATAGAAATTCATAAAAGTACTCATTTTACTTTTTTATTAAAAAATATACTGGGAAAAATAAACACATTTTCTTCAAAATTTCTAGAAAGAAAAGTAAATGTTTGAACACATGAATTAACTTTAAGTAGCCATTTCAAGAATCAAGAATCTCCTATTTACTTGTGCTACGAAAAAGAGTAGTTATTTTCAAATTTAAATAAAAACACTTATGAAATGAGAATATATTAACTGAATTATTGGGAAAAAAACATGAAAAATAGCAAAAAGCAGAGGAGCAATCTTATTCTGATATACCAAAGACTACAATAGAGTATTTTATGCTAATTGTGTAAATTGAAAAAGTACATGCAAAAAAGCGTACGTTCTACAAACCATTTGAAATGCCTACTGAGAGGGAATTGTGAAGAACCAATAATTTCTATATTCCAACTAGTATACCTTCAAACTATATGGCCTTACAATTTTTTAGACCAATATACCCACCCACAAATCTATAGGGACAAAAGTGAATTACAGGCTATTTACAAGTTTCTCTAAGCCATATAATTTGTACAGTGTTAAGTTTGCCAAGGCTTTGGAAGACCCAAGTGATGCTTAAACCAGCAGTCCAGGTTCCTCTCACAAATACCTTCAAATATCACAACCCTTTATCCATCCCCAATATCAGTAATGGAAGCCTCTAGGGTGCTAAGGAGATGAAGCCTTTTAAGAAAAAAGATTCCTGTCTTCTTTACAGAAGAAAGCAAAGTTTTACTTTTGTATCCCGTATTACCCTAGATTAATCTCCCAGCATCAACTCCCATTAAATTAACAGACGCATATATACACTCCTTCTTTCCAGTGTGGTCTACTTTCCCACTAAAAGCAAGATCCATATGAAAGACTAATACTTTTGCCTGCTTAGTTTATTTGAAGTTGTTTGGCAGTAATCAGGTTATAATTGTGATAGTCATTACTCTCATTAATCCCTTACCACACAGGATTCTGGATTTTCCATAAACATAAACAATGTGAACAAAATGTCATTTTCCTTTAGAGTTTTACTTTGCAATAGTACAATTCATACAACAAATGTTAATGGTTATAATCACTAATATTCACAGTCGTTGAGTAAGAAGCAAGAACAAGTATGAGCTGGAAAAGCGTGAAAATTAAAAACTTCTCACTAGACCTTGAGGGAATTTCTCTTTCGATGTGAAGAATTCCCAGCACGGAATAGAAACACATTTTGAATGTGACTCACTCAATAACATAATTAATCTTCACTTAATAAAATCTCAGGGACTCTCCTCTCTCCCCACCTTCTCTCTTCCAGAGTTTTGTAAAACACTTTATAAAAATCCACCACGGAAACTGTTGCCATTTGTCGGGGATGTAGAAAGGAAGGAGGAGAGTCACTCTCACCTTTGCAATGAAAAATTGGACCATACATGCAGGACTTTTTAAACATTCTTTAGAGAGTTGAGGTCAGAGCAAACAACTGCCTGAAAAGCCAAAGATCAACAGCGCCTTGAGAGAAAGAGAAAACATAAACAGGTATCACCTGGGGTAGACCTGAAGCGGCAGCTACAACTAGAGCTCCTTACAATTGCTGACAATTTGTGAAGGGTGAGTATGGGCTGTCAGGACAGTTTAAAAGCCCTTAGGGCCACAGTCATTGGGAGAATTTGCACCATCTTATAGAGAAACCTTACTCCTGAGGGAGAGGCAAAATTAATACTGAGAAAACAACTGCAGCCGGAGTAAAGCCAGGAAATCCTCAAAGGCTACAATCCCAAGAACAGGGGCATGGTTTATGATTGAGGCTGAAACTTGCTCAAATAGCAAAGCCTTAACCTCCTTCAATTACTACTTACTATCAAGATAACAACTTTAAATAACAAGTAATAGCAGAATCCTGAAGTGACAGAGGGGAGAGGAAAAGACCATCTAAAGAAAACGTATCTGAAGCGTAAGACAAAAGTAAGACCTAAGATTCAGAAGCAAACAAACATAGTTCTGGCAAACCACAGTTTTAGGTCAATGCCATCCTCTCTTAATCTAACTCTAGGAAAAATACAGTAATCATCATTAAAACAAGGACTAAACATGTTTTTCCTGTTAAGCAAGCAAACAAAAACAATTAAAATGCTTACCCCTGGCTACAGTAAAACACAAATGTGCACGCTCTTTCTCTTTCCCTCTCTCTCTCTATTCTGATGCTGGTGTGAAAATAAACTCATATGCAAACATTAGAAACTAATTTTTAAAAAGAGATAAAGTTTCATAAATATGTTTATGATCTAATAATTTTATTGAGATATTTTCTCTCTGAAGTAATCTTCAATAAAAAATAACTTTGCACTCAAAAGTGTTTATTATAGTGATTTATATAACCAAAGCAAAAAATTTAAAGAAATTAATGGTGAAACAAAAAATGTTTTGACTAGTTATAATGATACAATAGTAGGATGAAATATTTTGTAGCCAAAAATGTAATGACTATTAACATTTAATGATATGAAAATGCTCATTCTAAAAGTATATAATACAAAAAAATAAATATTATTATAAACATGGAATATATGTTTATATATCTATTCACATAAATATGAAAATAAACATCTAAAGCTATTAATATGATTGTTTAAGAAGTGGGATTACAGATAATAGTAGGCAGAAAGCCCTGCTTTTCATTTTTTATGGCAATTCCTGAGATTATCAGGCATCAATTCTGATAGCTATGATTACAAGTTCACAATTATGCATCCTTTAAGTACTAAATATCAGGTTTCTGAACACCCGGGGACGAGACACATGTATAGATGCTATAGAAGTCATGTGGGAGCTCTGCTTAGCATGAACTCATCAAAAGGCACAGGAATTACCCTTTTCTGACAATATCTACTCTCAACATTTGCTTTTTGATCACTCATTAAACACCAAAAATCACAGAAAATAAATCTTCTTGATGTATATAATGTAGGGAATTGAGAAGGCAAGAAAGACACAAGAGACAGGGACTAGAAGAAAATGCATCAATCTGTTAATGATGTAATAACAGGTATCTCTGGGTGGTAGCTTATTTTCTTGCTTTTAGTATTTTCTAAATTTGCAGCAATCCATATATATTCATTATGATCATAAATTCAGCAAATAGTTTAATAATAGTAAACTATTGGTATTAGTTTGTTAGGGTTACCAAAACAAAATACCACAGACTGGGTGGCTTAAACAACCAAAATTTATTTTTTCACAGTTGCAAAGACTGGAAATCCCACATCAAGATGTCAGCAGGTTTGTTTCTTCTTTAGCTTCTCTCCTTGGCTTGTAGATGGTCATCTTCTCCTCTTTATCATCACATGATCTTCCCTCTGTGCATGTCTGTGTCCTAAGCTCCTCTTCTTCTGAGGACACCAGTCATATTGGCCTAGGACCCACACATATGACCTCATTTAACCTTAATTCTCTCTTTAAAAAGAATATCTCCAACTATAGTCACTTTCTGAGGTACTGGGGGTTAGGACTTCAACATTTAAATTTGGGGGGGTGTTCCCCTACATGTGGCCCATTAACACCATTACAGTTATTTGTTCTCCAGTTAGTAGACCTCATATTCATCTTGTCCTTATGCTCTCTAACTTCGCTCTCTTCCATCCCTTTTCCCCACTGAACAGAGGAGGATTAGAATGCTTAAATGGAGCAAATGTTTCAGAATGTGTAAAATGATTGTACCATATCAATACCCAATAATGATTTGAATATTATCTCACTCCAAAGAGTATATTATTTCCATCCTGAAAAATGCTTGTTTTTATAGCATCATACTTCTTAGAAAAAGTCAGCCCATGAGGAGTAGATCTGGAAGTGAAATATGGGCTTCATACCTGATATGATTTGGCTCTGTGTCCCCACCCAAATCTCATCTTGTAGCTTTCATAATTTCCACATGTTGTGGGAGGGACCAAGTGGGAGATAACTGATTCATGGGGCCAGGTCTTTCCTGTGCTGTTCTCATGACAGTGAATAAGTCTCATGGGATCTGATGGTTTTAAAAACTGGAGTTTCCCTGCACAAGTTCTCTCTCCTGCCGCTGCCATGTAAGACATGCCTTTCACCTCCCACCACCACTGTGAGCCACATGGAACTGTAAGTCCATTAAACTTCTTTCTTTTGTAAATTGCACAGTCTTGGGTATGTCTTTATCAGCAGCATGAAAATGGACTAATACAGCACCAGACAGCCATGGGTTAAAATTTCTGGCCCACCCCTTACTTTATGTATGACCTTAGAGAAACTACTTAACTGCTTTGGATTTCAGTTTTATGACCAATAAAAATCACAATAACATTATTTAGCTTTTATTATTTTTATACAATTATATAAGCAGAACGAAGTGTTAGACATTTAATAGCATAACAGTTCAGCCCATTTTCTCCCTCTTTTCTTCCCTTCCCTCTCTATACCCCCTTCTTTTTTTTTTTTTTGACATTTCAACTATATTTGAAATAACATAAACTAGTACCCTCTCCATCTATTTCTTTCAATTTTTAGTGGGAATAGGACTGGTCTATCACTTCCCCAAAAGAAATGTCTAGCTTTAAAGTAACAACTTATCATTACAGAGTTGGCCTATAGAAGGATGCACAAATTCTTACATATTCCTAAATGTAATGTTTCATCTGAAACAATACCTAGAAATATAGGCTCCTTCTATATCCTTTGCCAAATTGAAACCCAAATTCAATTTACTAAAGAAAACTTTCAGATCCCACTTTTCCTCATTCATATAAGATAAACAATGTAATTTTACTTTGTAAAGCATGAATATAAATATAATGAGGTATACTGAATGATTATACAGAGAAATTGCATTCTGTCATAAAAGAAGCAAACAGTTAAAATACTTAAGCTTGAGAATTGTGCAAAAGAGTGCAATTAGTAAGTAGTAGGCACAGTTCTTCAAACCATTTCCATCATCTCATTTACTTAAAAATTCAACTTCATGAGCAAACTACCAGTCTCTGAAAATTCAAATAATGAAATATGTGGTTTGATCAGGAAAGCATACACAAATTCAGCCACTTTAATATGCAGCTCATCCATTCAATTATACAAAAGACCTAAAGAGGAGCTCAGCATGTCTGTAAATTATGAAATGAGATGAACCACAAATGCATCTTTATTGAAATGATTACACATCCTCTCCCTTACATGCAAATCTCCACCAACACCACTGGAATAATCAGTGTATTTCTGTTCTTTTGACAATAAATGGCCATCTGCCAAAATATGATAATATTACATAACACATGCAAGGAAACAACACAATTGCAGACTAGTTACATGCTGTTAATTACTTATCTCTGCATTAAAACAACACATGACAACAGGTGGCAGAGAAGCAAGTGGAAATCATACTATCTTCTCTCCAATAATCAGTAGGACTCCTATTTAGTGGAGAGAAAACAGGCTTTGGAGTCATGATTAACTTAAATCACAATGCCACCACATACTAGCTGCGATAGTGTAGTAAATTAAGGTCCATCAAGTTTCCTGGACTGTGCTATTTTATAAAAGAGTAAATTAGGCAGTAAATTACATAAATCTTGACTGTAAACATTAAATTTTGATGTTAAAACAAACCAACAAACAGAACAACTACTATATGTTTACACTATTTTTGGAAAGGGCATTTTAACATACAAAATATTGGAAAGGTCCAATTTAATAATAAATGAGCATTCTTCAAAGAGAGGAAGAGATGGGATGAAAGAAATTGATTCTTAGCAATGGCACTAACATGGAATTATTTTATTTTTCTGTGTTATTTTTCTACATCTCTGTACTGTTGAAAACTTGACCACAAGCAGCATTTACCTACTGGTGAATCTGTTACCTGTAAATCAATGTTTGTATAGCACAGACAAAATTGCTTTTTTTTTTTTCACCCTTCACTGGTAAAATAGAAATACTGCCAGTTGCTCTCTCAATATTGACACTGAAATGAAATGAGATAATGAACGTAACACACTCTAGAAAGAATATAGCAGGTGCTCAAAAATGTGAATTAATCTCTTATCCCCTTTCTTGAATTAACACAATTATAGAAAAAAGCAAAGAGCATATCCCAGGATAGAATTCCTTTACCACTTATTTGCTGTATAAATTTGGGAAAATAAATGCATAAGTCTGTAATAGACTAAATAATGACCTCCAAAGATATAAGGCCCTAATACCTGAAACCTATAAATGCCATCTCTAATGGAAAAAATGGTCATTGAAGATGAGATTGGGTCTTTGAAGATGTGATTCGGTCAAGAATCTTGCTATGTGGAGATTATTTTGGATTATCCAGGTGGGCTGTAAATACAATTACAAATGTTTTCAAGTGTTAGAGGGATCTTTCACATACACACAGAAAAGACAATGTGAAGATGACACACAGAGAGATTTGAAGATGCTCACCTTGAAGACTGGAAGGAAGTGGCTACAAACTAAGAAATGCTGGAAACTGCCAGAGTTGAACATATAAGGGACACGTTCTCACCTGCAGCCTCCCAAGGAAAGGGAACCCTGTCTACACCTTGAGTTTGGCCTAGTGATACTGATTTCAGACTTCTGGCCTCCAAAGCTACGCAAAAATAAAATTCCACTGTTTGAAGTCATCTAATTTGCATAAATTTGTTACAGCAGCCACAGAAAACTAATATAGCTTTCTTAAGGTGATTGTGTGGGCTGCTCTGATGTTTGTGTCTTAAGAAGTGGGTGGAAATGTAAAAGGATAATAAATCTTTCTTAAAGGAAACTTTACACAAGAAGGCTTAAACATTTTCATGATTCATGCATATATTTGTCTTCAACACAAACATTAAGAAATGAAAAGATTGCACACAGACCCTTTCCTTTTCACCACTTGCCAACTTTCCATTCTTTGTCTCATGAGCAATTATCTAAAGTGAAAACGTTGTCCTCTTGAAAGTAGTTTACACAGAGATAAACATTGCCCATTTATTAACTGAATGAGATGTCCTCTGGTAGTAAAACAATCACACCTATAAAATCACCCTACCTGTAACTTACTTAACCATCTCTGTAAAAGTCTAAGGCGAACCATTCTGCTGAGACACAGCCATCTGCAGACCTGAGGTGCCCTCCATACTGTGATAGCTTGAATAAAATCAACTAAAAGGTGTAGTACATTTTTGTCTTTAACAGAAATCATTTCATCAAAATACAATTTGTAATTAAAAGGACCTGTATCAAAGGCCCTGTTACCGAATTAGTAACTTTTAAAAACAAAGTAGATGGAGTGGTTTAATGGTTATTCATTGCCACCTTCTGTTGGACTTTGAGTCTTTGCTCTCAGCCTTTTGCCCTAACCACATTAGTGCTATTAATCATTGTGTTCTACATGGCAAGAAAAACCAGTTTTGAAAATTCTGCATACTTAAATCAAATGCATAATCAGAAAGCCAGAAATGTTAACAGTGAGAACTATCTGTAACACATTAAAAAACAAAACAGAAAAAAGCAAAGCAAAAACTCTCCAGTTCACCTTGCTCATTTGAGAGATGGAATAGGGGGTGAAAGTGAAAAAAAAATAAGCACAATTTATTTCGAAGGGAAAAAATTGAAGTGGAGTTAAGAACCATATTCCTTATAAACACATTTGCATGTTGAACTGGTATTTTAACAATGCTAACATTTACACATTTCTTTAAAAGTTGCTACGGTTTGACTCTGTGTCCCTACCCAAATCTCATCTCAAATTGCAACCCCTTCATGTCAAGGGAGGAGCCTGGTGGGAGGCGATGGGATCATGGTGGCTGTTTCCCCTATGCTGTTCTCATGATAGTGAAGGCGTTCTCACAAGATCTGATGGTTTAAAAGTTGCAGTTTCCTCTTTATTCTCTCTCTCTCTCCTGCCACCTTGTGAAGACATGCCTTGCTTCCCCTTTGCCTTCAGCCATGATTGTAAGTTTTCTAAGGCCTCCCCAGCCCTGCAGAACTATAAGTCAATTAAACCTCTTTCCTTTATAAATTACTCAATCTCAGGTAGTATCTTTATAGCAGTGTGAAAATGAGCTAATACAAAATCACTGCTTTATTACTATATAACTATTAAGAAAAAGTCATAAATAAAAGATAATACTGAGAAAGAAAGAAGTTACAATATGAAATATAAGATGCTGAACTATAACAATAATGCTGATGCCAGTTAATGGAGCCAAAGTATGAGTATTAGACCAGGGGGTAGTACATATGGGTTCTGATAAAAATTCTTCATTGACTGACCATGTGACTCCAGGAAACTGACAGTCTCTCCCTGAATTCTCTTATTTGTAAAGTGAGATCAGTTTGTTGAAATATCAGGTCTTTATAGCTTGAAAATGATGTAATTTTATCCAATAAATATCACTGAGTGCTAAGGTAAGGGCATTTATTGGTAGGTGCTGAAGTGAATACGCAGATTCTTGTAGCCATGTTCTCAAATTTCTTTAATCTACTTCAAGTAGAGAAATCTCATACAAGCAGTTGAGTAAATAAATCCTCACAGAAATGAACAAAATAGATGATGATACCAGCTCTAATACTTGAATAAATCACGTACCATGGGGTCAGAGGGGAAGGAGCCAATATATGTCTTGTGAATCAGATTAATCTATGTATTTGCACATTTGCGCATTTCAAAATTACCTTAAATACTGCCTACTTTTTGCTCCACTTTTATTTCTCTAAATAAAAAACTATTCTTAAGATATGCATAAGATTTCTACTAAGATCATAAACACAATCATATCATTGATCTTTATATATTACAGGATGGTAAACGTGAGGATTAGTACTTGATGAGAAAAACAGCCACTTGGTCTAAAGACCTCAGAAACTATCAAGTCTGTAATATGTGGAGGTGATATTGCCTCTTCTTAAAACAAACCACAGAAGCTAAAGTGTTGTATACGAAGCCAATATTTTCAGACTGTCTGAGGCCATTGATATATTTTAGCCCAGAGTCATGATGCTATGTGGTCCCTGTGACAAATATAGCAGAAAATAAATGTCTTAGTATATTTCTGAAAAATCAAATATTTGCCAACAATTCATCTGAGCCTGAAAACGCCACACAACGAAGATGGAATAATAGCAGACAAGTATTTCATAAATTATTGCCAAATCCAATTGTAATGTGAAAAAAAAGCTTAGCAAAAGTTTATTTTGTCTGCCTTTGGACATATTTTCCTACTCATTCTCTCCTCTTATTGTCCCTAGACAATGCCAGACTGTTAAATTAATTCCCTCTGGTAAGAAATGTGTAAGCAAGTATAACACAGGAAACTGAGCATGAAGTCCCAGTGCTAATTAAATGCTATTGTTGCTTTTCATTTTCCTCAGTACATTAAAAAAACTAAATGTTTTTACCTCTAAGTGTTGGAAACATTGCAAAAACCCATTTAAATTGAACATTAAGTTTCAATCCCTTCGTTTAATTCTTGCTACACTATTAAACAATATGAAATGCATTTATGAGCAGAGCAAAAATGGGTTGCAGCAGGCACATTCTTTTATTTTTCTCTATGTAACTTCAATGTTATCATTTAAACAATATTGCCACAACTATCCACCCATTTTAAGTAATTTGAACATATCTGAAAGTGAAAAATTGAACATTCCTTTAAGTTTTTGTTGAGGCATTTAAAGTTTTCTCCAACTATTAAAGAGAATCATAGTTAAGAACATATTCTAAATGGCCCTGCCAGGCTTCCAATTCCATATACACATATTATGTGGAATTCATGAATGTAACTAAGACTAAACTTGTTGCTAATACCAACCCAGAAACCTTCACATGGCTCATGCCAAGCACATTTGTTTTGAAATGAAGCCAATAACTAATAATGACCATAATGTATTGAATAAGTTAACATACTTGCTACATTCTAATTTATCAAAAATTAGAGTAATCTGGGCAAATTTAGACAAATCAAGAAGGAACAGTTTCCATAATTCCAAACAGTTTTTTTCATTTTCTTTCTATGGGCCAGATGAAGAAAGCAGAATTTGTCTCTTTCTATTGGGAAGAGAACAGGAGGGTTTTCTCTGCTAAGATTATCCATACCCTGGGCAGCAGAGCTTGGGATAATGATGGTCCTTATTAAGTAGATGGAAATTTGGTTAAGCAAGCAGGACTCTGCATCCAGAAAACACTTAGTCACAGGTCAGCACTGTTCAATGCACATGCAATTGGAAAGTTGTGTCCTGTTTGTGCCCCTCCTATGTACCCTCCACACAGCTCTCCAGGTGACTACTATGAAACACAAATCTTGTCATACTGTTCATTTGCTTAAAACCCTTCAATATCACTCTTCCATTCCTCTTAATAGTCAATGCAGGTTTTATATTTAATGCATAGTATAAAAAATAAAATATATCCAACTCAATATTATGTTCTATTTTAAAATAAATTTATGTAAAAATGAGACTGTTTTAAAATGTTACATAAATTACAGTACAGACAGTACAAGACTTGGCAAAAATTGTGATGGTGGGATGTACCTGACTAAAATAGAAAAACATTGTTCTAGAATAAAGTCCAAACTCCTCAGTGGAGAAGATTTTCCATCCAGTTCACTATCCTTCTGGCATTACATTTTTTAGGACCCCATTCCCTGTCCCCTACATTCTACAAGCTTAACATACCTCTAGGAGTTTCCTGAACCTGCCAGACCATTTATTTCTTTCTCATTTATCTGAGGCTTTTGTGTAAGCTGAGTCCTTTGGAATGCCGGCTCATTGTTTGGAACTTTCTTCTCTCTCTCTCCCCTTCTGTCTCCTTTGGGACAGAATTTGCACTAAATGCATTTGCACTAAAATGCATTCTGCATACAATTTCTCATATTTTAATACTTGGTTTGAGTATTAGCTCTAATAGGATGACTTTCCATCCTGCACATTTCCCCAACCTATAACACTGAGCAATTCTCCTGTACTTCCCTGTGTGCTCTGACCATTCCTGTCATAGTATTGCTATTGCACTGAACTCTTTTTACATTCATCTCCTCTGCTACACTGTATCCCAAAACTCAGCACTATTAATGATACATAATTCCAACCAATTATGTTGAACGAATTGTGTCCACTGCTAATTAGTAACCCACGAAATGCTTCTATTTTCCAGCTAATAAGAAAATTGTTAGATTTTTATCATTCTTGTGTTATTTTTGAAGGAACAGTGGGCCATTTATTTTACAATGCATGCCCAGTGCATAAAATGATATTAAGTTATATTGTTTCTTTATGTTAATAATTTCATCTTTTTGACATATATCCACACATTCTTTGATACTCTTCCTTTTAAGAAGTGGATCTTTAAATCCCCTCTCTTGAATATGAACTGAGCTCTCTTTTAAGGAATAGAATACGGTAGAATAGAATGTATGTTCCTTCCAAGATTAGGCTATAAAAAGACTATGAATACGATCTTGGTTGTTCTCTTTCTCCCATGGACCTCTCACTCCAGGACAAGACATACTATCAGACCCATGTGCCAAAGAAATAAAATCTCCTGCTATTAGCCATGAAGTGAGCCTGAAAGTGGGTTCTCCAGACCTAGTCAAGCTTAAAATTATTGCACATCAGTGGACACCCTATTTGAAGCTATAGGCAATACTCAGAGCCAAAATGACACACATAAGCTACATCTGTTCCCAGATTCTTCACCCATAAAAGCTTAGAGATAATAAATGTGTATTGTTTTAAGCCTCTAATTTTAAAGAGAATTGTTACATATAAATAGATAATATCAGACATTTGACCTTGAGCACATTGCTCAATCTTGTTGAATGTGAGTTTCCTTGCATGTAAAATTAACATAATATTTTTAGAATTCGCCTAATAATAAAGAGCACTCTGTGACTTATCCAGTGAAGTGCTTGGGAATATAGAGACATTTAACACATGCTAGATATTTTCCCCCATCTCAAATGTCATGTGGCTTATTCTTTTTAAATATACTTGTTATGAATTAAAGACCCATATGAATATGGTGCTGTGCTGGGCATTATACAAAACAAGGATAGCTGAGACTCTTACATTGGAAGTACCACCCTCATTAACAATTTGATTTTGTTTCTCACATAACAAGTCCATTGAAAAATAACGTCTCTTATGGTAAAGCATAAAAACAGTATTTTCTTCATGTATACTTATTTATTTATTTATTTATTTATTTGAGCTGGAGTGTTGCTCTGCCTCCTAGGCTGGGGTGCAGTAGTGCGATCTCTGCTCACTGCAATCTCCACCTCCCAGGCTCAAGCAATTCTCCTGCCTCAGCCTCCTGAATAGCTAGGACTACAGGCACTCGCCACCATTCCTGGGTATTTGTATTTTTAGTAGAGATAGGGTTTCACCATGTTGCCCGGACTGGTTTTGAACTCCTGACCTCAAATAATCTGCCTGCCTCGGCCTCCCAAAGTGCTGGGTTACAGGCATGAGCCATCACACCCAGCCTTCATATATACATTTTGAAAAAATGTACAACCTTATTACATAAATGGCCATGCATGTGGTAGTAACATACTAGACAAGGGTTTCAGGGATGACTCCCACCCACCCATAATCAAAATGTTTAACAAAGTCTATAATCTTCACCAGAAAACCCTCAGTTAAGGAGTGTAATTAAGGTTTTTCCCCCTTTAAAATGTAAAATATCTTGGAAAAAAGAAAGCACTTCCTAATGATTATTATACTAAAATATATTTGGTCCTTTATAGGTCTCAAATTGTGGTCCACAAACATCCTGACTCTTAATCATCATGTGTGTGTTTGTAGGGGATATTCTTTGTTAAAAATAAAAATTTCTGGGATCCACATAATTCTTATATTCATTTATAATTCTGTCAATGTTTGAGAAAATTCATTAGGGAAAAAAACATCCTTCTGCTTACATACATTTGAGAACATTGATTTACACTGGTATTTAATCTTATCTGCATATGAACGTCTCAATGACTTTAAAACCTCCTCAGGTAACATAACTCTTCAGCCACAAATAAAAACTACTAATGTAGACCTTGCAACCTGACTCATTTTGATCATTTGCATTACACACTTGGTCCTGGAATATATTTGACATTGTACCCTCTCAACTTAGAACATGACCTGTGCTGAAGAGTACAGCATGTTGAAAGTAGAGACACAGACACTATAAGCTTTTACCAGAAGGGAGTAGTCAGAGAGAAAGCTTCCAATTAGTGAAGGTTACTAAAATGATCCAGACTGCTTTTGTGGAAATTACTGATGAGTAAAATACCAGAGAGGGGAAAGGACACCAGACAAAAGAGAAAATTGAATGACTTGAAACTATAAATATAAATACATAAATAAACAACTTCATGATTTATAGTGAGTCTTACTTTCTACAAGAAAAGCAAACACTTTAAGTCACTTCAATCAATGGCAGAAAACAAAACTTTTCAAGTATTTTCTGTTAGGAAACATAGTTGGTGATATTTCTTTCAAAAAATTCCAGAAAGACAGGCCTTAAAGCCAACATATTCTCCCTAAAGTCAAACATGAACAACCTCACATTGTCGTCCTAAATATAGACTCCTTATAGCTTGCCATCCAATGCCTCCACAACATAGCATCAATCTCTCTTCCCAGAATCCCATCCCATCATGCTCCCTGATGTATCCAATATTCTAAGCTATATTGAGTTCATTCTTTCTACGTCTTAAATTTCCTGGCTCTGCACATTTGCTCACACTGACAATGATGTGCTTATTTTTCAAAATACAAATCAAATGTGAAATCCTACTTGGTGACTTGATGACTTTGTATTTCTCTCCTCTTGGAAAGAAATCTACCAGCCTCTGAAACTGTGGAGCACTTATTTCGATTTCTTTTTAACTGTATTATGTTCTACCTTGCATTATCTGTGCACATGTTTAAATATCTAATAAAATAAAGGCAGTATTTCTTGGTAATTCTATTTTCCCCCATCCCCTTTGGCAACTAGAACAAGAAACAGTCTGAAATAATTAAATTGTTTTTATATCCTGTCATATATCTTTTAGCTGCAGCCTGATTTCTTTTCAAACAGCAACTTTCTTAGCACTCTTCCAAATTTGTCACCTGCATTAAAGACCTGGTTTTGAATTTATCCAATGTTCTTTCTCATAGCTAGGCAGGAAAGATCCAAAATATTCTGACAAAGTCCTTGAATTTAAAATTCATGTGTTCAATTTTTCAAAAACACCGGCTTGGCACGGTGGCTCATGCCTGTAATCCCAGCACTTTGTGAGGCCGAGGAGGGCAGATCACCTGAGGTCAGAAGTTTGAAACCAGCCTGGCCAACATGGCGAAAACTCGTCTTTACTAAAAATACAAAAATTAGCCAGGCATGGTGATGGGCGCTGTAATCCCACCTACTCCAGAGGCTGAGGCAGGAGAACAGCTTTAACCCAGGAGGCCGAGGTTGCAGTGAGCCAAGATCGCACCACTGCACTCCAGCCTGGGCAATAGAGTGAGACTTCTTCTCAACAAAAGAAAAAGAAATATGGTTCAAAAACACAGAGCAAAGTTTCATATTATAAAAAATTCTTTTTTCATTTCAAAGCATAACTTTCTCTTTCTTTAGTATAACATCTCTATATTGCTGGTTTTATTACTAGAGAGAATAATATAGAATCCCGTCCACGCTTTTTCATATTTTAACAGCTTTCTATGCCATAGCTGTGATAATGGGCAGGTTGCTGAGCCTGCTGGTCACCTACTTATCTCTCTAAGAGCTCACCTTCGCAAAGCTCTGAAAAAGCGGTTAGTGCTCTTCAGTGGAACCTCCGTAGTCATAACCAAAGAATATTTGCTTTTGCACACTTGGAAGGTGGAATGTTCAGATAATGGATATTTCGTACAAACAGGAAGTCTCATAGTGGCATTAACATTTTTAAAATACTTACATCTGTTTTTACATTGTGTTATTCAGTCCTTTATAAATGTGCCTTCCCTCTTGAGAGATACTTATTGGCCCTTGAATACACAATAGTTTTATTTAATGTTAGAACAGCTCAGAGGAGTGGGTAGCTCCCCTCTGTAGGCAGGTCGTCCTGTGGAGTTTTCAGCTCTCTGCAGAGAGGAGACCCTGGAGAGGAGAGCCCCTCTCTGCAGGGAGGTTGTGGGGACAGTTCTGCAGGTCTCTGAAGCTCTCAGTAGAGAGGATAGCTCCTTTCTTCTCACTGGTTGTCTCTGCAGCTCTAAGCAGAGAGGGTACTCCTCTCTGCAGCTGGTCTTCCATTCCCAGTGTCTCTCTGCCATCTTCCTCTTCTGGCTGTCCTCTGCCCTGATCTAGCTGAGCCCAGGGCTTTTATGGACCTCAGAGGGGAGGAAGCGCGTGCCCACTGGTCCATGGGCAGCCATGGGCAGGCTGAAAGAGGCACCAGGAGTCCCCACTCCAGTCTGCGGGACTGACAGGCCCACCCCCAGCCTTCAGGCCCTCCCTGGCCTGAGGGTGGGGCCTTACTGGGGACCCCGCCCACTTCCGTCCAGGACTCTGTCTGCCTCCTGCCGCCATTCATAGCCCCGGGGCTTGCCCCCAACCATGCTCAGACTTCAGAGTGGGCCCTGGGAGTAGAGAAAGGCCAGGCAGTGGGAGCAGACACACTTGAGCCTGCAGGGACCAGGGTACTTTCTGGGGAAACTGAGGGTACAGGCTGCAGAGACGACCCGGTCCTGTGCCTGGGAGGGCAGCGGCAGTTGCACCCCAGAGCTCCGGCCTTGCCAACACAGAAGAGGCAGGGCTCCTGTTTGTCACCACTCCTGCCTGCTTCCTGGAGTGGGAGGCCCAGGTCTGCAGACGCTGCCACAGCTGCAGACACAGACCTGCTCTACAGAGAAGGCAGGACCCCGCCCTCCAGCTGCAGCTGCACCAGGAGGGTAGATCCTGCCTGTTCCCGGCTCCTACAGGGAGGCTGGGATCCACTGCTGCAGTTTGGGCAGCTGTAGTCCCGCTCAGGAGGGCAGGAGTCCTGCCTGCTCTGAGGAGCAGGCGTGTGTCAGCAGCTGTGGTTTGGGCAGGGCTGCAGCAGCAGGGAGAGCTCCCTACCCAACTGAGAAGGAGCAGGGCTCTCACTGGCTCCATGGAGTGTGCAGTCCCAGCCATGCTTCCCTGCTGCAGCCAGAATGATAGCAGCAGCCACTGCCATCATTGACATGGACCTTCGCAATTCTGGGCACAGGAGATTTTCCCTACTCCCCCACCCCCCACACCCCGCCCCAGAGCTTCCAGACTGAAACATAGAGTGGCATGGATTCTGGTCAGAGCACCCACTTAGGCCTATGCAGAGCCTCATGGACCTTGGATCCCTGAGCACCTTGGCACCAGCAGCTGTAGCCCCATCCTATCCTGGGGGTGTGTGAGGCCATGCTTTCCCACATGCCCCCAGGATAGGGACCGCATCCACAGTGCTAAGGAGTGGATGGACGGCAGGACTCACCTCTGCTGCACCAGGCCAGACAAAGTCAACAGGTCTAGGACTCCAGGGCAGCCACTTATCCTGGGTCTGAGCACTCTAGCTGGTCACAACTCTACATTTCTCTGAGGCAGAGCTCCCAGAAGTAACAGGCTTGCAGCATTTCCCACTGCTGTGGCCCTTGCCCCTGCTGCTCTGAGGCAAGGGAGGGAGCCAAGAACCCAAGAACTGTTGTAGGCCTCCAGCACGTCACAGGTGCTGTATGGAAAGGCAGCCAGACTGTTTTCCACATGGGTTCTTGGCCCTACTACTCCTTACTGGGCAGGGCCTCCCAGCCTGGACCCCCAGCACAGCTGCCCTACCCCTGCCTGATCACTTCAGTTGATGGCCGCTTTGCATTTACCTGGGGTGGAGCTCCCAGAGACAATCAATAGGCCCTCCGGCATTGCCACCTCAGCAGTACCTACCCCTGCCTTCCACAGGCTAGGGAAGGAACAAAGACCTTGATTGCTTTTCTTGCACCTCTTGAAAAACACCACAGCCTCCCTAAGGAAAGGAGGCCAGACTGTCTTCACTGTGCTGCCCCTTCTCCCTCCCTGAACCTCCTCTGCTTTTCACCAGGCAGGGCCCTCTGGCTTGGGCTTCACCAGTACAGCTGCCACCACCCAGAGCTGATCATCCTGATTGCAGCAGCTCTGTGTTTCTCTGGCATGGCGCTCTCAGAGGCAACTGAGGACCCCTCAGCCACTGCCACTGCAGCAGTACCTGCCATTGCTGCCCACAAGATAGCCATTTTAAGAAACAACAAAACTTATCTTCTAGAGCTAAAAATCTACTACAGGAATTTCCTACTAAAATGAGAACTATTAACAGCAGAATATACCAAGCTGAGGAAAGAATCTCTGAGCTTGAATGCTGGTTCTTCAAATCAACTCAGTCAAACAAAAATAAAAGAGAGTTTTAAAAAATGAACAAAATTTCCAAGAGATATAGGATTATATAAAAATAACAAATCTGTGCCTCAGTAGCGTTACCTGAGAGAGAAGGAGAGAAAATAAACAACTTGGAATATATTTGAGAATATAGCTCATGAAAATTTCTCAAATCTTGCCAAAGAGCTTGAGATACAAATCCAAAAAATACAGAAAACCCCAGTGAAATACTGTACAAGACAACCATCCCCAAGGTACGTCCGCGCGCGCGCACGCACGCACACACACACACACACACACACACATACACAAACAACAACAACAAAAAAAAATCTCTTTTTTTTTCTTTTGAGACTGAGTCTCACTCTCTTGGCAGGCTGGAGTGCAGTGGCACGATCTTGGCTCACTGCAGCCTCTGCCTCCTGGATTCAAGCAATTCTCCTGCCTCAGGCTCCCAAGTAGCTGGGATGCATGCCACCACCCCTGACTAATTTTTGTATTTTTAGTAGAGATGGGGTTTCACCATGTTGGCCAGGATGATCTCGATCTCAACCTCATGATCCATCCGCCTCAGCCTCCCAAAATGCTGGGATTACAGGCATGAGACACTGAACCCACCCAAAAAAACTCTTAAAGGCATCTAGAGAGAAGGGTCAAGTCTCATACAGAGGGAATTTCATCAGGCTAGCAGGAGACCTCTCAGCAGAAATCTTACAAATCAGAAAAGATTGAGGGCATATTTTCAGCATTGTCAAATAAAAGACATTCCAAATAAGAATTTCATATTCTGAGAAACTAAGCTTTATAAGTGAAGGAGAAGTAAAATCCATCTCAGACAAGCAAACACTAAGGGAATGCATGTTAAGTAGACTACCTTACAAGAGGTCCTTAAGGGAGTGCTAAACATGGAACCAAAAGAATGACACCTGCTACCAAAAATATACTTAAGCACATAGCTCACAGACACTAAAAAGAAGTCACAAAATGAAGTTTATAGAAGAACCACCTAGTAACATGATAATAGGATCAAAATCTTATGTATCACTACTAACTCAGAATGCAAATGGGCTCAACATCCCACTTAAAAGAGACAAAGTGGCAAGCTGACAAAACCTAACCACATGCTGTCTTTAAGAGAGCCTTCTCACATGTAACAAAACAAACAGGCTCAAAGTAAAGGGATGGAGTAAGAGCTACCATGCAAATGGAAAACATAAAAGAGCAGGAGTTGCCATTCTTATATCAATGAAACAAATTTTAAACCAATAAAAATTAAGAAGGACGAAGAAAGACATTACATAATGATAAAGGGTTCAATCCAACAAGAGAACTTAAGAATCCTAAATATATATATGCCCAACATTTGAGTACCTAGATTCATAAAATAAGTTCTTGGCCTAAGAAAAGACTTAGAGAACCACACAATAATAGTGAGAGACTTCAACACCACACTGACATTGTTATACAGATTATCAAGGCATGAAACTAACAAAAAAATTCTGAACATAAACTCGAGACTTGACTAATTGAACCAAATAGACATAGACAGAACAGTCTACTGAGTAACCATAGGATATACATTCTTCTCATCTACATATGGAACATATTGTAAGATCAACCACATGCTTGGTCATAATGCAAATCTTAATAAATTAAAAAAATAAAATCATACTACAAACACACTCAGATCACAGTAAAATAAAAATAGAAATCACTATCAAGAAGATCTCTCAAAACTACACAAATTCATGAAAATTAAACAACTTTCTTCTGAGCAACTCAGGAGTGATAACTGAAATTAGGACAAAAATAAAAAATATTCTTTGAAATTAATGAAAATAGAGAAACAACCCACCAAAATCTCAAAGCAGTGTTATGAGGAAAGGTTATAGTGCTAAATGCCTTTCTCAAGAAATTAGAAAAATTTCAAATTAACCATCTAAAATTACACCTAAAGGAACTAGAATAATCAATAACAAATCATTTCTCAAGCCACCAGAAGAAAGGAAAAAACTAAAATTAGAGAACCTAATAAAATTGAGATATATCAATCCATACAAAATATCAATGAAACCAAGTGTTGGTTCTTTGAACAAACAAACAAGATTGACAGATCATTAGCTAGATTAACAAAGAAGAAAAAAGTGAAGATCCAAATGAGTACAAACAGAAATGTTAAAGATAACATTACAATTGATCCCACAGAAACACAAAAGATCCTCAGAGAATACCATAAACAATCCTATGCACACAAATTAGAAAGTCTAGAGGAAACAGATAAATTCTTGAAAAAACACAATCTCTCACGATTGAATCAGGAAGACATTGAAACCCTGGACAGACCAATATCAAGCTCTGAAATTTAATCAGTAATAAAACAAACACAAAAACAAAACAGAAAACAAACAAACAAACAAAAACCTGCTAACCAAAAGAAAGCCCTGGACCAGGGGCATTCACAGCTCAATTCTATCAGGCATAGAAATAAGAACTGGTACTAATCCTACTGAAGTTATTCCAAAAAATGGAGGTGGAGGGGCACCTCCCTAATTCATTGTTGGATGCTGGCATCATCCTGATACCAAAATCTGACAAAGACACACATACAAAAAAACTCCAGGCCAATACCTTTGATGAAGATAGACACAAAAATCCTCAACAAAATAGTAGCAAACTGAATCCAGCAGCACATGTAAAAGTTAGTACACCATGACCCAGTAGGCTTTATTCATCGGATGCAAAACTGGTTTAATATATGCAAATCAATAAATGTCCTTGAGCACATGAACAATTAAATACAAAAACTTATAATTATCTCACTCAATATAGAAAAAGCTTTTAATAAAATCCAACAGCCATAATTACAAAAACCCTCAATGAACTGGGCATCGAAGGACTATACCTCAAAGGAGGAAGAGTGATGTATGACAAACCCACAGCCAACTTCATACTGAATGAGAAAAAGCTGGAATTATTCCTGTTGAGAACTGAAACAAGACAAAGATTTCTGCTCTCACCACTCCTGTTCAACATATTACTGGAAGTCCTAGCCAGAGCAATCAGGCAAGAGAAAGAAATGAAAGGCATTCAAATGGAAAAAAGAAGTCAAACTCTCTCTTCACTGGCAATGTGATTCTACGCCTAGAAAAGTCTAAAGACTCCGCCAAAGGGCTACTAGAACTGATTAACATTTTTAGTAAATTTTCAGGATACAAAATCAATGTACAAAAATAAATGGCATTTCTATACATCAATAACAATGAGGCTGAGAGTCAAATCAACATCACAATCCCATTTACAATAGCCACAAAGGAAAGAAAATATCTGGGAATAGAGTTAACCCAGGAGGTGAAAGATCTCCACAAGGAGAACTACAAAACACTGCTAAGAGTAATCAGAGGTGACACAAACAAATGGAAAAACATCTCATGCTCGTGGATTAGAAGAATCAATATCATTAAAATGGTCATATTGCCCAAAACAATTTACAGATTCAATGCTATTCCTATCAAACCACCAATGCCATTCCTCACAGAACTAGAAAAAACTATTCTGAAATTCATGTGTAAACAAAAAAGAGCCTGAAGAGCCAAAGCAATTCTAATGCAAAAAGAACAAAGTCAGAGGCATCACACTATCCAACTTCAAACTAAACTATAAGGCTATAGTAACCAAAACAGCATGGTACTGATACAAAAACAGATACATAGACCAATGGAACAGAATATAAAACACAGCAATGAATCCTCACACTTATAACCATCTGATCTTCAACAAGGACAACAAAAATAAGCAACAGAGAAAGGATTCCCTATTTAATAAATGATGCTGTGGTAACTGGGTAGCTATATGCAAAATAATGAAACTGGATTTCTATCTTTCACCATATACAAAAATTAACTTAAGATAGATTCAATATTTAAATGTAAGATCTCAAACTATAAAAATCCCAGAAGAAACCTAGGAAACACCATTCTTGACATCAGCCTTGGGAAAGAATTGATGGTGAAATGCCCAAAGGTAATTTCAACAAAAACAAAAATTGACAACTGAAAACTAATTGAACTAAAGAGCTTCTGCATAGAAAAATAAACTGTCAACAGAGTAAACAGACAACTTACAGAATGGGAGAAAATATTTGCTATGAATCCGACAAAGGTCTAATGTCCAGAATGTATAAGGAATTAAGCAAATCAACAAGCAAGAAACAAACAATACCATTAAAATGGGCAAAGGACAGGAACAGACTCTTCTCAAGACATAGAAATGGCAAACAAACATGAAAAAATGCTCATCACTAATCATCAGAGAAATGCAAATCCAAACCACAATGAGTTACAATCTCACACCAGTCAGAGTGGCTAATAAAAGATCAAAAAACAACAGATGCTGGTGAGTCTTCAGAGAAAAGGGACCACTACACATTGTTGGTGGGAATGTAAATTCGTTCAGCCACTGTGGAAAGCAGTTTGCAGATTACTCCAAGAAGTAAAAGTAGATATACCATTTGACCCAGCTATCTCATTACTGGGTATATACCCAAAGGAAAATAGATCATTATACTAAAAAGACACAGAGTCATATGTTTATCTTTGCACTATTCATGATAGCAAAGACATGGAATAAACTCAGGTGCCCACCAATGGTGAACTGGCTTTAAAAAACTTGCTATATATACACCATGGAATACTATACAGCCATACAATGAAATCATGTCTTTTGCAGAAATATGGATGAAACTGGAGACCATAATCCTAAGCAAATTAACACAGGAACCGAAAACCCAACACCATGTGTTTCTACTTATAAGTAGGACTAAATATTGAGCACCCACAGGCATAAACATGGGAACAATAGATACTGAAAACTGCTAGAGGTTGGGGGGGAATGGGTTAAAAAACTACCTATTGGGTACATTGCTCACTACCTGAGAGCAATATACTTATGTAACAAACCTGCACATGTACCCCCTGCATCTAAAATAAAAGTTGAAAAAATTTTATTTTAATGAAAATAATACAAATAGATACGACAAATAGATTTTGTGGTTAATATAAAACAAAATTGTTACATTGCAAACAATAAAGAAATGAAAGTAAAATTTTATATATATCAGAGACATTGAACATTGTGCCATGAAATCTTTTATAAGTGTACATTTCATCCTGAGACTTGCACCACCTATAAGGATCTCCTCCAGAGAACACAAAATATTATTAAAAATGCATCTTTTAAGAATACTAATTATAAAATCATCATCATCATCATCATCATCATCATCATCAAAGAAATAATTCTCCAGCTTTGCCTAGGTAAGACTACATCATGATTAACAGATAATAATATCTCCAGTCTCTTGGTCTTATTATAAACATATTATGTTTCAAGCGATTGCAGCTTGAAACAAGCCATTGTGATTACTCAACATTGTTTGCTCTACTTCCGTGCTCATGAAGCCAAACATGTAAACAATGCAACAGGGACCCCCAACCCCTAGGCCATGGAAATGGTACTGGTCCATGGCCTGTTAGGAACCTGGCCTCACAGCACGAGGTGAGCTGTGGGAGAGTATAACTGCCTGAGCTTTGCCTCCTGTCAGATCAGCCATGGCATTAGATTCTCAAAGGGACGCAAACTCTATGGTGAACTATGCATGTGTGGAATCTAGGTTGCATACTCCTTATGAGAATCTAATGCCTGATGATCTGGGATGCAGCAGTTTCAGCCCGAAACCATCTCTCCTCCTGCTTTGTCTGTGGAAAAAATGTGTTCCAGGAAACCGGTCCCTGGTGCCAAAAAGGTTAAGAACCACTGCATACAGGTTTTCCTTCCACAAACGAATGTGCTAGTCTCATGGAATATTCTGGTGCATATACATTGAATATTCTGGTGTATAAACATATTTTCATGTTTAGATTAATAACATGATATTCTCCTTCAATTAGTGTTTTCATATTTTTTTCTTTTTTACTTTGGGAGATCATGGACAACCTAATATATTTTATACACACAACAATGTATTAGATGACCAGCAAATGCACCTACAAGAAAATGCATAAATAATTGGGGAGAACTTCAAGATCCCTCAGAAATGTATACAAAGATACTAATTTACAATAACTCCCAAAAAATTAGAGATTCCAAAAGAAAATTCCAGAATCATGTCTCTCCAGTAAATTTTATTTATTTATTTTAATGGAACACTGTAAAATTACTAACGTTCTTTTAGCCATGGCTAATCTCAAAATTCAAGACTTTAAGAAATAAAAGAGTGAAATGGGGGACACAAAAAAGATACGAGTTTAGATATTTCTGATTCTAGAGGTTTATTTCTCTCTAAAGAGAGAAAATAAACTATTTTTTAATACTAAGGTTTGTTTTCTACTTAAGCTGTAGCTCAACAGTGACGAATCTGAAAGACCAGCCATGTTACTGCTATTGTCTGTAAAATTGTTTTCTCTGCACTCCCCTTTCTTATTATCAAAGAATAATGATTGAAAAATCTGTACAAAATGGCATACAGGTCAGAGCCAAACCAAATCTCAAGTCTCAAATATTTAGCCTATACAGCCTTTTTTTCTGGGGACTCTGTTCAACTAGCTGCTTCTAAACTTTCTTTTAGCTTGCCCTTTGCTGGAGATTTACTCAGGAGCAGCTCATGGCACTAAGTGCAGGAGGCACTGGTTTGAGGCTCAGAGCCCCTGGATTTTAAAACTGGCACTGCCTGCTGGGCATGGTGGCTCAGGCCTGTAATCCCAGCACTTTGGGAGGCTGAGGTGAGCGGATCACCTGAGGTCGGGAGTTCCAGACCAGCCTGACCAACATGGAGAAACCCCGTCTCTACTTAAAAAATACAAAATTAGCCAGGCGTGGTGACACATGCCTGTATTCCCAGCTAGTTGGGAGGCTGGGGCAGGAGAATCACTTGAACCCAGGAGGCAGAGGTTGCAGTGAGCCAAGATCACGCCATTGCACTCCAGCATGGGCAACAAGAGCAAAACTCCATCTCAAAAAATTAAAAACAAAAAACAACAACAACAGAAACAAAACTGGCACTGCCAACAAACAATACACTGTGTGTACTCAGTCAATCCACTAACCCTGCCAATTCTCTGGATCTTCATTCATAGATAATTCTAGGTATTTTTAAGCATTTCAGAGGTTAAATAGGCCTCCCTCAGGTTTCCTCCTGATCTGTTAGTCTATGGCTTGCATAATCTTTGATTTGGCTTTTATCTATGGCATCAGTTCACTCACTCATCTACAGAGTGAAATATGTAAAGAAGGATGGCAGCAGGAATTTTCTTTCCCAGTGTACGGGTTCAAATGCTAATTCCTTTCAGAAACACTTTTACAGACACATCCGGAAGTAATGTTTTACCAGCTATCTGGCTATCCTTTAACCTAGTCAAGTTGACACAAAAATTAACCATAAAACTCACTTGCAATGCGTAAATCATTAATTAATCAAGATGTGCAGAGACAGAAGACACAATAAAGCACTACCTCTCACTAATATGTTTCCTAAAGTAACACACCCAAACTGCTTTGTGTGGAGTACACATATCAACACCACATCCACCACACACACAATATAATGCATTACTCTTTCTCTAAACTCATTCAAGTTTAACTTAGTCTTCAAGTCTTAGAAGGTGCTTATTATTTTCCCTTGTCTCATTCATCTTTCTGTTCTTTCAATCCTTTTGTAAGACTCCTGCTTTTGGATTCCCTCTTTGTATCTTTCCTCTGAATCAGAAAAATAATTGAACTGGAGGTGAAATGTATACTCAATCATCTTAGAAATTATCTGCAACAATTTTGGAGTCATTCTTTAATCAAAACAAAAGAACAAGCTAACCTCTGCGCTGGGTACAGCAAATGGAGGCCAGGGTGACAAAGTTATTATATGTGTATTCAGAGGCACTTGTGCTCAAACTATGCATAGTCTAACCACTATTTACATTAGAATAACACAGATTAAATATTGTAAAAGGGAGCATATTAGGATTGAAGGGAAGGAAATCATATCTATTTGGAAAAATAAAAAAAATAGAATGTGTAATTGTTTGAATATTTCTTTAAGGATAGAATAGATAGAAATTTGAATGATTACGGCAAAGATGGGGAAGGACATTTCGAGAAAAGATTACATGAACAATGACAGGGAAGTGGGAGTCATTGATGCAATGCAGGAACAGGAAGTCGGCCAGTTTAGTTAATTTACAGGGTAGGAGCAAGGTAATCATGGATGATAATGCTACAAAAGTAGGTAGGTGTTTGAGTTACAGCATTTGTACTTCAGCTGACTAATGCATGAGAGCCTTTGAGAAGTTTTAAAACAGATGTGTGCTGTTATTTGGCCTCTGTCAGCATGATGTAGCAGGGGTGCGCTGACTGAGAAAAGCGGTAAGGCACTACTAAAATGATCAGGTATGTGATAATCAAGGGCTAAACTAATTTGTCTATGATGGTGATATTTAAATCTACAGAAATTGGTTACTAATCTTACATTTGGAGAAAGTGTATACTGAATACTTTGGAGAATTCCACAGAAACACAGTAACCAGGAGAAAGAGAAGATATTGATTCAAGATGATGTTTTCAATTTAGATAAAGAGGATTTAAAGCTCTTGGAACTTCTACAGAGATGTATCAATGTAGAGCAATAAAAAAATAATAAAACATACATTAGCAAGAATCATAAACAGCCATTTATTCTAACTAACTCTATTGAACACCTACACATTTTTTTCTCATAGCCCCTAAAGTACGGGTGCTCCCAGCGAGCAAAACCAACAAGAATTCATGAGGAATAAATAAAAACTAACATAAAAATGCAGTCTCCCCAGGCATTCAGAACAGAAGCCCTAGCTGTAAGTTAAAGAATGAAATTACGTCCCATTAACAGGTAAGGGAGCAATTTTAGAGTATTTGGTTGTTGTTGAATAATGATAAAACTAAATAAATATTCCCAACTTATCTCTATAAATTATATTTATTATATAACCATAGTATAATAGCATTAAAGAAAATTGAAAAATAAAACTATCTTTCTGACAATAATTTTTTTCATCCCTAAGTCTTTTCCACATTCATGTAAATTCATATTTTCATAGTTAACCAATCATGCCATTTAATATTTTGTTTTTAAATGCGTTTCAGGTTGTCACATAGACTTCTCATTCATGTGTTTTTAGTGTCTGAATAGCAATCTCTTGAGTGCACTTGAAAACATTTATATACTTCATTCAGCTGTGATGGGAGGTTTAGTCTATTTTAAATTGTGTTTATTTTACTTAATGTTGTAATGATGATCACTCTTGGTACCAGCCTCTCTAGACAACTTGTATCACTGACCTAGACACATGACTCTGGTATGCCAGAAACTTCTACAGGGAAGACATTTTGCCTTTTTCATTATTGTACCTGCTAAATATAGTGCATATTTGAGCCCAATAATGTTTTAATGAATTGCTTTTTTTTTTTCTTTTGGTCATTTTTAGGATACACTTCTTAGAATAAAGAGGAGAATGAAAAGTCATTACTAAAGAAATTGATGCATTTATGTTTATAATTATGCTGTCAAAATGTGTTAATATTATTTATTCTAGCACTGAGAGTCAACAAACATTTATTAAGACTCCACTCTGTGACAGCATTATGCTAAGAACCTGAGATCAAAGACAAAAACCAACAAACAGACAAATATGATTGTTGAGCTCAAGAAGCTCACACAAACAGTTAATGGATATTCCTTGTCACCATTCCTTCTCCCTTCTTGAACTAATTTCTTTCTAGAGGGTAGCCTCCTCCCCAGGGGATACAGAATAAAGCATCCCATGTGTGATGGTTAATAGTAGGTGTCAAACTGATTGAATTGAAGAATGCCTAGATAGCTGATAAAGTATTGTTCCTGGGTGTGTCTGTGAGGGTGTTGCCAGAGGAGATTAACATTTGAGTCAGTGGACAGGGAAAGGAAAACCAAACCTCAATGTGGGTGGGCATCATCCAGTCAGCTGCCAGTACAGCTGGAACAAAGCAGATGGAAGAAGGTGGGTTGAGCTGGCTTGCTGAGTCTTCCAACCTTCATCTTCATGTTTTCTGCCCTTGGACATCAGACTCCAGGGTCTTCAGCCTTTGGACTCTTGGACTTACACCAGTGGTTTGCCAAGGACTCTCAGGCCTTTGGCCACAGACTTAAGGATGCACTGTTGTCTTCCTTACTTTTGAGGCTTTTGGATTCAGACTGAGCCCTTACTGGCTTCCTACCTCCTCAGCTTGCAGACGGCCTATCATGTATATGAAAGGCTTTTCTCATATATATGAAAAGGGTTTATTAAGGAGAATTGACTCACACGATCACAAAGTGAAGACTCACAATATATACAAACATATATATACATATGTATATGTATTGATAACCTCAGCTTGCAGATGGCCTATCATATATATGAAAGGCTTTTCATATATATATATATGAAAAGGGTTTATTAAGGAGAATTGTCTCACACAATCACAAGGTGAAGTCTCACAATATATAAAAACATATTTGTAAATATATGTATACACATATATACATATATATATATATAATGTGTGTGTGTGTATATATATATATATATATCTCCTATTAGTTTTGTCCCTCTGGGGAATCCTATATACCATGTAAAGTTAAATCATCCCATGCCCTGCCCAAGTTATAGACAGGTGACCCAAGCTATGTCAATTGGAGTCTCCCTCCCTGGAATTTTAATCTTTAAGTATAGAATGACTACATTCATTCATGAACTCAAACGTATTTACAAGAAAAAAAAACCCCATCAAAAAGTGGGCAAAGGATATAAACAGACACTTCTCAAAAGAAGATATTTATGCAGCCAAAAAGCACATGAAAAAATGCTCATGCTCACTGGCTATCAGAGAAATGCAAATCAAAATCACAATGAGATACCATCTCACACCAGTTAGAATGGCGATCATTAAAAAGTCAGGAAACAACAGGTGCTGGAGAGGATGTAGAGAAATAGGAACACTTTTACACTGTTGGTGGGACTGTAAACTAGTTCAACCATTGTGGAAGTCAGTGTGGCGATTCCTCAGGGATCTAGAACTAGAAATACCATTTGACCCAGCCATCCCATTACTGGGTATATACCCAAAGGATTATAACTCATGCTGCTATAAAGACACATGCACATGTTGTTTATTGTGGCACTGTTCACAATAGGAAAGACTTGGAACCAACCCAAAGGTCCAACAACGATAGACTGGATTAAGAAAATGTGGCACGTATACACCATGGAATACTATGCAGCCATAAAAATGATGAGTCCATGTCCTTTGTAGGGACATGCATGAAACTGGAAACCATCATTCTCAGCAAACTATTGCAAGGACAAAAAACCAAACACTGCATGTTCTCATTTATAGGTGGGAATTGAACAATGAGAACACATGGACACAGGAAGGGGAACATCACACTCCGGGGACTGTTGTGGGGTTGGGGGAGTGGGGAGGGATAGCATTAGGAGATATACCTAATGCTAAATGACGAGTTAATGAGTGCAGCACACCAACATGGCACATGTATACATATGTAACAAACCTGCACATTGTGCACATGTACCCTAAAACTGAAAGTATAATAAAATTTTTAAAAAAGTATAGAATGACTACAAACATCTGGGTTCATTTCACATTGGGTTCTCTGCTACAAAACTAGTGTTATCTGCATGGTTTCTAGGCTTGTGAGCTTGCTCTTTCCTAATCCAGTGCCAGGCTTTTTTCCCTCTCATTGCCTCTTTCCTATTATGAGCTCCTGTTGTTCTGCCAATAAACTACTCCTGTTTTCAAGGTGGCCAAAGTCAGTGTTTCTTGTAACAAGAGAGGCATGGATGAAACTAATAATAGAAATTGAGAAGACAGCACAAGTGGTGGGATAACAATTGACACTGGGAAACAACCAGGGGTATAACTGACACAGCTGGGAAGCTCAAAGAGTAACTACAGTCTCACCAAGATAGAAGGACGGGAGATCCACTTACAAATATGTGCTAATCACACACACACACACACATACATTTTAAATATGTATAGTTATAATTGGCATATCTAATTCCTAGGTCATTCCCCACTTAAATATTTATTCTACTTTCTCATGAAAAAATATGCAATTTTGAAAATGATCCCTTTTTTATTGGAAAGTCAGAGACAAGGGATACACTCAGAACACAAGGTCCTTTGTTCAGAGAGTTTTGTGTGTGAAACGGTAAAACGAGCTCTTGCTACTTAGAAAGGCGGGTGGTAATAGGGCCTGAATTTATTATTTAGGTGCACAAAGAACAGGAGAAAACAAATGACATTGAAAATTTCCTTCCTCCAGAAGTTTGCTGAAACTTTTTTAGAGCTTATCTATTAAACAGCTGGAGTTCCTAACTTGTCAGCTTATGTTAATTATGAGTTATCTCACCTCATTTTATTTTAAAAGAAAGTCTATGCATGAACTACTTCTAACAATAAGAAGAAATTAAACATCACTAAACAGATGTGAGCAATAAAGCATAAAAAAATTATAAACTTTAAAACATATTTGTTGAAGGGCTGCATGTATTTAACATAAACGTAACCACCAAATAGTCTTTTTCTGAAAATAGCTTTGCATTGTCTGAAAATAAACCTTATTTAGTCTGAAGAATTAATTCCAGAATGAGACCTAACCCTGAGGAAGGTGACTGGACTTTGAAGTCAGAAAAACCTGACTACTGATCCCAGCTTAACAGAGAATAGTGGGATCCCACTTAATTCATGTCGCTTCTCAGAGTTTCAATTTCCTACTATATCAAATGGCTCACACCATGAACACTTACATCCAAGGGTTTTTGTTAGGAATAAAGAAAATAAACGTAAAGTACTAGACCCCTAATAGACAACATATCCATGGCAGATGTTTCTTGAAAATTGATTGTTTTCCTAATGATTTCTATCTTGCTCTGGGAGAGCTTGTATCCAAAAAGGATTCACTCCTCTTTATGGTAATTTAGAAATATGTTAGAGACTCATTTTCTAGCTCTTAAATATACTTCAGTGACTGTTTAAGATTACATTATGGAATGTTCCCTAATACACTGGTTATAACTTTCACTTGTCTTTCCAGTAAAAACAAACAAACAAACAAAAAACGTGGAGCCAAAACCTTTATGGTATATTTCAGATATTGTCACAGCCCAAATCCCATGGTGAAATGTCATCCTCAATGTTGGAGGTGAGGCCTTGTAGGAGATGATCAGATCACAGGGGCAGAGTTCTCATGAATGGTTTAGTACCACCCTCCTGGTGCTGTATCTTTGCAACGGTGAGTTGTCTCGAGATGTGGTCACTGAAAAGTGTATGGTACCCCCCTCTCTACCTCTCTCTCTCCTGCTTTTGCCATGTGACATGCAAGCTTCTGCTTTGCCTCCCACCATGACTGTAACCTTCCAGAGGCCTCTCCAGAAGCAGATGCCACTATACTGCCTGTCCAGCCAGCAGAACGATGAGCCAATTAAACCTCTTATAAATTACTCAGTCTCAGGCATTTCTTTACAGCAATTCAAGAACTGCTTAATATACTACATATGACGAAGAAGCCAAAATAAGCATTTTGAAGGCCTCAATTTAAAAAAATCAGCATGTCATAAACATAAGAAACTAGAGTAAATAATATGTTTCCTGTAAATCAGAATTTCCAGGATGTATAGTTTCTATTAACCCATTTTTCCATTCACTTCAGTGGTATACAGGGCACATATATAAGTGGTTTTGCTTCCATTTCATATATATATATATAAAATTATATATCTCATTATATAAAATGTATATATATATTTACATAATGCATAATGTACCACACCTCCAATACTATACTATGTTTCCATGACATTTAACATGAAAACATTTTAAAATTTAAAAATAAGAGAAAATGAAAACAAATACTGTCTTCGCTTATTTGAGAAAAAAATTTGCAAGACAAAAATGGAGCAGAATGAAATTAAATATTATACAAAATGTGATATACGTATGTATAAATAACACATTTTGTATAATGAGATATATAATTACATTACATATCTCAACTATATATATAATTCTGATTATATATCTATATATATAAAATATAGACATGGAATCAGCTCAGGTGCCTATCAATGGTGGACTGGATAAAGAAACTTGGTATATATAGATATATATCTATCCCTTTGTTCTTTATTTTTCTAGCTCCTTTAGGTACAAAGTTAGATTGTTAATTTTGGATTTTTCTAACTTCTTGGGAAAACTTGGCTATATATATAATATCTATATCAATATATAATTATATATCAATTATATATATAATATATATGATTATATAGATATTATATATAATTATATTGATATAATTATATATCTCTATATATAAATTATATATTGATGTATAATTATATATCTATATATAAAAATTATATATTGATGTATAATTATATATCAATATATAATATCTATATATAGTTGAAATTTTATACATACATTTTGTATAATGAATTATTGTAATACATGATTTCTGAAGTATTTTATTATTAAGTAATATTTTCATTAAAGAAGAAAAAAAAGAAAAGGAAAGGCAAGAATCCTAGGTCACAGAAAGGTCACAGAAGAGTATCAGCTATGAAGGTGGATGAGGATGGCTAAGCTGGAATATCAGCTCTGATTATGGTCTCCTTGATTTTCCATGTATTAATGTATGTTATAGCACTTATATATCTACAATATACCTCTTCTCATATCCCTAGAATATTGATAAGTGTTTTATATATAATATTTTATTTAATTCTGACAAAATCTTGTGAAACAGGATCCAGGCTCAAGAGGTGTCTTTTCCACTTTGCTCCATTTGTTCAGGCACTCATTCAGACATAGAGTCTACCTTGTTTGAGGGATGACACCAAGCATTAGACACAAAGTGATAAACAACTTAGCTTTGACTTGAATGTTCACTGTTTACTATCAGCAGAAGATATGAAAGATGTGATATTAGCATCTTCTATTAATTGCAAAAATAAAGATAGGCTGAGGAAAGATTGGTCCACTTTAGATGCACAGAGCTACAGAGAAGGAGAGTTCAGCAGGACTGCCAGCAGGACAAGTGACTGGTAGATGGAGATTGGAGGTAAGTTCAAGGAAAATGTTGCAACATGTGTAAAGCAAAGATAGGAAATAGCACATACGTGGAAGTAAATACAGCATTTTGTGATTGGGTGCATGGTAGATGGGACAATAAAAATAGGTAAACCCCTATAAGAATCCTAGAAACCACCACATATCCAGCACAATACTATTCATGTTTCTCTGACATTTGACATGAAAACATTATAAAATTGAAAAACAAAAGAAAATGAAAAAAATTGTCCTTGTTTAATTGACAAAAAAAATAGCAAGACAAAAATGGAGAATTGAACTAAATATCAATTGTAAGTGAACTAGAGATTATTTTACATTACATGTCATTATTCTAAGAAAAATTGCTTGGTTGGTCTAGTGCAAAACGGATGAACTTTGGGAAGGGTAAGACCTGTGTTAAACTGCCAGCTCAACTAATATCTACTCTAGTTACCTAGCCTCTGTTCATTTTTCTTTCCTAATTTATACTCTGGGACTGGTAGCATTTATAGACAGGGTTTAAGACTAATAGAGATGGGTATAGAGTACATAATGTATTTTAAAATATTCTAACTAAAATATAAAATATTTTTTAAATGTATATATTTTTACTGTTTAAAAATATTTTGTACTTTAAAACAAGGAAAAATTATGATCAGATATATATGATCAGATATATAACACTTCTTTTCGCAGTAACTCCTAGCAGTGAAAATGCATGATGTCTGCGTATAGCATTCAGAAAAAAACTACTGCCATCTGGCTTTTAGCAAAGTGTTTGCACTGTTGAGCAGAGCGATAGAAAAGAACCCTGTAGTTCTAGAATAGGAACATGTAATCTTAGAATTTTTAACCATTTTAGACAGTTTGCCATTTAGGCGATGATACCAAAAAGGAAAAAAAAAATCAGAGTTGCATTAGCCCACATAGCTTGACTTATCCTCTCATAGTTTCCTTGGCTTTGGTCTGACAAATTACGCCTGCAAAAATCTTGGGTCCTAATCAGCACAATGGGGTCACATAACCATAGTTTTCATTAACCTGATTTCAGGTTGGAGGCCACTGCTCCTTTTACCTATGTGTGTCAAAATATTTATCAAATTATAGTCCTCTCCCCACACACAAAATGCTTCATGCATGTCACAGAAGATCGTGATAAAGAACATTTTATTTTTCATGCCGTTTATAAGAATAATATAAAGAAAGGCTTTGCAGAAATTAAAATAATTTATTCTCCTGTTATTGCTAAGAAAAAAATAAGCAAATACATGTTTCAGTAGTGTTAAAAGACCCCTACTGGTTTATTAAACTTATTTTCACCATTCAAACAATTAAATGCAAGCCTGAAAATAAAAATTGAGCTCTTACTATGCATAAGACATTAACACTGTGTGATATAAAATGTTAGATTAGACATAAATCCTGCCCTTTTCAAATTGTTCCAAATCTAGTGGAGGAAATAAAATGTAGAAAAACAATGTTAGCAAAAAGTCAGTGCTATGTCAGAAATACAAAAATATTATGATTTTTAAACTATAAATATTCATGGAAAACCTTCAAATGGCCCTACAAAATAGAGGATAAAATGAAATAGAAAACAAACACACAAAATATCAACTCATTAACAAAAAGGTAAAAAATGAAGCAATGCCGACATTGTACTTGGGGTAAGTAGATAGAAGTCTAGGTCTGGCACAGTGGCTCACACCTGTAATCTCAGCACTTTGGGAGGCTGAAGTGGGAGCATCACTTGAGCCTAGGAGTTTGAGACCAGCCTGGGCAAAAAAGTGGGACCTGTCTACGTACAATGTTTTTTTTTTTTTTTTTGAGACTGAGTTTCGCCCTTGTTGCCCAGACTGGAGTGCTATGGCGCGATCTCGGCTCACCGTAACCTCTACCTCCCAGGTTCAAGCAATTCTCCTGCCTCAGCCTCCCGAGTAGCTGGGATTACAGGCATGATTTTTTTTAATAGCCTGGCATGATGATGTATACCTGGGAGGTAGAGGCAGCAGTCTTCTGTGACCATGCTACTGCACTTCACTCCAGTCCAGATGACAGAGCAAGATCCTGTCTCAATAAAAAAAAAGTCCAAATACGTCCGTACCCACAACAAATATATATTACTTAAACATGCTAGGTAAAAGTCAGTGTTTGTCTAATTGAATAGAATAAGTACATTTTAACAATATATCTTAGAGATATATACAAGGATAGACGTGAAGTAGAGAGGAAAATATAGACAAAATACTAACCAGAGAATACCAATACAGCTTTATCAATATTAGATAACATATACTGCGATAAAACATTTGTTTCAGGAGAGTTACAATATATGGATAAAAGGCTAATTACCAGGATGATATATAAATTCTAACATATGTGTGCTTAAAATTTGACAGACGTGCAGAAAGAAATGTACAAATACGGCATTTTGTGGAACAATGTCAGTAATTGACTCTTAAATATAAATAGCTAAAAAATTGATAAGTGTTTAGAATAGTTGAAGACAATAAATCACTAATAAAAATTTAAATTTATTAACATATGTAAAATCCTACACATAAATTAGGTAATATACATTCTCCTCTAGTATACATGGAATTTTAGCAATATGGGTCATAAAAGAAGACTCAACTTTAAAAAAAAATTTATATTCTAAAACTCATATTCTATAACCAAATAAAATTAAATTAGAAATAGAACTATCCCCCATATACTTCTAAATTTAACCAATAGATGTTTTACATTCTCACCACAAAAAAAGATGTTTGTGAGATGATTAATACGTTAATTAGCTTGATTGAAGTATTCTGTAATGTATACATAGGTCAAAACATCACATTATACTCCATAATGAAACAAAATTATTTGTCAACTAAAAAATAAATTAATTAAAATACACCTAAAAAAATCATGTAACCAAGAGAAAATTAAGTAAATTTTTTGGTAATTCTTAGAACTTATAATGAAAATGCTACGTTTCAGATTTTCCAACCGCATCTCTAATAATGAGACAGCAAGGTGGGAAGGGGTCCCCAGAGAAACTCCAGCCGACCTGGGCACTGGGAAGAGCGCCACAGAAGTCATGCTGTTTACAGTGGGGAGGAGCCTGGTCCCTCCTCTTCCTGGGTGGAACCTGGGATTCATTCTGTGAGGAGGCAAATGCAGGAACAGATCTCTGACCTTGCGGAGAGTCCCTGTTCCCCTTTTTTCCTTTTCACCCAGTAAACCCTGCCCTCCTCACCCTTCAGATTGTCTGCAAGCCTAGTTTTTCATGTCCGTGTGAAAAGGACCCCCATCTTTAGCTGAACTAAAGAAAGAGTCCTACAACAGTAACTTACAGAGTAAGATACATGGCCTCAAAGTTTTTATATTCAAAAAAGAAAAAGAGTAAAATAACATGCTAAGCATCTGAAGTATACTACTTAAAAAGTACAAGGTAAAATAAAAGAGGGTTAAAGGTATGTGATTATAAAGCTAAAAGAAGAAAATTTGAAACAGAAAACAGAGCTGAAGCCGGACGAGGTGGCTCACACCTGTAATCCCAGAAATTTGGAAGGCCGAGGTGGGTGGATCAACAGAGATCAGGAGCTGGAGACCAGCCTGGCCAACATGGCAAAACCCCATCTCTACTAAAAATACAAAAATTAGCTGGGCTGGTGGCATGCACCTGTAATCCCAGCTACTTGGGAAGCTGAGGCACAAGAATCCTTTGAACCTGGGAGGCGGGGGTTGCAGTGAGCTGAGATGGAGCCACTGCACTCCAGCCTGAGCTACAGAAAGATTTACATTTCAAAGCAGGCAGATAAAGAATTTACAGTTGAATATTTTCTAGAGTTAATGCTCTAAGAAAACACAAGTGATGATCCTATATTCAGGAAGAAGTCTGTTTGAAGTTGAATCAAACTGAGGAGAATGTTAATACTCTTTTAGAGTATTTTTTTGTTTCTATTTCTGAAATGAGGTTGATAGTTTTTTACAATTTTAAAAAGTGGGCACAATAATGATGAAAAGTTGTGTTTAAATAAGAAATTTATTCCTTTTGGAAGAGTATTGACATACTTGATAAAGGAGGTGAGAAGTCTAGAAACTGGGTCTATCTTATAAGATGAATGGGATTTTGACCTGGAGAATAAAAGACTACTTGAGGAAGAGCAATTAGTCTTAAATGACATCAAATAGTCTTAAATGACATCAAATGGAAAGAGGTAACAGAATGGAGGTCGGGAAGCATGGAAAGTAGTGTGTGTATTACTCTAGGGAGAAAGCTTCAATAGTTGAAGGCTATGTTGTATTAAGTTGATGACAGTTTCATCTCCAGGCAGAGGAATTTCAACTTTATCGTTTAGACACTGGAGAAGAAAAGTTGGTATCTAAAGAGTACTTTTTAAGTTTCACCTGAGTCTCACAAATAATTATTCATAGAGTTACTATTTAAAATTTCAGTCATTGTCAAACAATTCTGTTAAAATTTCATATAGCATTAAAACAATAGCTGAAAAATTCATAAAATAAGCCTTCATAGGTGTTTCAAACTCCATTGCAGAAGTGTCTAAAAGTGTTAATACATTATGAGATAAAAGTAATGTAAATAATATCTATTCAAGAAGAGAATGAGCCCATATTAACCATTAGAAATAGGAAATTAATACAAAAGTATTTTGCAGACAAATATTCCTTTGCTAAATTGAATAACTAATTCCTACGCAACAGGTATTTGTTATTATTTCAATGTGAAATAAATCCTTGTTTACATCAGAATAAGTTTGAGAAATTACACCTAAATCCACGGCTTGTAACTAAATTGTTTGTAATTTTAAATTCTTTAAATACTTTAAAGATTTTTTAATAATCTTACATCTGATATGCAGAAAGAGTTTCAACTGCAAACAGCATTCAAAGAGGGACCAAGTAAGTGTGTTTAAAAGTTGGAAAAGAGGTTTAATGGGGGGAAATGATTTTTACCAATTTAAAGATATAGATCAACACAAACAGTTTTGTTTTCGAGGGAGAATGATGAGTATTATAATATTATTTGCTATTTAAGAGTTCTTACTACGTGCTAGGAAAATGTAGCTGCATCATATACATTGCTATACATTACATCACAACAACTAAAGCCATCACAAATTAAAGATAAGCATATTGGCTCAGAGAGGTTAAGAAATTTGCCAAAAGTTACACAGCAAATACATGATAGTGTTACCAGGGGGTCCTTGCTCCCAGAGCTCCCAAGATGGTGGTGGGCCACTTCCAAGATGGCGGCAGTCAGCTTCCAAGATGGTGGCAAGCCTCGTGTTCTCTGACCTGGGGTTCTTGGTCTCACGGATTCCAAGGAATGGAATCTTGGGCCATGCGGTGAGTGTTATAGCTCTATTAGAAGCCATGGGTCACGGAAGGGAACCGTGGAACCCAGTGACTAGTGTTCAGCTCAATTAGGACAAACCCGGGCACTTAGCCGTGCAGGAACAATGACAAGCCTTTAGCCTGATCGGGAGTGGCAATGGGCACCTTGCTGGATCAGGAGCACAGCAGACACCCTGCTGGATCCTGAGGGATGGAAGTCAGTGGCAGGTCTGCTACGACGGTGGCAAACAGCAGTGGTGGACAGCGAGCCAAAGCTCAGCTCGAGCGGTATCAAACATGGACCAGAAGAGAGTGCAGTTACAAGATTTAACAGAGTGAAAACAGAGCTCCCATACAAAGGGAGGGGACCAAAAGAGGGTAGCTGTTGCCGGCTCGAATGCCTGGGTTTATATCCCGATCATTGTCTCTACCGCTGTGCTCTCAGGCAATAGATGATCGGCAATTTCTTTACCTCCTGTTTTAGCCAAATTAGCGTTTTAGTGAGTTCTCTTTACTACCCGATTGGTCAGGTGTGAGCTAAGTTGGAAGCCCTGTGTTTAAAGGTGGATGCAGGCACATTCCCAGCTAGGTTTAGGGATTCTTAGTCGGCCTGGGAAATCCAGCTAGTCCTGTCTCTCAATAGTGGTCACTCTACCATCTACTTTCTTTACCCCTGGCAACACTGAATCCCAAGTATGCGAGTTTTCAAAAATTAAACAGGAAAAAATTTATATTTAAGTGAATTTTTAAATTATTCATATTAGATTATATAGAACCTCCAGGAAACATTGTAACAATTCATCTCCACAGGAAAAATGGCTTATAATTGCCCAAGCTTTAATGAATTTTTATTGCTCAATAGCAAGAAAACACATAATCTGATATAAAAATGGGCTAAAAACCTGAACTAACATTTCTCAAAAGAAGACAAACATACGTCAAACAGGAATATGAAAAAAATGTGTAACATCACAAATTGTTACAGAACACAGATTAAAACCACAGAGAGATGTCACCTCAAACCTGTTAGAATGACTGATCTCAAAAATATGAAAGATAGTAAATGTTGGTGAAGATGTGGAGAAAGAAAAACTTGTAAATTTTTGGTGAGAATGTAAACTAATACAGCCATTATGAAAACTCGTGTACAGGTTCCTCAAAAAACTAAAACTATAAATATGATCCAGCAAGCCCATTTCTGGGTATACATCCAAAGAAAATAAAATTACTATCCCAAAGAGATACCTGCACTCTGTTTATTGCAGCATTACTCACAATAGATAAGATATGAAATCAACCTAAGTGCCCATCCACACATGAATGGATAAAGAAAATTAGGTGTAAGTGCACAATGGAATACTATTTGGCCATGAAAAAGAAGGGAATCTTGTCATTTGCCACAATGTGGATGAGCCTGGATGACTTCAGTAAAATAGGCCAGACACAGAAATACAAATACTGCATGATCTCACTTAAGTAAAAAAAAAAAATTGAACTCATAAAATTAGAAAGTAGAATGATGCTTACAATAGGCTGGGGCAAGGGTAGGAAGGAAGGAAAGAGAGAGGTGCTGCTTGAAGGGTACACAGTTTCAGGAGAGAGAGAAGGAATTGGTTCTGAGCTGTATTGCACAGCCTGGTGACTATATTTCAAAATAACGAGGATGGAAAATTTAAAGATAAATTGATCCAAGTGCCTAATCTCAAACACTCCTGTTACAATTTTAACTTATTTACATTTATGTTACTTTAAAAGAAATATAGAGAAAATATAGCTCAGTGCAATGCTTTTTCATAAAGGGCATGGAGTTTCTTGGTAACTTTTACCTTTCCAGTCTAAATTAAATGCAGTTGTGTAAATGTTTTCATTTTATACACATACAAAAAATACTGCATAAAATCCACACAATATGAAATATGAAATTTATTCTATATATATATATATATATAAAAAACATGATTGTATATGTATGTAACCTTAACAAGTATTTATTAGATGCATGTACTATTCCACTCACCAGGGGCACAAATATCAAATATCATATGGTTCTTACTTTCAATACTTCCTCTGTAAGATATTTTTCAAGCGTTTTCACTGTTGTTTCACTACCTTCATATTATTATTATAAAACTTTTACAAATAGCAATAAAGACTCACAGATATAGAAAGTGAATTGCAAAAGGGCAGTCAGTTGATAGAAGAACTGGAGCTACAATCCGGGAGCTCTGAGTTTCAGTCTAACATGTTGTTTTTTCCACTAAACATTTTGTTGCTAATTTGCAAAATTTCTCTATCATCAAACTCTACAAATAATATTTCAGAATGAAAAAATTAAAAAAAAATAGTACATCCAGAAATAAAGCTTTTTATTTCAAAAATAGTAAGCAAGACACAGAGTTTTTATTTCAAAAAATATTAAATTCATTTACCATTTTATGTAGCATAGGCAGTAAAGCTTAGGCTGAAAATAATTTGAGAAGGTATTAAGAAAAAGAACTGAAGAAAAATTATCTACTTGAGGGAACTCCGTGATATATCTCAGTGATATAAAAGGCTTCAAAAAAAATCTATGAGGTCAAATTCTTAAAAATTAATATACATGGGGAGAGAAACTGAAAAGTTGAAATATAATGTTTGTGAGTGATTTACTGTTGAAGCAAAGCTGATATGTTTGATAATAACAGAATCTATGTTGCTGTATACACCAGTGCCTTGAACATAACTCTTGAGATAAAATAAAACAAGTATTTACCAAGGATGACATAACGGAACTACATTGGTCTGCAATAAAGAAAGATTATTTAAGCAGAGAAGAATAGAGTTCTCTCTTCTAAAACCCTTATATTTACCTTCAATAAATGTATCACCTGAAAATAGGAATAGCTAAAAATTACGGAAGAATTTTTTTTCAATTAAAAATGACGAGATGAGTAATCATACTTTATTGTGAAATGGTAAACAAATAGAGATGTTTCTAACAAATTCCTTTTGATAATAGCTCAGAAAATTGCTTTGGTAGTATTAGAAAAAGCAGAGGGACTGAGAAATTTGTGAATGCCTCTCCAAAATAAAACTTAGTTTTTTATTTCACTTTTTTTGGTATACATCTTATTAAGTCTACTGTGAAACTATTTCTACTTTTACATTATTCATTCATTTATGTTTAAAAATACACAAGTCATCAGAAAAACGCACTGGATTCTCAAAAGTTCTCGAAACCTTGTTGAATGGATTGCTGTAGTGCATGGATGGTAGTTAACACAGCTGGAATCTGTAGATACTCAAAAAGGCAATGAGGCTTTAAATAATATTGTAGAAAAACAAATTTCAGGATGAAAAACCTTGAAGAGTTGTTTAAAAATGTACACCGTGTCACGTGAACCAGATCAAGGCCTAACTCTGCTCACAATTGTGCCTCTGGTAGCAACAAGAAACCTCAGAAATTACTTTAACAAACCCCTTAATGTCAGCTTCAAATGTGTGCCTGACAAAGCCCTAAACTCAACAAAGTAATGGGTAATCATTCAGCAAACAATTATTGATTACTCACAATGTGTGTTTAAGGCACTATATTAAATGCTATTGATTAAAAGAGATCAATTAGGAAGACAGGAAGACTAAATGGATGAACCAAACAGGGTTTATTTCATCAAGAAACTCATTTAGTAGGAGCAGAGGTCCTATTTGTATCTATAATGTTAGTTCAATTTTTATCAAATAGAAAAAATATGAAAAATTATTTAGAAATAGGGACAATCCTAAATCAAGTATAATATACCTATGTAAATATGGAATTTTAAAAATTATATCTAAAATAAATGTCAATGAGATTTATTTCCCTTGAAATGCTAACCAGCTGTATAATCTCTGCAAATTATTTAATTTCTATGAACTTCGGTTTACAAGAGTGGAAATGAAAAAATAATATTTTCTTATAACATCATGTGAAAATGAAGATATTTTATTATACATAAATTTTGAGAGGATAAAAGAATTGCAGCTTCTTATATACAGGTTTTGAGAGGATGAAATAAGTTCATGTGGATAGCATTTTGTAAGGCAGGTCCTAAGAAATCAGTAAATAGCATCTGTTTTTGCATTACTTCTATAATCTTGTAAAAATCTCCATAAAAAATATTACTTTTATAATATGTTCAATGGTTATGTCTTATAAGCAGGAACATAAAACAAATTATTGTTGCTGTAAAATAAATGTTAAAAACATGAAATCTGTCTTAAATGGAAAAGCCTAGGAGTTAAAGAAATAGTAACAATGTATGTATTTCAGTCCATTTTAAGGTTGAAATTTAAACTGTATTCTCTATATTGAACCAACAATATATTAAAGGTATGAAGAAACTGGGGCGGGTCTGATTTTCTATACGGTTCAAGTAAGGAAAATGGTGTCATATATATGACCTTCTCAGTAGTGTTGTAATTAAATTTGGGATTTAAATGGACCATTGCTGGGCCTTGGTAACAATGAACAAAAAGGCTGAGAAGAAAGTAAGGACTGAGGTATGGTGGATAGAACTTGTATCACAGTTGTAAAGAATTGTGCTATCTGGTGATTCAGTGTTTACAGTGTCTAGTGTGTGCAGCAAGTTTAAGCATGTTTGAGCAACTGTGTGAGGAAGTTGGGAGAAAGGAGATCGAATCAGGCAGGGATGAACACGGCATTACAGGCATCCAGAAATAGTAGAAGTCAGTGAGCATCACTGTTATTTCAGCTGATTTTTAAACTCAGGAAGAGATAGAAAATAAAGGAGAGGATATTCTATTTTCCCTAAGGAAGAGGACTAAAAATGTGTTAGATAAGTTTTCTCAAGTGCTCAGGGAAGCAAATGGATGTTGAATAATGAACCCAACCCCTAATAATAAACTTAAATACTAATCTATAAAAATAAGGACATATCTGGCACTACAGATGATCAAAATTATGGGGAGAAAGCAGGTAAGGAATCCTGCCCCTTGTGGCTAAATAGGCATACAGTGAAACTCCCAGTTAGGTAGATCTTTTGGTATCAAAGCCCCCAGGTGGAGGGGAGGAGGATCATGATATACATTCTACATTTATCATGTTTGATTCAGAAAGAAAATGGCTCAGTGTATAAAAGTTATACCCAGTGGTAAACTTAGCCATGAGATACTTGAACAAAGTGAGAGACAGAGAGAGACAAATTCCTTGTCAATGTCTGGACCAAGAGTATAGGATCAAAAATTAGTTGGGTAGTTATAGATAACTTGAGTACAATAATGTATCATTATTCATGAGAGAACATTTTGTTTTTAGGTTTTGTTTTTTGTTTGTATATTTTGTATTAAATATGTATATAAAACATATTATATTAAATGTATATAAAACATGCAGATATGTTCACATGTCCTAATGCAGAATAAATGGCCAGTACTTCCAAGTTCACTTTTCTCATATATAAAATAAGTCTAACTGTAAAGGGAATATCTAAGTACTTACTATGATGGGGGCTAAAATTCACAGCATACATGTGGCCATTGGTAAAATGAGAGAATATGAATTTCGTAAGAAAAGTCATAGCTGTCATGACAATAAATATGATCCCTTCATAGAATACCTTTAAGGATAGGGTAAACTCATTGAAAAATATAAAGTCATTTATGTGTACACAGAAGTGGACCATGGTAGAACCATTTCCTCCTTCATTCACTTAGCTTTTTAATTAGTTTTTATTTTTTTGCTCATCATATATTTATCATTTTGTACTCTGTTTCCTGATAAACACTGAAGGCACTAAAATAATGAAGACATTTTTCCCTCAAAGAGTTTGTGGTTCCAAATGAACTCATCAACTATAATGTATTTAATGTATTATAGCATCATTGTTAAATCTCAGAAGTGTCAACAACCCTAATATTGGTGTAAAATAGAGAGATAGGTTCCACTGATATACTATTACTACCAGCAAATGAGCAGATGAACTTAATTGTTTGGTTGGGCTTGTAAACCAAAAAGAATCTGAGACAAGTGCCAATCAATTTAGAAGCTTATTTTGCCAAAGTTACAGACATGCCCATGGCACAACCTCAGAAAGTCCTGACAACATGTGCCCAAGGTGGTCAGGCTACAGCCTGGATTTATGACATCAATCAACATATGTAAAATGTTTGGTCCAGAAAGGCAGGATGGGGGTGGGGGAAGCAGGGGAGGCTCTTCGGGTCATAGGTAGATTCAATGATATTTTCTGATTGGCAATTGGTTGAAAGAGTTTATCTAAAGATACAGGGATGTGGAGACCACAGTTCTCATTATACAGATGAAGTCTCCAGGTAGTAAGCTTCAGAGAGAATAGATAATAAACATTTCTTATCAGACTTAAAGAGTCTGTTCTGTCGGTCCTAAGGTCTCTGTTTGAATGTTAATTTTGGTCAGCTGTGCCTGAATTCCAATGGGAGGAAGGTTTAATGAGGCATGTCTGACCACCCATTTCCATCATTGCCTAAACTCGTATTTCAGGTTTACTTTAGAATGCCCTTGGCCAAGAAGAGGGATCTATTCAGTTGGTTGAAGGACTTAGAATTATTATTATTATTATTATTATTATTATTATTATTATTTTGGTTTACAGGATGATGCTCTCAAGCTTCTATTGTGTTGAAACTGCCATTGCAAAATTATAACCGACTTAGAAAGATCTGGCTTAACCAGCTCCATCTTGCATTAAACCCTCAAGCTGTGCTTGTTTATTCCTGGGCTTAGGCCTAACTAACTTTAAGAGGAAATTAGTTTATAATTTAGCTTTGAAACAAAAATGATAACCGCCCTTTTCCAAAACAAATCTCCTTCCTGCCTGGGGCCTAGACTGCCTTTGCAGGACTAACAAATTAGCCACAAGATTAGAATTTATGGTTTAGGAGTCATGCAGCTGGAGGGTGCAAGATTTTAAATCTCCCCAAATTGCTTCTGGGGGATAACATTACTATGGTAAAACCTAAGATTAGTGTTTGAGATATTTTGCAGACCCTGCACTCAGTAGATGAGCTGGCATCACTCAGATCAATAACCTGGCTCATCTGTTCTTGGGGTTCCGACCCAGGAACTGACTCAGCACAAGAGGACAGTTTCAACTTCCTATGATTTCACCTCTGACCCAGCGAATCAGCACTCCCAACTCAATGGCCCCTTACCTACCAAATTATCCTTAAAATCTCTGACTCCTGATTTTTCACGGAGACTGATTTGAGTAATACTAAAACTCCAGTCTCCCACATAGCTAGCTTTGTGTGAATTACTCTTTCTCTATTGCAATTCCCCTGTCTTGATAAATCAGCTCTGTCTAGGCAGTGGGCAAGATGAACCCGTTGGGCAGTTACAATGTCACCTACTTTAGAAATGAGAAACTGGCTTAACTTAAAGACTGAGACTGAGTCAACTCAGATGTCAAACCACTAGTAAACTGCAGTGAAGAGATTTAAATTAAAGTTAACTAATCCCAAAATGCTTGGGCTTATCTACCTGTGAACCTGAATTTTTTTTTTAATAGAGTTAGTAAAGTTTGGGAAAATTAGCATGTAGGCATTCTCAAAGTTGAACATTGCCAAATAATGATCATGGAAAATATTTCCCATATACTTCATATATAGCAAGTAATATCTGAGTAAGAAATAATAAAAATTTATAACCCAAGGTAGATTAAAATACTCTAAAAAGGCTTATAGTGGAGGTAAGTATGGAGATGGAAAGGGTAGACGTACCTGGAAGTTGAAGCTTAAAATGGTTATTTTTCACTCTATGAAGAACAATGGGTATTTACTTTGGATGAAGTCTTAAAATGTTTGAATTATATGTATAAAACCTTTACTGGAAAAGTAATATACGTATCTCTCAATTATTTTCTAAATTACGTAAAAGAGCAAGTAACAATTTAAAAAAAATCATTGGAGTATCTCTAATATCTAATGATTTGTAATATCATGAAAGACCCTACAGATATTTAAAAGAAAATTAAACCACAAATAGGTTTAATTAGTACCTTTAAGCTTTATTGAAATCTTTTTATGAAAAGCTCTATCAAATTGTGAAGTATCACTATTAATATTCTGAAAAATGTATATTGTGATTTACTACCCAAAAGTTCGAAGTTTTAGATTTAAGAGAATTTGATACCTCATAACATGTGAGCTGCTGATTAGTAAGCAAAAGAGATAACTGATGGCCAGTGATCAATATTTTTTCTGAATTTAATTGCTAGTGGTATGAAAGAAAAAAAATCGTAGCATAGCCTTTTCCTGCTGGGGATCAAAGGAAATCATTTATGTGTCTCATGGCTCTTTCTGATTTAAGTTCAAGCATGAATAAGTGAATAAGCCATCTTGGTCATTTAGAATCACATCCCTCCTCCACAACCTCTACCCCACAAAAATATTTGATCCAAATATTCCGAATGTATACATAGAGACAAAGCTTTATATATTTATACTCATATTTACATTTCAAGAAAAGTTTCTGGAAAGCCATATCATATTTTAGAATTTGTAAGCCTTTTGGCTATGACTTTGAAAGAAATGCCTTTCCAAATAACTGAGGGGAGGGACTAGCTGCATCAAAACCTGTAGCAGTTCATAGCCAAGACATTTGTGTCAACTTATAACATGGTTTTATATGTATTCCATATTTGTAACATTCACAATCTTTCATATATCCAAGATTCAGTTCAGAGTTTATACAAAAGTGGAAATATCAATCATTTCTCCCCTCCTATTCTAGATGAATATGTATAAGAATCAACAAATATATATATAACAAATATGTGTAAGAATTAACAAATAAATACCTATATATATATTTGTATATATAGATATATACTTAGAGCTGCTAGCTCTTTAACCCAGGCTTCCTTTCTTATTATGTAAATAATAATGAGTAAGTGGCATGGATTTGTTTGTTAACATACCTCGCACACATTGATAACTTAGCTTGAATTTGAGAGTACATTTCTGAATGTTTACCAGGATATCATTTCTATTTTCTTGAACAGGAGAGAACAGCTCCTGTCTCACCTGCTTTTATTACACTACCTACGTCTCCTCCTGTGGTCTACCACACAGCTAGAGTACAGCACACCCCCCCTTCTCAAAAAGTTAGTTGAGGGTCAATAGATAACTGAGGGAGGGGATGGAATAGGAGATGAAAAGAATTGTAGGGAAAGAAGCATTTTCTATTTTCCCAATGGCCTAGAGTATTACTAGTTTTACCAAAAAAAGGTATACACCTAGATTTTTCAAAAACATATTTGTTGGGATAAATGGTATTTTCAAAATCAGACTAGGAATGGTAAAAATCATCATGGCCTAGAAACAACCTGGAGAAAATGATGGCAATAAAACTATAAGCATAATGCAATTTTATTTTCCTTAGCAGAAAAATGATATTAAAAATATGGCTGGATATTTTATATTAAATCTTTTCAGAATAGTGGATGTAAATAACTGAAAAGAGATAAAAAGATGCTAAAGAGACATTTAGTTCACGCCCCTCTTTTTCCAATGAGGCTCACATTGCAGCCTTCTAAAACAAATGCATATATATATATATACACACTTACAAAACTGAGAGGGAGAGAAGAGAAAATTGAAGAAAAAAGTTATATCCTTATAGACTCTCTGATAATCAGCTTCTAATAGGCTTTGCCTGGCTGAGATTATTTGATCTGTGATGCGTCTAAGCCTGTTTAGGAATAACAGCCCTGTGGGGCTGAGGATTAGTGGGCAATGAAGAAGAAAATACTAAAAATATTTAAACAGAGATGTCTCCTTAGTCTAGAATATTCCCCAGTGACCATGTCTATAGACAATTATCCCATCTTTGTGGGAGTATAAATTCTCTACTTACAAATGTTTCTGATTTTTTTTTTCTCTTTCAGAATTCACACTACAAGAACACATTTTGTGCTTTTTCTACTGGATTTGACTCTGAGCTACTGAAATGCAGATAACCTTACCTTTCTTCCTTATTTTGTGGAAACAGAGATGTGAATGTAAAGTAACAATTTGTTGAAGATAAACAAATGATATACTTTTTTTCCCATTCAGAATAAGGAGTTATTAGACACAAAGAAGAGTAGGAGATGGTGTTTTATTTATTGTTCAACTCATTCCTAAAGATGGTTATTTATATTGTAATGGGACTCTACGGAACCTAGAAGAAATACAACTCTACATCCTTTTCAATAGTATATTTCCTGTTTATTTACCTGTCTCATCAGAATAGTTTATGTTTAACCCAGATTGGTTTTTGTTTTCTGCAACTCAAACCTTTTCAAATCTTACTTTTATCCATTTATAGCATTAAATATTCTCTTAATAACAAACATCAATATGAGGAGGAGGAGGAAGATGAAAAAGAGGAGGAGGAGAAAGAGGAAAAGGGGGAAGAGGAGAAGCAGAAAGAGAAGGGAAAAAAGAGGGGAGGGAGTAAAAAGAAGTCTCATTACTTGATTTGTAGAAGAGGTTTCCTCAATATATTTGTCAGTGGCTGACCCTAGAGTTAATAACAAGCATGATTAACACGTTGATAGAGTTTGTATATTGTAGTTTCAAATTCTCACTTTGCAACTCTTCTATATTTTTACTTGACAGCTGCCCCTTCATTTGCAACTGAAAGCTGAAGTACAGCAGACGTATTTGTTGCCATTGATTTTCTGTCAGTCCTTACCACTTAAGTGTTGGCACAGGTGACTCAATATAAGGAAGACACTGAGGCATAGAGAAAAGAACTCACATTTTGTAGACACTGAAATTCAAATCCCAGTTGCTTCGTTTACTATTTGTATAATCTCTGTCAAGTGATTTAATGTCTCTGACTCTCAGATATTTTATTGATACAATGGAAAAGTTATCCTCTAAGATCATTGTTAAATTCCTGGCTCCCATTTAGCTTCTTTCCCCACCATTACTCAACTTCGTAACCTTGACCTCTAAAGTTTCCTAAGCCCCACAATTCTACCTATCAAATCTAGTAGGAACCTCTTCCTTGCTGGTTATTCCTACCAACTGTCATGTTGCTGTAATAACCTGTCTGTATCATTCAAACACACTCTCAACTAGTGTCTTCCTCCAGACTTACCCTCACCTTCCAGTTGAACATTCACAAGATCATCAATGTGATCCCATTCTAAAACACATTTCTACACACTTCATATACCATCATAGGTCTCTACAACCTAAAGCAATAATTCTTAATCCCTCTGAAGACTTGATGTTTCATAGTTCTAAATGTCCCCATTACCACAGCATTAGATTTCTATTGCTACTGTAATAAATTTCCATAAACCTAGTATCTTCAAACAATACAAATTTATTATCTTCAAATTCTGCAGGTCAGAAGTCTCAAACCAGGTACACTGTGCTGAAGTGTTGCTGTGGTTTGTTCTTACTGGTGGCTCTGAGGAAAAAAAACATTGTCTCAGGGTCTTTTTTAGCTTCCTTTAGGGGCCACCTGCAGTCTTTGGCTCATGGTCCCTTCCTCACATCACTCCCATTTCATTCCTCCTAATATTGACTCCTATCTTCCTCTTATAAGGGTCTCTGTGGTTTCATTTGGCCCACTTGATAATTCAGAAAAATAGACTCATTTCAAGATTCTTAACTTAATCATATTTGCAAAGTCTTATTTACTGTGTACAGTAACATATCCACAAGTTCTTGGCTTAACACATGGGCATATTTGGGGACTGTTATTCAGCCTACCACAACTATTGTAAAATGTAATTAGTTTAAAATAAAATTTACCTTTACTCATAATTTTTAAAATATAAAAAGTTGCCTAACTGTAATAAAAGTGATTTATAATAAAATTATATGTATTTTAGTATGTCAATGCTTGAGAACAACTGCACTGGAAACATAATGAGGCCATCAGATACTTCCACTGAAATATATGAATACAATGGAAGTAATGGCAATAATGCCACTGATATAGACATATTGTACTGGTAATACAAAACAAAGATCATTGCCATCAACAACAAGATTTTCAGAAATGAAAAAAGAAAAAACTCTTGATAAAGTTACAAGACTAAGTGCTGATTCAGATAGTAATCCCACTCCCAGGAAATACAGCTTATATTAAAATGTACAAAAGTATTTGTGTTTACTTGTAGAACCGTCTTGGGTTCTCGGCTCATATAATTTTTTTCACCTACATATATATCCACTAGAGTATTAAAAATCTCAAACACTGATGCTAGAAATGTTAAATGGTGCAATCACTGGAAGACATTTTCACAATTTCTTAAGAAAATTATATGTACACTTAGCAATGACTCCATCATTCTGCTTCTAAATATTTACCCAAGAGAAATAAAATTAATGTCTGTATAGAAGCTTGTACATGAATGTTCATAGCAGCATTATTTCTAATAGTTAAAAACTAGAAATAACTCAAATGTGTATCAGCAGTTGAATAGATAAACAAATTTATGGTATATACATACAATGGAATACTCTTCAGCATTACAAATAAATTCACTCAGTCTCTCCTCTCTCTCTTTCTCTCTCTCTGTGTGTGTGTGTGTGTGTGTGTGTGTGTGTGTGTGTGTGTGTGAACATGAATGAATCTCAGATGAGTAATGCTAAGAAAAGGGAGACAAAAAATAATACGTTTATCTATACAGTCATTTATACACAGTTCTAGCAAATTATAAACTAATCTGTAGTGAGAGAAAAGAAAAAAGAGTTCAGCTACTATGAGGATACCGAAGAGGGTAGGGAAGAAAGTTTATAAAAGACATGAGGAAAATTGTGAGGATGACAAACATATTAATTAGTAACTTACAATGATGATAGCATAGGTATTTACATATATCAAAGTCTTAAATTAGACAACATATACATAGTTTATTGTTCATTCATTACACTGCAATAAAACTAAAAAAAAGCCTTGAAGTTATTTATGGTGAGAATATTTGTAATACTCTGTACAAACATTTTGATGAGAAGGAAAGTAAGATCTATGCATGTTTCTCTTAGTCCCTCTGAAAGCCTCTCTTCAGAATTGAATGGAGAATTTAGACCTCCACTCAGGCCCTGCTTCTCTTCCCTGTTAAATTAGTACCACATCCAAGGTGATTACAAATAAGCCTTTTCCCTCCTAAAAACTTCAGACCAATTCCATTGGGATTCTTTGATCTTACATGTATATTTGGGCAAAAACTCCCCAAAACTCTGTTTGTAAAAATCTGAATATGTAAATGGAGGTATTCCAATTATTGCTAAGTTTCATGTAATGAGGTGATCATATTTCCAGTGTGAGCCAAGTTCACTACAGACTATTAAACTTTTAGGAGCCCATGGGAAGAAGGTTGCCTTATAAAATACAGGACTCCTACTTACATTTGAATTCAGATAAACAATGAACGACATTTTCGTATAAGTATGACCCCAAATTATTCATTATTTATCTGATATTCAAATATAACTGGAAGTTCTGTACTTTTATTTTCTAAATCTGGCAACTCTTCCTGGGATTGCCATAGTTGATTTGGACAGAAAATAATGGAAACAGTAGACATATTGATTACATTTGGGGTAGTCAGCATGTCAGGGAGCTTTTAAAATTTATTATTTTAATGTATATATTGCTAGAGGTTCATGATGAATCTGTGTGTATGTGTTTATGTGTGTGCATAATTGAATTTGTATTTTTCAAGCCCAATGATATACAATGACTATGTACAATGGTTAGGCTGCTAGCCCAGTTATATTTGCAAGAATGAAATAACATGAAAGAAGAAATGCATATCTATGGTTTTTGACTCATTAGTGTATCATTTTTTCTTCTCAGTTTGAGCAGAAATTGAAGCTGGCTAAGCACTGCCAATAATGCAAATGAAGGCCTAATCAAAATGATAAAACGTACGCTAATCCTTGATAAGCTATCATTCTCCGTGTAAAGTGTAGTAAGCCATGTGTTCACTATTTACATCTTAACTTGAATATGTAAGGGGGTGGGCATATGGCTGTAGTTTCTGAATGTGTTTCTACATTGAGGAGATTTGAATCCTGGAAGAGATCTTATTCCTTCTCTGATGGAGAAATAAGCCAATTTTCAGAAAAAGTACTTGGAGCAAATCTTTCTGCCCCACAATATTAACACAGTTGCCCATCGTTTCCTCTGTCATAATCATCTCTGTGATACTAAAGAGGATCACTTAAGAGGAAGAATAAAGAATAACAGAGTGCAGCTCTTGAGTTTTTTGCAATATCAGAGTAGAAAGAAAACGAGCATATGTAATGTCACAAAACAAAGACAAGAAAATATCTCAAGAAGGGTTGTTTCATCTGTGTTTTCTATTGCTGAGTGGTTGATAAAAACAAGAACAGAGACGTGAACCTAATATTCGACCACATGAAAATTATTAATGACGTTAATAAAATAATAATTTGTGGAGTTGTGCTGGATGGGAGTATCAAAATTTGGCTGCAAGGGAGAGATAGAGAGGAAAATGAAACAGTATATATATTGCTATGAAAAGAAGCAGATAAATGGACAAACTGGTGATACTTGAAGAGGACATGAACAAATAAATTATTTTTTGAATTATTTTTCTATTAGTCTGTTTTCACACTGCTATAAAGATACTACCTGAGACTTGGTAACTTTTAAAGGAAAGAGGTTTAATTGACTCAGTTCCACATGGCTGGGGAGCCTCAGGAAGCTTACAATCATGGCTGAATACAAAGGAGAACAAAGTACCTTCTTCACAAGGCTGCGGGGTGGAGGTGGGGGGAAGCAGGAGACACTTATCAAACAACCAGATCTCTTGAGAACTCACTCACTATCACAAGAACAGCACAGAGTAAACTGTCCCATGATCCAATCACCTTCTGCCAGGTCCCTCTCTCAATATGTAAGGGTTACAATTTGGATTGCATTTTGAGACGAGATTTGGTTGGGGACACAGCCAAACCATATCAGCTAGCTAGATGTCTTTCTTTCTTTCGCTTATTTGTCTGTTTGTTTTGAGACAGAGTCTGTCTCTGTGGCCCAGGCTAGACTGTGGTAGTGCAATCTCGGCTCACTGCAACCTCCATCTCCCAAGCTCAAATTATCCTCTCAGCACAGCATCTCAATTAGCCAGGACCACAGGTCTGCACCACCATGCCCAGCTTTTTTTTTTTTTTTTTTTTTTTTTTGATTTTTGGTAGAGACAGGGTCTCACCATGTTACCCAGGCTGGTCTCAAACTCCTGAGCTCAAGCAATCCACCACCTCCGCCTCCCAAAGTGCTGGGGATACAGGCATGAGCCACTTCACCCGGCCCAACCATATCAGCTTTTTATTTCTAAAATGTTATGTGGGAGAATTTTTGTAGTGTGATAGGGATAAACCAGTAAATGGGAGAGATGATATTCTAAGGTAATTCAGAATAATTTCAGGATTGAAGTTCTTGATGACATTGTAAGGGATCATGTCTAGATCAGAAGCTGGGGAATGCACGGGTTGACCCTACAGAAAAGAAAATTCACCGGCAGTAATAGGGAGAATTTTGTGTACGTTCTTGAAAGAGTACATAAATGATCATTTCTATTTCCATAATGAATGTAAGTGGAGTTTGTCAGTTGAAACGGTGGTGGTCATAGAATAGGGTAGCTGGAGTGGAAATTTGACAAAAATGAACAGGTATGCACTAGTCATTTTAGAGATTAGGAAAGTCTCAATATCAGTGAAGTGTAATAGGACTATTATGCAGTGTTGAGGGTCATTTGATGTTTGCAAGTCTAGCCAGCATTTTTTTTTTTTTCACGCAGCTGTACCAGTGCCGACACAGAACAGCTGGACAGATGAGGTGAAAGGAATGTTTAAGTGAAAAAAATACATTCTCAGTTTCAGCCACAAAGTGGCAGTGTTTCCACAGTCAAGTCAATTGACCCTCATACGCCTCATAGGAAGACACGGTTTTGGGCTAGATAATCTTTAAGCTGTTTACCAGCCTTATGGTTTTGGAAAGACTTTAACAGTGTTCCATGTAATGTATTAAATATGTGAAGGAAGAAATATAGCAAAAAAGGAAAGAAGGAAGGGAGGGAGGGAAGGAAGGAGGGAGGGAATTACTCTAGAAATTATCAGCTCTATGACAAACGGCTCGAAATTAGGCACTGAAATACTATTTACTGCATTTCAAGTATTGGGATCTCTGCTGCAAAAACACATATTCTTTATCAGGGTGACCACCCATGAGAAGAGATTGTTGGCTGCAGGTGGGGGAATAAAATGGTCTCTGCTCACTGGAATGGCTTTCTCAGTTGATTTTGTGATGAGATTTGGTTTCATTAGACCTCACCTATCCCATTTCTGCTTTTATCACGTTAATTGTATAGGGGCTCTGATAGTCCTAAATATTATTTTTAAGCATTTTCTGGCTTATCTCTGAGTAATTACATGTGATAAAATGAAGAAGCTACAAAATTTCTAACCCATGATGGCTTTATATGCTGTTCAAAATTTTTTCTTCATGCTGAAATTCCCAGTTTAGAATCTATAAAATGTTTAATGAGATAGTTATTTGATAACATTTATTAAGTACTTATGATAATTAAAAACCCATAGAAATTTCAAAAAAAATACTATGTTACACAATGTTCTGGAATAAAGTAAATCTAACCAGCATTTTTTAAATAGACTTTTCTAAAATGAGAAGTGATACATTTCAAGAGGAAGATAAGATATTTTGTTGCTTTTCAGACAAGGGCTGAAGATTGCTTATTTAGAACGATTTTCAGGTTTCAAAATATACTCTTCAAAAACCGGTCTAAAATAGGAATGACACTTAGGATAGAAATAAAACAAAATATTTTCTCTGAATTAACATATGAATAATTATTATTTTTATTGAATGTTCACAAAAACATCATGAGAAAGGTACTAAGAAAGGTGAGGCACAGAAAGCAAGCAATTAAAGAAGTGATTTTGTCACTGTGCTCAATCAATCAAGCATATTATATCACTGTTGTTATAATTATCTAACTCTGATGAGTTACCAGCTGAAAGATCTTACTTAAAGCAGGTCCTTACCAGAAGAGCCCATGTTACAGATGAAGCTCCAAAGGCTATCTGCTGGAGAATTTCTCTTGCTCAGAGGTGGTCAGCCTTTTGTTCAATTCGGGCCTGCAACTGATTGGATGAGGCCCACCCACATTATGGAGGGTGATTTGCTTTGCTCAAAATCCACCGATTTAAATGTGAATCTTATCCAAAAAACAAAAAACAATCACAAAAACACCCATAATACTGTTTGACCAAATAGCTTGGCATCATGGTCCAGGCATGTTGACACCTAAAGTCGATTATCACAGTCAGTAATATCATAAATTGTGTATTTGCCCCACATTAGACCAGTCATGCTTTCTCTGAACATGAACTTCAAATCCATTGTCAATTCACGAAATCACCAGGTTTTCAGACTTTCAATGCAGAACTTCAAAACCAGGCCTGAGAACTGATACCTTGAATCTACTGAGGCCTCAGTAGGGACTTTCTTCCCTGGAGGGAATGCTCTACTCTATAGTCCATCACTCTATTTGACTCTTCACTCTGAAATGCGACCGAGCCTATTTACTCTGTAAACTGCTCTTCTCCCTCCTCCAGGTGATAAAGGCTATGTGTACTCTCTTTCCCTTCTTGCCCTGACTTCTAAGGAGCTCATAGCAAAAGCTGCGCTCTCTGGTTGTCATTTCCCTGGACCTAGACGCCATGACATCACTGTCTCTTCTACTCTTTTCTTCCTCTTTTTGGGTGGTTATATTCCTAGTGAACTTTGTTCTAACATAATTCATATGTTCTGGGTGAGTCAACTGGCATTTGAGCAAATCAGGGTAGCATAATGCCTTGGAATATTGTGCTTGGGGACATTGTCCCCAATGTCACTTGAAGACAAAGTGACATTGGTTGAGATTCTAGCTCTGTGCTTAATGGCTCTGTGATTTTACTGGTTGGTCCTCTGTTTTTCACTTATCCAACTGGAACAGAGGATGTAAAGCATCTAACTCAAGGCCTGGTGCATGATATATACTCAATAAATATTAGCTGTTTTTTTTTTTAAGCAGTTCCTTCTTGTATGTAGAGAAACATTTTGTTTGGTTGCCTTTCTTCATTCACTTACACTATTCAGATTATTGCTGATATTATTTGTAAAACACCTACAGAGGGATTAAAACCCAAGTTTATATATATTTTTGCTAGTATTGAAAAATTAAAAAATATAGGCACAACAGAAGCCGAATCAAACTTTAATACTAACATATAAAAGAAGATGCCTAGGGCACATTGACCTACATTGATTGAATTTTATCATAAACAATTGAACTTTTCTGGTATTGTTTTTGAAAAATGAGAAATTTCATTAACAAGTCCATTTAAATGTGTCCTACATTATTCTGTGATGTGCCAAGAAAAATATTAAATATTAATTTTTATTTCAACTAATGGCATGCATTTATTAACAGTAAATCACTCAAACCTAGAAATTAGGAAATCCCCATGTATTCAGGTTCACCAAAAAATAAATAAAACAAAATAAAATAAAGTAATGATAGATCTAACCAGTTCTACTTTGGGTTGGATGCATGTCCACAGAATTGTAAAGCTGCTTCACTCAAAATTACCTGAATGAATTAAGCTGAAACTTTGCTCCTCTTTTTGACTCAGTTTCATGAATTGCATTTTACTAATGACCAATCCTATAGTGCTCATCCATTATTTTTCATTAACTGAAAATGTATTATGAAAAAATTGTTTGAGCTTGCTTAAAGTAAAACACTGTTGTACAGATTAAGTATTCTCAGAGTTTTCGGTATTTTCAGAGAGGAAGCAGGAGGGAACCAGCGAAAAGGAGAGTAAAATCATCAGTTCTAAATTTCAGAAACTCACTTTGGCATAAGATAGCCCAGATCTATTTCCTAAAGCTCTCATACTATAAGATTTTTCCTCTATAAGATTCAAGTTTAAAAATGTATTAGAAACCACTTTTGACAAATTATTATTACACTGTTTAGTGATGCTACACTAATAGTTTCATAGCACTGCTATGTACAAAGTTAAAAACAGGTCTATAAAGTTCTTTGTTTTGTTTTTGTCTTTTGTGGGTTTATTGTTGTTTCTTTTGCTTTCTAAATTCATTTTGCTTGTTTCCTATGTTAGGTTTTACCTAACAATCAATAAAGCTAGTTAAAGAGCAGAGTTTCAATGTACTTGCTTTTGCTTAAATAATCATTTAAATATATTTGTAGTGCCCAGTGTGACGCATCCATCTGATTTGTTCTTTGTTCTATTAAATGTGCCTCTGGAAACCAGAAAAGATCAACATGAAGTTATTCAGCCGACACAAATTCATCATTTTCCTAGAACCCAAGTATCTTGAGTGATTTTTTGAATCTCAACTCTTTGCTATGTGCCTAGTTCCTAGTGTGCTTGCAAACTCAACATTCTGCAAATGTCAGAAGCTGATCCCACACTTCTCCTTATATCATAAGTTCGGCTAAAAGCTAACTTTGCCTCTTCTCCCTGCCAGCAGTCAGAAGAACCATTTGATCATATTATCAGATTGCCCCAAGTTCATTTGGGTGCAGCTATTAATATTTCAGAAATGATTAAATTCACAACATGACTCTAGTTTGAATCACCATTATTGTGGTCTAGGAACGTTTGTCACCTTAAAACACAGGGTTGTCTTCTACTATAGTAGTCATGCTAGGTGCAAAATGGACATTAAGACAGTAACAGGACTATCAGTGTGTGGCTGGGTTAAAAGAAATGATTTAGCAGCCAGGATCAAACTTTTAATGAAATTATAGCCCATTGTTTATTTAAAAAGGTTTTTGGTTAACAGGATTAGATTATAACTTTTGATGGCAAGAAACAATAAATAGAAATATATACCATACCGTTTGAAGGAAATAAAATGGGTAAATCTCAGCACTTGGCTATAATCTCTAAGCAACATGGTTCTCAATTTTTAGGATTAAATGATAATCTGGGATATTTATTAAAACTGTAAGTTTTTGGGCCCTAGATTCTGATTCGGTAGATATGGCTTTTGGCCCGTGAATCTACATTTTTAATAAAAATACAGGTTTATTTGCACATCACAGCCTAAAAACTCTCCCAGACCTGGTAGACAAGGGGCTGGTGAAAACAGTCTTTTGGCCAGAGACCAGAGGCTTCAAGTTGAACTGGCTGAGACAAAGAAAAAAAGTTCTGTCACTTATCTCTGTCTTCAGAGTTCTCTCAATTTGATTACCTAATTATTTTTATAAAGTTGTAAGTCTTTGTAGTGCAATTAAATTGTTTTACTACCAATTATTTACTGAGTTGGTAAATTTGCCAATACTTTTAGGCAAACCTTTGACTAGTCCTAATTAAAGTAAAACAAAACAAAACAAAACAAAAAGACACAACCCCTAGTTTCAAGGATCTTCCGAAGTCTAAATAGAGATGGATAGCATTCTACACAGATTCTCCAGAAACAAGGAGTTATTCAACTCTATTTTCTTCCATGTAAAGGCATTGAGGCTTCAGAGAAAACAGAGTGCATTGTCATCTGTACTAAAATAACTGAACAGAGAATTTTGGGAAGAGTGATTTTATAGTGGTCGACACCACTTTCCTCAATTCTACTTTACTTCCCAGTGCTAATCAAAGCCTGTTTTTTGGCATCTTCATATATATTAGCATAATTAAACTCTTATTTAGAAAGCTTGATATCTGAGAAAGCCACCGCATCAATATAATTTTGTTTTGTTTTGTTTTGAAACAGAGTCTCACTCTGGTGCCCAGGCTGGAGTGCAATGGCAGGATCTCAGCTCACTGCAACCTCCACCTCCCGGTTTCAAGCTATCCTCCTGCCTCAGCCTCCCGAGTAGCTGGGATTACAGGTGCCTGCCACCATGCCTGGCTAATTTTTGTATTTTTAGTAGAGACAGGGTTTCACCATTTTGGCCAGGCTGGTCTCAAACTCCTGACCTCAGGTGATCCGCCCTACTGGGCATCCCAAAGTGCTGGGATTACAGACGTGAGCCACCATGCCTGGCCTAATATGATGTTTCATATGCTTTCTTAATTGCTTTTTAGAAGCAATTTTATTCACTGAAATTAGGTAGTTACTGAATGCTTACCCCGTGTTATGCATTGACAGGATTAAAGTATTGAGCTAAACACTCGAAAATTATTGCTTTTATGGAGTTTACATTCTAAAGAAGAAAAATAGAAAACATACACAAGTATATAAGCAAAACATAAAAAGAGAACAGTCTAGTCTAACTTTAATGTGTTTAGCCTAAATAACTAGAAGGATGGATTCTTCACTGATGGGGAAGACTGTCAGAGGAGCTGTTTTGGGGAAAGATTAGCTGTTTCATTGAGTGGGAAACATGTACTTGACTTGATACAGGGTTGAATATTTTCAATTATATTTAACTATATATTATCTTCAGAAATTTTTAAATCCCAAACATCAAAATGCACTACACTATCATCAGTTTGTAGAAGTGGTAAATAAATATTCCTGAATTGGTATTGTTAATTGGGCAAATAATATTTTGCCTTTCAAAAATGTGATCCCAGAGTATAAGTCTCCTAAAAACAGTTCCCTTATAGGTCAATGAAGATCTTTTTATTTCAAAATCAATAGTAAGAACACATCACACATAAACTCTAAGAAGGGTTATGCCATTGTTTGCTACCCTGTCCATGAGCCATTCTTACCATGAACCATGCAAACCTACCCCAAAGTCCGAGGAAGATGAGAGGCCAAAGAAAGGGGCTGACAAATCCAATTTCTCAAAGAAACATTGAAGCAAGCCACAGATGGGTCTCAGGTGGTGGCAAGACAAGGTGGTGAATCCCTGTGCCATTGCCCCTTAGACCCAGGGTTTATATGCCATAGGGAGAGGGTGGTCCAGAAGGGATGTGTAGAACAATTGAGGTATCATAACATCAAGGTTGTTTTACCTAATGACAGAATTTATGGTAAGAAACAAGGAACAATATGTAAGCTGGAATTCTTACAGGCCTTCCCGGAACTGGGGTTGATCACCTGCCAGCATAGTGGATTAGTATCCAAGACGAAATTGCTTTGGCCCCCAGACAGATGTTTCTATCCTAACATGTTTCTTTTTCTTCAAATTCCATATTAAAGTTGTATCACTATTCTGTTTTCCCTTTTAAAAAATCTTATGAAAATTGTTAGAGACTTTGTCTGTTTTATTTCCCATGGTAATCTCAGGACTTAACACATTGAGTATATAGATTTATGAGCCGGAATCAAGGAAATATATGTTGTATGAATGGATGAGGAATACATTTCAGAGCTGTTCACTAATTATTCTTTAGTGGAAGTTTACTTCTTAGATGATAGTTACATAGTTTTAAAGACAATTTTACAAAAACTAAAAGACAATTTCAGAAATGAAGAAATAAAAAGAGTCTACATTTCAAACACTGGTTCTGAATATCATTTAGTTTAAAGACATTTACTTTTTAAATGTCTTTCAGAGGGTAACAAAACCTAACAGTAATAAGATAAAATGGCACCAGCTTGTGTTTGAAAAGTTTATTCCCAGAGCAAGATTTTTCAAGACTGTGGTGACATTACGTATCTAAAGAAGAATATGAGAAGCTTTTAGTTTAACTGATGTTTGACATTTTGTCTTTAAGATGATATCTCCATAATATACATTATTCTCCTCATTCCCAGTTTTTCTAACACAGAAACGATGGAAATAATGTGTACCACTAGTACTCAGATATTCCTGGTCCAAACTCTATTTTTTTTTTTTAATTTAGAGCTTGCATTGGTCTGTGTAAATCATTTCAATCTTACATACCAATGATTCTATGTTAGTTTATTAGACATCTTTAAGAAACATCGTTGAAAATCAAAGCAATTTCTCTTACGAGTATTTTATGTTGTAATAACGCATTTAAAGCATTTTTGAATTTGGACTTTAAAAATTGAAGTTTCAGTTGATTCAAACAACAGAAGCACTGAAATTCCCCTTTGTAGATAGGACAGTGGTGGGATTAGGGAGAAAGCTTTGCTTATTTCAATTGTCCTCAGACTTTTATCTATGAAAAGTCATTCTGGGGGTTATTTTAAAACATGGATGCTCTTGTTCTCACTCATAGGTGGGAATTGAACAATGAGAACACATGGACACAAGAAGGGGAACATCACACACCGGGGACTGTTTTGGGGTGGGGGGAAGTGGGAGGGATAGCATTAGGAGATATACCTAATGCTAAATGACGAGGTAATGGGTGCAGCACACCAACATGGCACATGTATACATATGTAACAAACCTTCACGTTGTGCACATGTACCCTAAAACTTAAAGTATAGTAATAATAAAATTAAAAAAAAAACATGGATGCTCACAGTACAACTCTAAGGATTCTAATTTAACATATCTGTGAGGAAAGGGAGATACCAGAATTCTCTATTTGAGGGTGATTCTAATGCGCAGAAAGATTGAGAATCGCTGGCATAGGTAAACAAATAAAGGTAGTACACATGTAAGGACAACATTTAACTATCTAAGGAAAAAGTATTATTTCATCTCAAGTATACAGAATATATTCAAATGCCATAAAATATTTTTTCTTTAATATTTCTATAATTCAATTTTTAGCACTTACATGGCCCTGCCTAAGCGAGCCTGCAGGTTCACTAGAAAAGGAAAGCTGCCTTCCAACATTCTCCAAGTAACTATGGAGACTTTACAAACTGGGTTACAATTATCTTCCATAGTTTTTCTAATCTTTCAATGAACATGAAATCCTCTGTGTTCCACTGTGATAAATATATAGGGCAAACTGTCCAAGCACATTACTTTATTTGATTTTTCTAAGCAAGAATAACATGTACCTTGCTGTTTGCCATTGCATCTGGACCACCAGAGCTGGTTTTACTGGATGAAAGTAATGTCTGAAATAGATTAATGTGATAGGGATGTCGATCATGAAAAATAATGTCAAGTAAACTTGTACAGTCTCCTTCAGAGCTTTAATTTTTTTAAAAAAGCAAAGCAAAACAAAACAAAACAAAAATCAAACAAAAAGACACCAAGTTCTTTACAAGTAGCTTTTGTTATTATTTATCTTTCAGCCTCCATTTTCCCATATTCCTCCTCACTCCCCACATAGCAATATATTGGCTTTCAACATAACTATTTTATACATTAAAGGAAGTAACACTGTATTCTATATTCAGTCTGTTTCTGCAGTGTGATAATTTCCTTGAAGTTCTGAATTTGGAACATCCAGTTGGCAGGGAAATAGTTTACTTGTTTCTCGTGTATTGATATAAAGGTTTTGACTGCAATAGTTTACATGAAAGGGGATAGTTTAACATCGCTCTGAAGTGGAAAAATTTCCCCTTAGAATCCTGAGATCTTTCTACGAGCACCAGTCTCTTTTATTCAGAATATCTCCCCTTCACACTACTCATATCAACCTGTATTCCACTCAATTTCCCTGCACTGGATTTTTCTTTTTGGTCTCTGATCAAACTATTTTCTTATCTCTTATTTCCTCTGACTCATATGAAATGACATTAGCTAATCTAATGTGATAGTGAATAATATTGACAAAACCTCAAATTATCATAAGTATTAAAATACCCTGTGAATTTTTATATACACAAATTTATATTATATTTTCAAACTTTGTGAAACCTGCATTGTTAAGACCTTGGAGAAAATCAAGATTCAAAGATCTCACATGGATTTCTGTTTTAAGCAACAAGATATCCTAAGCAAATGTAAACACCCTCCAGCTAGCTCTATTTCCCACATAATGCTAATAATTTAGAAATGCTGAAAAATGGAACAAAACATTGATACAAAGCTAAGCTTAAATGAAAAATGGGTGTATCTACCGTTTTCAAAATGAAGTAGGAACATAAAATCTTACAGAAAGATACATGGAATGATACTTTGACAGAATGAGGTCAATTTGGGGGCATAAATACAGAGCCTAATAAGAAGACAGTACATTAACATCCATTTGGAGATGTTAGCAATTATATATGGAGATGTTGCCTTGAGGCCAACCGAGACGTAGAGGAGGTTCTTTACTTCCTGTAAGGCCTGTGGACAAGGCTGGGAACACTAAGAAGATATGCTTCAAGCGACCATTGGATCAATGAAGCAAAAGCTCATGTACCTTTTGTCTGACAAAATAATATACAGCCAGCAAAACCACTACCTTTTATAGCATACACCAGAAATATACTTTTAAAAGCTTCCTCTACCGTTGCTTTAAAAGCTTTCTTGTAAATGGTCATAAATTTGATGGTAAGTACCATAATTAGATCCTGCAGAGTACCTAGCAGTATTCCTTCTAGTCAAATATGACAGGTGCTAATACTTGACATTGAGATGAACTTGTCTATATTAGAATAGCTCTTTATGAAATCTTACATTTTGTGACCTTAATAAAAGACCAGTTGTGATGAAAGCAGTTACTACAGTCACTGAAGGTGTGTTAGAAATAAGAAAGACATCCTATTTCTGCCTGTTGACTTCCTTTTTCAAGACACCTAAGCCAGAACAAGAATCTGAAAGAATTTGGGTAGAAGGTGGTGGAACATGGGAAGGAATATGCTGAACATATAAAACATAGGCAATGATATGTCTGCAGACACCTACACATTATTTTTCTTCAAATTGGTTGCTTTGGATTTGCTTGCCTAAGTCCTTGGTTCCTCCAACTTTGTCACCCCAATATTTTTTATCATTGAACCTTGATGGTTTCCTTCATGTAAGTTATTATTGATTTTAATGTCAATATGTTCACGTATCAATGCATACTGTATACACAGCATTTAGCACCGTCCCCAGCACTCGATAATTTTTTGAATAAATGAAACTTATCTAATACAAAATGAATTTCTTCCTAGGATGGAAGTGTAAGACAGTTATAATAAATTACATTTTTTAAAAAGAGTATAGATACATTGGCTCTTTATATGGTTAATTTGCAATAATCTTGGCTGACCTTTCCTTTCTTTGTTACCACAGAACAGGAGGTCTTGGCGTTGAATACTGTGTTGTGAGTGAAATCAGCCAGTTGGCACTAAAAAATTTAAACATGATCCGTCCTTTGCATATTACAGTGGGCCAATGGGAAGAAAGCCAATGTGACAGTGTCTGGAGTGCCTTGGCCAGGACCCAAAGCCTATCTGGCTTTGAAATATAGATTTGAAATGCTCCGATTAGATTGGGCAGGAAACAGTGATGATCATTATTTCTTGGGTGGAAGACCACATGCTCTCTCTATTCATATGCTGGCTCCTCTTACTGAAATTCATATCAAAAAATGTGTCTGTAAAGATTAAAGGCATAAGTTGAGCTAATGTTCTTATCTTAATTAAGTACATTTCTTAAACATAGGAATGAGATGCTGAATCAAATGGATTGCAACACCTATATTAATGGTTTTAAGCTATGTGTTTAGCAGGCACTAAACAGGCAAGACAAAATTTCCAATTTTTAATTATCTGAACATTTTTGTAATTGTCTAATCCCATGGGTCTGTTGCAATTGCCAGGATTACCCCAAAGCCATGGAGTCTGCAACATGCAGCATCTTCTTACCATTCATGGCCACAGGTATGAGCTATTTGTTCTTCATTTCAACCTCTTAAGCCTTTTGACTCTAACTTAATTGCACTTTCAACTCCATATCTGAGCTGTAGCACCCATCTTTGACTTTGGCTCTACTCCCAAACTACATTGCAGATCTCTCCAAGCTCTCTATCTATGCACACTCCCCATCCACCTCCCACTCTCACCCTCACCCACAGCCTCAGATTACCCTAAATGTACTCTGTCCTAGCTCAGCCAGCTCCCCTCCCAACCCGTATAATTCCCCTGCAATTGGATAGAGACATTTACAGATGCTACTTAGGCTTGGCTTTGACTCAGTCCCATTAGCGGACCCTGGACAATAATTTATACAACATCATTATATTTCCATTTGTACAGTTTGGTCCAATCTGTTCTCAACCAACTGACCACACTATTCACCCTGAAGTTCACTGGACCAGATTTTACCTAATAAATGTGATGTAAACCCTATAAGCATTATTTTTCCCTGGATCTTACAACTCACTCCCATTCCAAGGTCGGCCTTGCCTTGTACATCTTCTTCCCCCTCCCTTTTCATCAACTCATTTTTCTCAACTGCTTTGCCACATGATGCCAAAATAAAATGCAAACTCCAGGCCTAGAAGACTCTGAGGTACTCAGGTTCCTGTATACCTCTCAGATCTTATCTTTTAGAATTGCCTCCTCACTGCTCACCCATTGTGTTTTAGTTACACTGCCCTTTATATACAGCTCTTCTAACATCCTAAGCTTATTCCCAATTTAGAGTCTCCTCACTTGCTCTTCCTTTTGCCTGCCGTGTTCCTCTTTGAAGTATTCTGCTTACCATTTATGTCTCAGCTCACATATCACCTTGGAAACACACAACTGGGTCACCTTTCCAGCCAAGCTTCATCCTTAAAGTTTCTGTCCACAACATTTCCCAGTGTTTTGTCCTTTGTACTATTAATTATCATTTCAAATTATCTTAATTATGCATTCATGTTTTTATTATACATTTTCCCTCATTTAAATATAACTTATTTAAGAGCAGTACATTTTATGTCTTGTTCTCTGTGTTATCACCCATTATGAAGGTGACTGGAAAATAGAAGATTGTCATGAAATATTTATTGATTTAATTAATAAAGAAGGCAAACCACATAAAAGAGATGGGGGTTACTTAAATGAGTTTTTAATGACTTTGTTCTTTTTATTTTATATTTATTTTTTTTTTTTTTTGAGACAGAATTTTGCTCTTGTTGCCCAGGCTGGAGTTCAATGGCGTGATCTTGGCTCACCACAACCTCCACCTCCGGGGTTCAAGTGATTCTCCTGCCTCAGCCTCCAGAGTAGCTGGGATTACAGGCATGTGCCATCATGCCCGGCTAATTTAGTATTTTTAGTAGAGATGGGGTTTCTCCATGTTGGTCAGGCTGGTCTCAAACTCCTGACCTGAGGTGATCACCCACCTCAGCCTCCCAAAGTGCTGGGATTGCAGGCGTGAGCCACCGCGCCTGGCCGACTTTGTTCTTATTACATCCTTTTTGCTTGATGATATAAGCAAATTATTAATCTAAATTAAGGTAGGCCCCTTATATTGTATAATACACTCATCATTTTATTGTGTAAACCATAATTCAAAATTCACTGATGAGGATAAATAAAATTGCTTAAAATGGTGATAAATTTATGCTGGAGAAGATTTAGACAATTAAAATTTTTTTTTATTTTATGAATCCTCATTGTAGAAAATGCATTTGTCTGGGGGAAAGAGTGTGACTTCATAAGAATACAACAAACTTTTCAAAGACAACAATGACTCTAATTTCTCACTGTCTGCCAACTGAAAGTTCACATATAATATGATCCATGTTTGCCTTTATGTATTCAAATAAGTTTGTGAAGTCCTAAAAAAGATCTGGGTATGATATCAGCCACTGGCCTTACAAAGACTATAGAAGGCTTTGATCAAAAGCATTTTTCCTCATTTCATCTCTGCCATGGAACCGGCTGTATGCAGCCTGGTAAATTGGTACAATTTTTCATTCAGTGTTTCTACTAAATTCCTATATCTCTTCTCAGTTTCATCAAGATGTGTATAGTTATTCTTTCATTAACTTAAGTGCTATCTTTACATATTAGATTCATCATTTTTAAATGTAATAATACAAACATTTTCTGATGAGTGGTTATGTTGATATATAATTTTTTTCTTTTAAGTACAAAGTTCCAGACAAATGTAATGAATCCTTATTCCCTTGGAGACCTCTGAGTTAATCCAAATTTCTACAACATAAAGTAGTTTTATTGTTGCTGTAGTGAAGATTAACTATAATTTATTAAATGTGGGCTGCTTAATAACTGTGCTATAAACTCGAATCTTAGATATTGAGATTATTGTTTTTATTAGCACTGTTAACTGAAATTTTCAGATTATGTACATGTCAAGAAACAGCTCATGTAGTTTTGTGTTATTTATGAGATACTTAAGAACATTTGAGCTCAGATGTATAATTCTTAGGAGACAGATACCTGAAGACAGTAAAAACCTCATATAAAAATAATGGAGAAAGGTTAGTAGTCATTGCATTAAACTATAGTTTCCATCCATTTTGAAGTGAGTCCAGCATTTCTCCCCAAATTTATGGCTGAGGTTTATAAGCTTCATATTTATCATAAGAGCTTTGTTGGAATCTGCAAACTGTTAAGTGACATAATTTTACATTTTACTATATCAAATTGAGTGGCAAGCTTTTGAGGTTACAGAAGAAATTGCTATAGCAGAGATGTAGTCGCTATAATCTTGTTCACTAAAAATAACTACTAAGTATGCTGAGTGCTTTCCAAGTGTTTGGCCTTGTACTAAGTGATTTTCATTTATTAATTCACCTAACTCTTCAATGAACTCTGTGAAATAGGTTCCTTTATCATTTCCATTTACTGAAAATTGTAAAGAGGTCATGAAATTTGCACGAGAGCACTCAATGAAAGAGCTGTGATTTCAAAATTTCAAACTAGACACTTTTTTCATTATTTTTTTTTCATTCTTCCAGCTTCACTGAGGCATAATTGGCATATAAAAATTGAATATATTCAAAACGTGCAATGTGATGATTCTGTACATGAATCCATTGTGTAATGATTACATTATATTCAGATATTAATAATCACACATCGTTACAATTGTGTGTGTGTGTGAAGTCACTTAAGATCTACTATCATAGCAAATTTCCAGTAAATAAAGTATTATTAACCACAGTCACCATGTTGTATATTAGATTCCTATAATTTATTCAGCTAATAACTAAAAATTTGTACCCTGTGACTAACATCTCCCCATTTCTCCCAACCCCCTATCCCCTGGCAACCACTCCTCTACTCGGCTTCTGTGAGTTTGCCTTTCTAATCTCCCCTAAATGGTCTCTGATCTTCCGGTCTAGCACACAAAAGGAACAGGAATTTGGAAGGAGAATGGGCCAGATATGGCCAAGGAGAAGAGGAACAACTCTTCATTCATCCTATATTCTGTGACACAGAGTTTGATGTCTTCATAAAATAATAATTGCCTTTCTAGACTAAGTAAAACTAATTCTTTAAAGACCAGGCCACATTTTGTTTTTTATTTTAATTCAGTCTTTTGTAGTTTCTCCAATATATATGTACTTTTTTCATTCTTTGGCAGCCACTTATGATGTGTGAAAGTCATACCCAAGTTTACCTTCATGTGTTGTAATTATAATTTTTGTTTATGGAGCCATTTATTTGCTCATTCCTCAAAATTTCATTGAATATGTCTGCGAACCATGTATTAAGAAAACAGGGAGGAATAAGGTAAGCTATCTGACCTTGAGTATCTTACCTTTGGTATAAAAAAATTCTCACATATAAAATTCATGTGTAATCCTGTGGTTACATAAGACAAAACAAAATTGTATTGATTACAATCAAACCACTTACATTTCTATGATTTCTTAAACTGCAAGAGGTAAAACGGAAAATTCTCGAGGAAGTAGATTAATAGTTAAGAAAATGAAGAACTTATTGAGTAAATTGACTGTGGAACTGAAGCCACAAATGAAATTATAAATACCCCAAAATCTTTGGCTACTGAAATAAATAAATATAATAAGGCATACTGAATAAAGAGAATGTTAGTGGCTTTTTACACACCTGCTCAATTTAGTTAAATACAAATTATGTGATTGATTTATTTTGATGTATAATTGATGTATTTACAAATGATTTGTAAGTACAAATTACACAATTATACAATTGGTTTAATAGAAATTATACAATTGTACACATAAGTACAATTACACTAGAGTGTTTACACTACTTTGTCTCTTAAAATTTGATATAAACTCCTCCAATTTCCTTTCAATTTATTATTATGCTTGTTAGTACATTTTGCTTTGTTCCAGACACAGGCATGCCAGTGAATGTATTTTCACTGTCTGTACTCCATAGAATTTTAAATAACACATTTTATGGAGATACAATTCATGCGCCCTATAATTCACACATCTAATGTGTAAAATTAATTCAAAATCGTGCACACATCACCATGATCAATTTTAGAATATTTTCATTACCCCAAAAAAGAATTCCACACCATTGGCAATCACTTCCCATTCTTTCCCGCCCCGAATCCTAGACAATCACTAATGTATTTCTATCTCCATAAATTTGCCTGTTTTGAACATTTCATATAAATGAAGTCATGCAATATTTCATCTCTCTGACTTGTTTCTTTCAATTAGCATAATGTTCTCAAGGTTTAACTGTGTTGTACTATGTGCCAATAATTTATTCATTTTAATTGTCAAATAATATTCTATTCTATACATATACCATATTTCTATCCTTTCATCAGTTCATCAACATTTGTGTGGTTTTTACTTTTTTTACTTTAATAAATAATGCTGCTATGAACATTCATCAAAAATTTTCTGTGTGAGCATGTTTTCATTTATTTTAGGTATGTACACGGGAACAGAAATGTTATGTCCTATGGTATCTATAAATTTCACTTTTTGAGGAACTGCAAACTGTTTTCCAAAGTAGATGAACAATTTTAGATTCTGATTAGCGATGTATGGAGATTTCCATTTTTCCACATCCTGTCCGGCACTTGTCATCTGTGAATAGATACAATTTTACTTTCTCCTTTCCTATATAAAAGTCTTTTTTTTTTTCCCTGTGGTTGCCTACCACCACTACAATTTTGAGTAGAAATTATGAAAGCCAACATCCCTGACTTGTTGCTGATCTTATACCCAACATTAGGCATAAATTTAGCCGTGTATTTTTAACAGATATTCTTTAGCAGGCTGAGGAAGCTCTGTTTTATTCCTAGCTTGTTGAGTATATTTATCAGGAAGAGTAGTAGTTGAATTTTGTATAGCGATTTTTCTTTATCTATTGAGACATTCAAGTGACTTTTTGGTTTTATAAGTATGGTGTACTACATTAATTGATTTTTGGATGTCAAACCAAATTTGAAGTCTGAGGATAAAACCCACCTTGTTATGGGACATAATCTTTTTATATATTGCTGAGTTCAGTTTTCTAGCATTTTGTTAATGATTTATGTGTCTATATTAGTAAGATATTTATGGTTTTCTTTTCTTACATTTTTTTCTGGCTATTGTATTAGGATAATACTAGACCCATAAAATGAGATGAGAATTTTTCTTTTTTCTGTTTTCTGGAAGAGTCTGTGAAAAAAAATTATAAAAAAATCTTTTTTAGAAGTTTGGTAAATTTTACCAGTAAATTCTTTTGAGTATGTGCTTTTTTTGTGTGTGGTAGTTACTACCTCAATCTCTTTACTTGTTACAGGACTGTTTAGATTTCGTATTTCTAAGGCAGCTTCAGTTCTTTTCTAGGAATTGTCAGTTTCACCTATGATATCCAATTTTTCAACATACATTTGTTAAAAATATTACCTTATAATCCTTTTTATTTCTGTAAAGTTCGTGGTAATGTTACTTCATTCCTGATTTGTAATCCCCTCTTCTTACACTGGTCAGTCTAGCTAAAAGTTTGTCAATGCTGTGGATCTTTCAAATAAACAACTTTTGGTTTAATTAATTCTTCCTATTGATTTTCTCTTTTCCATTTGATTAATTCTCACTCTATTTCTTATTATTTATCTTTTCTGTTTAATTCTGGTTTACTGTGATTTTCCCCCAGCGTCTTAACATAAAAGTTAGATTAAGATATTTCTTCTTTTATAATTTAATCCTTTTCATCTGTAAATTTATATCTCATCACTGCTTTCATGGCAGCCCCAAAGTTTGGGGTTATTGTACCTTCATTTTTATTCATCTTGATATTTTCTCTAATTTTTGTTTTTTGTTGGCTTATTGGTTATTTAGTAGTGTTTTAATTTTCACATATTTGTGAATTTCCAAATTGTCTTCTTTGTTTATAATTTTGCTCCATTGTTGTTGAATAAGCTATTTCATTCAATTATTTTAAATTTGTTAAAGTTTTTTGTTTTATATTTAATAGGGTTTCATGTGCATTTGAGAAAAAAATTCTATCTTATTACCGTTAGATTGAGTATCCTACGGATGTCTGTTAGGTATAGATGGTTTATAATTTGTTCAAGTCTCTTACTTCCTTGCTGATCTTCATAGTTGTTCAGTCTATTAATAAAATAATATTTTAATCTCCAATTATTTTCTATTTATTCAATTATATTCAGTTTGTTTTACTTATTCTAGTGTTTTGTGTTTAGTTATATATACTTAAAAACTGTTACATTGTGTTAAAAATTGTCCTTTTAATTACTATAAAATGTTTTTCTTTATTTCTAACTACATTTGAATTTGTGTGTGTATTGGTCCATTTTCACGCTGCTGCTAAAGTCATACCTGAGACTGGGTTACAAAAGAAACAGGTTTAATGGACTTACAGTCCAAATGGCTAGGGAGGCCTCACAATCATGGCACAAGACAAAAGCCACTTCTCACATGGTGGTGGCAAGAGAGAGAATGAGAGAGACCGAAAGCAGAAACCCCTTATAAAACAATCAGCTCTCGTGAGAAATATTTACTACCACTAGAACAGTATGGCAGAAACTGCCCCCATGGTTCAATTATCTCCCACTGTGTCCCTCCTACAACACATGGGAATTATGGGATACAACTCAAAATGAGATTAGGGTGGGGACACAGAGCCAAACCATAGCATTCTGCCCCTGGCCACTCCCGAATCTCATGCCCTCACATTTCAAAACCAATCATGTCTCCCAAAGTCTTAACTCATTTCAGCATTAACTCAAAAGTCCACAACCCAAAGTCTTATCTGAGACAGGGTATGTCCCTTCTGCCTCTGAGCCTGTAAAATGAAAAGCAAGTTAGTTACTTCCTAGATACAATGGGTGTACAGACATTGGGTAAATACAACTGCTCCAAATGGGAGAAACGGCCAAAACAAAGGGGCTACAGGCCTTGTGCAAATACAAAATCCAGCAGGGCCGTCAAATCTTAAAGCTCCAAAATGATCTCCTTTGACTCCATGTCTCACATCTGGGTCACGCTGATGCAAGAGGTGGGCTCCTGTGGCCTTGTGAAGCTCTGACCCTGTGACTTTGCAGGGTACAGCCCCATTCCTGGCTGCTTTTATGGGCTGGCATTGAGTGTCTGCAGCTTTTCCAGGCCCATGATGCAAGCTGTTGATGGATCTATCATTCTAGGGTCTGGAGGGCGGTGGCCCTCTTCTCACAGCTCCGCTAAGCAGTGCCTCAGTAGGGACTCTGTGTTGGGGTTTGGATCCCACATTTCCTTTTGGCGCTGCTCTAACAGAGGTTCTCCATGAGCACTCTGCCCCCATAGCAAGTTTCTGCCTAGACATCTGGGCATTTCCATACATCTTCTGAAATCTAGGTGGAAGGTCCTAAACCTCAATTCTTGACGTTTGTGCTCCCTCAGGCTCAACACTAGATGGAAGCTGCCAAGGCTTGGGGCTTGCACCTTTTGAAGCCACAGCCCAAGCTGTATCTTGGCCCCTTTTAGTCATGGCTGGAGTGGTTTGGACACAGGGGACCAAGTCCCCATACTGCACATAGCAGAAGGATTGTCTGTCTCACAGCTTTGCCTAGTGAGCCTATGTAAGTCAATACTAGCGGAAGGACAACATAGCACCCAACAGTTTATTAACTGGACTTTAGCACTCAACCCTGAGCACAAAGGCAATGTTGGGCACGCTGGTAAAGGACCACTAGAATCCAGCAGCCCAGACCCCTTTCTTTGCAGTCAAGAAAGGCGGGAAAAGGGGTGCAGGACTGCTACATTGGTGAGCGTAACTAATCCGATAAGCGGAGGTCCATGGGTGGTTACACACCATGGAAAGGAATAAGCATTAGGACCAGAGAGGATGCTCTAGGACTAATGATCATTGGAAAATGACTAGGGGTGCTGGCATCATTATGTTCTTTTTTCAGCACATAAAAACCAGCAAGTCCATCTTTTTCTCCTCGCTCTCCTTCTCATAGGTAAAAGGCACACAGGATAAACAGGATCCATCGCTCATATTTTGTACCCAAAAGGACTTAATCTGGGGCAACAAAAAGTATAAGATTGAAAATTAGGGCATATTCCTACAAAGGAAAAGAAGGACAAAGGCCCTAGTAGGCAAAAACTCTATCTCAATCCTGACTCAAAAAATTACCTACACCCTCTCTGAAATGAATTTGCTAGGATGTTCTTTATGGGAATGCACCTTGATGGGGCAACTGGGTGGTTATGAAATACTCAGGAATCCAGCCCAGCTCTAGAACTCAACCCTGAGCACAAAGGCAATGTTGGGCACGCTGGTAAAGGACCACTAGAATCCAGCAGCCCAGACCCCTTTCTTTGCAGTCAAGAAAGGCGGGAAAAGGGGTGCAGGACTGCTACATTAGTGAGCGTAACTAATCTGATAAGCGGAGGTCCATGGGTGGTTACGCACCGTGGAAAGGAATAAGCATTAGGACCAGAGAGGATGCTCTAGGACTAATGATCATTAGAAAATGACTAGGGGTGCTGGCATAATTATGTTCTTTTTTCAGATGGGAAACATTCCCCACAAGGCAAAAATGCCCCTAAGATGTATTCTGGAGAACTGGGACCAATTTGACCCTCAGATGCTATGAAAGAAATGACTTATATTCTTCTGCAGTCCCACCTGGCCACAATATCCTCTCCAAGGGGGAGAAACCTGGCCTCCTGAGGGAAGTATACATTATAACACCATCTTACAGCTAGACCTATTTTGTAGAAAGGAGGGCAAATGGAGTGAAGTGCCATATGTGCAAACTTTCTTTTCATTAAGAGACAACTCGCAATTATGTAAAAAGTGTAATTTATGCCCTACAGGAAGCCCTCAGAGTCTACACTTCCCTGCCCCGGTGTTCCCCCAGCTCCTTTCCCAACTAATAAGGACCCCCCTTCAACCCAAACAGTCCAAAAAGAGATAGACAAAGGGGTAAACAATGAACCCAAGAGTGCCAATATTCCCCGATTATTCCCCCTCCAAGCGGTGGGAGGAGGAGAATTTGGCCCAGTCAGAGTGCATGTACCTTTTTCCCTCTCAGACTTGAAGCAAATTAAAATAGACCTAGGTAAATTCTCAGATAACCTTGATGGCTATATTGAAGTTTTACAAGGGTTAGGGCAATCCTTTGATCTGACATGGAGAGATATAATGTTACTGCTAAATCAGACACTAACCCCAAATGAGAGAAGTGCCGCCATAACTGCAGCCCGAGAGTTTGGTGATCTCTGGTATCTCAGTCAGGTCAATGATAGGATGACAACAGAGGAAGGAGAACAATTCCCCATAGGCCAGCAGGCAGTTCCCAGTGTAGATCCTCAATGGGATACAAAATCAGAACATGGAGATTGGTGCCACAAACATTTGCTAACTGGCATGCTAGAAGGACTAAGGAAAACTAGGAAGAAGCCTTTGAATTATTCAATGATGTCCACTCTAACACAGGGAAAGGAAGAAAATCCTACCGTCTTTCTGGAGACACTAAAGGAGGCATTGTGGAAGCATACCTGTCACCTGTCTCTATTGAAGGGCAACTAATCTTAAAAGATAAGTTTATCACTCAGTCAGCTGCAGACATTAGAAAAAAACTTCAAAACTCCACCTTAGGCCCAGAGCAAAACTTAGAAGCCCTATTGAACTTGGCAACCTCAGCTTTTTTATAATAGAGATCAGAAGGAGCAGGTGGAACAGGGCAAACGGGATTAAAAAAAAAAAAAGGTCACCACTTTAGTCATGGTCCTCAAGCAAGCAGACTTTGGAGGCTCTGGAAAAGGGAAAGGCTGGCCAAATTGAATGCCTAATAGGGCTTGCTTCCAGTGCAGTCTACATGGACACTTTAAAAAAGATTGTCTGAATAGAAATAAGCCACCCCCTCGTCCATGCCCCTTATGTGAAGGGAATCACTGGGAGGCCCACTTCCCCCAGGGAATGAAGGTCCTCTGAGTCAGAAGCCACTAACCTTTGAGATGATCCAGCAGCAGGACTGAGGGTGCCCGGGGCAAGCGCCAGCCCATGCCATCACCCTCAAAGAGCCCCGGGTATGCTTGACCATTGAAGGCCAGGAGGTTAACTGTCTCCTGGACACTGGCGTGGCCTTCTCAGTCTTACTGGCCTGTCCTGGACATCTGTCCTCCAGATCTGTCACTATCCGAGGGGTCCTAGGACAGGCAATCACTAGATACTTCTCCCAGACACTAAGTTGTGAGTGGGGAACTGTACTCTTTTCACATGCCTTTCTAATTATGCCTGAAAGCCCCACTCCTTTGTTAGGGAGAGACATGCTAGCAAAAGCAGGGGCCATTATACACTAGAATTAGGAGAAGGAAAAAGGGTAAATATATATACAGACTCCAAGTATGCTTACCTAGTCCTCCATGCCCACTCAGCAATATAGAGAGAAAGGGAATTCCTAACTTCTAAAGAGGTGGCAGTCTTACACTGCTGGGGTCATCAGAAAGGAAAGGAAAGGGAAATAGAAGGGAACCACCAAGCAGATATTGAAGACAAAAGAACTGTAAGGCAGGACGCTCCATTAGAAATGCTTATAGAAGGACCCCTAGTATGGTGTAATCCCCCCTGGGAAACCAAGCCCCAGTACTCAGCAAGAGAAATACAATGGGGAAACTCACGAGGACATAGTTTCCTCCCCTCAGGATGGCTAGCCCATTAAGAAGGAAAAATACTTTTGCCTGCAGCTAACCAACAGAAATTACTTAAAACCCTTCACCAAACCTTTCACTTAGGCATTGATAGCACCCATCAGATGGCCAAAACATTATTTACTGGACTAGGCCTTTTCAAAACTATCAAGCAGATAGTCAGGGCCTGTGAAGTGTGCCAAAGAAATAATCCCCTGCCTTATCGCCAAGCTCCTTCAGGAGAACAAAGAACAGGCCACTACCCAGGAGAAGACTGGCAACTAGATTTTACCCACATGCCCAAATCTCAGGGATTTCAGTATCTACTAGTTTGGGTAGATACTTTCACTGGTTGGGCAGAGGCCTTCCCTTGTAGGACAGAAAAGTCCCAAGAGGTAATAAAGGCACTAATTCGTGAAATAATTCCCAGATTCGTACTTCCCCGAGGCTTACAGAGTGACAATGGCCCCGCTTTCAAGGCTGCAGTAACCCAGGGAGTATCCCAGAAATTAGGCATACAATATCACTTATACTGCACCTGGAGGCCACAATCCTCAGGAAAAGTTGAGAAAATAAACCAAACACTCAAGCAACATCTAAAAATGCTAACCCAAGAAACCCACCTTGCACAGCCTGCTCTGTTGCCTATAGCCTTACTAAGAATCCAAAACTATCCCCATAAAGCAGGACTTAGCCCATACAAAATGCTGTATGGATGGCCCTTCCTAACCAATGACCTTGTTCTTGACCGAGAGACAGCCAACTTAGTTGCAGACATCACCTCCTTAGCCAAATATCAACAAGTTCTTAAAACATTGTAGGCAACTTGTCCCCGAGAGGAGGGAAAGGAATTATTCCACCCTGGTGACATATTGTATTAGTCAAGTCCCTTCCCTTTAATTCCCCATCCCTAGACACATCCTGGGAAGGACCCTATCCAGTCATTTTATCTACCCCAACTGTGGTTAAAGGGGCTGGAGTGGAGTCTTGGACACATCACACTTGAGTCAAACCCTGGATACCGCCAAAGGAGCCTGAAAATCCAGGAGACAATGCTAGCTATTCCTATGAACCTCTAGAGGATCTGTGCCCGCTCTTCAAGCAACAACCATGAGGAAAATAACTAGAATCATAGATCCCCATGGCCTTCCCTTGTCATATTTTTCTTTTTACTGTTCTCTTACCCCTTTCACTCTCACTGCACCTCCTCCATGCCACTGTACTACCAGTAGCTCCCCTTACCAAGAGCTTCTATGGAGAATGTGGCTTCCCAGAAATATTGATGCCCCATCGTATGGAGTTTTTCTAAAGGAAACCCCACTTTCACCACCCACGCCCTTATGCCATGCAACAGCTATAACTCTGACACTCTTTGCATGCATGCAAATACTTCTTATTGGACAGGAAAAAATAATTAATCCTAATTGTGCTGCAGGGCTTGGAGCCACTGTCTGTTGGACTTACTTCACCCATACTGGTATGACTGATGGGGGCTGAGTTCAAGATCAGGCAAGAGAAAAACACGTAGAGGAAGTAATCTCACCGTCCTGGGAACGGCCTGCCACCATCTTAAGAGCTCTAAGAACAAAGACCTGCCAGTAACATTGTAATTGATATAAATTGATTTAGGTCTGCCGTTTCACATTTAATTTTCTATATGCTTCCTATCTGTTTATCTCTTTTCCTCTTTTACTGCTTTATTTGTATTAATATTTCTAATGTATTAAAATTTTTTGTGTTACATTTGAGGTTTTTTGAATGCTTCCCATTGTGCTTATCATATACTTCTTAGCTTACTGGAATCTACCTCAGATTTATACTAAATATTAAAAGATGTAGAAATGTTACTCCTGTAGAGCTCTATTGTCTCTTACCTCCTTTTTTGGCAATTATTGTCATACATACTCAATAATACATTGTTGTGCATATTACTGTATATAATTTTATGTCATTTAAATAAATTGATGAGATAAAGCATGTTTAAATAGTGTAGTTTTTGCTTTATTATTAATTGGCACATAATAATTAGACTTCATGGGGTACAGTGTGACATTTCAATACTGGTATATTTATACAGTGTGTAGTGATCAAATCAGGATAATTAGCATACCCATCACCTCGAACATTTATCATTTCTTTGTGTTAGAAATATTCTAAATCTGTACTTCTAGCTATTTGAAATACACAAAAGGTTATTGTTAGTTATATTCACCCTATAGTGCTATAGAACACCTAGAATGTAATCTTCCTATCTAGCTGTACTTTTTGTTTAACCAACCTTTGCTATCCCCCTATAGTGTTTTGTATTGACCTTTGTTATTATTATTTCTGCTCCTTTATTCACTTCATCACATCAGGTAGAAATCTTCAGTTAGGTAATATTTTATACATAATATGAAAAGAAAAGAATGAATATACTTTAGGAGAACGTGAAGGCAACAGGACAAGGTGGCAGAAAGATGCCAAGTAGACTTGGAGGAGCTCCAGCAAACAGGTGGCACTAAAGCACATCAGCCCTCATGAAGAGGTTTTCAATTTATTCTACAGTTGCTACTCTTGCATCCAAAATAGTACCTATGGTGGTGCAACATTTTTGTATTCTAGTAAAAATTTTTCTTTAAAGATGTATGAGGACACATAAAACGATAAATATTTGAGGGGGTGTGCATCCTAAATACCCTGAATTATTACACACTGCATGTATGTATCAAAATATCACATGTACTCCATAAATATGTTTAATTATTATATATCAACTTTAAAAAATTAAAATAGCAGCGAAGCATTAGGACACTAGCAGAGGAAATACTAAACTGACCCACGAAGAAACTTTCACAGCTAAGGGCCCATGTGTGGACACACAGAAAACAATTACTGCTGAACATGTAACAAAAAATTACCTACAGATTAGGAATATACATGCCTCTAGTAGAGAGTACACAAAAGCCACAAATGAGAAGCTACAACGTGGAACTCATAGTTAACAAGGAAATCTGCAAAGGACTTCAGAGAACTATGTTAAACTGTTAAGAGAGAGAAATAGAGGAATTAAGCTTGCAATGCAAGAATGCAATAAAACAGTTTGAAGAAAAAAAACAGTCAAAGGGAGTGGGATAGAGAAGAAAGGTGTGCAAAGAAATTTTTAAAAAATGGTAAAGCTAAAACCACTACCTACTATTTAGTGTGTGTGTGTGTGTGTGTATATATATATATATATATATAAAATTTAGTGTGTATGAATATATATATAATCTGCTATAAACAGAATATATGCATATACATTTTATCTGCTATATACTGTTTATATATAGCAGATATAATTTCAGATAGATAGTATTTCAAATTTATCTGCAGAACTCCTCTCTAGAGACATGGCCGTGAGTAAATTCAGGGAGTCATAGCACAGCCTTGGAGCCTGTTCCTGTCTGGATTGGACCTCCATTGACCGACTATTACAATAAAAGCCACAGTAAAATCCAGTAGCCTCTGGAAACCACTGAAGCAGAAGGTATTCTAGCACCAGCAAAGGAAACAGGAAACTTGTTAGATCCAGACACTATATTCCAGATATAGACTCCCCCAGTTTTCCCAAGGGCTTCTTAAACATTTCTTATAAACACTGTTTTTGTTAGAAGCACCAAATGTATCATAGACTGGATTTATTTTCTCCTCTTTTCATTTACTGATTGACCTACCTCTCTGAGATTCTCATTTAGCAATGGCTTTGCTTGTGAATGGGGCAGGTCTTTACCTAAATCAAATGCATTACAGCATTGCCATAGAAAAACATAAAATTGTATATAGCCAGAGGTAGAAAGGAAGGATCATCTATAATGGAGTTACAAAAAAATGACACCACTGCAGTAATGTCTAATATAAAATATCTTCTACATTTTGTAAAGAAGTAATAGCCAGCTTTGAACTGTGATTTTGACTAAACCGTCATTCAAGAACAAGAGCAATATGGAGACATTTCCAGGCAAATTAAACCAAGAACATTAAAAAAATTATGAGAGCCTGAGATACTGGAGAACTCAGGAGAGGGGTCCTATAATCTTGAGCTAGTTGAACAATGCAAATAAAGGAGGTAAGATAAATGAAATCATACAGAATGTGATCTTTCAGTATTCACTTCTTTTTCACTCAGTGTAAGTCTCTGGAAATGCATCCAGATTGTTATTTTCAGATAGTTTTGTTCCTTTTTTATTGCTGAGTTGTTTTCCATGGTAGTATAAATGTACCGCACTTCATTCATTCATTCATTCATTCATCTGTTGAAGAACACCTGAGTAGTTTCCCCATTGGGACCATTACAAATACAACTTCCTTAAACATTAATGTACAGTGTTTTGCATGAACATAAGTTTTTGTTTCTTTGGGATAATGCCCAGGAGTGCAATTGTTAGGTCATATGAAATTTAAACATCTAGATTGTTAAGAAGTGGCCAAAGTGATTTCCAGAGCAGATGTACCATTTTCCATTGCATGTCCCCATACATCTCAGGATTGTATGAATAATCCAGGTTCTCTGCATCTTTTCCAGCATCTGGTATTGTCACTGTCCTTTTGTAAAAATGTTAGTCATTGTGATAGAGTAATGATATTATATTGTGCTTCTAATTTACATCTCCTAAATGGCTATTGGTTGTTTCATGCATGCTTTTGTCATTTGTATGTCTTTAGTGAAATATCTTTTCATATCTTTTGCCCATTTTCAAATTTATTTATTATTGAATTTTAAGTGTTATTTATATATTTCAGATTCTTTGCATTCTTTACGGATATGTGTTTCACAAATACTTCTTCTCACATTGTAGCTTTTCATCCCCCAAAAGACTCTTTTGCAGACCTAATGTTATTGTTTTATTTTGTTTTTAATTTTGATCAAGTCCAATTTATCAATATTTCCTTTTATGGATTGTGCTATGGTATCAAGTCTAAGAACTCTTTGCCTAGCCCTAGACTCCAGTTATTTTCTCCTGTGTGTTTTCTACCACTTTTATAGTTTCACTTTTCATTTAAATCAATGATCCATTTTGAGTTAACATTTCTATAAGATGAAAGCCTTAGGCCAAATCTTACTTATAAATGTCCAATTGCTCTAGCACTGTTTGTTTACAAGGCTGTCTTTCCTCCACTGAGTTGCTTTTGCACCTTTGTTAAATATCAGGTGGACATATTTGCAGAGTTCTGTTTCAATGTTCTGTATATTTTTTCATTGATCTCTGTGTACAAAAATCACACTTTTTATTTTTGTAGCTATATGAAAAGTCTTGAAATCAGATAGCTGTTGCTTCCTTCCTATTTTATTCTTTGTTTCATAATTGTTTTAGCTATTTTAGTTTTTGCCTTTCCATAGAGATTTTAGAATAATCTTGTCTATATTTGTAAAATATGTTGCTGAGACTTTGATAGAAGTTGTGTTAATCATGTATATCAATCTGAAAAGAAGTGACATCTTTATTATGCTAACTTTCCCAATCTGTGAATATACCTCTTTTATTTACAACTTATATCTCTTTTGGTCGCATTTTGTAATTTTTAAATTATGTCTTTTGCATGTTTTGTTAGATTTATACCTAAATATTTCATTCTTATTAAGAAACTATAAGTGGTATTATATTTTAAATTTTTAGTGGCCATGTGTTTATTGCCAGTATTTAGAAAATAAATTGATTTTTGTATGTTTAATTTGTATCCTGCAACCTTGCTAAACTCACTAGTACTGGGTGGTTTACTCTTGTGTTTTGTTTTACTATTTATGGATTTGCGGGGATTATCTATGTAGACAGTTTTGTCATCTGAAAATAAACATATTTTTTCTCTTTCCAAACTGTATGCCATTTATTTCCTGTCTTACTGTACCATCTAGAAATTCCAACACTATATTTAATAAGAAAGCTAAAGGCAGATATCCTAGCCTTATTTTTAATCATATAAGAAAAGCATTCAGTCTTTCATCATTCAGTATAATTTTAAATATCAGTGTTTAAGATACTCTTTTTCAAGATGAAAAAATCTTTTTAATTCCAGTTTTTCTGAAATATTTATGCTTGTGTGTTGAATTTTGAATACGCTTTTTTGCTTATATTGATATGATGATGAAACTTTTAGTTTCTGACTTTTAGTCAGATTACACTGATTTTCTTTTTTCTTTTTTTTTTTTTTTGAGGTGGAGTCTCCCTCTGTCGCCCAGGCTAGAGTGCAGTGGCACCATCTTGGCTCACTGCAAGCTTCGCCTTCCGGGTTCACGCCATTCTTCTGCCTCCCGAGTCGCTGGGACTACAGGCACCCGCCACCATGCCCAGCTAATTTTTTGTATTTTTTCGTAGAGATGGGGTTTCACCGTGTTAGCCAGAGATCACACTGATTTTCAAATATTGAACCAGTCTTACATTCCTAAAATATACTTCAGTTGATAATGGCATATCATTATTATATTACTGAATTCTATTTCCTAATAGTTAAGGATTTTTTTTCTCTATATTCATAAATGATATTTTCTTATAGTTTTCTTTTAGTTTTGTCTTTGGTTTTGGTAATAGGTTACTATTAGCTTCAAAAAATGAATTAGAAGTTTTTTTGCGTATTCATTTTCTGGAAGTGATTGTGTAAAATCAATCTTAATTTGTCATTAAATGACAGGTAGAATTCTCAATTGATACCATCTCAGCTTAGAGGTTTCATTTTTGGTAGATTTTAAATTCTAAGTTTGATTTTTTAGAGTTTTAAGGCTACTGAATATCATGTTGGATGACTGGTTTTTTAAGAAATTGATTCATTTCATAAAGTTATCAAATTTATATGATTAAACTTGTTTGCAGTATTCCTTATTATTCTTTTGACATCTGCAGGGTCTGTATGACTTCCCTCATTTCATTAATTTGCACCTTCTTTCTTTTTAAATTAACAAGTCTAGTAAAAGTTTTGTCAATTATAAATAACTTTACAAATAACCAGATTTTTGTTTGAATAATTTTCTTTATTGCTTTTCTGTTTTCAAATTTATTAATTTCTGCTTTTATTTTTATAATTTCCTTCCTTTTGCTTACTTTGATTTTTTTTCTCTAGGTTTTTGAAGTTGGAGCCTAATTGATGTTTCAAGAGTTTTTCTCCTTTCTAAGCATTTAGTGCCATAAATTTATTTATCAGAACTACTTTAGCTGTGTCCTGTAATTTTAAATATGCTGAATCTTAACTTTCCTTCAGTTAAATATAGCTTACACTTACTTTGAGACTTCCTGTTACCTCTCTGGATTACTTAGAAGTATGTTGTTTAGTAACCAAGTTTTATGGGTTAAATTGTGGTCCCCCTAAGAAAAATATGTCCATGTTCTATTCTTTATCTGTTTATGTGAACTTTTTTGGAAGTAGGGTGTTTGCAGATCTAATCAAGTTAAGATGAAGGTGAGCCATAATCCATTATAACTGGTGTCCTTGTAAGGAGAGGAGTAGAGACAGATACAGACATCCAGAGATGGTTGCTATGTGGACAGGTGGGGAGAGTGAAATGTTGTTTCCAGGAGCCAAGGAATGCCAAGAATTCTAGGTAATCACTGGAAAGAAGTAAGGAAGTGTTTTTTCATAGAGACTTCAGAGGGAGCATGGCCCTACCAGCATCTTGATTTCAGACTTCTAGCCTCCAGAACTATGAGAAAACATTTCAATTGTTTTAATGATACCATAAGAAATAACATACAAAAAAATTATAAATGCTCTTTATTCCTCGTATATCCCTGGAACCCCAGACCAAAAATGCCTTACTCTCTAGAGTCTCATTATTTTTAGATAAGAACACAAGAGGATACTCTTTATAAATGAAGCCTTTCTCCTTCCTTCAGTAGAAATGTTCTATCATTAATTTAAAAACTGGCAAAAATTAATAAAGACTTTATTCCATAATTTATTATCTGTCCTTTAATTGGAGTGCCTTCTAACTTTTCAAAAGAATTTTTGAAGCCAAGTTACATCACTCAGCTTTTATCAGTGCTCTACTTTTCTGGGAAAATGCTTTAAGGTCTAAATCGATAGATTCAGTAGCACAAGTACAGCTCATCATGACCGTCATGCTGCTTGGCTGGCTTCAGTCTATCTCTAGACTCAGCTCTCATCAAACTTAACTCACAATGGCATTCTAATTTGCTAATTATTCAGACCAATTTTCAAACCTTGTGATCATACTGATGCTATTTTTCTCATATCCTTTCCTTCATGGAGTGAAATCTTATGAAATGTTCCATGCCTAGGTAAAATGCTAACATTTTGTGAGATCTTTCCAAATTTCCAAGTACATATTAGAAGTTTCTTCTCCCAAGAGCACAATTTGTCAGTTTTATCACGGCAACTATTATGTCTACAGGCAAATCTATCTAACCCAATATATTGCAGTATATTTTTAGGTAGGATAATATCTAATATTTTTTCTTTTTCTTGTAGCAACTAACATAGTTGTTCGCATACAACTGTATGCAATAAACATTTTTCCACCAGGAAAAGGTGGTTTTATGTCACCAAATGATTCATTCAATCTGGAAAATGATACTTTGCTTCTGAAAGAAACTCCTAGAAGTTACTGTTTAGAAAATTTAATTCCAGTCTGATTTTCATGCCCAGGGTAATATAAAAATAGTCACTGTGGTCTACAATAAAAATATGTTTTACTTTTCTCCCTAATGGTATAGTTAGAGAATTATCCCCATGGTATTATTCAATTCTACCTGTGAGCGAGGTACTGTGCTGAGCTCCTTAGTTACAATATTATGAAGACAGATGCGGAGGGAAATGGACAAAGGAATGTTCATGACAATTTAAAAAGTGTTTAATGACAAATTTTTTTAAAGATCTCATTCATTTTAAGGACTGAAATTGATATGTATGTATCGTAGTTCCTTTATCTATTCATCCATTAACAAACACAGTTTATTTCTCTATCTTAGCTAATTTGATTAACACTACAAGAACAAATGGTAGATGGCCTTGGGTGATTCCTGATGGAAAATGCTAAAGTTTATACTTGGTATTCCTATATCACCTGTTTTCATGGATGAGTCATTTATGATAATTAAAATAATAAGAATTGGAAAAACAGAAAACTAGAAATAAAGTAGACTTTAATATGAAATTGGGCCTATTTATTAAATATTTACCATGTCCAGACATCACACACAATCTAAAATAGAAGGAAATACTATCATATGTGAAAACATGGATGAACCTAGAAGACATTATGCTAAGTAAAATAAGCCAGACACAGAAGGACAAATGCTACATGATTCCAGGTATAAGAGATATCTAAAATAGTGTAAATTACAGAAGAAAATGGAATGGTGGTTGCCAGGAGATAGGGGAGGAGAAAATGGCAATATGTTATTCAATTAATATGAAGTTGCAGTTATACAAGATGAATAAGTTTTAGATACCTGCTATATAATATAGTGCTTATAGTTAACAATAGAGTGTTGTGCATTTTAAAATGTGTTGAGGGAAGATCTCATGTTAAACATTGCTATAGTAAAAATATTAAAATCAAAGAAGCACAAGAAAATTTTTAGAGGTGATAGATATGTTTGTTATCTTGATTGTGGTGATGATATCATGGATATATGCATTTATCCAATTTCATCAAATTGTATACATGAAATATGTGCAAGTTTTTATATATTAATCATACCACAATAAAGGTACGAGATATATATAAATATATAAATAAAAATATATAAATATATATTATTTTATATGATATAAATATATTATATATAATATATTATATAAATATAAATAATATATAATATATAAATATACATATTATGTATAACTATATAATATACAAATACATATAATATATAAATATATATAAAATATATGTAAACATATATAAATATATATTATATATAAATATATCACACCTGGCTAATGTTTTGTATTTTTGTAGAAATGGGGTTTCACCATGTTGCCCAGCCTCGTCTCAAACTCCTGGATTCAAGCAATTCGCCCTCCTCGGCCTCCCAAAGTACTGGGATTACAAGCATGAGCAACTGTGCCCAGCCAATAATTATAAATAAGATTAATAAAATACAATTACAAATATTTAAGGCAGATAACATCATCCTCATTTTATAGAAAATGAAACTAAAGTAATAGTAATAACATCATCAAAAATCCCACTGAATACTAAAAAACACTTTTCAAGTACTTAGCCTCATTTTATTTGCAAGGTTACCTTAAAATGGTTAACCTACATGTTTTGAAGTCACAGAAGTATTTAGTATGTGACAGACTGAGATTCAAACTCGGATTGTTCTGACATACAAACCCTTACTTATAACCACTCTTCTGTAAACACATGAAGTTTTCCTGCATATTCCCGATTTTTTATCAACCGGATTGTAAAAATGTCTCTGTTCCACTACAGAACAAGAGTTTAGGAATATGTAAATGAAAACTATCAAAGAAACAACCTTATCCTCATCTCTGAAAGTTTATCAACAACCCATTGCTCCAGGCTGGAGAGGATGAGCCAACACCCATCACTGAAGCCCAATTCCTGCTTTACAACATTTCTCTCTACTAAATCCTGGGCAGCAGGGAAAAATGCAATTGGCCTGAAAAGAGTAGAATTGGCCACAAAAATTCCCAAGTGGTGGGGTTACATGGAGAGGAAGAGAATTAGAGTTTCAGGATTCATTGTTTCAAACAAGTATCCCTGCTAGAAAAATGACAGAGGACAACTAAGACAACTGTTTAATCAAGAGAAACTGCGGATAACGTTTCGGCACAGGATGAATGTCAACACTGACAGTGAATGAATAAAGATGAGGTATTACAATGAATCAGAGGGAAAGCTTCCCATGTGCCTACTGTGAGAAGCCTCGAAATAAAATGCTGTCTTCTTCTATATGTGCACTTAAATTCTTTCTAGTTGTCAGCAGTGGAAACTTAGAACATGAGAAATTCTCTCTTCCATTTGCCCAGTCCAAGTATGCACATGTTTTGATTAAAAATAAACTTTTATTTTGTGCACCTACTCTGTGTCAAGCACTATGAGAGATGAATAGGTGGTAAAAAAAATATAAGAGGAACACATTTCTACTCACAAAACTACTAAACTGGCAGCCTGGACAGCTGAGAAAAGGATACAGAAAGTATAGGAAAAGTCACATAGATGATGAAATACAATCAGTGCTGTAATGAAGGTCTATATAAATCATCCACAAAACAAACAAGCAAGGAATTAGATGTCATTTTATTAAACTCAAAGTGTTCCCATCTTTATGGAATACTAATACTAACCTAGGCCTCAATGTACTTGGTTTCTTTTATTTTCATGTTTTCCTATTGCTGAGTAAGCTTAAAGCATTAAGTGGTTGGTTATCTGTTTCATGTATGTACATATGTTTTTCCCATAAGGGTCATAAACTAGAAAGAAAAAGGCAATGAGTTCATGTGAAATCAAAGTAAGTTAGGGGATGGGGGACATAAGTGTGATGGGCATCAATAAGCAGTGATTGGTTGATCAGGACCAGAGTGCCTTGGGCTCATTTGGATTGACTGTATTCCAGACAAAGGGGAGTCTGATTCATTTAAAAGTTGAGGGTAGAATTAGATATGGAGGATCGAGGTTCTGAGAAGTCTTTAACAAGCCAAAGAAAAGTGATTGAGTTCTGCAGTTCTGATGAATCACTGGTAAATGTGTCTTATCTTTCAATACAGATACTTGCATTTCAAAATTGGGATGGGACAAGTCAAGGAATAAAGCCCAAAAGTAGAAAGGTAGTGATAGAGGCAGGCAACAGCCAAATGCCTAGGCGGATAGGAAAGGGTCCCTGAAGAACCTCTGACCTGTCCAGGTCTTTGTCCACAGGGAGCTTGCCTAAACATGCCCATGGTGAAAAATTCTGTCCCTTAACACATGGGCAGCAATGGAAATAAATCAATGTGGAGTGGCTCAGACTAAGCCCACATGCACACTGGGGAACTGGGGTGCAGCCACCAGTAATTTGTGCCTTGTGCTCAGGAGGATCCTAGCCTCTTCAGCTCATGTGTGGGAGCCCGGGTATTCAATTGTGAGGTGGAAACCTGTTTGCAGGACCCCTCTCTTTGCTGAGAGCTTTCCTTTTGCTTAATAAATTTCACCTTCCTCACCCTGAAATGTGACTGTATGCCTAATTTTTCCCAATCATGAGACAAGAACCCAGATTTAGCTGAACTAAGGAGCAAAAAATCCTTCATCGGTAGGGTTACAGACACTGATTTAGGCAATGTTGGAAGATATATTTTTAAAAATTCTTTACTTGTTTGTATCTCCTCTTTGCCTTCCATCAAACAGTGTTGGCTCATCTACCACACAAACTACACATTATCCTCTTTGCTTGGGCCATCCTCTTATGTGAAGAACTATGTGGTTCTAAGTCTTATTGTGATATGGAATGCTAGGGTGTAGCAATAGTTTTGAATTCAATACAGGTCTTAAAAGTACTTTTTTTTTTCTTTTTTATTTATTTATTTATTATTATTATACTTTAAGTTTTAGGGTACATGTGCACAACGTGCAGGTTAGTTACATAGGTATACATGTGCCATGTTGGTGTGCTGCCCCCATTAACTCATCATTTAGCATTAGGTATATCTCCTAATGCTATCCCTCCCCCCTCCCCCCACCCCACAAAAAAAATTACTTTTCATTTGGTAACAGTCCTTTTAATTTTCAAACTGTTTTTGAGATAGCCAACAGACGTAGCTATAAGAATCAAGGTGACATTATTTCACATCATATTTTCCCTAAGTATGATGATATTATCTGTTCAGAAAACTTCCCCCTCACCCTACCTGCCCATTCCCCCACCACAACCAGTGAGAAAAAAGAAAAGAGAGTAACTCTGTCCCTGCACATTACTTGGGTCACCTCGGAAATGACTGTGGTCCCTGACAGGAAGAATTTTACCTTTAGAGAGTAATACCGTCTCTCAATATAATGGCTATAATTTCTGAAGAGGAAGGGGTAAGGCAGAAGAATGAACTTGGTTTTACATTTTGGGAATGGGATAATGTTTGGATTGCAAAATTCAGTTTCAGAAAGAAAGTGGATGATTCTCTAAGAATGGGTTCTTTAAAATATGCTCAGCAGATCTCAGGAGATCTCAGGAGAAGGGATCCTCAGAGTATTTGTTGAAGTCAAACTTTTAATCTCTACTGGGTACAAGGGGTATGGAAGATTTTGCTCCATTACAGGTACACTTTTAATAGGCAAGAATTCTAGTTTTTGAGAATCCAAGACACTTTCATGAGTATGAAAAAAGTTATGAGATATAGCAGGGACTCCTCTTAGAGGTAGACTGGGCCCAGCCAAGCATGGAAATAAAGGAAAATCTTGATTTCCTTCAAGAAAGATTTGAGGCACCTGTGTAGCTTTGAAAAGTAAATAAGAAGCCTGATAAGCAAGAAGGTAATAACCACTTAAAACAATTGCCAAGGAAGTTAGAGACACAAAATGTTTGTTTCCTTGTAGAAACCAAAGATAACATCGTCACATATGTTCCTGAATTTTCAGAGACCTGGGCCCCCTCCAAAAGGAAAATGTCATCTGCTGACCCAATGTTATAAATTTCTTCCTGAGGGAGCTGGAGGAAGTCATATCCATAAGCCAGAACTTAACATTCTTTCTGCTGACTCCAAGTTTTTAGACAAAGCTTTACTTCCTTAACCAATTATAAATCAGAGAATCTTTATATCTTCCTATTACCTGTGAGGTTCTGCTTCAAGATGTCCCATATTTTTAGGTCAAACCCATACATAGCCTTCATGTATTGATTTATAACTTTGCCCATAACCTCTGCCTCCCATCCTTTAAAAATCTTTACATTTAAGCCATCGGGGGGTGGAGGGGGGGAGGTTAGAGTCTCAAGCATTAGCTACTCAATTCTTGCTTGATGCCTGCAAGACATGCCTCACTTTCTCTCAGTGCAAATCTCGATGACAGTGTGTGGTTTTGCTGCATTGAGCAGGCAGGCCCACATTAGGTTCAGTAGCAGTTATAGGTCCTCTCTCTAGGAGAAAAAAAAAATTATGTGTTCCTATCTGTAGAAACTATCATGTAAGGATAAAAATGAATATGTAAATATTAACATTGGTTTAACAGTCACAATTTTAAGGTGTAGCTTTATGAGACACAGAAAGTTAAACTAGCTTGTTCTGCTCCAACACACAGTTGGAACAGAGAAGTGCCAGGATTCCACCTAAATCAATTTGGCTAAAGAGATCAAGCTCTCACTCCAATATAATCTATGGCCTTGTTAATAAAATATGCAGGTGGTAATATTTTTCTCAATATAAGGGAAGTGTTTATTATAATTTAGCTGTTTCACCATAGAAGGAACACTTCATTCAAAAGTAAACTCAACATTGGAAGCAGTTCAGTAAGAGTATGTTCTACAGAAGGAGTTGGCAAGCTTTCTCTGTAAAGAGATAGATAGTATTTATTTTATGTTTTACAGACTATCTCTGTCACAACAACTTCACTATGTAGTTACAGTGTAAAAGCAGCCATAGGCAAGCCATAAATGAATGAATGTGACTATTTCAATGAAACTTTATTTATGGGCACTGAAATCTGAGTTTCATATAATTTTCATGCATCACAACATATCATTCTTCTGATTTCTTCAAACCATTTAAAAATATGAAAGCAATTTTTAGCTAGAGAGACATGCAAAAGTAGACAGCTAAATTTCTAGATTTGTGAATTGATGCTTTCATATTGTCACAGAACCTCTTCCAGAAGCTATGATTCTCATTTTATTTGAACCAAAAGTTAAAAAAAGGAAATTATAGTATGGAATCAGTGAGTAAAGAATTTCAAAACTGTTGTACTGTAAATCTATAAATAATTATATCAGTTGCCAATTAAATATGTTACACATTCTTTCAAAATGTATTCGCTAAAATACCTACTATGAGTTAGGGACTAAAATAGGAAGTTCACATCTGTTGGTAAGTTGAAAATAATTCGTATTTTCTTGGACTGTAAAGTCTGGTGAGGAGTGTGTGTAGATGGGTACAGACACTAAACCATGAACACACACACAAAAAATTACACATAGTGTTAACTTCAACAAAGTAATACTACAAGTTTCAGTTAAGCCAGATAAATATGCTCTAGAGACCTGCTATGTAATATTGTACCAATGGTCGACAAAAATATATTATGTCCTTAAAAATTTGTCATGAGAGGAGATCTCATCTTGAACGTTCTTTCCACATTTAAAGAGAAGAAGAAAAGGCCAAAAAAGTGCGTTGGAAAGAGATTGTTCTCTCTGCCTTATGTTTGTTTGTTCATGTTGCCATTCTCAGGTGGCTATGTCAATGTCCATGGTGAGTGTGCTGATAAACCAGCTACTGGGAGAGAGGAAACACTTATCTGCAGTATTTGCAAATTTCCCTGATGTAAATATTCTAACTATAGCTGATTTAAAGCTTCCCAAATGACATCGCTAAATGCAGGTTTGAGAAGCAATGTGCATAAATGGCTCTCAGCTGCGGTATGAAACCAGTTCTAACTTATGCAAGCTTTGTCTCAGCTAATCAATTATCTTGGACAATGGCTTTACTTGTCTGGATCACTATTTCCTTATTTGTTAAAAATAAAATGTTATAATAACCCAAGCCATATAATAATATGTCATGCATACCTGACAGTTTTGTAGGAATAAAATGCATCTTATGTAAAAACACTTGGTAAAAGTTCTGTACAGTAATAGAGTTATTGTCATTAGTAATAATAGCAAAAACACTTTTAACTTGAGGAGTGGGGGCATCACATAATTCTGGGATTGTGTTAGCTTTACTAGATATTGGTAATATAATCTTGGGGAATGCACATACATTTTCTTCCAAGTCTGAGTTTGGTTGGATGTTAAATAAGAAACATATAACACATAGGGTTGTGGTACATAAAGGATTTACTGTAGTGCCTGACACATGTGTGCTTAATAAATACTAGCTCTTATTTTTGTAATTTTCCATAAATAACATGCAAATATATCTGGAGTTTAGTTTCTTCATCAGAAAGAAATTAAGTAACCATGCACAGAGGTATTATAAAAAACACAAACACTCCGATAATTTGAAATCGCAATAGTAAAATGGGGAGCAATGAAGAGAATTGGAGTATATTGAGCTCATCTTATTGTGAAATCCAATACTCAAAGCCATTTAGTGTTATGACAACTCACAAGATAAATCCATTTTACAGATGGGAACACTAAGATTATGAAAGTTAGAACAACGCTCAAAGTCATATTTTGTAGGTGGCAAATCTGAGATTCAAAATTTGATTTTTCTTTCTTCAAGGCTTGTGTCCATTCTCTATGAAATAAGACTGTGTGTTTCTAGGTGGACAGATTCCTCCATTTAAATAATTGTTTCCCCACATGTCAGTTAAAGATTATGGAGCTGTTGTCATCCTAATACTTTTTATTCCTAGCCCTGATGATCATTATGTCTTAACATCCAATTTTTTTGCCCTTATTTCATGTGTCATTCGTTATTGATTGTCTTTTTTTTTTTTTCAAAGCCATCCCAGGGTTTAGATAATCTATGAATACAAATTTGATGGTATATGTTGTGTTCTATTTACCCAGTCCTTAAACTATATCCTCGTGTTCTTGAATAATTATCTCCTGTCCAAGTAAGTCTAGAATCATCCCAGTGGTTTATGTTGTCAAAACCAAAAATTCATTTTAGAAGTATTACTTAATAAAAAATTATCTGACAATTTGTGTGTTCTACGCTTACTTAGTGTACACATACACAGGCATAGAGATAAAAATTTGGAAACAAACTACCAGAAATTCATACTATATATAAGAAAATGTAGGCATGGAAGTAGAAAAGGAGAGGAAAATAGATATGTACTTTAAAAACTGAACAAATGAAACACAGCATAGAGCAAATTTGTATTCATGGATTGTCTGAACACTGAGACAGCTGTTAAAAGACCATCAATAATAAATGACACATGGAATGAGGACAAAAATCAGATATTAAGAGATAATGATCAGGACTATGAATAAAAAGTATCAGGATTACAACAGCTCTACATTCTGTAACTGACGTGGGAGAACAATGACTCATACATTATACAGGTGTAAATTAAGTAGAAGGAAGGGTAATGTAAAACACTGAGGAATTTTCATTCTACCTGCCTTTTTTGGACATATCAAAGGCTTTTGAAGACCTTTTTTTCTCTTCTTCTTTAAACAATTTCAAACATATAGAAGTAGTTACAAGAATCATACCAAGAAAGTGTTTTTTTTTTTAACGAATAGCTTAAGTGCTCTCATTACCCCAAAGACTTTAGTGGGGATTTCCTACTAACGGTGATATTCCCTAAGAGAAATTTGATCTCTCTTTGCTTTAATATCTTATATGTCTTGAAGTTAAAGTTCCTCAGGGGCAGAGATATACATATTTTGCCCACTTATTTATTGATACGTTCAACAAATATTTATTTAGTGTGTGTATGTTGGGGTGGAAATCTGGGGTGCTGGTAATGCATGGTTATTTGATGTGAGTCCTGCTTACATGGCTGTGTGCAGTCGAAGAAGAATTATCAAGCTATATGCTTATTCCATAAGGACTTTTCCATATGTATTTAAACACACACAAAATCTGAAAATGTGATGCAGCTACACCTAAAATAAAGCTTATGTGATAGCTGCCCAACAATGTAAATGTATTTAATGCCACTGAGCAATACACTTAAATGTGGCTGCAATGGTAAATTTTATGCTGTGTACATTTTACAATAGAAAAACAATAAATTTTATGAGTGTTGTACAAAAGAGAAAGTGAGAGAATAATTTCAGTTATTTCTGTGGGCTTATTGAAAGGATGTGCAGGCTTTTTGAAAGGATGTGTAATAAAGGATATACAGTAATAAATTCAGTTTCTTCCATAGAACTAAATGAGTTCTGTTTATAGGCTTGCCTGCTATTCTCAAATTCTGCATTATGTTTTATCTTAAAAGGTAGTCATTTGGTTACTTGAAAAACATCTGGAATCATGAAGATCTGATACAATATATATGTAATTTTTGGGGGGGTCAAGGTATGTGTTATGTTTATCATACCTTTATTCACAATACCCCTAGATGGAAAGCGTCTCGTGTTATTTTCAAGCAAGAATTTGAGGATATTTCAAAGTTTCTTCAGCAGTTAAGAGTTTAATTATTCTCCTGAATGATACCTACAGAATTCATTGTTTACATGAATCTCCTGCCATTTTTAGATCCAATTTATCTGGATTTTTCTGCCTTGTAAGACATGAGATTCTGGGCATGTTACTAAACTCTAGTTTCTTCATCCCTAAAAGGGGCAACAAATTTTACCTAATTTATAAAATTATTGTGAAAAGTAATGTAATGCAAGCAGAGTTACTGTATCTGGCATACAATACACATTCCATAATGCTTATTATTATTTATTAAATGTTTTCCATGTATTTTCTATATATCCATGATTGTACCAAATCATCAAGATACAGTGACAAAATAGTCATGGTTGTGGCCCAAACAGGGATTATAAACAGTAAGTTTTCTATTGTAATCTAGGAGAACTACAGGAACAATGCAAATATATAAGAAGGAAATTCAACTTCAAAGTGTGAAGGGGTGCTATCAATAAAATTTCTGTGAAGAAAGTTGGTTAAAAAGTATGAATACAAAGTAGTTAATTCTGAATTCATTGTTTTGCATTGAGAAATGCATGTTGATTACAACATGAATTTATATATCTCATAAATATATTGCCAATTATAACAATTATGAAAGTTTTACTCTTTAATGTATTACAAAGTTATTTTTTTCCTTAGAGATTTTGTATATTTGAATTATTTGCCATTTGGAAGAAAGTTCCAGTAGTCCTTCTACAATTCATTTTTTTCTTTTTCTCCTGCTTTCTTGTTTATCAACTATTTTACTGGGTTTTTGAAACCATTCTTTTAAACATGATGATTTCCCTGTTTCCCGTAAAAACATCATTATCTAAAACAGAAACCAGGACATGCGTTAGTGAAAAATACCCAATATTTTATGCAAGTATTAGCTATCCAGAAACTAATCTTAACCCATTTTTGCCTGAGGTTGCAATTTTTTGAATTTTTGCAGCCAGACCTTGGCAATGACCTTGAGTAGTAGGATATAAATAACTCCCACATGCTTAGCATTCCAATAATGGAACAATAAGCATAAATTGGTTTAAAGAAGCTGGTGTCAGCTATTAACTCCAGGTTGCTTAAACAGCAGCCACCTAGTACATCAGGTAATTTTATCTGTTCAAAGTCAGCCATCAGGACCAACTCGATTCAAATAAAATAATCGAATATTGTCTAAAAACTCACAACTCCCTTTCTCTCCAAAAAGTTTATCAAATCTCTTTCAGCATCCAGAATTCTTGAGCCAAAGCATATTTCTTATTTCAATCTCCTTTAGTCGTTACTGTTACTATTCCTTTGTTACTTCTTATTTGTTTGCTCTTTGAAACATACCTCTCAGGCATGGCTACCTCTCTGTTTTTTCTATTTTTGTGGAATAGAATGTTAATAAATCTAATTTTTTAAAATGCACATGGTAAACTAAAATAAGAAAAGAACAAATTGATTTTTCTCTCTGGCCCCTTTGACCCAGATGTCTGTCCATGGTTTTTCGAGCCTAACTTAAAGAGCCCTGAGCAGCTACCTCCCCTCCACCTGTGGCTTATGGGAAATAAATGCTGGGCTGATACTGACACACCGGAGTTTTGAATTTTGCTCTGTTTTTCACCGAGGTTATGACCCATCACTCAGAAGCTGATAAAAATTCGCCCATCCACTAAGCCAGACAAGTTAACATTAGGAGACATGTTTTTCTGCTACAAGTATGGTAATTGTGAAAAGCACCTACTGAACAGCAGATCAAAAGCTGAGATACCAATAATTATTATTTTTTTTGCCCAGATATTAAGTAGCTGCTTTATTATGAGAGTGTTTTTCTGCTCTGAAACTTTATACGTAGAAATTGTTATTATTTCAATAGGACTGTAAAGGTGATTTTATATACAGCCAATATTTTATAACATTTTTTTCAGCATTACTGAGTAAAATGGACAAATAAAATTTATATATATTTGAGGTGTACAGTGTGATGCATTGGTATACGTATATGTTGTGAAATGATTTCCACAATCAAGCTAGTTAACATATTTATCATTTCACGTAATTACCTTTTCTTATTCTTTGTTGTAAGAGTACTTAGAATCCACTCTCTTAGCAAATTTCAAGTATATAATGCATTACTATTAACTGTAGTCACCATGCTGTACATTGGGTCTTCAGAACTTATTCATCTTATAACTGACAGTTTGTACCTTTTGACAAGCATCTTGCCCATTTCCCCTACCCTGGGCCCCGGTAACATTCTATGAGGTCTGACATAAAAACAGACACACAGGCCAACGGAACAAAATAGAAGACTCAGAAATAAACTCACATGTATATAATCAATTAATCTTTGACAAAGGCACCAAGAATATATAATGGGAAAAGAATAGTCTCTTTAACAAATTGTATTAGAAAAACTGAATATTCATATGCAAAAAAGTAAAACAGAATCCTTATGTCATACACAAAAATCAACTCAGCCGGGCTCAGTGGCTCACGCCTGTAATCTCAGCACTTTGGGAGGCCGAGGCGGGCGGATCACGAGGTCAGGAACTCAAGACCATCCTGGCTGATACGGTGAAACCCGTCTCTACTAAAAATACAAAAAAATTAGCCAGGCATGGTGGCGGGCGCGCCTGTGGTCCCAGCTACTTGGGAGGCTGAGGCAGAAGAATGGCGTGAACCCGGAGGCGGAGCTTGCAGTGAGCTGAGATTGTGCCACTGCACTCCAGCCTGGGTGACAGAGTGAGACTCCGTCTCAAAAAAAAAAAATAAATAAAAAATAAAAAAATCAACTCAAATGGATTCCAGACTTAAACCTGAAATCACAAAATTCCTAGAAGAAAATATGGGAGAAATGTTCCATGACAACTGTCTTGGCAATGAATTTTTAGATATAACATCAAAAGCACAGGCAACAAAATAAAAAATAAGTAGGACTACATCAAACTAAAAAGTTTCTACACAACAAAGGAAAGAGGCAATAAAAAAGGCAACCTAGAGAATGGGAGAAAATACTTGTAAACTATACATGCAATAAGGGATTACTATTCAAAATATGTAGGAAACTTACACAACTCAGTAACACAAATAAACACAAATAGCTTGATTTAAAAAATAAGCAAAGAGCCTGAATAGACATATTCCAAAGAAGACACACAAATAGCCAACAGGTATATTAAAATGTGCTCATTATCACTGATCATCAGGTAAATGCAAATCCAATACAAGGTGAGCTATCACCTCATACCTGTTAGAATGGCTACTACCAAAATGTCAAAAGGTACCAAGTGTTGGTGAAGATGTGAATGAAAAAGGGAACACTGTTGGTGGGAACAACCATATAGGAACAACCATATGGAAAACAGTATAGAAGTTCTTCAAGAAATTAAAAAAGAAAACTACTATATGATCCAGTAATCCCATTTCTGGGTGTAAATCCAAAGGACATTAAATCCACATCCCAAAGAGATCTGCACTCCCTTGTCCATTGCAGCATTACTCATAATAGCCAAGATATGGAAACAACCTAAGTGTTGATGGATGAATAATACAGAAAATATGATACACGTGCGTATATATGAATAATATTCAGCCAAAAAAGAAGGAAATCCTGCCATTTGCAACAACATGCAGAAACATGAAGGACATTATGCCAAATGAAATAAGCCAGACACAGAGACAAATACTACATGAGCACAATTATATGTAAAATCTATAAAAGTCTAACTCATAAAAGTAATTTTTATAAATAATCTAAAGCTACCTACAGCAGGATCTCACTGTAGGAAGTCTTGATCAGAAAAAATTCATCAATAATTTCAATTGTATGTATTCTCAGGAGATAGACAACAAATGCTATCTTCAGGAAGAAATCAAGAAAAAAAAATAAAAAGCATTGCTGTGGGCTCAGGCTTCTGGAACAAGCCACAGTCTAAGAGATAAATCACCTTTATGGTCTGGAATGTGGTCATCATCACTCATATGTATCCCTCTTCAATTGTCCCTAATATTAATGGGTTAGGTACAAAGCCTGTGTCTCTAATAACAGTTACAGAATAATGTAAGAAATGCTCATAGGATTTTGAGGCCAGATTTCTCAAAGTTTAATTAATGTAAATAAGAACTATTGGAATATCTGTTATAAACGCAGCATCCCAGACACCATTCTCAGATTGCTGATTCAGAGACAGAGTTTATGCTATGACCCATAAGACCTTCCAACTATCTAGTCTCCGCTTGTCTCTTCCACCTCAAGTTGCACCAGACGCTCCCCTTCTCTTTCTGTACCAGCCACTATCGTCTTTCTTTTTGCCCAAAATGCTATTGTATGTGCTGTTCTTTGTTTCTGAAAATACCTTACTTTTATTTCTTGCTTTACCTAGCAAACTTTTAATTCTATTCTATGTATTAGGTAAAACTTTGACTTCTAAGGGTAGTAGTCAGTGACCTTCTGGGATTAATTAAATATTTCAATTAGAGTTCTCACACCATGTAGCTTTCTCTCTGTGGTAATCATATGTATGTTTATATACTTAATATCTGACTTCTCTTTTAGAATGTAAGCTCCCTGAGAGAAAATTTATCTTCTCCATGTTTTTTTAATCAGTGCCTACAACAGAGCATAAAACATAGTAAATGTTCAATATATATTAGTGTGATAATTTTTATCATTTTCTTATAGACTCCCTGAGAGTAGTCTATAAATAAAACTGAGAAATATTGATGTCAGAAGGTAGTTATCTACCTCACTCCTCAAAAAACAACCAACAAGGAAAAACCCACTATACTTTGGCAAATAATTCTCTTTCCTGAGCAAATTTAGACTCGTGGACAGTTATATAATACAAGTACAACATGTCTGACCTGAATATGTTACATAACATAAATTTAGAAATTTGTCACCCAACATTCTGTATTATTCTGTATCATATGTTCTTGTTTTACAAGTCACACAAGACTATACACTCTTTCCCCTCCAGTTTATTTTTCATTGGATATTTTTATCAATCATCTCTTCATTTTACTTAAAAAACAAAGCTATTGTAATTTTTAACAGAATAATCCATGTGCTCTGGAATCTCCATATGACTTTAACGGTACTATCAGCGTCTTCAGGGCTCCTCACATAAGCATCTTAACTGTGCCAAGATGAGACAGTATGTCAGCTTCCATAAGCAGTATTTTATTTATTTATAAATATTTACTCCCTAAACAAGACTTTATTCCTCTGTTATTACTGAAGTACTAAAGAGGATCACTTGTTCAAAAGGCATAATATTTAATTGTTTTAGAAGGACTTTCAGTATTTCATAGTTTTATAGGTAGGGCATTTTATCAGCGTATAGAGACCAATGAATATCTACAGCAAAATCTCAGACTCATCCAATGCTGGCTACATAATTCAGAGGACCTAGTACAAAATAAAAATGTGGGACCACTTTTCCACTGTTCAAAAAGCAGTGGAAAAGTGCCATTCGATCAGGAACTGCCTTTCTTCATGGTCTGTCTCTCAATGTATCATGGTGTTTTTATTTGCTATTTAATATTTCAAAAAGAATTAAATTGTAAATTATTAGCATAAATTTTTACCACTCATCTAAATTTTGCAGGGCCAGTTTTAAATGCCAATGCTCAGAATATTTAACCTGCATGTGGAATCAGTAAAACTACACAATTCCTATTTTGTGTCTTGCCAGGGGACAAGAACTGTCCAAAGCAACAAACACAGTCACACTCAGTTCAGACACTCAGACACCAGAGGGCTTTGCTCTGCCACAAGACTGAGGGCTCTGGGTCAATCATTCAGCCACCTGCCAAAATTTTTTTCATGTCCTGACTGGGGAAGCCATGTGTCTCTTTTATCAATGGACCCAATACCATAACTCATGATAGGTGGGTATCCTTCAAAGTTTTTTAAACCTCTGTGCCAGGAGATACTCAATACCTAAATCAGGGATGGAAGAGAAACTCACCACCACCAACAGGCAGCCTCAGGCTGGTCACCTACCATATATGCCTTGGTGCTTTCAACGCAGGGCAAAGATGTCCCTCTCCATGTCCAGCCTGAGATATGGTGTGACACAGGCATCAAACCTGACACCTCTCAAGTTTACTTCAAGGACCTTACCAGGAGCAGAAGGTGGCAGGGCTCACCTTGGCTCAGGGTGCTAAAGTGTGGGGCTGTGAGCAGCCCAGAACTCATTCAAACAGATACAGATGTAGGTAGAACAATATGGGAGCTCAATCTCCAAGCCTCCTATTCATGGTTCACTGACCTGTCAAATTTCACTTTCAAAACATAAATTCAAACAAATTACTAACAATTACAAAACGACAACTGCAGAGCATTAAAACCCCAAGTGCAAGATCCTTAGGGTGAGTCACTGTGTAAACAACTGACAGTAAACCATCTCAACAAAACATAGCTATGAAGCCATCCCTGCCTCTTTCAGATGCTAAAGACTATATGTCACAAGATAACAGGAACGCAGAAACAGATCTTCAGGATAAAGTACAAATATTGTCATGACAAGATGATATATTGTGTTTTTCTTAGTAATGTTGCTGGCATGATACCATTCATCTGCATAGTTTTTGCATTGTTTGGAAGGTGACTTAAATTGGGTAAAAAGAAATAAAAAGTTGAATATTGTTGTAACAGGAAAAAAGTTGGTGGTGGTGGTCTGTAAAGGCCTTGGTTAATAATTTACTACTCAGAGGAAGATTGGAAATATCACAGAGCTTATTTTTCTATGTGGCTTTTGAATGCAAAAGGACAACAAAATTTTCAAAATTATTAGCATTCAACTTGGTGTCTGTCTTCTTTAAGCCACTCCTGGATCCCAAAGAGGTACAATTATTATCACAGATCAGGATCCGTAAAACTATGATTATACAGTATCAGACTTGAAAATTCAGTTACACAAGCTTAAGGGGATCTAAAGAAGATCAGAGAGTTCTTAAATTACTCCCTACAAACGACAGTTCAAATTTTTTTAAAAATGGCTTTGGTCGTATTAGCGATCGGGACTAATTTTCCAGTTAATCGTGCAAGTGACATAGAGTTCAATAATGCTTCCACCTAAAATGAAAACATTTCAACCATTGTGGAAGTCAGTGTGGCGATTCCTCAGGGATCTAGAACTAGAAATTCCATTTGACCCAGCCATCCCATTACTGGGTATATACCCAAAGGACTATAAATCATGCTGCTATAAAGACACATGCACACGTATGTTTATTGCGGCACTATTCACAATAGCAAAGACTTGGAACCAACCCAAATGTCCAACAGTGATAGACTGGATTAAGAAAATATGGCACATATACACCATGGAATACTATGCAGCCATAAAAAATGAGGAGTTCATGTCCTTTGTAGGGACATGGATGAAATTGGAAATCATCATTCTCAGCAAACTATCACAAGGACAAAAAACCAAACACCGCATATTCTCACTCATAGGTGGGAACTGAACAGTGAGAACACATGGACACAGGAAGGGGAACATCACACTCCGGGGACTGTTGTGGGGTTGGGGGAGGGGGGAGGGATAGCATTAGGAGATATACCTAATGCTAAATGACAAGTTAATGGGTGCAGCACACCAGCATGGCACATGTATACATATGTAACTAACCTGCACATTGTGCACACGTACCCTAAAACTTAAAGCATAATAATAATAATAATAAAAAGAATTAGATATAGAATAGAGAAAAATGAAGACATTAAAGTAGCAGCCTAGTTTTATGTTTGAGTAACTGAAAAGACAGAAGTACCATTTACTGAGATAGGGAAGGCTTGGGTGGTGGTGTCAGGCCTCTGAGCCGAAGCTCAGCCATTGTAACCCCTGTGACCTGCACATATATGTCCAGATGGCCTGCAGGAGCCAAGAAGTCTGGGGCAGCCGAAAAACCACAAAGGAAATAAAACAGCCACTTCCTGCCTTAATTGATTAACCAACATTACAACATTCCTCCATTGTGACTTGTCCCTGCCCTACCTTAACTGATCAATCGACCTTGTGACATTCTTCTTCTGGACAATAAGTCTTATGGTCTCCCCACCATGTACCTTGTGACCCCCTCCTCTGCTAATAGATAACCACCTTTTACTGTAATTTTCCATTACCTACCCAACTCCTATAAAGCAACCCCTTCCCCATCACCATTCGCTGACTCTCTTTTCGGACTCAGCCCACTTGCACCAAGTTAATAAACAGCCTTGTTGCTCCAAAAAAAAAAAAAAAATGAAAACATTTGGGACCAGCCTGGGGACTTTCTATGACGTAAGAAGAAGAAGAAGCATTAGAAGAAAAAAAAAAAGTGGTTTAATTTCTCAGCAATTGAAACAATTCTCAAAGAAAATCCTAATGTTACTTAAATATGCTATTCTAGTCACCCTATAGAAAAATAAATGACCTCATGCTTACATCATTTTGATTTTTCTTTTATTTTTGGAGGACATTAATGTAATTTCATAGTCTATTATTTCCAAGTTCAATGTCAAGGACAGTGCCTCTATAAGGGAGAGATGTGTTCAAAGGCTCTGAAGAAGGATATAGACTTCTTTTTTTTTTTTTTAAACTTGGAGGAGAGAAAGAAAGGATACAGACTTCTTGGACTTACATTTTTGGGATACTTATGTATTTATCAAAATGTTTCTAAGGAAAATTTACTTATTTTGAGCCACACACATAATCCCATGAGTTGTTGCCCTTAGTAGAAATATAATGGGAACATAACCGTCCTACCTGTTTTGGCCTACTTAATAAACCTCCATAGGAATATTTTTATGTTTAATATCTTTCTTATGTAAGTTTCAGCATGTCTTTTAAACTTAGAATACACATTTAGAATTTGTTTTAACATAAAAAAGTTAGATGACTTCTTATTCTAAATAAAATGGATAAAAATATTTTGCCTTGATGTGTGTATACGTTTTATGTGCTTATGCATGCATTCACAGTTATGTGCATGAAATGTTCAGATATCAAATTTATCTTTTTTATTGGGTACAACATAAATGAAAGATTAAGCTCAAATTTTTATGACGATATGGAGAACATAATACATATTTTTGTTATGATATTAAAATATAAGACAATGTATAATTGTAATAGTTTGCTAATATTAAAAATTAAGAATTGATAATGATTAACTCCTCAATAATACATGGATGGCATACAAACACAGTGAGATTTAAGGAAAGCATATACCTCATGTTTTGGAAAATAAGAATATGTAATTTTAAACAGCAAGAGACATTTATGTAAAATGACTATATTGAGTGCTTTTGGAGGAAATCTACTTGAATTTATTCAATAATCATCATTTCATAAATTAGAAGCAAACTTTATAATCATCTGAACAAATTCACATGCATTTCACATAAGAGAAGTGAAGTTAAAGAATTAAGTGGCTCATTTATTGGATCACTGTTCATTAGTAACAGAGCAACAGAGATAACTCTGGTCTTCTAAATTCTAGATTCCAGGGATCTTTCTCTAACATAATATGTTTTTCAAGTAACAATATCCGCATTTTTTTCTTCATCATAGTAAATGGAAACAGGGGCTGTTCAACCCAACTTTTTTTTTTTTTCAGGAAAGACATCTAAACTTTACTGAGTATCTGGTATGTTCATATTTTTTTCTGTTTAAACTTTTTAAAAAATTACAAATAATTGTAAATTCATATGCAATTATAGAGTCCCATATACTGCAGAACAGTTTACTTCACTGATAACATCTTTTTAAACTGTAATACAATATTGCAGCCAACATATTAGCATTGATACAGTCAAGCTGGAGAACATTTCCATCACAAGATAACTCATATTGCCCTGATAAAGCCACATCCACCACCCTTTCCTACCTCATTCCTGACCTTTCGTCAACCTCAAAGATGTTCTTCACTTCTATAATTTTGTCATTTAAAAAATTCCGTATACATAAAGTATCTGGATTTTGGGGGTTGGCTTTTTTTCACTCAGCTTAATTCCTTGAAGTTTCATCCAGATTTTTACATGTTTAAATAGTTCATATATTTTATTGCTGAGCAGTATTTCATGGTGTGGATGTACTACAGTTTGTTTAACTATTTACCCATTGAAGGACATCTGTGTTATTTCCAGTTTATAGCTATTACAAATACATTTCCTACAAACAATTTCATGTTTGTGTTTGTGTAAACAGAAGTTTTTATTTTTCTCAAATAACCAAGAGTGTATTTCAAAGTAACACGGTAGCTCCATGTTTAGTTTTATAAGAAACTAGTAACTGCTATTTTCTAGTAGTTCTAAGAAACTGAAACTACTATTTTACATTTCCAGCAAAATGTATGAGGGATACACTTTCTCCATATTCTCACCAGCATTTGATATAATCACTATTTTTTTTATTGGTGCATAACAGAATTTTTGGCATATGTTATAAGGCATTCATATAATTTGTAAAAAATCAACTCAGTGTTCTTGGGATATCCATCACTTTAAATATTTGTCTTTTCTTATTCTGCTATGTGTGTGAGACAGTCTTAATATAATTTTAACTTGAATTCCACTGATTGTAATATAATATATAGGTGTTTTGTATGTACACTATACATACATGTTATAAATATATAATGTGTATTATAGAGTGTGTATTGTATAGCTGGCATATATTATATAGCTGGTATAGTATATATTACATATATACTCAGACGTGTATAAACATAACATGATATGTATATGTACATGTGTATAATGTATATTTTATAGTGTACTAGTTTTCTATTGCTACTGTAACAGGTGCCACAATATTAGTTTCTTAGAACAAAATAATTTAAATTTTTATTTGTATAAATTTAAGTGTTACAAGTGCAGTTTTGCTACACGGATATATTCCACAATCATGAATTCTGAGCTTTTAGGGTATCCATCACCTGAATAATATACATTGCACCCACCACCAATTTCTCATTCTTCTCCTTCCTCCCACCCTCTCACCCTTCTGAGTTGCCAATGTCAATTATTCCACACTCTATGTCCATGTGTACACATTATTTAGCTCCCACTTGTAAGTGAGAACATGTGATACTGGACTTTCTGTTTCTGAGTTATTTCATTTAAGATAATGGCCTCCAGTTTTATCTACATGGTTGCAAAAGACATGATTTCATTCATTTTTTATGGCTAAGTACTCTTTCATTGTACATACACACTACATTTTCTTTATCCAATCATCTATTGAAGGAACTTAGGTTTCTTTGCTATTGTGAATAGTGTGTGATAAGCATACAAGTGCAGATATGTTTTTAATATAATGATTTAAAAAAGTTCGGGTGGGCACGGTGGCTCATGCCCTGTAACCCCAGTACTTTGGGAGGCCGAGACGGGTGGATCATGAGGTCAGGAGTTCGAGACCAGCCTGACCAGCATGGTAGAACCCCATCTGTTCTAAAAATACAAAAATTATCCAGCCATGGTGGCGTGCACCTGTAATCCCAGCTACTAGGGAGGCTGAGGTAGGAGAATCGCTTGACCCTGGAAGCGGAGTTTGCGGCAAGCCAAGATCACGCCACTGCACTCCAGCCTGGGCAACCATCTCCAAAACATAAATAAATAAAAATAAAAATGAATAAAAAATATTTAGAGACAGGTTCTCATTATGTCACCCAGGCTACTCTTGAACTCCTGGCCTCAAGTTATCCTCCCACTGCGCCTCTCAAAGCACTGGGATTACAGGCATGGACCACCATGCCTGGCCTAATTTCTTTCCCTTTGGATAGATACCCAGTAGTGGCATTACTGTAGCTAATGGTAATTCTATTTTTAGTTATTTTTAAAATCTCCATACTGTTTCCCATAGAGGTTGTGCTAATTTACACTCCTACCAACAGTGTATTAATGTTTCCTTTTCTCTGCATCCTTGCCAACATCTGATATTTTTGGACTTTTTAAATAATAGCCACTCTGACTGGTGGAAGATGATATCTCATTATGTGCATCCCTCTGATGATTGGTGATGTTGAACATTTTTCCATATGCTTATTGACCATTTGTGTGTCTTCTTTTGAAAACTGTCTTACATTTCTAGATATTAGCAGTCCTAGAATCAAGGTGTCAGTAGAACTGTTTTCTTCTGGAGAATCTGGGAAGAATCTCTTTCCTCTCTTATCCATCTTTTAAGGACCTCCCCACATGTCACCTTTCCCTTTTGCTATTGTCATCACATCACTGTCTCTCTGACATTGCCTGTAAGGTGTTCCTCTTTTAAGGACACTTGTGATCACATTGGCTCTACCTAGGTAATTCAGGATGGTTCCCTTCTCTCAAGAGTCTTACATAAGTTACATCTGCAAAGTACCTTTTACCCTGCAAGGTAACATTCACAGGCTCTGGAGGTTAGGCCATGAACATCTTTGCTGGGACGTTATTCTACCTACCATATAAAGTATAATATACGTGACATATATTCCATGTAATGCATTTTTATCTACAGCTACAAATCCTTGTTACATAGAAACCTATGCACATTTACAGAATATTACCTGTCTTCTTCACTATTATATCCTCATCTCTAGAATAGTGCCACACTTACTCAAAGCTTAGCCCATTCAAATATTTGATAAAGGATGAATGATGCCATTTCTCTTCCATAACTGAGGGAAAACACTTGCTAGCAATCTTCCCTCACTAAAAAAGGGATTTTACAAAGCTTGCTTAGTGGCAAATAATAATTATGATTGGAACATTAATTATGATTATTGCAAACATCTGTCAGCTAAATGTAGAGGTGTGAAGAAAAATGTCTTGCTTGTGCTTAGAGGTTTAGTTTACAAAGGGAAGGAGAGGTAACATGGAGGAGTACTGCCATAGAATTAATTTCAATCACTGAGGAATAACGGTTGCGAAAGTAGACAGTAGTAGTGACTCTGGACCCATTGAGTGAATGTTGTCATTGATGACAAGACAACACTGCTGGATTAGACATATCTCTTGGGTCTTAAGTACCTAAAATGTCATCAGAAGGGATGGAAGAGAATGAAAGACATTTCTGCATTATTATTAAGATCTAACATTCTAGAGCCAATCACGCATTCCCTAAACAAAGAAGATAGGGATTGGGTAAACTGCCAAAGAACACAAAATTCATTGATGATAAAACCAGGATGTGAACTTAGGTAAGTATTAACCCCAAAATATATATTCCACTCTTCCTATAAATATTAACTCATACAAATTTTATCCTATTAGAATACTTTTATAAGGTGACTTACATACAATTTTACTATTTACCATCTTTCTCGTGCGGTAAAAATGGTTTGGAAACATTGCTCTCTGCTATACTTCCCTGCATCCCAACCATAGTTCTCATCTATTTCTTAACAATTCACCTCTTATTGTACTTTCAAGTCACCCTCAAAACATGTACTCTCTCTTCTCACTAGATTGCCTTTTGCAAACTGAAGGGTATGATGCACATGATAAAAGAAAGACATTATAGGTACATTAGAAGAAAATATTTTTTTGAAAATCTGTTTCCAAGAAAGTCAGGGAGCGAACAGTTTTTTTCGCTCACAGCGAAACAGATGCATTATGAGCGAACAGATTTTTTGGAAATCTGTTTCCAAGAAAGTCAGGGAGCGAACAGTTAGTGTCTAGCTACAGAAGGGCAAGTCTATAACACAAATTCTATTTAATAGGACTAGCAAAATCTGTGGTCGTACAAGCTATGAAAGCAGTTTTATTATAAACTATTGATTGTTTATGTTTACAGAGTGGTAATCTCAAGAAAATAGGGTCACAATATCAAACAAGCTATTGACCTGACCTTGTTTGCCTGCTTACAAATATTCATTTATTATTCACTTGGCCTATGTAAGCTTTTAAAAAATTATTAGTATAACTTTATAAAGTAGATATCATAGTTTCAACTATACAGAGGTAGAAACACAAACCGAGTGGTTACTTGACTGGAACCTCATCATTCAGGTTTCCAGCTTAGAAGGCATCTCCTTGAAAATGTCTTTCCCAATTGTCTTATACATCAGTGCCAACACTTCCATCAATCTCCATCATGCAAGTCCTTTATTTTCTTTTTATAGTCTGCCTCTACCATAAGAATGCAAGCTTCTTGAGAATACAAAATGTATTTTTCTTGTTTACTTCTGTATCATCAGATTCAAGGACAATACTTGACACATAATATGCATTCAGTCATTATTTTCAAATGATCAAACAAACAGCTTGAACAACAGTTTACTCAAAGTCAAATAATAAGTAAGTAGCAGAACCAGGCTGCATATAAACTCAGTTCTTCTGGAGACAAAGCCCCCCATCTTTATTCTCTATATCATGACCTCCTAACTAACTCCAGGTTATGGGTCTTCCCTCATCCTAAATCATACTGTCCAAAGATTAAATCGTTTTGTCTGTGTAGGACAAGCCCAGCCTTTCAGGTATGAGGAATTACTGCAAATTTTCATATTTAAAGTAGAGGCACATCATATGGGTAGATTGAGCTTGGGCAAGAAAGACAAGTTCTCTGTAAACCCTGTTAATTTGCAACCCAGGTTAGACAGTACCAAACTAACAAGGGGACACATGCCTCTTCACTGGCACACTAAACTATGATGATCCTTGAATCTCCTGGGATAGAGCTGGGTTCAACTAGTGGAAAACATGGCCTCCAACAAAAACTTAGGGAGGACTTTTGAGACTTTTATTTGATACAAGCTTGACATCATCTTAAAGTTTATGATGTTCATAAAATAGTTCACACAAGGACATCTTGAACTACTAAAGGTTTACACATTCTTGAACTGTTTAAACCTTTTTACAGTTCAAGAATGTATTGAATTTAAAATACTATTGACATGTTACAGCCTGCAGATAACATTTGGAAAACTGAATTTTTTCTGTCATACAAGCATGCATGCAAATATTTATTAAGGAACAATTATTTTCCAGGCACTACTTCAGCTCTGGAAAAGATATACAGTAGGAAGTACCACATTTCAAAAGGAATATTGATTATTAACATGAAAGATGAATTTCATTGATCAAAACAATTTCCTGCTCCAGAAGGGAAGAAACATACATATGTTTTGTTTGCTGTTTTCACTTTTCAAAGTTTCAAGATAGAATATATATTTCTGATACATGATACACTGATTTTGACAATAATTAGCCTCACAATGCTATTAGGAAGACTGCCAAGTCTTTTTAGTACTCCAATTTGTTGACTTGAAATTCATTAATTAAGAGAAATGGGAAGATGAATCAGATTGCCCATATCTATTTTCTAGGTTCAGATCTTCCACTGAATTTACTGTTACTCATTCAACTTTAACAAAATCCCCTACTTCATGGACTACATGATTCCATCTGCATGACAACCTGATAATCCCTAACCTCTTTTTTCATATTATATTACTTCATACTCCAATTCACATCTGACCTTCCAAATATAATAATACATTTCCAGTTTGAGTTCCAAACCTCAAGGTCTTTCTTGTTTTCAATTTTCATTCCCACAGCCAACCAACCCATTGCTATCGATTTGGAAATTGAGATGCTCTGACATCTCAGTTCCTTTTTCCAGCGTTCACTTTTAATGCCTTAATTATGTTTTTAGTCATACCATGCATTAAACTGTGCATACTCTCAATACATTCTCACATGAATGTTGAATTAGCTTTGTAGAACAGGTGTAAACATTTTCTTGTTTTACATCACCTCCAAGAAATAAAAGCTTTATTGTTACAAGGCATTCAAGTTCCTTTGTGATCCAACCCATGGCTCCAACTTAACTCTGTAGTTCCATACTCTGTTCCTTTTCTGTGACTCCCCAACCTTGTAATCTGAGCTTTACCCCAACCATACACTCAAGGTTTTCCTTAATGCAACATGTATTTTCACTTTCTTCCTACTTATTTCTCTTAATGTGACACACCATTCTTCAAATCACTTCAGACTCAATTTTACTACTCAAAACCAAGCTGTAATAGTGCTTTCCTGATGCAACTTAGCATGAACTGCATAGGAAGAGCACTTTCATGACACTCTGACTTGTCTATTACAACAGTTTCAATGCTTTATTATAAAGGTGACTTCCCTTTGTTTCTCTCACTAAGCCAAAAGGTCATTGAGGGTATATGCCAGGTGTTATTTGTGATTCCACAAAAACATAAGAGAAAACCTAGGACACGTAAAACACTCAACAAATATCAAATGAGTAAATTAGATTATTCTCATTCTCATTCAAATATCCACCCTCTCCAACAAATTAAATTTATAATTTTAATTTAATATTTATTCAGAAAAGAAAATAAACACAGTGCTCATTTTCTGTGCTTAATATTCCCTTCTCAGCTTTATTCATGTTTCAAAGAGAAAGTCTCCATTGTGGGTACATTTTCACTACAGACGTAAGTATAAAGCAACTCTGAAACTTAACTTCATAAGAGGCATATAATAGGCATGTGGTTTCATAAAAAGTTACCATTCCAAAATAAGTCATTGCAAGAAAATAAAAGTAAAAAAAGAAAATCTGGCTATAGGAAAGTGAGATGAATCAGATTAATGATAGAATCATATTATATGCCATAAAGGCTTTACTGTGTTATGAAATGTAAAGGGTAATTCAACATTGTAAATTGACAAGGATAAAATATCAAAGAAACTCAGAAAAGTTTTAATCTCTGAGTATAAATTTACTTTCATATAAGGAATTTCATGCATATATCTCCAAAGAGATATCTAAGTGACTAAGCTGTTTAGATGTCCTAGGCATATAGTGTTTGGATGTTGGAGGCAAGAAGCAGCTGCTCTATCAGTTTTGACAGGAGCGTGATTTTTCACCCCTTCATATAAAAATATGGCCCTATTAGTCGCCTGCATACAATTCCTCTTTTTCTCCATTAACAACAAATATATAAATATAAATACCTTAGGTAGTAAGGAAGGCTTTTCAAAATATGTTCCCATCACCGTTGGGAGGAAACTCTCTAAGGCACTTCTGCAGTCTTCTGATAGAGTCTGTTCACAAAGATATTACATAGCAAACAGCCTTGAAAACTAGAGATGGTGTTTCCCTCAAGGGCAGAATATAGACATGTTCCGTTTCCAGGATAATAAAGGTAATGCCTCTCTGTTGGCAAAAGTTTGGGCAGATTTTCTTTTTGTTAGATTGGGGCTTTCCTGAGTTCAAGCTCCTCAGCTATGTCATAGATCTACTGTATGCATTATTCACCTGGGCCTGCTTCATATCATCTCTATGGGACTTGGGAATAAAGGAAATTGATAGGAACATGAAGCTCATACTGCATGCTGAGTTGTGAATATTAAGCTGCTGAAATCCATTGGCTCACTGTTTCCTTACTGGAAAAATACATGGAAGCTTCGGTGCTGATGTAGCAGCTGTAGTCAGCACGGCTGCTTAAGAAATCTTGGACCACTAGATAACTTTTCTCCCCTGGATTCATTTCCTGATTATCTCTACCTCACAGTCTAATTTGAAGTTTTGGTAACATGCTGTGGTTATACACTTTTTTTCTGTTCCACCTGCTTAGCCTTCGTTAACTTCCCATAAGAGTAAGTTTTATCATATTGTTTACTCCCAGTGAAAATTTTCCCTGACATTTCCAGACACCAGGATTTATTTAAGTCATCGGATTACATTGTCTCTTTTAGAAAATCTTCATTTTATATATTATTATTTGCATTTAGGTATCATGAATATATCAAAACTATTGAGCAACTGTTATGTGACAATCATAATAGTCACTAGATAGAGATGGGTTGATAAAAAGTACAGATATGGTACATGATCTCTGGAATCTTACTATTTGGAAAGACAATTATAAGTGAGCAATGAAAATAACATTTATGATCAATTCATAAGGTAAATAAAGGAATGTATGTCAAGTAGACCAAACTGAGTATAAGGCCCACTCTTGAAAGTCTTCTCTGTGGAAAGAATGCTTCATTTGAAGTCTGAAGAGAAAGTAGCAGTAATTCATAGAAAGACCAGATAGACAGCCACTCACTGTAGCTCACTGTTTAACAAAGCATGGTATCTAGTTGACACAGTAAGTATCTGCGGAATTACTACTTCTCATAAAAACAAAAGAAATTCTTCCTTCTGCACCTATCTGATAGCAAACCACTTGTGGTGTCTGCTTACTAGACATAAAGAACATGAATCTCGCTCACTTGCACGATTGATCATCCATCTTGTCATCTGTCTCATGATTTTTTGAAAATTTTCCCACTGACAGGTAGCTTTCTTCTGTCAATCTCTTGAGGAAAATTTATCAAAAACTATTGAATATAACTGAAATACAGTCACAGAAAGTGCATGAGGAATTATCTAGCCTAGTGTCAAATGATTTTATTTGATTACAACCTGGCCCATGCCTGAAATTTGTTAAAGTACCATTCAGTAAATCTAGAACCAAAAATATATATAATCTTCTAGAACAAAAAAAATTAATTTTATTATTTTTATTTGCAAAAATGACCTGGAAGGTATGTTCATATTACTTGAAGATATTGTGCAGTGTATGAAGAGTAGTCATTTTGGAATATAATAAATAACCAGATAAACTGCAAAGTAATCGCTAATTTCCTTTTCAGAACAATGGTTTTTACTGCATTTCAGTCTTCAGTTAGACAAAGCTGTCATGTCTTAACTTTGCTGAAGACAAAGATATGTACCATATGCTACCGAATTGAAAAATTACCCATCTCTCACTTCCTAGCTTTCTTCGGCAAGTCTAATTCAGTAAACTTAAGGTAAATACAAGCACAGATAAATGGCAGTATTTAAATGTTTTATTTCTCTAAGAGAATTCAGCCAAAATTCTTTTTTATTTTGACACTATTTTCTCTAAATGTAACATGTTTTCCATAAATGAAATATCAAGCAAAAATGAAATGCCTGACCCTGTACTTCTGTATGTTTCTGAATTTTTCTACTTTGTATAAGACACATCTCTGAGGTCCAAATGACATCAACAAATTCCCTTAGGGCAACATACAAAAGGGAATACATTACAAAAAAGGCAATTTAAGTCTCAACTTCAAGCATCTTTTGATTTTATTAGCAGCAAGTCATTCAGTGGACACACCAGTGTTCAGCACTCTCTTGGTATTTGCCACCGGGAATTTGTTCCAAATATCAAAATCTGTGGATGCTCAAGTACCTCATATACAATGTCATAGTGTTTGCATATAATCTATGCATATTCTCTGTATACTTTAAATCATCTCTAGATTACTTATAATACCTAATACTATGTAAATGCTATATAAATTTACAATGTAAATGCTGTGCTGTATTTTTTATTTGTATTATTTTTGTTGCCTTTTTATCCCAAATATTTTCCATCTGCAGTTGGTTGAATCCATGGATGTAGAACTCAAGAATACAAAGGGCTTACTGTATTGTGTATCATAAGCAATGAGGCTAGGGAGCCATCTTCTAGTAAAGGGTTGCTCTGATAATGCGAGGTTTGCTAGAGACCAAAGATAAAGTAAGAATGGAGTCAAACTGATGACAGCATAGGTTTAATGTTTATTGTATGCTCTTTTTCTTCAGTTATGCACATATGTGCAAGACATTTCTGACTTACCCAGAAAATGCAACCCTTTGTTTGGACAGGACCTCCTATATTATGCTAAAAGGAATTACCTGAATATCTTCTCAGAACCCACAGGCACATGCTTTGATGGAAGGTTATTTTTTCCATGAATGGGAGGGTGGGGGAATGGTTTCAGGATGATTTAAGTGCATTACATTTATTGCACACTTTATGTTTATTATTACATTGTAATAGGTATTGATCCGAGAGTGAGATCTCCTCCCTGCTTGGCCACTGCCCAAGCCAGCAAGTTCCACCCAGCTAGGATGTGCGTGCACAGATGGGGTCACCAACTTGCTGTCCGGGTGCTTCCTGGGGAAACACTGGCTTGCACCTGCCCACAGAGTTCAGACAGAAATGGGACGCTGGGCTGTAAGCTCCAGCAGGCATTGCCCACCTGGCTTCCAGTGGTGAGGGTGGGTGAGGTCGCCCACTCTGCTATCTGGGTGTTGCCCGGGACAACAGGAGGCTGTGGCTGCTGACTGAGTTTAGACAGAGTGCGACCACTGGGTCAGAATCTCCAGCAGTCACTGAACATCAGGCTACCAGTGGCAGGTGTGTGTGAGGTTACTCACCCTGCCATCTGGGTGTTTTCCAAGACTATAGGGGACTGTGACCACCGGCTGAGTTCAGATAGAAGCTGGATATTTGGGCCAAAAGCTGGCACTGAGCCTTGTCTAGTGAGGGGGTTGGATCAATCTTACTGCTCCCAGTTATCGTGACTGTGGCCTCTACTGGGGCTATCATACTGGTGCTGGTCTGTTCTGGGGTCCAAGGTTTGCAGAAGTCCCCTTGGACTTGAGAGTTACCTCCAAAATATGTCCAAGGGGCTCTCTGCCTCAGTGTGGACATGCAGTGACAGTGTGAGGGAGGAGGAGGATTCTCTTGTTCCCAGTCTTGCACAGGTCACTGAGGAGACTGTGAATGCCCCTGAAGGCTCTCACTCATTCACCCTTTCCCATATTGAGGAGCTTCTCCTGGCTCCGTGTTTATCCCAGATAAGCCTTGGTGCCCTGCTTCACTCCTGCCTGCTGTCCATGTCCCCTTGTTGCCTGGATAGGCCCTGATGTGGTTTCTTAGATGATCAGCGTTTAGGGTCTGTGTTTACTCTCCCCTTTGCTTCCTCTCTGTGAGAACACATGAGCTGCTTTTAGTCTACCATCTTGACCCCATCCCCTCTTAAGAATATTTTTAATTACACACACACACAGAATTAAATGAGATAAAAAAATATACTGTAAATACTGCTACATTTTCTTCAAGTTCTATTTTTTGGGATTAAACATGACTAGATAATTCACATCTTTTAAAATATATTATAATTGGTTTAAAAACATTTTCTATTTCATTAACTATTCAGTAGCAGAATCTTCACATCTTAAAGGAGTCGCTGTCACAGAGATAAAGAATGTTAAGATGCTGAACAATAACCTTGACTTAAAGAGGTTCAATCACCATAATAAGTAAAACTGCAGATAATATAATGGTTTGTTCCAATAATTATAATTATCATTTGGATTTTATTTACTATGGGTTGTGTATGATGCTAGGGGCTTCACAAATTTAATCTTCACAGAAAATCTACTGGCTAAGTGAATAAGAAATTTAAATATCTGTTAATCAAGGCTCAGAAAATTTAAGTAATTTATCAACTATGAGCCAGTTGGTGATGGCAAAATAAGGTCCATAATTGTATTTCATCATTATTACACAGACTGTGGGGGATAGACAAATATATCAGCACAAATTGAATGCCATTTTGGAATACAGAGCTCAGCATGTTTATCATCCTGTTTACAAGAAACAAATTTCTGCTTTTTATATAGGTTATATTACAGCACTTAGTTATTAAAAAAAACTTATATAAACTCATCTATTTCCTGGTTCTGTTTAATACTCAACCTAGGACTGAAACTGATGTATTACTTTCTCTTCCCTATTTTGCCAACCTATTTGAAAATGCACATTGAAATTTATTAAATAGCAATTTTGATGATTGTGGGCCAAGTGGAGATTGAACTGTCTGGAGACTGAAGACAAACCTGTATGTCCGTGACTTAGGAGAGTTGTTTTAACTTGCTCAAAGCTAATCTGCAAAAAGCAGTAATCTCCTAGAAACCATCAGAGAAAATGTCCTGTAAAATAATTGGTTATGCCCTTGATAACTTGTATTGCGCAGTGTATATCGTGAAGCAAATAATAAAGATGACTTGTCAGACATACACACTAAATTCAAATGAAGATGGTAAGAAATCCAATTCTATTTTCTTCCAAATGCCTAAAGCAAAACTCATGATTAAATCATTTTATTATCATTATCTAAGATAATTTTTGAATTTCTTTCAAAATACAGAAATGATAGTAAAGAAAATGTTTTCAGAAAAAAATTAACATTGGCTGTGAGAACTAAATATTGATGTCTATTTATAATTCTTTTATTTGAATTGATAGAATTGATTTTGTAATGAAATGATAAAAATAGAGATCACTAATATTGTCATTTTAAAGGGAAATTTATATTTTGTGATCTAATCGTGAAAATATGATGTTTCCAATCTAAATTAAAGTATTAAAAACAAAAGTTTTACTCTTCTATTCTCATTATGAAATCAGTTTGGTTCAGAAAATACTGCTGAATAATCATTAATGTGCTCCCAAAATTGTAGCTATGAGAACAGTGTGAAAAATCTGATATATTTTAATATAAATCTCTCCTATTGAGAGTGCTGAGCTGTAACTACCAAAAGATATCTGAGATTTTTAGCTGAAGAAATCATTTTAGCTTTTTAGGTCAATAAAAGAAGAGGGAGAGAAATTTCCCCAAAGGTAAAACTGAAAGCAAATGGACTCTTCTCTATTGAATATTCATCTATAATACTGGGGAAGAGAGCATTAAAATGTCTGAGGAAAACAATTATCCCATCGGGCTCTTGGAGTCCAGTCTCCAGAGTTCGAGAGCAATAGTTCCTACTGCACTTCCCAGAGACGGTTTTCTGACAAAGCCAACTTGACTCTAATTTTTATTCATATATTTAATAGATTTATTAGCCATCTATCAAATGTCATGTTCTATAACCAATAAACTAAGAATTGAAAAATAAAATCTAGGCCCTAGCTTTATGAAAGGTTCATAGTCAAATGGGCAAGATAGCTATATAATACCAATCATGTGGAAGTGCTATCATATAAGATTATGAACAGAATATAAAAGACTGGCACAAAAAAAAAGGAGTGAGTAGTTCTTCTGGTAGTAGAGAAAGCAAAGTGGCATGTGTCTAGTACACATTTATGACAGCTTCAGTTAGTCATCAGAGAGTTCTCTGAGTCAGACAGGCTATCACTGACAACCATACATCACTTGATTTCTTTCTGCATGGAAAAAATCTCTCTTCACTCTGAACCCAGGTAATTCTGCAGGAGTAATTCAATTTCTTGGATTTGTTCTTCAGACTGGAAAAATCCAATAGGTAGTTTTAAAATCATTTGGAAACTACTTTGGTGAGATAATCAAATTGTTTCACAGAAATAATCTCATCAATAGTCATGTAATCTCTTTGAGGTAGACTAAAAAAAAAAAAATCCTATTTTAAAAGTAACAAGAAATTAAATGACCCACCTGGAGACACTCTGCCTGTGGGGTTAGCTCTGTCGCACGAGCAACTGCCCAATGACTTCATGAGAGGGTGGAGTCTGAAGAACCCTCAGAGTTTACACCAGTTATATAATTTACACTTATTAGTATACAATGGGGCTAGGATAAATTTCAATAGAAAAGCTCTTTTTTTCAAGATAGTTTATTCTTATTTTCCTGTCACCTTCCTCACTTAACTGTCGGGTTCAGCAAACAAATATATCAAGATAACATTAAATACCAATAAAACAACCATAGCATCTGAAGAGAAATGTTCATGTTGAAATTTAGTTTTTATACTAATTTCATCCTCCACTACATTAAAATATAATGATATTAAAAATGTATTTCCTGGGGTAGTGGGGATACTCTGAGGGGCCTGCTGCTGTGTGGGTAGAGGATAGCCATAGTACAGCCAGGGAAGCTGCCCAAGGAACAGAAGCTGAAGCTGTAGAATGATCATGGGCGAGAGGTTTTATTTAGAATCTGCTCATGTTTGCCTAATAAATGTAGCAGCCACAGCAAATGAAATTCTTAAAATCTTAGTATTAACAGGTATTGATTCATTTACCATTATTGATGAAAATCAGGTCAGCACAGAAGGTGGTGGATACATTACTTTTTCCTTCAAACGAGCAGTATCACAAGAACTGAGCTTGAGTTACCATGGAATTCTTATAATTAAAGATGCCTCTACAACCTTTGTGGAAAAGTCCAGAAAACCTTCCAAACAGTGATCTTTTGTTTTCCTGTATTTTCACCACTGTGGTTGCGATTTGGCTTCCTGAAAGTACATTACGATGCTTCCTGATGTCCTCAGGAATTCTCAAATCCCTCTTTTAAACTTTAAGACATATAGACCAGTTGGCCATAGAAGGATCATTTTAAAAGAATACACAATAATAGAATTTTACCCAGATAGTGTATTCAAGATCTGTGACTGGATAAATTGTTTTCTGAGCTGAGAGAATATTTCAGTCTTATATTTTAGATCATATGTTAAAAAAACCATAGCCATACCCCAAAGATTGTGATCACAGCTAAATATTTAGTACAGTAGAGTAGTAAAACAAATGGGTGAATATCTAAAATGTATGAAGAAAAAGAGCACTTCAGAGATTTGATTATACAAAAGATTCTAAATAGTACAAATAGGACTTCAGAAGATGAAAAGAATTCTGAAGAAACTATTAAAATATGAACATGGCAATAAATAAATAAATAAATAAATATGAACATGGCAAGAAACTATTAAAATATGAACATGGCAATAAATACTACTTAGATACCAAACAATATTTAAGATATATTTAATAATAATTTCTGAATAAATATCAGCAAACAGACTTCATCCTTTGGGGTTTTGGCTTATGCCTTAAAGGAATTTGTGGCCAAGGAAGGTCAAGGAAATTTACCTATTCAAGAACAATTTCTGACACAATTGCCAACTGGAAAAAATATATAAATACACAAAATATTTACTGTGTGAAAGCAAATTAATATGTTTCCCCTGTGAATAAATCATGCCAACAAAATGCTGCAGTCCATAGACCAGGTGACCAATGACATTGCAAAGAAAGAATTAAAATTACTCTGTAGCAATTCTTCATTTCTTAGAGTCTGAAGATGTGAATCCTTTACTGAAGAATATGGTTTGGATACAATTAACGGGAATAAAATCTTTTCCAGCATGGGCACGGCAGATAATGAAATAGTATTGTACTTAATATTATGGACTAGTGATAGATTTTATATGCAACAATATAGATGTCCATGGATATCTAACTATCAAGTTGAAGAAAATTTAGGAAAGTGAAAGTCTTGTTTTACTGGTTTCCTTCAGGAATATAGATTCTCTAGTCACAGATTTTGTAAAAATGGAGCTGTTGAGAAACACACTATTGATTCCTGAGAGGAGGTGCTACTCAAAAGATTATCGAAATACTCACTAAACAATTAGTAATTGTTAATAACATATTTATCTTGGCATGTCACAAACTCCAGCAACTTCTCAGTTGTGGAATAACAGTGTGTTAATGAATCAAACTGTAATTGCTCCAGGTAGTGCTCTAGTCTATAAAATTCTGCTAAGAGAGAGCTGTTAAATTATTTCCTTATTAACATTTTTCTCACTTGTAAAAATAAAATCTATTTCAGATGATTCTGTTATCTAGCAATACTGAAAGGACTGGCACTGTCCTGTCATTTTTAATTATGTCTCTATCGATATTTTGGGTGAAAACCTGAAGCCTGCTTTCCCAGGAAGGAAATTCAATTGTGGGGCAAAAAAAAAAAAAAAACCATTTTTCCCCCCATTTAATCACTATGTCTTTGCTTGAGTTCCTGGATCTGATCATCACTAGATTTCCATCTTATACTTCTGCCTGTTTCTTCAAAGTGTCCTTGGCTAGTTCCTCCTCATATCCTTGATATCTAAAAATTGGAGTGGCCCAGAGCTTAATTCCTGGACACTTTTCTCTCTTTTAGGTACATTAATACCTTTGATGGTATAATCCAATTGCTTGGAGTATCGCCCTTAAGCTAATAAATGCAGATGTGTACTTTAAGCCCATTCTTCCTCCCTGGATTCTACACATGCTATACAACTACCTAGTTTTCGTGATTTTGTACTGTGTCAACTTGGCTAAGCTGGGATATGATTTCCCATGATTCTCTTCCCCGTGCACTGCCAAGTTATGGTTGATCACACAAAAAAATTGAGATTCGGAAACAAAGCAGGGGTCGTTAAGCAGGGAATGTTGATGCAGGGTGCCAGAGGCTGCTGCAGTTCACACACATTTTCACTAATCTGCTGGCTCACCTTGCTAATGAGGAAGGTCACAGTATTCAGTCTCTCTGGCTGCCATTGCATGTTCTCTTTCAGCTTCTCTGGTTTAGGGCCAGGTACACTGTATATCTGTGGCAAAACAATTTGGCTTCTTCAGCAGGCCAGTCCTTATCATTGAGTGTAGAGGGAATAAGAGAAAAAGTTCCACTTTGCCATGGTAGGTTATTCCGTATTGTTTTTGTGGATTCATTTTCTATTGCTAACTCTGTGTTCACTGTCTTTCTTCTTTCCAGCTGCCAGTCCTGCTGTCTAAGAGTGATTTCAAGATCACCACCAGATGCAAACATAATAGCCTTCCAAAGAAATCTTCACCAGTTCCAACGATTTCGGAAGGTCTAATCTGTAATAAGTCCCTTCTACCATATCATTCCTAGCGGTCCTGCTTCCTTGATTAAATCCTAATGGATGTGCTACATGTTACTCGATGCCTACTTGGCCTCTCAAATGTAGCACATTCACAACTGAATTCCTGATATTACTTCTACCACAAACTTGCTTTTCTCATGTTCTCCAGCACATTAAAAGCAACATTTTTCTTCCTTTTATTCAAGCCAAACATCTTGGAGTCATCCTTGATGCCTCTCTTTCACCCGCATTCATATTATTTATTTTAGTAACATCTTTAAAATATATTATTCCATCCTCTACCTGGCACTTTACTGTGGTCTAAGTAAGTCATGTCTCACTGGCATAATTACATTAGTTTTGCTATGTGTCTTCTTGTTTCTGATCCTGCTCCTAAATCTATTACCCATTCACCTGACAGACTGAGTCTGTTACAAAATAAATAAGGTAATGTCACTTCTTTGTTCAGGAATTTTCAAGGTTTTCAATCTCAGTTGGAGTAAAAGGTTAAGTTCTCATGCTGATTCAAAAGAACCTACTTCACCTGGTGCCACCATTACCTTTTCTTATTGTCTCTCCTCCTCTTCCTCCTCCTTCTCTCTCTCTCTCTCTCTCTCTCTCTGTCTCTCTCTCTCTGGATCACCTGTTCTATCAACATTGACCTCCTCCTCAAACCAGGGATTCTCCTGCCTCCAGATGTTCATGCTTGCTTTTTCCTCTGCTAGATGTGCTTTTCTACAGGAAATCACATGACTTGTCTTTCCCCTTCTTCCAGACTTGTTTTTTTAATCCTTCCAGAAAACCAGCTTTAAAATGACAACCCTACTCATTCACAAAATATCTTCCTTTCTTGCTACAGACTTTTGTCCTTAGCACTTAGTTCCCATTATAATACTATATATATGTTTTATTTATTTATTTTTGTATGTCATCTACTAGACTATTAATTTGATTAGGGTAATTATATTGGCTGTTCTATCCAATAGATCCAATAGTGTAACCCAAATCCATGGTGCCATGTCTTGCAAATGGCAGGCTCTTAATAAATATTTGTTGGATAAGGGAAGGAATGCCAATGTGAAAATTAATACAGTGGCTAAAATCAAAAGGAGTAAAACCTTAGAAATTTCATATGGTTCAGTGTGACAGATAAAATGGCACAGGTCTAGTATAGGAACTAGGCTACAATAGCAGCCATTAGTTCAGGACCTAATGAATGTAACATGAGTGGCCTAATGAAATTAACCCTCCCAAATCAAGTCTCTCCTCAGGCCTCTCTATTCCCTGAGACACAACAATATTGAAATCTGGGAAACTAAGAATTGTACAGTGGCTTCCAAGTGTTCAAGTGAAAGGAAGAGTCACATTTGTCTCACCTTAAATCAAAAGCTAGAAATGGGCTCAGCATGGTGGCCCATACCTGTAATTCCAGCATTTTGGGACACCAAAGCAGGAGTATCACTTGAGGCCAAAAGTTTGATATCAGCCTGGGCAATATAGCCAGACTCTGTCTTTAGAAAAAAAACAAAAAATAGCTGGCATGGTGATGCACGCCTTTCATCCTAGCTACTCTAGAGTCTGAGGTTGGAGGATCACTTGACCACAGGAGGTCAAGGCTGCAGTGAGCCAAGACTTTGCCACTGCACTCTGGCCTGGGTGAAAAAGCAAGACACTGTCTCTAAATAAATAATAATTAAATTAAAAAGTAAATTTTTAAAAAGCTAGAAATGATTAAGATATGTTAAAAGTTAAGATTGGCTGAAAACTAGACCTCTTGCACCAGTTAGCAAAGTTATAAATGCAAAATAAAAGTTTTTGATGGAAATTAAATGTGTAATTTCAATAAACACATGAATGCTAAGAAAGCCAGACAGCTTACACCAATATGGGGAAAGTTTGAGTGGTCTACATAGATTAAACCATCTACAACCTTCCCTTAAGCCAAAGCGTAATCCAAACCAAGGTCCTAACTCTTGTCTATTCTAAGGAGGCTGAGAAAGGTGAGGAAGCTACAGAAGATATGAAAGCTAGCAGAGATAGGCTCATAAAGTTTAAGAAAATAGGCCATCTCCATGACATAAAAGTGCAAGGTGAAGCATCAAGTGCTGATGTAGAAACTGCAGCAAGTTATCCAGAAGAACTTGCTAAAATAATAGTGAAAGCAGCTATGTCTAGCAGATTTTCAGTGTAAATGAAACAGCCTTTTATTGGAAGAAGATGTCATCTAGGACTTTCATAGCTACAGAGAAAAATCCAATGTCTGGCTTCAAATCTTCAAAGGACTGGCTAACTCACTTATTAGGGGCTAAGGCACCTGATTACTTTAAGTTAAGCCAATGCTTGCCTGTCATTTCAGAAATCTTAGGGCCCTTAAGAATTATGCTAAATCTGCCCTGCTCATGCTCTAGAAATGAAACAACAAAGCCTGGATAATTGCATGTCTGTTTATAGCATGGTTTACTCCATATTTTAAGCCCAGTATTGAGACCTACTGCTCAAAAAAGATTTGTTTTTAAATTTTACTGCTAATTGGCAATGCACCTGGTCACCCAAGAGTTCTGACAGAGATATACAAGGAGATTAATGTTGTTTTCTTGCTTCCTAAAACAACATCTATTCTACTGCCTATGGATCAAGGAGTAATTTTGGCTTTCAAGTCTTATTATTTAAGAAATACATTTCATAAAACTGTAGTTTCCATAGATAGTGATTCCACTGATGGATCTGGGCAAAGTAAGCTAAAAACCTCCTAGAAAGGATTCACCATTCCAAACTTTATTAAGAACATTCCTGATTCATGAGAGAAGGTCAAAATATCAACATTAGCAGGGGTTTGGAAGAAATTGATTCCAACCCTTGTGGATGACTCTGCAGGGTTCAAGATTTCAGTAACTTCAGGAGGAAGTTACTGCAATGTGGTAGAAATAGCAAAAGAATTGTAACTGAAAGTGAGCCTGAAGATGTGATTGAAATGCTGCAATATCATGATAAAATTTTAATGAATGAGAAGTTGCTTCTTACGAATGAGCAAAGAAAGTTGTTTCTTGAGACAGAAGTTATTCTTTGTGAAGATGTAGTGAAAGCTGTTGAAATGACAACAAAGGCTTTAGAATATTACATAAACTTAGTTAGTAAAGCAGTGGTAGGATTCGAGAGGATTGACTTTGTATTAGTCTGTTCTTGCTCTGCTATAAAGAGATACCTGAGGCTGGGTACTTTATAGAGGAAAGAGTTTCATTGGCTCATGGTCCCACAGGCTGTACAGGAGGCATAGTGGCTTCTGCTTCTGAGGAGGCCTTAGGAAGTTTCCAATCATGGCGAAAGGCAAAGATGAGCAAGTCATCTGTCATGACTGGAACAGGAGGAAAGTTGGGAGAGATGCCACACACTTTTAAACAATCAGATCTTATGACAACTCTCTCATTATCACCAGAACGGCACCCTGGGAAAAATCCACCCGTCTGTTCCAATCACCTCTCACCAGGCCCCACCTCCAACTTTGGGAATTAAAACTGAACATGAGATTTGGGTTGGGGACATTCAAAAAGCTTTGCTGTTTGCTATCAAACAGCATCATGTGCAACAGAGAAATATTTTGTGAAAGAAGAGTAAATAAATGCAGAAAACTTAATTGTGGTCTTACTTTAAGAAATACCCACAGCCACCTCAACCTTCAGCAACAACCACCTTGATCAGTCAGCAGCCGTCAATATCAAGCCAAGACTCTCTAGGAGCAAAAAGATTATGCCTCACTGAAGGCTCAGATGATCTTCAGCTTTTCTAGCAATAGTTGAGGTATATAAACTTCTTAGGCATAATGTTAATGCACACTTAACATTACGGAGTCAAGTGTTAGCAACGTAACTTTTCTGCTATTAGTCTGTTCTCACAGTACTATAAAGAAATACCTGTGAGGTATGTCTTTACCTTAGCAACTCTGTGAAATCAGATTTTCGTATCTCCCTTGTTTACTCCATAATGGTCTATAGTATGGTGTAAATATAATTTTTATATGCACTGGGAAACAAAAAAAAATGTGTGACTTACCATATTGCAATACTCAATTCATTCTGGTGGTCTGGAACCAAACTCACCATATCTCCTAAGTATGCCTGTGTTGAAGCCAGTTCTCATTTTTCCTTTGTAATTCACTGTGAAGTAATTGTCTACTGAGCAAATGTTACTATTTTATATTAAACAAAATTCTACAGCTTGTCTCTTCCATGAGTAAAAAGAAACGTAAAGAAGTTATCTCTTTTGGCCTTCAGTGTACAATGATTATTATAATGTCTTATTCTCAGAAAAAATATTTGAACAATAACAGACAAATACTCAACCTACATCTTTTTCATTATTTATTTTTAGCCCACCTTAATAATAGAATGTTGCTATTGTTGATGAAAAAAGCCAAACTCAGAAAATATTTGAAAAGGTTTATGCTGAGCCAAATTTGAGGATCATGGCCCTTGACACAGACTCAGGAGGCCCTGAGAACATGTGCCCAAGGTGGTTGGGCTACAGTTTGGTTTTATAAATTTTAGAGAGACAGAAATTACAGGCAAAGACATAAATCCATGCGTATAAAATATACATTGGTTTGGTCAGGAAAGGTGGGACATCTTGAGTAGTGGGGCTCCCAGCCAGGTCATGAGTGAATTATTTTCTGATTGACAATTGGTTGAAAGAGTTAAGCTATGCCTGAAGAATTGAAGTCAGTATAAATACTTGAGTTAAGATAAGGCAAGTTCTGGAAGCCAAGATTCTTGTTATTTAGATGAAGCCTCCAGGTAACAGGCTTTGGATCAAATAGATGATTAATATCTCTTATCAGGCCTAAAAATGTGTCAGACTCTCTGGAAAAGGAAGTTCCGGATAGAATATTAAATTGATAAGGAATGAAGATTCTCTACAGAGTGTAAACTTCTTCCTCAAGGGACAGCTTTGCAGGGCCATTTCAAAATATGCAAAATAAAACATATCTGAGGATAAAATATTCAGATTTCCTTCAGGGCTACCATCTGTCATGTGATACTATACTAAACTCAGGTTGGAATTTGCTATCATCTTATTGCTACAAAGAGTCTGTTTTGTCAGTCTTATGATCTCTATTTTAATGTTAATACTGGCCAGCTGTGCCTAAATTCCAAAAGGAGGAGAGTATAAGAGGCTATATACAACCTCTCTTCCTGTCATGGCCTGCACTAGTTTTTGGGTTTTCTTTCAGATCCCCTTGGCCAATAGGGAGGATCCATTCAGTCAGCTGGGGGGCTTAGAATTTTATTTTTGTTTTACAGCATTATATCCAGTCTATGTCTACTAGGGGAGAAAAAGCCTTCAAGTAAGATAAAAATAAGACAAAACAAAACATCCACTCCACTTAATGAGGTATCAGACAAGAGGAAAAGTATCCTTGTAATTTGGGGAGGCACTTCTAGATGGGAGGTTAAACTGATAATGGAAAAGAGATGCTAACTGAATGAGCAGCTAAAAAAAAAGCAACATATTGATTTCCTCTGATGTGGTCAGACAAGTGTTTATTTTTGTTTTATTTTTCCTTAGCAACTCTGTGTGGTCGGCTTTTTCTATCACCATTGTTTACTTGAATAAATTAAAGATAATAAAGTTATACAAGCTAGAATGCATTATTTAATTATACTTACCTTGTCTCAAAAATAATTGAATAATTTTAAGATCTTACAACTAATAAGCAAATTTGGAACATGTATCTGTCTGATGTCAAGCTTTTGCCCTGTCAACAAAATTATCCCATGATTCCTTAGGCAGATGAATGTATTAATAACTAGGCAAATTGTTTTTATGAATTCTTTTTTTCTCTACCTAAAATAGTTTAAGGTTATTGGATTGAATTAAGATTAGGATACTAAAGCTGAATTTATCTATCCTCCAAGAGTAATTTAAATTTATATAGGTCATTAAAAAGTTGTTTTCACATCTAAGAAAAGTCATCACAATTCTAAGATGACTCAAGTACTTCTTAAAAAACTCTTGACTTCATAAGGAAACATGTCTCCTCAGCATTATAATTCCTTCAGTGGTCATTTTTGTAGCTTGTACACTGGAGACTGTTTCATTAATACTTTGGTGAGAATTTTTCTTTTTTTTTTTTTTTTTTTTTTTTTTGCTAGACAGAGGACAGAGTCTTGCTCTGTAGCCCAAGCTGGAGTGCAGTGGTGCAATCTCGGCTCACTGCAACCTCCACCTTCTGGGTCCCAGGTCAAGCAATTATCCTGCCTCAGCCTCATGAGTAGCTGGGATTACAGGTGCGTGCCACCATGCCCAGCTAATTTTTGTATTTTTAGGAGAGACGGGGTTTCACTATGTTGACCAGGCTGGCCTTGAACTCCTGACCTCGTGATCCGCCCGCCTCAGCCTCCCAAAGTGCTGGGATTACAGGCGTAAGCCACTGCGCCCAGCCTTAATGAGAATTTTACACCTGACTTGGTTCAGCCACTCCCAATGAAACCAACTTTGCAAAAATAACTAAAACAATTATTGCAGTGAAAGACACCTTACCTAAATGACTCCATCTTGCTTCTAACCTGCAAGCTGTCCTCCTTCATTCCTGAGCTTAGGCTGAACTAACTTTAGGAGAACATAGTTAATAGTTGTGCTTTGAAACAAAGATGAAAACAGCCCTTTCCCAAAACAAACCCTCTTCGTATGTAGGGACTAGACTGCCTTTGCAGGACCAACAAATTAGCCACAAGATTAGAACTTCCGGTTTAGGAGTCATGCAGCTGGAGGTTGCAAGATTCTAAACCTCCCCAAATTGCTCCTGGGGATAACATCACTATTGTAAAACGTAAGATCAGTGCTTGAGATATTTTGCAGACCCTGCACTGAATGGATCAGCTGGCACAACCCAGATTGATAAACTGGCTTATCTGGTCTTGTGTTCCCCACTCAGGAAGCAATGAAGCACAAAAGGACAGCTTTGACTCCTTAAGATTACATCTTTGAGCCAACCAGTGAGAACTCCTGACTCACTGGCCCCCTACCCACCAAATTATTCTTAAAAACTCCGATCCCCGAAGTCTCATAGAGACTGATTTGAGTAATAATAAAACTCCAGTCTCCCGCATAGCCGGCTCTGCATGAATTACTTTTTCTCTATTGCAATTTTCCTGTCCTGATAAATCGACTTTTTCTAGACAACAGGAAAGGTGAACTCATTGGACGTTTACACAAAGATATTGCAAAGTCAAATCTGAAAGAAAGTCATCTTCTCTCAAGTTTTAGCTACCATGTTCCAAGGTTGTCAGGCATTTAAAAAAAAAAATTAAATGTCTTTCTTTACACTTACAAGTTCATATACTTGCTTTGTATCTATGTTTTAAAAATAAACCAAAGCTTCAAATTCCTTCTTTAAATTTAAAATAGAGAGTCTGTTAGAATCTTCCTGTCAACTGGAGTCTTCTAAATATGAGAATATTTATCATATGGAAAATTATCGGTACAATTATAGCTACTCCTAACATATTAAATATGACTTTGACTATCAACACACCGAATATAGGCTTTTATATGCTAAAAGGTTCTAATGCATCGGTTATATAATAGCTGTAATAATAGAACGTACTACTCTAACACATGTGTCCATCTCATAAGATAAAACATTACTCTTAAGTTTAGCATTCACTGTTGATTAGTGTTATAGCAGTGGATATTTGGCAAAATAGTGGTTTAAGAATATAGACTTTCAGGCCAGGTATGGTGGCTCACATTTGTAATCTCAGCACTTTGGGAGGCCGAGGTGGGTGGATCACGAGGTCAGGAGTTTGAGACCAGCCTGACCAACATAGTGAAACACTGTCTCTACTAAAAATGCAAAAATCAGCAGGGTGTGGTGGTGCACTCCTGTAATCCCAGCTACTCAGGAGGCTGAGGCAGGAGAATCACTTGAACCTGGGAAGCGGAGGTTGCTGTGAGCCGAGATCACACCACTGCACTCCAGTCTGGGTGACAGAGCAAGACCCCAACTCAAAAAAATTTATATATATATTATATATAATGTAATAATATATATTTTATATAATATATAATATATATAATATATAATATATATTATATATTGTATAATATATAATATACATTATATATAGTATAATATATAATATACATTATATATAGTATAATATATAATGTATATTATATATAGTATAATATATATTTTATATAATATATATTTACATATATTTTATATATATATTTTAAATATATATATATAATATATATTTTTATAATATATAAATATAAATATAATATACATATTATAAAATATATTATAATATATACATATTATAAAATATATATAATTATAATATACTTGATAATATATTAAATTTTTATAACATATTATATAATATTCATATTATATAATATACAATATATTATATAATATTCATATTATAATATACAATATATTATATAATATTCATATTATAATATACAATATATTATATACTATATTATTTATATTATATATTTTATATAAATATATTATATATTTTATATAAATATAATATATCATAAATTATAGTATTTATATAATGTATATTATATATTTATATATTATGTATATTATATATATTTTTATATATTTATATATTATGTATACATTTTTATATATTTATTTTTTTATATATTTTATATTTTTATTATATATAAAATATATATTTATATAATATATATTATATATTTATATTATATATTATATATTTATTATATATATTTATATTATATATTATATATACAACATATAATATATATTTATATTGTATATATTATATATAATATATATTATACATATTATGAAATAAATATATATTTATTATATATTAAAATAATATATATTTATTATATATTATTAAATAAATTATATATATATTATTTATATATATTATAATATAGAGAGAGAGACAGACAGACAGACAGAGACACTTTCAAATTCTCGTTGTATGGTAGTAAAAACTGACCTGTGTGGTAAAATGAGGTAAATTTCAAGCTACTTCATGGACCACTTTTGCCAGCACCTGTTATTTTCTGTCTTTGTGATAATAGCCATTTCAACTGCATACGATGATATCTCATTTTGGCTTTCATTTACATTTCCCTGATGATTACTGATGTCGAGGATTGTTTTGTGTACTTATTAGCTATTTGTATGTCTTTTTTTTGAGAAATGTCTATCTGGATCCTTTGTCCTTTTTTTAATCAGATTATTTGTTTCCTTGCTATTGAGTTGTGTTTATTTTATATATTTTATGTTAAACCCTTATCAGATGTATGTTTTACAAATATTATCAAATATTTATAGGTTGTCTCTCTTCACTGCGTTCATTCTGCTGTGCAGCTTTTTAGTATGATATAATCCCATTTGTCTATTTTTGCTTTTTTGTCCCAACAGCATTTATTGAAGAGACTGTGTTTTCCCATTGTGTATTCTTGACATCTTTGTTGAAAAATCAGTTGATCATAAATGCACTGATTTATTCCTGAGACTCTAATTCTGTTCCATTGGTTTATGTGTTTGTTTTTATGCTGTTACTATGTTGTTCTGATTATTATGCTTTTTAAATGTATTATAAATTCAGGTTTTTTGATGGCTTTAGCTTTGTTATTTTTGCTCAAGATTGCTTTGGCTGTTTAGGTTCTTTGGAGATCCCCCTAATAATTTTTTGATATTTTAAAATTTGTATGAAAAAAGTCATTGGAATTTTGAAAGGAATTGCATTGCAGTTGAATATCATTTTAGGTAGTATGAACTTCTTAACAATATTAATTCTTCCAATCTGCGAGGATATCTTTCCATTTATTTGTGCCTTCTTCCATTTGTTTCATCAATGGTTCAAAGTTTTATATGTACAGCTCTTTCACCTCCTTGGTTAAATGTATTCTAAGGTTTTTTACTGTAGCTATTGTAAACATGATTGTTTTCATGATTTCATTTTTGGATAGTTCACTGTTAGTATATAGAAATGCCAATTATATTTATATGTTGATATTGTATCCTTCAACTTTACTTCTCTTTTAGTTCTAATCATTTTTTGGTGGAGTCCATATATGTGTGTGTGTGTATATGTGTGTGTGTGTGTGTGTGTGTGTGTGTGTGTGTGTGATTATGTCATCTGCAAATTGAGACAATTTAACTTCTTCCATTACAGTTTGGATACCTTTATTTCTCTTGCCTAATTGCTCCATCTAGGACTTCATATAGTACTTTGTTGATTAGAAGTGGCAAAAGGGAATCCTGGTTTTTACCCTGATCTTAGAGGAAAAAAATTCAAATTTTTATCTTTGAATATCTTAGCTGTGGGTTTGTCATATGGCCTTTAATTGTGTTGAGGTACATTCCTTCTATACATTATTTGTTGAGAGTGTTTAATCACGACAGAATGTTGAATTTTGTTAATAACAGATGCAGAAAAAAATATTTAACAAAATGTTAGTTCATTTTGTTAATATGATCACATTTATTGATGTATAAAACCTGAATCATTTAAAAATCAATAAATGTGACAGACCATATGAATCATCTTTGCAGTTCTGGAATAACTTCCACTTGATCCTGGTGAGTGATCCATTTAATGTGCTCTTGAATTCAATTTGCTGGAATTTTGTTGAGAATTTTTCACACCCATGTGTATGAGGGATATTGGCCTATAATTTTCTTTTCTTGTAGTGTTCTTGTCTAGCTTTTGATTTCAGGATAATACTGGCCCTGTAAAATAAGCTTTAAAATGCTTATTCTTTTCCAGTTTTTGGAAGAGTTTGAAAAGGATTTGTATTAGTTTTATTGTTTAAATGTTCAGTAGAATTCAGCAGTGAAGCTATCAGGTCCTGGGCTTGTCTTTGATGGGAGACCTTTTATTACTGATTCAATCACCTTAACCATTATTACTATGTTTATATTTCCTATTCCTTCATGATTTATTCTTGGTAGTTTTTTAGGTGTCTAAGAATGTATCCATTTGTTCTTCTAGGTTTCTCAATTTGTTGGCATGTAATTGTCCATAGTAGTCTCTTATGACCATTTGTATTTCTTTTATATGAGTTGTAATGTCTCCTGTTTCATATCTGATTTTATTTGAGTATTCTTTTTGATTAGGCAGATGGAGGTTTGTTAATTTTATCTTTTCAAAAAACAAACTCAGTTTTGTTGACCATTTTTAGTGTTTTTCTAGTATATTATTCTTTTTCCAGGTCCTTAAGGTATAAAATTAGGTTATTTGTAACATTTTCTTTCATTTTTGATATAGTCATTTATTGCTATAAACTTCACTTTTATAACTACTTTTGTTGCTTGCTATAATAAATTTTGGTATGTTTTGTTTCACTTTAATTTTTCTCAATATTTCTTTTAAATTCTTGATTTCTTTTTTGACCCATTCATTTTTCAGGAGTATGTTTAATTTGTATGTTTTGTACGTTTTCTGAAATCCTCCTGTTACAAATTTCTACTTTCATATCATCGTGGTCAGAAAAGATACTTTATTTCAATCTTCTTAAACATGTTAAAACTATTTTTGTAGCACAATCCCATTTGCGCTTGAGAAAAACATGCATTTTATAGCTGTTGAGTAAACTATTCTGTATGCCTCTTAGGTCTGTTTGATCTGAAGTGTAGTTTAAGTTGAATATTTCCTCATTGATTTTCTATCTGGATAATCTTTCTATTGCTAAAGGTAAGTTGTTGTGTTCCCTACTAGTATTAATTAGTGTGTCAAAAGCCTATCTCTCTATTCATATCTATTAATATTTGCTTTATATATTTAGGTGCTTCAATGCTGGATGCATATTTTTAATTGTTATATCCTCTTGATGAACTTTCTCATTAAGTGACTGTCTCTTTTTACAATTTTGACTTTTAGTATAATTTTTCTGATATAAAGATAGCTATCTCTCCTCTACTTTGGTTTCTAATTGTATGGAATATATTTTCCCATCCCTTAACTTTCAGTCTGTGTGTTTTTAAAGATGATGTGACCCTCTTAGAGATTTTTAGTTGGATCATGTTTTTAATGCATTCATTCACTCTATGTCTTTTGATTGAACAATTAAATCTATTTACATTTAAGGTAATTTTTGCTAGGTAAGAACTTACCTTTGCCATTTTAATTACTGTCTGGTTGTTTTGTAGGTTCTTTGTTCCTTTATCTCTCTCTTACTTTCTTCCTGTGTGATCAAATAATTTTCTCCAGTAGCATGCTTTGATTCCTTACTTTTAATCTTTTTGTGTCCACTATATGTTCTTGCTTTGTGGTTACCATATGGCTTAAATCAAACATTGTAGAGCTATTTCAGTAATTTGAGGATCCAGCATCCCAACTTTTGGGAAAGTGTCCCCCCAAAGTATTTCTGATGTGACTTAAGTTTCATGTGATTTATGTACTTTTATTTCTGTTCTCGCCTCAGCTAAACCTTGTAGGGCCACAACTGTGGCCACTTGGTTTTACAGTCCATTGCCAGCATCAACTGTGAAAGGATCCATAACTACAATGAGCCAGGATGTTATGTCCCTAGGAGAAGAAGCAGCCTTAAACCATTATTTACACTAAATTGGGATATAAATATTCCAGATCACTCACATCTTGGTGGCTTTTTTTTTCTGTTGTAGAATTAAGCTTCATTTGCTTTCATTGTTTACATAAACGCATGTCATTTATCGGTTATTTATTCTTTCCTTATCTCATTTTGGAGTTTTCTCTGCCTCCCTTATACTACTTGCACTCAAAGCTTTCTCAGTGTCTGTTTCTGGGAGAACCCTAAATAAGATACATATTTGGCTAGGTGATCTCAATGGCCATATCCAGTACTCTTTGTAAATGGCCTAAAGATCTCAAGATAATATGTCTGATAACCACAGGCCATAAGTTTTTATCAGTCTGTCTGACTTAAAATAATCATCTACAAATGTTTTTCTGCATTAAATTAATTTTCCTAGAGAATTATACCAATAGATGTTTGAAAACAAAAAGTAATGAAGCCTGTAATCTTCATATTTGGAAAAGACAATGGAAATTTAGAATTTAACCAAGCATCCTAGTTGTGTGTCCGCTGCCTTCTTGATTGGCCAATTGCTGCTTTTTATCTCCTCCATGGCACTTGCCTTCAGTAACTTAACCTCTCAGTACTGTTCTCTGTCCTCTTCTTTTAGTTTGAACAATACTTATAAAATATTAATTCCTTAAATTCTTGAGTTTCACCTGCAATGCTGATAATTAAAAGCTCTCTACCTTTAATAATACTGTCAATTTTAAGATTTTGCTTAACACTGATAAAAATTTTATATATATTTTCATTTCATATTTATGTAAAAAATGTTATTGTATTTCATTTTGCATATTAGGTAACAGGCTCAAATAAATTAAGTAGCATTTCCTCAAATCACCTGGCCATAAGTGATAGAGTCAGGTTTCAAACTGAAACATATATAATTCTAAAACCTAGAGTATTTATTATATTACACCTCTTCTCCCTAAAAGTGAATATGCTCATGCACATATAAACAGAGTTAAGAATAACATGTAACACTTCATTGTAAGTACTTGTATCTTTGTAAGTTTTTATGAGTACACCCACTGAAGGAATGTCCCAGTTTTCTCTGTCAAAAATTCATTTTTTATGAATTATGTTTAATTGGGCCACTTATTTAACTTCTGTAGATCTCATAACAATAAAACAAAATGGAGGGTAAAATATTACCCAATTAATGCCGTTGTTCTAAAGATCCAATTAAATAATAAACCTAAAGGACTTGACATGGTTACCAAAGCACAATATATCATCCAAACTAGAAAAGTTTATTTATAATGTGAATAAAATATTTTTTAATGGTAAAATCACAGATGCTTTGAAAAGACAGGGAGAGTGAGCTATAAAGTTAGGTAATTCTATTTCTAGAATATGGAATAATAATCTCCTATTTTCCTTGTTTAAGAAAATTTAAACTTTCTTGGAGATATTTTCAGAAATTCTTTCATGAATGCCTTTGATGGATAGGTCATATGCTGATTCTGTGGGAACAACATTCCCTTGGGATATACAAGCCCTCAGAGAATAGTGTATTATAAATAAATTGAAATGTTTGAGCCAATTAAAATTAGAAACTAAAATAGTATTCATGACGTTGCATGAAACAAAGGAGTGTTTTTAAGGCTAGATCTACCCCACACTTTTGCTAAAAATCATTTTGGTTCTAGTGGCAAATGCAGAAAGAATTATTAACAGTTTTTTGGTGATGCATTTGACACTGAAATCATAACCATAGAAAAGTGTAAATAAGGTAAAAATATCCACTTACAAAATTGTTCTTCCAGGGTAGAGTTTGGGGAAGTATTTAAGAAAATCAAACTTGACCTCAAATAGAAAATGGTTTAGAGAAGGCATTGCATTTTTTATCTTATGCTTTGGAAACATTACAACTGTGCCGTTCATAAATTTACTTACATTTTGCATCTGTCTAAAATTTCAGAGATCTGTCCTGTCAGATTCTACTCATTCTCCCAAGATGAACACTGAATTGGGGATAACTATCATCTGGAAAGCAAATGACACATTACTTTTCCCAGAGTCACTGCTAGATTGAAGGTGAATGTAACATGGGTAGGTTGAACAGGCAAGCATTTCATCTCTGACTATTCAGTGCCCCTGATTGAATTGTTGTCTTTCATCTCATCCATTCGGCATATTTTGATTGTAAAATAAGGTCACAGATCTGGTTGGTTTTTTTTTTTTGTAACTCAACTGAATTAAGTTAGTGTGTTGCAAATATCGCAGTGTAGTACAATGTGACCTCAGGTCAAGAACCCCAGCTCTGTTTATTATATAAGAGAGGAGGATGCTTCCAAGCTCCTTCACAAAGATTCCCTAAGAAATACTTGCTGGGAAGTCTGCACTGTGGAGAGAGTTTCCAGTCTTATTACTCTCAGAGCTTTAAGTGTGTATATGGAGAAGAATGGATGAGTAAAGTTAAGAGTTGTTCTCTCATTCCTAGATAACCACACTAAGCAAATAATTTACTTCCTTCTACTAGAAAAGAGGAGGGGGTGGGATAGGGAGAAAATAAGGTATGGAGAAGTAAAACAAAAAGGAAGAGATGGGGTGCTCTGAGGTAGAATCAAGGCATCCCAAAGCTGCATAAATCCCCTCCTCAATTCCATGGTTTCTAGCATTGTTGTATATTAGCTAAATTAATTAGACACTGAGAGATTAATTATCAAAGGAACAATGAACAGCAATGACCAGACCATATAGAAATATAGAACACTGACCTACAACCTGCAGCAGGAAACAACCCAAAAAGCCAAACCACAACCTTTGAAGAAATCTACCCCAAATGAACAAAACTTAGTAACTGTCAACTTCCCTAATTTTTTCCCCTGCTACTAACTTAGAACTAAGCAAATATGCTCCCCTAAACAAGTATATATCATTGCTGCATCCAGTTAGCCAGGCTCCCAATTTCACCATGCAAAAAACCTCTCATGGGTGCATACATGAAGCCTTCCTTTTTTTCCACTATAAACTTTTGCAATTCCCCTGCCTGCCTTTGAGCTTCTGCTGAGTGATGGTGGCTGACACCTTTGCTAATCAAACGCTGAATAAATATCCTTTGCTATCATTTACTCCTACATTTGGGAGGTATCTATTTCTGCAACTTTCATTTGGGTGATATTCATTTCATTTGTATAGTACCTTTGCTGAAAAGTGTCCTTGATCTTAGCTATCAACACAATTTTACCAGGGACTAAGCTTCACTGTAAAAGAACATGAAATTTTATTAATTCTTTTGGAAACAAACAAAAACAAAGTTTTGCAAAGTTTTACTTTGGGATTTGATGTCTCACTGCCAGTTACCGTGATAATTCTTTAATACTCAAGACCTGTCTGGAAGATAAATATTACTTATAACATTTTATGGAACTGAGGAACGCTAAGTAACTTTACTATGATTGGCTTATGTTTTAGAAAGTTGATATTTGGCAGAGCTAATATTTGAACGTACTTCTAATTGACTCTAGAGAGCCCAGGGTTAAATTACTTAAGAAGGCAATATAGCACAGTGATTAGGAGATAAATTCTGCAGGCCTGGATTGAATTTACTAGCTGTAGGTACTTGCACAAGTCAATCCCCCTCTTTTCACCTCAGTTTTCTTATCTGTAAAGTGAGAATAAAATAATTTCTACCATAAAGGAATGTTGTGCTAATTAACTTATCATATTTAAAGCACTTAGAATAGTGTGAGAATGTAGAAACTACTCAGTATTGGCAACTGTGAAGAAGAGGGAGGAGAAATCTGAAGAGGAGAGTGAGTAAAGGCACAGGAAATAACATTCTGCTTTTATTGTCTTCTTGTGGGTTAAGTTTTTACCTCTTGGTACTAGGTGTACCTTAAACACATAAAAAAAAATGAATAGCATTTTTTAAACATTTGAGAAACAAGGTTATATTCATGGTGGGAAAGGTAGAGGCATTCTAATAAGCCTTACTTTTGATTTGTGTTTTATGCACTGGTCCTAATGCTTCCACTATCCTTGATTACTGTAATCAGCTTCTTTCCTATGGAACAAGTGTTGTAAGGTCTATTACAAAAGCTGAAGATGCATCTTCTTCAACTCTCTTCCAGATCTAGGGAATTTCTTTATTTTTTCCTAGGGGAGTGCTGATGGGATTTGGGACATTACCCAGCACAGGTACAATAGTTCTTCGTATTCTTAAACAGTTCGTTAAAAGGGTAAAAGAAAGGCTGTGCTTTTATCCTAGTTTTCCAAACTGATTCCCCCATATGTATTCTGCTACCTTGCACACCAGCTAGGTGAACATTTAGAGGCATATACTCTAACACACTGTTGTGGTTCAGATTCTGTGAAAATTAAATTACAGTTCTTAATTTGGAGTAAGAATATTTGAGCTTCAAAGAAATAATCAAAGAAAATAATTTGATTTTTCAAAATGTATTTCAAAACCCCTCTGTACTTCAGAGTATCAGTGTGAAGAAACAATAACAAAAATATTCTTTATATTGTTATTTCGTGTCATATTTAGGAAATCGGCCATTTTGTCTTCCTGTTTGTTTTAATATCATGTCAGAAAACCCTCAGAGGTTTTCCTTCTCAAGTAACGAAAGCTTTAAAATGTCTTTAAAGAAACAAATGAAAAATGTATAATTCAGAAGCATGCTTTAATTATAAATCCAAAACCCTCCTAGTGTCTTGCCAGCAGATGTTTTAAGAGAACTTAGTCAATAAATTTGCTCATAATACCACGTGTTTCATAGATTTTCTGTGATAAGTTCTGAGAACAGTTGTTACCTTGGCAACTGAAAATTAGAACAGTAGTGAACAATTATTTCTATCTCAAGTGATCAAAACTGAAGTAAACTATGAGTAGACAGGAAGCCACCTCACTGTATATAGAGGCTTCCTGGAAAAGGGAAGGAATTAGAGAATTAAGTTTTGGTAATGCTGCTTGCTTGCTTTGTGACTTTAAAGGAAATATTTAAACTTCTCCCATTTTAAATGAGAAAAAGTAATAATTAACTTGAAACATTGTTTTTATAATTATAGGATATAAAGAACACATCATACTCATATGGTATATGCCAAACATGTCATCTAAGCACATTACAGCCATTCTCATATTGTCATCTTCATTATCAACTTTGATTCTTAGAATGTCCATCTGCCTTGGGTGGATACATCTAATTATAACTACTAAGACAAATCTGATTCTAGCGTGAAAGGAAAATAAAATCTTGGGATCCCAAGCTCACTATGCCCAAAGGAAAAGTTAAGCCTGTAAACTGAGGCACACACCCAAAAAACTTGCCTTTCTTTTTGTTCTCAAACAGATATCTCCCCAGGTAGACTCCCTCACCCTGACAATGTAAATTAACAGTTTATCTAGCCGGGTGTGGTGGCTCACGCCTGTAATCCCAGCACTTTGGGAGGCTGAGGCAGGTGGATCACAAAGTCAGGAGTTCAAGACCAGCCTGGCCAACATGGTGAAACCCCGTATCTACAGAAAATACAAAAATTAGCTGGGTGTGGCGGCACGTGCCTGTAGTCCCAGCTACTTGGGAGGCTCAGGCAGGAGAATTGCTTGAACCTGGGAGGCGGAGGTTGCAGTGAGCCAAGACCATGCCATTGCACTCCAGCCTGGGCAACAGAGTGAGACTCCATCTCAAAATAAATAAATAAATAAATAAATAAATAAATAACAAGTTTATCTTCATGGCTATGAGACAAGAGGAGACTAGAAATCATCCCACTGTCCACCCCAAGATGAATACATATTTGCTTTCTTCCTCTACTCTGTTTACATTATCTTAGGTGAAATGCAGATTTAGAGAGCACAAGATGAACACATAATTGACTGTTCCTCTACCCCCTCCTCTTCACACGCAACATGTGGATTCAGTGAATGCTGACCAAAGCCTCAAAAGAATGTAATCACTTGCCTCATTTGTCTACCCCTACCTGCTTTTTTTTTCCTACTTCCCCTCCTTCCCACATACATTTTTCCCTTTATATAGAAAAGCCCTCAAAACCCTCTTTGAGAAAGGGTGGGCTATGCATTCTATGTGGGTTGTGTCTTCTTTTTTTACTGGACACAACCTCAACCTTGGCCAAATAAACCTCTAAACTGATTGAGACCTGTTTCAGACACTCTCCTTTTGGTTTATGCTAGTTAACTGTAGAATTAGAAATCTCTGTAAAAAGAAATTTACTTTTGTAATTTGCATTACAGAAATCTACTCAGAAAAGAGGAGTTAACATTTATCAAGGCGTCTTTGTCAGGAAGCATCATGAGGAGGTGTTATGATGCATTTTGGGAGTCTTTAGCTCTCTCAATAGTCCAATGTCAGTCAACTCCAAAGGAAATATACAATCAAAGGTGAGATAAAAGAAAAACTTCAGCCGAATTTAAAGGAGTTTAATTGAGCAATGAATGATTTGCAAATCAGGCAGCCCCCAGAATCACAACAGATTCATGGAGACTCCAGTGCAGCCACGTGTTGGAAGATTTACAGAGAAAAAAAGGGGAAATGATGTACAAAAATCAGCAGTGAGGTACAGCAACAGCTAGATTGGTTACAGGTTGGTGTTTGCCTTATTTGAACACAGTTTTAACACTTAGCAGTCTGTGAGTGGTTGAAGTATGGCAGCTGGGAGTGGCCAAGACTCAGTTATTGTTACAGGCACATACTCCTAAGTTAGGTTTTCAATCTTGTCTATTAAGCTAGGTTACAGTTCATCCACATGGACTCAAATATAGAAATACGGAGTCCTTCTCAGGCCATATTTAATTTGCTTTAACAAGGGTATAACAGCAATTCTAACAAAACAATGAACAGTCCATCTTCCAATCAGATTAATTTTGACACATCTCACACATTTAGAAATTTAGAGTTCATCCTGCCAGGTACTAGATATCCATCCACATTATTTAATTTAATCCTCACAACACTCCCATAAGTAGATAATACTCTGTAGAAGAGAAAATTACATTTGAAGTTAATAACTAGCTGTCCAAGAGCTATCAAACTAAAAGGGGTTAGACAATGACAACTGATTAAACCAATGAAGATAAGTGTTATAGTTTGAATGTGTTCCCCAAAAGTTTTTGTGTTAGAAATTTGTTTGTTCTGCTGGCAGTGTTAAGACACAGGATCTTTTTCATGAGACACTGACTCATGAAATCTCCACCTTCATGAATAAATTAATTCAGGAGTGAGTTAGTTATCTTGAGAGTTTGGCTCTTTTTTCCTCTCTATCTCCTGCTCTTGCTTTCACCTTTCACCCCTCAGCCATGGGATGACCCTTGTCAGATGCTAGTACCTTGCTGTTAGACTTCTCAGCTTCCAGAATTGTGAACCAAATAAACTATCATTTATAATTAACTCAGTCTGAGGTATTCTATTATAGCAGAAGATGGACAAAGACAATAAGCAAAAACTGTGTTTTAGTTGTAGAGCTATGTGCATGGTACAATTATAATAGAATAATATTAGATTTTCAGTGAGACCATCAGAAAGTCTCAACAATGAATTTTAGATCACAGGCTACAATGAAAGTTTTCTAGAGCCAATATAAAAACTCAGAATCCTTCAGTAACATGTGTTCAATTATCCGTATGTGCTGGGCACTGCTAAGTATTTCAAAGATATTAATTTACTTTTCACACTGAGTGACAATAGGAGTATTGTCATCTCCCACTTTATTCATGAGTAAATTGAAGCAGAGAAAGAAACTTGCCCAAGGGAACACAGCTAGTGAGAGATGGAGCTCGATCTGAAAACAGATGATTGAATTCCTCCTGCAACCCTATCTACCATGCAGTGTTACCTCCACATCTCCCTGCTACACAGAACAATAGTTTGCCTTAGGGGATGAGACATGAATGTGGGGATAGTTTCAGCTATTTAGTGAGTGGTACTTTATACATCCACACAATTTATTAATTTGAGCTTTCCTAGATAGGTACTTAGGAGAAACAAAAACTTCCCATCCAAAATACGATATATAAGGAACAATACTTCCTTGCAAGAGCCGTTCTTCTGTAAGAATAGAAGAGATCTGAACTTCTATAATAGTTAATCAATGACTCAAGTTTAGCCAATTTGAACATCAGCAAATCCAACCCATCACATCTAACCAATGCCCTGGTCACTGATATTCCAGTTAGGACTTACCGATGTTGCCGTACTGCAATAGATTTGGCATTATTTTCCTCTGTCTTTTTTCCTTCACAGCACATAAAGACATGGACATGCATATACATACGTTAACATATAATGTTATTCCAAAATTAAATTATTATAGTTTATGTTACCTTTTATAAACAATTGATTTTTAAAATCATTTTTAGAAGGAAATTATTAATGGTCAATGGTTGTGTTGAAATAAAAAAAAAATGTATCTTATTTTTGATCTAGGTTCCTGGCTTCGAAAACCTCTGGAAATTTCTTATTTTTTTCTTAATGATAAGTATCTTTTGTTAAAGAAGCCCCTTTTGACCACAAATGAAATAATACTAACTAGGGGACTCAAGAGGGGCCCTTAGATCATTTTACAGGATGGGCTGGCCACACCAGAAAAACTAAGTACATGACTGAAGGGTTGGAACTTTTAGCCTTAACCTCACTTCCGTCCACACCTCTGAGAAGGGAGAGGAATGAAAACTGAGCTCGATCACTTGACGAATCACATAGTAAGAACTCAGTAAAACTCTGGCCATCCAAAGCTCAAAGAGCTTTCCTGTTGGTGAGCATATCAACATGCAGAGAAGGTGATACACTGATTCCATGGGGAGAGGGCACAGAAGCTCATCTGGAACCCTCTCAGACCTTAGTCTATGTGTCTCTTCAATTTGGCTATTTCTTAGTTTTATCCTTTATAACAAAACTGGAATTGTCAGCATAGAGTTCTGTGAGTCATTCTAACATATTATTGAAATTGATGGTGTCATGAGAATTTCTGAATTTATAGCTGGTTGGTCAGAAATGTGGGTGCCCTTAAGACTTGCAACTGGCCCCTGAAGTGAGGGTAGTCTTGTAGAGGACTGAGCTCTTAAACCTGTGGAGTCTGATGCTAACTCTGGGTAGTGTCCGAATTGAATTAAATAGCAGGACACTCATTGTCAGAAGCTTGTCAAAGCAATGGTCAATAACGAAATAATATGATACTCATGACAGACCCTCCCAAAATAAGTTTGAACATGAGAAAATGTGACAAAAGGAGAATATTTGAATTAGGTTACTCAAAAAGACAAATCAAGGTGACTTTGGAAGAATGCATTTGCTTATGATTAAAACTCTTTTACACCTAAGAAACGTGACTCTACTTAGTCATGAATTTTATTCACCAGACTCGACTCAAAATGAATTGTGATTGTTTCCAAAATGAAACTTGTACTTTAAATATAAAAGTGTGCTATGTTTGAGAAAATTCCAAACGTTTTAGAAAATTCAAAATAATTTCTAAGGGAAAGGAGTTTAGGGACGAAAATGAATCTCCTGAGTACCTCAAAGCCAGCAGAAAATGCATCATGGATCATTAACTACTCACAGATAATGAGAACAAAGCCACAGTCACTGCATTCAAGTGCTCTTTGCAGCTACTAGGGTCGTGCTGGCACATGCATGGCATATGGAGAGGTTGTACCTCTTAGTGGAGGTAATGGAGGTGAAGGGTTGACAATGAGTTCATTTAATCTCGATATAATCAAGTTCACTGCACTTTAAAAAAATCTGTTTCCAATCTTAAGGTACTAAATCTAAATTACCCAAACAAGTGTACAAGTAGAGGAGAGAAACGGCAGCTTTCTCCGATGCTGAGAAAGCAACACCTTGTAAGTCTGGAAAGCACTCAGGCCATAGAAGAAGATGTGGTTACAAGTCACTACCACTTATTAGTAGTAAGATTTGTGCGGTCACTAAAACTGTAAAACCTCCAGTTTCTAATTGATGGGCATAGTGGATCACGCCTACAATCCCAACACTTTGGAAGGCTGAGGCAGGGGGATTGCTTGAGCCCATGAGTTTGAGACTAACCTAGGCAACAGAGTGAGACTTCATCTCTACAAAAAAAATAAAAAAATTAGCCAGGCATGGCGGTGCACTCTTGTAGTCCCAGCTACTCAGGAGGCTGAGGCTGAAGAAACGCTCGAGCCCAGGAAGTTGAGGCTGTAGTGAACCGTAATTATGCCACTGCACTCCAGCTTGGGCAACAGAGCAAGACCCTGTCTCAAAAAAAATTAATTGATAAAATGAGGGTAGAAATTATACCTCACATGGTTTCAGCAGAATCAAGTGTAAGAAGCTCATAAAAGTGCTCTGTGATATGCAAAGCTCTCTATACAATTTTGACATTTGTTATTTTTTTAATCCTCTTAATCACAAAATATTTTATGCTGTACCTATCAGATAGAATCAGGTAATAATAAACTTTCCAAGTTGAAAATAAGTGTATTACTGACTTTGTATCAATTTTCAGGGAAAAAAATGTAAAAAAAAAAAAAACCCAGAGATGAGGACAAAAATACTGCACCCATCTCTGAAAATCTGACATCACTTTTATATAATAAGAGAAAATATTAATAGTAAAACTATTTTAATCATTAAAAATAGTAAACATATTGATAGTAAAAAAGTAATATCATCTTATTCAAAATTGCAGTTTTTAAAATGTGAATGTTATCTGTGTCACTATATTTGTACCACATCAGTGATCCAGAATAAAAATTTATAAATAGCTATAAATAAACACTTTGGAGAATAAATTAGATTAGGAATACAAAGAAATATATTTCATCACTACCTTTGAGGTTAGTTTTGATAACATTTAATTTTTCTCTACCAAATTATTCAACTAAAATATGAGATAATCATCTATGGTCAAATGATCTCAGACCCATTAAATCTTTAAAATTCTGTGATTTTTAGAATTTGTTTCTACAATCTAGATAATCACGAGGCTAATATATTTGACATATGTATTCTGTTTTATTAGCATATAACATTTTATATCACTTTAACTCAAAAGCTGCATTCACGTCCATTTGATCCTTGAAATCAAGCCATTTTATTCCAAAATGATATCTATCTGAATTTGTATGAGCATTTAGTTCAAGGAAGTAGAACAAAATGGCCAGGAATCCAAAATTGGGGTTGTGAATTTTCACTAAATCTTGTCATTTATTTTAAATTCTTGACTATGGACCCCAGTCTCAGCCAATCTGAATAAATAAACTACTGGGCACCATCAGGATCCTGTGCATTTCTGAAAATGAGTAAGTGTACCCTCATCACTCATTTTTTGAAACTAAACTCAAAATGCACATCGTAGCAGATTAGAAGAGTCATTTGTACACATAAGTAATGCAAGCATCTATGCACATCACTTTGCCTTCTGCTGAGTTTGATTTAAGGTGCTTTATTCTCAAGCTTTCAGTACAATGACTAAAGGGAATCCTACAATGCTCGGAGGGCTACACTCCTGGTTAGACTCTTAACCTTCTGCCTAGGATCTGATGGATAACTTGACATTTTAAAAGCATCCTTTTCAGTTCACATTACTTGAAGCGAGATGTTCAAGGCCAGAGTAAATGAAAATAGATTCCACTTCTCTCTCAGATTCAGTGTTGGAAAGACTGTATGTTTCTCTCCCTTCTAGCAATAAATGATTAATGATCATCATCTGAGTACAAAAGACAAAGGAGAAATGTTAGCAAATGTAACTCACTATGACAATGTTTGAATCAGCTATGGCATCTCAAGAGAGCTAGTAAAAGCATGTTTGAACACCTGCTTCTATTTTTCTATTTTTTAGGGGGGCAAATTAGGGTCAGAGCAATCCATAAAACTATTCTCACCATAGCTAATCCACAGGCATTTGCAGGCAGTCAACATCAGCAGCTCATATTTTCATGTTAGGGCAATAGCCCAAAGCATACATATAGCCCCCAGGGTTCCTATTACTGTTAACTGTGTTGCTAAAATTGTTTAGCAACAAATCAGAACAGGAAATTATAAAGTAAATCAATATAAAGTAAGATGCTATAAAGTAGAAAGTTTCTGTAACTTAAAAGTTGACCTATGAACAAGGAGCAAATTCTCAAAAGTTAATATGTTAACAATGATATAAATAAAACAATCTGACCTGGCCCACTGAAACATTGCAGGATTTCGATTAACATAGGAACACAAGGCCTCTTCAGAATAAAGTGAGATAAAATAACTCGTTCACAACATGTTGCAGAGATAAAATTGAAATTTAGGTTCTCTGACTACAACGTCAAAACTGTTACTGCCACAGCAATTTGCTTTCATCCAGGTATTAAGGAGATAACAAGATGATCATATTTAAAGCACTGGAATTAGACAAAGGGCATGACAAGGACAGGAATTCACAGAAATTCAAAGAAATCCAGAAATCACTGCAAGGGAAACAATGAGTCCAAAGTGGACACAGCCATACTGACAGATGGTAGCTTTCCAGCTCAAAAACTAGATGAAATGAATCTGAAATAGAGGCCATAGTTGTGGAATTATAGGACAGATTGGTATCCCATCTGGGCCACATATTTTGCTGGATAAGGTACTAATCCCAAGGCTGCTACTGGAGTCCAGGCAGGTAGGGCAGAATGTAAGTTGAGATGAGCAGTGAAAAGACCATAGTAGCACTGGGAGATGAGCTACAAAGAAACAAAGGCAGAACCTGACAAAAGGAGATTGCTGCTTAAATGAAAATAATATGTCTCTAGAGACAGATGTAACTTGGTCAAACTCTCTATGACTTTTTATGTGAGCTTGGGAAAGTGAATGTCTTTCATCTTCCTTATGTATATTTTCTTTTCTGTGATTCAGAGATCATAATACTTACTTTGTTGGATTGTCATTAGGATTAAAGATAATAGAAGGAAAATGCTTAATTCAGTACCTCACACACAATAGGCACTCAATGAATTGTAGGAGTAGCTGTTTTTGTTACATCATTATTAGTGTCACATAAATTTGCATGATCTAGAGAATAGAGAAGCATAAAACATTAAGTTCTGATAGCTAAATAAATATTTGTATGCTGAGGGGAGGGAATTGGATCAAGTTAAAAAAATGGAGGGATCAATAAAAGCAAATTTTCATAATTCTTAGACAAGGGGAAGAAATTCCATTTTGTTTGGAGGAATAAAAACCACTAACTGGGAAAGAGATCCTGTATTAAGTGATGACCTGTTATTTACAATATCAAAGATTCTGTTGTTTCCACATTTAGAAATTTGGATCAAAGAGAAGTAAGGACTCTCAAATTGCATCTATGTCACCTGTAAGCTCAAGTTTCCCCTAAGTACCAAGAGAACAGTTTGGAAACCCTAAAATGAAAATTCACAAATCTATCCCCTCTTTATAAAAAAAGAGACTGACCAGTACAATTCTTAATTAAATCAGAGACTAACCCTTTTGATAACTAATAGAAATTTAATTGGTAATTACATTAATTTCACTAGATTATGAGTTTCTGAAAGTCAGAAATCTCATTTACCAGTTGTGCTTTATTTCCCATACATCACAGAGCACAGTGTATTCAGATATATTTGACAAATAAGGTACTGAGTAGACTGTTGAGTTCATCATGAAAAAGACATTAAAAAGCACATGTGTTCTACAAATTAAACAAAAGGTGGTCATATATTTATTTTTCCTATTATAGGCTAAAAACAGTTGAGGAAGTTAAAAGAAGTCCATGGTAAGAAGTCTATGCATTTTTATCCTAATTTTACCTCGACAAATCAATATGATAGGTGATTGATGGATTGAATATGATAGAGATGTTGGCATTGCCCTTCGAATGGCAGAAGATGAATTTAAGTAGCTTTCTGAATGTCATGTAAAAATATAGCTTAAATATATTTACCAGACTATCCTTGCTATTGTTTTATATATTTTACATAGAAACAATATTAGAGCTCCCCTCAACAACCTCATTATGTTCTACTAAAATATGTGGTTTTAAAAGTTAAATTTGAATTAAAAAATGAAAAATAAGGTTCTTGATTTGTGGTAAACTATACCATAAAATAGTTTAATTTTGAAAAAAGTTGCCTAAGTAACCAACAATGATTAACTGAATACCCTACGCATTTATAATAGAAAAATATCAAAAAAGTACACACAAAGATACATAGCCTTAAACAAGAATGTGTAAGTTATGGAATATTAAAGTAGTGAAGGCCCCTTTAGGACCCAATTAGGAGTGTGCTTAGTTGGAAATCCAGTAGAAGGTGTAATCATAACATAGAGATAAAAGAATTAAGAAATAAATTGCTAGGGTCTGAATGTTTGTCTCCCTTCAAAATCCATATGTCAAAACCTAACCTTCAATGGATGGTATTAAGAAGTGATGCTTTTGAAAGATGATTAGGTCACGAGTGAGGATAATGTGTATGAGGAATAAAGATATTTTGTGAGAAATTAATTTCTGAGTTTTGACTAAAGAGGTCTACTTGAATAGTGGTACGTTAAGGTACAGACAATTGTTTTGTTCCATTTACTATTACCTGAAACTATATATGTGGCCAAATGGATATCTCCCCTTATACATTCTAAGTATGATAACTAACTTGTAGTCTGAGCTCTAACATGACATTTAATTTCTGACCCAAAATAATTTCTACGTCAGCTCACATCCCCAAGATTTCTCCAATTCCTTATTTTAAGGCGTGGATATAGAATTTTTTCCTAGGGAATAAGGATTGGTGGAGAATGAATAACCACGGTGAAATGAATTCTAATCTTGTCAAATGGGATTGCAAGGATTCAGAGTCAAAAACATGATTATCATTAAAAAATAATCTATGAAGTTAGCTATATATAACATACATATTGTACATATTAATATATAAATGTACACAAAATGTGTATATTTGTAGATACATAAACTTATAAATCAAAATATAAACTAATTTAAAAGAACATGTGATTTTTTTTTTCAACACAAAGCAATTTGTTTCCAGAGTAGAGTAGAATGAGATAAGCACAGAGCTATAATGGAGGAGTAAATCATAAAGGGCATTCTCAGACTCTGCAAGTATTTTCACTTAACTTTACCCTGAATGATAAGGAAAGCCACCGTGCAGTTTTGAGTGAGGAGTGACATATGCAACTTCTGTTGCAATAGAATTCCTCTGGCTTCAATGTTAAGGAGGAATAGGGTAGATTTAGGGAGACCAATTAAGACTTTAATCCAGAAAAGAGGATAGTTAATAGTGTTGAACTTAGGACAGGATTGGATGTGTTGGTGCGCCCACTGCAGAGTACGAGAGAAAGAGAAGCAACTGAGATGATTCCAATTTTAATTTTGTCTGAATAACTTTCACAGATGAGGAAACCTGTGGGACTAATATGTTAGAGGAGTGTAATTGATTTCAGTGGTTCAGATGTAATTGTGGAAAGTGGCCTTGAGCAAGGAAGATGAATGAATAAATGCAACATATTGTTCCACTGAAGTGGGGTTCTAGTCACAGGATCTTCCTGTGAACTGGACTTTGTACACACAGCATGTATAGGCAGTGATGATAGTGTTTATACAAATACCCCAGGGGTACCATGCTCAAGTTTGTTGTGCTGAGAAACTAATTTTATGAGCAGTAAGGGCAATTATTATATGCAAAGTCCTGCTTTTTCTGTCTCATGATAACATTTAAGAATCTAACATCTTGCATAAAATAGAAAAGATGAAAGGTAGGGAGGAAGATCAGTAAACTTTAGGAACAAGTAAATTAGAACCACTAATTAATAACTACCTTCGCAACATGACCCTAGCACCTCTCACTGGTTCTTTTAACAGATATAAACAAACCATTTGATGACAATATGTAATTTTTTTCACAATTTCACATTTGGTAGAAACAGTAATAATTGTGAAAGTAGCTAATAAAAATGAATGCTAATCATATCCTCAGTCTTTTCCACACGTAGACTTCTTCCTTCTTCACAATAAACCCATGAGGCAGATAGTATGATTTTAAAGATGAAAGAACTGAGGCAAATAATTCCCCATAAACTGAAGTATTGAATCTATTAGAACCAACAGACATTCAGCTCAGTCTCCTTGAACTATAGAAGTTGAGTCCATCACAATGAGAACTGATCCTCAAAATGATAAACTCAAAACCCTAGAAAAATAATAAATTTTCAGAGTTTAATACTGAAGAAAATAAATCATCTAGGGTTTCAGAAGGATTGCAATCTCTAGCTATTAAGAGAATAAAAATATTTTATTTGTACAGGATAAGAAAGAAAAGAAGTGGGCTAAATTGTGAATTTGTATTAATCAGAATATTTGATTGACCCAAATATTTGTTTTAAAAACTCTAATGGGGTAAGCAAGCCTGTCAACCTAGTCATATTTTAGTGATAAGTAGAGTTGTTTGAGTATTTAAATTCTCTCAAGAAATATAAAAAAAAAACTTTTAGGTGTTTTTACCAATATTGTGTATACAGTTTAGAAATTCACTTTGTCACAAAAAATAACTATAAGAAAATGTAGGTAAATATTTAGTACATAATTGAGTTAAAGATGATTCTTCTAGTCGTTAGTCACAGAAAAAGAAATTAGTTTCAATTTTTTTGGCAATAGAAATCTTTACATGATGCCCACCTGCCCCCGCCCCCCAAAAATGACTATAAACTAAAAAAAAAAAAAACCTAAAAAAACAAAATAAACAGTAAACTTGAGGGAAGGATCCAGTGATACAAATAAGCAGCTATTTATAGGATATTTACAAAAAATATTTGATTGGAGAACATATGATTGTGTGTTATATTAAGTGGAACAAAATAGAAACGTGTTTATGGTGGGATTCCAATCATATTTTTAAAATATATTATGTAAAATGTGCCAATATATTCCAAGTACTTATTTAAGAAAAAGAAATATAATGTTTGCAATTTTCTTTCTTCCTACATTTTGTTCCTATACAAACATGTTTTGCAATTCCAATTTGAAAACTAAGTTACTCTTTAAAGTGTCTTAATGAACATTTAAAAATAATATAGAATAATAAAATATATAACATGCCACTCTCTTGGGGTTTCCACAAGTGAGTCATACATTACAATCTCTTCACAGCCCTGAGAAATTCGTGAGAGCTTAGACTGAAAATAAAATCATATCCCAGGTATTAGTTTGTAAAAAATGTTTCCTGCAATCAAATATTAACATGCAAAGGTGTGTTCCGTTACACAAGTCACTTTACCTTAAGAATCAAAACTTACAGTGTTTAAGCACCAACTCAAGTAACTATATTTGGTGACTATGTAAACGAAGCCATACGTATAGTTTCTGTGGTTTATAGCTAGTGCCAAATGGAGATAAAGTGTTTAGATAGAAAAATCATGCTCTCATGAAACGAGAGCTTAACCTCTGTAAGCCTTGGGCTTCCCATCTGTAAAAGAAGGTTGTACTGGATGTCTGAGTCTGACAATTCAGATACTATCAGTTAATTAGAATCCTAGCCACAATGTTATTGTCAAACATAATATGTTTGTTTTAAATGTGTTATTTTGCCTTCATTATAGTCATCATAATAAAGACATTGTAATGGGAAAAGGACACCAAAGTTATATTGTCAAGCTCAGTAAGCTTCCTAATTAAATGTCAGACATTTTCACAAATCTATCGTCAATACTTTAAGTAAATAACAATCTTTCTCATTTGCACTCTTTAAATAACATTGTTATCTATTTCCAAGTAAGGGCCACACTTCAGTAATTTACATATTGACAATTAAGTTAAATGATTACTCATTGTAATGGACCTTTCATACACCATCTTGCCTATATATTAAATTTAAATTATTTCCTTATATATTATAGATTTTATGTGTTTCATATATATTTTATTTATGAAATATATAACAAATACATAGGAATTATTACATATAATACATATATAGTGCTTACTTTAATGGTACTTGAGCATAATTTTCCCTGCCATAAAGAGCTCTCAATATAGTAATTAACACAGTCATATTTACAGAAACTAGAAAGAAGTTTGATGGGATTTTTCTAGGAATCCAATTTATCTTCTAACATCACCCACAGTATTTCTATTGGTTACACAGTTGAAGATAGCCAAGCACCATCAGGTTATATAGGTCAAGTAATGGGAAAGAGAGACAGGAAGAAGATGACCAGTAGCTTTCTAGTAAGAGCATGGCTCAGAGTTTACAGAAATCACATCTGCTCACATCTAGTTGCCAAATTTTAGTGTAATCGAAAAAGCCAAACCCTTGGCTGGGTTTAGTGGCTCTTACCTGTAATCCTAGCACTTTGGGAGGCCTAGGCAGGCTGATTGCCTGAGCTCAGGAGTTTGGGACCAGCCCGGGCAACATGTTGAAACCCCGACTCTTACTAAAAATACAAAAATTTAGCTGGGCGTGGTGGTGGTGCATGCCTGTAATTCCAGCTACTCAGGAGGCTGAGGCACAAGAATCTCCTGAATCTGGGAGGTGAGGGTTGCAGTGAGCTGAGATCTCACCATTGCACTCCAGCCTGGGCAACAGAGCGAGACTCTGTGAAAGAGAGAGAGAGGAGAGAGAAGAGAGAGAGAGAGAGAGAGAGAGAGAGAGAGAGAGAGAGAGAGAGGAGAGGGAGAGGAGAGGGAGAGGGGGAGAGGGGGAGAGGGGGAGAGGGGGAGAGGGGGAGAGGGGGAGAGGGGGAGAGGGGGAGAGGAGGAGGGGGGAGGGCGGGGAGAGAGAGAGAGAGAAGAAAAAGCCAAACACTGTAAAATATTTGAAGAGATTTTTATGACCCGTGACACAGCCTCAAGAGGTCCTGAGAACACGTGTCCAAATGATTGTGTTACAGCTTGGTTTTATATGTCTTAGGGAGACATAAGACATTAATCATTGCATGTGAGGCATACATGGGTTTGGTCCAGAAAGGTGGGACAACTCAAAGCTAGTCAAACCTAATAAGGTCAGAGGGTTCTGATACAGTTTTGAGGGACCAGGTATGATGGATCAATTTATTTAAACAACAGCAAAAATTAGTGCACAGTTTAAAACTAAGTTTCTTCAAGGTTGAAATAAATCTACGTTTTAACCTGATAAAGCATGGAAGGTTTTATACATTGCAGAAGAAAGAACAGGTCAAAACAGGATAAATGTTGACTGTGGTTGAAATTATATTAGAAGAAAAGAGATAAAAAGGGTACTCAATCCTCAATCAAGCTTAATGTAAGTCTGTAAGAAAAAAAAAGACACTGACTTATATTCACAATAAGATTTTCACTTAACAGCCGGGCACTAATTCTGCAGACAGGCAGAATGGGTGCAAATCCCATTCTCAACACTTACCAGCTATTTTGCATTGGCCAGTTACTTCACCTCTATGACCTTCCATTTCCATATTTATACATTGTGAATGAGAGTCCTACAAGGAATTCTTGTAGTTCTTAGCCTTTCCTGGTGATTATACTATTAAAAATAACTACATAAAACAGAGCAATGAAGATTCAAACTTGAAACTGTGCTGCGAACCAAGGATTATGATTAACCAGTGAAATTATGGGTAAAATTTATCTGGCCTTGCAAAGTAGAGATTTTCTGTTGTCATTATTTCTGATTATATTCTCACATTTATTTTTTGCATATTGAACTCTGGCTATATCAAACAGGAGAGACTGCCCAAATGATTGCTAAAAGAATTTACTCATATCTTTTTTTTTGAAATTGCAAAGATAGTCTTTGCAAACAAGCTAGTTTGAAACTGTATTCAGTTACAACCATTAAATATAACTGTATTCACATTATAAATAAAACACTTTTTAGCATGATGGAACTTGGAGACATCAATTTTGTTTTATTTTGCTTTCTTGGTTGTATGCAGATAGATTTAAGCTCCTATGCCCTCATTCCTTTTAAAGCCTACGTTTTTTTAAAGTCCTTGGTGGTCACGGCTGGACAGGATGTTTTCCTCATTTGACACATATAGCATTTAATTGCATTTTATTTTATTGGAATACTTATCCATATCTGCTTGGTAATGATTTAAATTAAATTATTTTTCATAAATATGCCATATTATATGGTATGATATAGCATCTACTATATAATATGCAAATACAAATCTTTACATTTCTGAATAACAAGGATTATTTTGTATGAGTTAAATTTAACCATTTTAATATTCTACTGTAGAACCTAGTATATCATTAGGAAAATATTATAAATTCAATACATACGTGATTTTAGAACTCTATACACAAACCTTACTATATATGTATGCTAATTAAGAAATATTAGAATATTTTATAGATGGTCTTTTGCCTAATAAAATGTTCCTTGTTCACCTATCTATTAAAATTGCTAAGATTCACAATATAAGACAAGCAAAAAAGAAATAAAGTAAATCACAGTGATAAAACTATGCACAAACATCTTGGACATGTCTTGGGTTCACTATATATGAGATACAAACTTCTACTGCTATTTCATTTGCTGGCAGGCATAAGAATCCATTTACAGAATGATGACCCTGAAGCACTATCACATTATGAAATAGCCCATCATCTTCACTTCAATGAACTTAATGAAGCAAGAAGATGGAATAATTTATTTTAGAGAGATTTATAGCCACAAGAGCTGGACCAAAATTGGTTTTCTTCTTAAAACCCACTAGAGTTCTCTTCTAGATCAGTGGTCAATAACCTTTTATTTTTATATTTTCATCCATCTTCTCTGATGAAAGCTATGGGTTCTCTCACTGAAAAATACACACATACAAATGCAACCCCTTTACCATTGCCGGAGATCCAGAGCTCCTCTTGTTGCCATCCTTACACTGCTCACACTACCAAGAACCTCGTATACCAAAGGAGAGTCAGGTGGGCTCTCCAGATTTAGACAGAGAGCTTCATGTTAAGCACCTGTGAAGAGAATGCATTTCTTCCACTTGTTGCAAAAAAAAAAAAAAAAAAAAAAAAAAAAAAAAGTCTTATTCCACTGACTCGGGTTGGACCCTGGGCAATTTGATTTGTGAAGACTCTGAATAATGAAATCCTGGGATAGCAAGGTCTTCAATGCTTAGCATTCTTGGATAATGGAGCTCCTGTAGTGCAGATTCCCTCACAAACATTGAATATCTCTCCCAAAATTTGATAGTCCACAAAGCATTAATCCAATATTTCCAATGAAAAATTAAAACACATAATGTCTTCCTCCCTTTTCCAAAACCTCTTAGAGCTACACAGCAAATGGAATATTGACTTCACTAGTCATATATACATTTCTACAAGAAATAGGTATAAAAGCTATGTGAGAATCAGGCCAGATGTTAAATTATCCATCTTGTGGGTACACAAGGCAGGATTTTTTTTGTAGTTTTATAATTAAAAAGTCGTCATTAAATGATTATCTTTTATGATGATGCAAAATTACAGTGGAGTCCACAGCTTTTTCACTAAGCTATCCATGCTAATGTTTCACTTACATATAATTACAGAGGAGCAGCTTAATCCTGTGTAGTTAGATTACGGGATGATTGACAGTGCATTTTTTTTTTAAATTAAGTTACCAGCAGTTATACAAATAAGTACAGACAGTGGGAATTATACTTCCGAATCTTATGAATCATTGGACAGTCAGTGGAGAAATCAATCAGCTTTCTCCAGATTATTGTTCATTTTTCCTGGATCTCATTTTACACGTAGATTAATCCATATAAAATGCCCATATCAAGTTGTGATTTGGTCAAAAAAAAGAATGTTGGCAACCATATATGGTTCATCCCAACAGATGAAGTAGACATAGGTATGTTTATGGGTCTAGCACACAGTAGAAACAGTTCATTCATTATAGAATTCCTCTAATATAGTGAAGAAATATCAATACATTTTGTAAAATTTTAGGCTATTAAAGTTAGCACTCTTTCCTTCAACCAAGAAGTATTTTCTGAGTCCCTATTATATGCCAGAGAACTATGCCTAAACAAACTAGCCAATAACCCAACACTCATGACGCTTAAATTCTAGCAGACAATAATACAAGAGTTAAGATAAATATTAGGCTGGTACATAAGTAATTGCTGTTTTGCACTATTTGCAATAGCAAAGACATGGAACCAACCCAAATGCCCATCAGTGATAGACTAGATGAAGAAAATGTGGTACATATTCACCATGAATACTATGCAGCCATAAAAGGGAATGATATCATGTTATTTGCAGGGACATGGATGAAGCTGGAAGCCATAATTCTCAGCAAACTAAGGAACAGAAAATCAAACACTGCATGTTCTCATCCATAAGTGGGAGTTGAACAATAAGAAATCATGGACACGGAATAGAACACCACACACTGGGGACTGTCGCAGGGTGGGAGGCTAGGGGAGGGAGAGCATTAGGACAAATACCTAATGCATGCGGGGCTTAAAACCTAGATGATGGGTTGATAGATCCAGCAAACCACCATGGCACATGTACACCTATGTAACAAACTTGCACATTCTGCACATGTATCCTGAAACTTAAAAAAAAAAAAAAAGGAATTGTTTTTGTCATTACTTTCAATGGCAGTAATAGGACAATCCTAATATACTGTAATAAAAGTTATGTGAATGTAATCTCTATCTCAGAATAAATTATTGTACTGTATTCAGCCTTCCTGTGATGTGAGATGATTCAATGCTTACATGATGACATTAAGTGAGGAGAATGTTGTAGGTATCGTGATATAACATTAAGCAATATTGACCATCTGTGCTTCTAAATCTGTGTATACCTTATCTACAGGACGTGGCTTGGTGTCACTCACTTCAGTGGATCACTTGCTGAAGACTTTCATATAGACTCAGTGCTATCTGGTGAAAGTTGCTGTCAGTTGGAACACATTTTCTGTCCATGTCTTCCATTCACAAATTGCATGTCTTTCCATCTTACTAAGCACTTATCATACACTGTGGCCAATTGCAGTTTATAGCGCAACAGCAAAACTAGCGCAAACTTCTTTTTCCTTCATTAAAATTTCATGGATAGAAGATTCATTCTTATGATAGAGTTGAGCAAACTCAGCATATGATCTTATTTTCTTATTAAGTGGAGAACTTTCACCTCTTCACTTAAAAGGCACATTTTAGAAATTCTTTATGTCATATTTGAAACGTTAGCATCACTACTCTCATGCTTTGGGACCATTATTAAGTAAAATAAGGGTTATTTGAACACAAAGCCTGTCACATTCTGTCGATCTGATAACCAAGACAGCTACTAAGTGGCAAAAGGACAGATAGCATAGACAGCATGAATATGAGGCAAAAAGGTTTGATTCACATCTCAGGCAAGACGGAGCAGGACAACAGGAGATTTCATCATGCTGCTCAGAACAGCACATGGTTTAAAATGTACAAATTGTTTATTTTTGTAATTTTCTGTTTAATATATTTAGACTACTAGTAAACTGCAACCATTGAAACTAAACAGAAATAAGGGATAAGCAACTGTACATGCATCTTAGAGTATAATGACTATTGTTTCATTTCACTTTCCAATTCTCAGTCAAATTTCTATTTTGCTAACACTAACCTGGACACATACTGGGAAAAGAATTTTGAAGACATAATTTCAGTTTAGCCCAGGTGATAAAATACAACACCCCAAAGAATGGAGAGTTGCCTACGCCTGTCTAGAAATCAGACAAGAAGAATAGGCATTAAATGTGCATTTGGATTGATCAACCATAAATAGTATTCAAAGAGATCACCTACAGAGTAGGTGTAGTTAGGAAAGACAAAACGTCCAAGGACTAAGCCCTGGGGTACACCAAATAGCAGAAGTTATCGATTTGAGAAGAAACCAAATCAGATCCAGGCATACAGGGATGTATAATAAACATATCAAATAAATGCATGAATTTTAAGTTCCAGTGGGCTTTGTCAGGAAATAGCCTAAAGGGATGAGAGAGAAACCTTCTTTCTTCTTGGGAAATATGTAGCAATAAGAGCTTCATATGAGAAATAGACTTTGTATATGTTAATGCAACATTCTTTGTGTTCTGAAATACGTTTTTGAGGGGTAGAAAACAGATCATTCAGTTTTACCTTTGAAAAAATTTCTTACCAACTTCCAACTGACTAGTTCATTGACAAAACAAAGTAAAATTGCTTGTTGAGCAGGAGTCAGATGGTTTGTAGTAGTTGCATCCTAGAAGTCTCGAGAGAAGAGATTTATTTAAAAATATGAGGACTCTCACTATTCTTAGAGGTGCAGTAGGTATTAATTGTACCTTGATTACTACTAATCTGTCTTTCCTGAATTATATGGATTTTATAGCTTGAGATTTCAGTTATTTAAAATTGTATTAGAAAACAAATTGAATACTTAACATCCATGTTTAAATATCAGCATAATTTTTCCCTAAAAATGCTAATATTAGTCTGTTATTTCTGTAATTGTATAGTTTATTAAAATTTTAAGGAAAAATAGCTATAAAATTAATATCAATATTTAGTTCTCAGAATCAATGAGTCTGTAATATTTATGTGTGTGTGTTTGTGTGTGTATTTTTTTTCTTTTTGTTTTCTGAAAGCATTTTCTCTACTGACTGCTGCATGTTGGAAGAAATATTAAAAATGCATCTTTGGTGATAATCAAAAGAATTAATCATAAGTTTAGCTTCAGGCATTTTGGAAAATATGGAATTGGATTTCCTAGTACCTCAACAATTGCCCTTAGTGAGCAATTTAAAAAATCATCAGTAATAAATTGGGTTTGCTTCCATAATAAATGCTGCCTGGCCCAGTGGGACCGAATAAACAAGAGTAGAGAGCAGAGAGGAAATAGGCCTCTTCTCTGAGAGCTTCTAGTATATTTTTTCTTTCTGAATGGCCTTAAGCAGCTCATGACATCTCACTTAATGAAAGGACAGATGAGTTTGTTTTTCATCTTTCATCTAAGTGGAAGCTAAGTGGAGACCTCTTAGCTTCCACTTAGTTCAGTGAATTGTCCTTCTGGAAAGGCAATATATCTCTTATTTCAAGAGATTATAGGTGCTTGATGTTCTCTGTATTATTATAATAGCTTGGTAAAATATGTTTTATAATGATCTGGAAGTAATACTTCAGGTTCCAACTCAGACCAAGTATTAAACAGATCCACAGGATATAAACATGTTGTATTTACACATTTTAGAAGATAGGCATGGTAGTTTTCAAACTGTACAAATTTTTAAAAAGGTTTTATGTCGCTTGCAACCAAGGAGGAGGACATATTGTGTTCTCTATTAAAGGGTAGAGTTAGATTTATATTGATGCATCTGTTTTATATTTTTAGTTGTATAAAATATAGAATATGATCATGTGTCTGCTTCTGCCATTTACTAATTATATAACAGCAGGTGAGTTAAATGTTCTGAGCTCCTCTCTCTCCATATAAAAGGAACAAAATCATACTAAACTGACAACTTTTCATTGAGGATTGGAGATAATTTTTTGAAGCCCCCTAGCAACAAACAAAGCCCATGATAAATACACTACAAATGGTAGTTACAATGATTGGAATAATATCCTTTCTTTGAGAAGGCTTTCATCCCCTTAAGTCATGGTGATTACATCCTTTTATATAGCATTTCTTTTTTTTCAGGTCTAACATTGTATTGTGAAGACACTTTATTACAGAGACACTTTGAAGATGAAAAGTTAAATTTCATTAAGGGATGTTTAGATCAAATGAAAAAGAATAGATTAAGACGTTATTTTTTGAAATATGTGTAAAAATATTGTCATGCTTACTCAAGAGAAGAAATAAAATAGTGTGGTTTTTAAAGTCTTTTTAGATAATAAAGAAACATGAATTTCACATAACCATATATATTATTTTAAAAATAACTTGCTTAAGTATGAAAACATGAAAAAGGAAACTGGCTCCTACCAAATCATATTATGTTTTAAAATGATGCTGAATTTAGCTGTGACACCTGTGGTAAGGTTTCAATTCCTCTAGGAAGGTCTGTTTCAATCTCTGTTTGATATCAGCTGTCAATGGGGGTCACATTCCACCCCCAACTAGGCAGAATCACAGTTAAACATGATATTTAAATACATAGCTACTTAATTCAGAGAGTTTATGATTAAACTGAAACAAAAACATAATCTTTCAAATTGAAAAAAAATGTGTTACGGAGACAACTGTGGACTCAGGATTTTGTTATTCATTATTCAGTACTTTGATGAATATTATCACCCTTCCGATTACCTGTTATTCTGTAGTAATCCATTGAATAATTTTGTGGCTTAAAATAACAGCAATATAATTGTGTTTATGAAGCTACAATTTAGGCATAGCTCAATGAAAACAGGTTCTCTTTAAATCTACCCAGCTACAGCTGGAGTGCCTCTAAAATGGGAACTGAAATTATCAGAATATTTGTTCACTCACATGTCTGGTAGTTGAGTCTGACTGTTGGCCATGGCCTTATGTGCAACACAGACAAGATGGCTCTTAGTGTTTTCTGGACTTCCTCATTACTTGGAAGATAAGTTGCCAGGGTGAGTGTCCCAAGAGAGACGCTGTGCCATGAACAAGCCGTATCACCTTTTGTGATGCAGTTGTGGAAGTCATGGAATATCTGTCACTGTATTTTACTTGGTGAGACTTCAAAAAGTCCTGATCAATTTCAAATAAAGGGAATATAGACTGCAAATCTTGGTTATGAATTGACAAGTCTTGGGAAGAACATGCAAGACAAGAAATCTTGTAGTGCCTTGGAGGGAAAAAACACAATCTGCCAGCCTATGTTTTTTAGTGATCAATGAAGAAGCAGTTAACACCATCAGCAGCAGCATGTATTCAGAAAGTCAACACAGCATAATAAGATAGGTGGGTCATTTGCTTTGAAGTTTCCATAGGTAAAAAACTAGTCTTCACATTATTCTTGAAATGCATTATCCCCAATTTAGACAGTTTCAGAGGTATTAAATAATCCAAGGAAAATTATATATATTTAATATGTAGAATATTTTGAACTTGAAATCAGATCTTTCTGGAGACAATGAAAATATATTTCCCAACTCGATTTATGAGGGTTTGGTAGTAAAGACTTTTGAAAAACAAATTCCATGTCTCCAAACTCTCTAATGATATCATGGGTCACTAAGAAGGAATTAACTTTGGTTTGCCAATGGTATGTGCACATACTTGTTATTTGTTCACATTTTATTTTTCTAAGCAAAATGATTTATGACTTCCTAAAACCTATTAGCTGACTAAGTGACCCTCTCACTCTGAGACAATTAGATATTGTAGTCTAAAGATTATTGAATGTAGAATCAGAAAGCATAGACTTTGGTCCTTGTTGATTTATAATAGAGTGGAAGAAAAAACCCAGAGACCCAAACGTCATCACTGAGTAGCTGAATGAATACTAATTATTTCCATTCAGATTTTTCCATGTGAGAAAAATAATCCTCTTCTGTTTAAGCTACCAGAATGGTCCTTTTGATTTCTTGCAGCTCAATACAGTTCTTAACTGATGTAGATTCTATTTCTTCATTGTCAACAGACTCCTCCAAGAAATTTAATTTTCCACCACAGTTCACAAAGATGTTCCTATCCTCAACTCCTGTGGTTAAAACACATTTCCATGTTTCACAGAAAAAAATGCCAAAATTGTTTCATTTTAATATTAGTAAGAAAGATGAGTTGTTTAACATGGAATTAAAGTGAATAGGTCTCAGACCATTGTAAGACTTTTAAAATAATACAACTATGTATCACGAGAAAGTCATGATAGCAACCCCGTCATGATAGCAATCCCATTTTGGTTTTCTGCCATTTTGTTCCATAAGCATTCTATATTTCATCTTTTTGTTATTATCAAATAGATTATTGCCGAGGACTTCTCCCATGATTTTTTTAAATATAGTGTACTATAAATATGTCTCAGAAATGACACATATAATGCCTCCTTTTTCAAGGTTTACAAAATTTACTAATATATCCTGGCTTTGATAACTTTTGCAGTTTAAGCAGTGATTCCAAATTATTGAATTATATTCTTTGCCCCTGCTGCTGCTCCTGCTGTATATATTTATTAACATTTCTGGGGATCAGCTTTTAGAAATGTTGAACTTAATTATTCTATTCTGAACAGGAGAATTTGCAATATATTTTCTCTGAATCTCACAAGTTTTGGCTGCACACACAAAAAAATGAAAAAATAAATCACGTACCTATTTAATGTATCAATCCCCTTCACCTGCTTTTTCTCAACTATACATCAATTTAACCTTCATAAGTTGCTAATTTAAAACTAATTGGTATAATTGGCAATATTATATTTAATTATTCTTTTTAGGACATAGACATAACAAAATAAATTGTAGATAGAGAAAAAAATTTATAACCTCAGTGAATGGCAATTTCATTCTCCTCTTTGTTCAGGACAAAAATGTTGCAGTCATTCTTGATATCTTTTTCTCATATCCCACATTCAATCTGTACTTAAGTTACACGGGTGCTACCATGTAAATGCATTCAAAATTTAAATTCACCAAAATATATCCAGATTTTGACCGTTTCTTGCCACCTACATTTACAACACACATCTAAGCCACCCTCATCTCTTGTCTGGACTGTTCCTTCAAAATGCCAAGCATTGCTCTCCTGTCTCTGCCAAAGACAAAGTTAGAGTCATAGTAGTTGGAGCAACTTGTTGCATGGGGATCTGAACAGTTAAGGTTGTAGGGGAAGTTAAGAAGCTTAAGAAACCTGAAAATTAGGGTAGCCAGGGGTCACATAGTCATGCAGGTAACTATTAGGAAACAGCAGGCACTGGTGGGAAGGCCACGATGGAAGACACAAATATCTCTGAAGGAAGACATTTATAGGGATGAGAGAAACAAAACAAGGAAAGCAAGACATGATACTAGGATATGACCTTGAAACCTGGTCAAAAACTCGACAGTCACTTTTTTCTATCAGAGACAATAAAAACCTGTGGGTATTGACTGAGTTGGATCTTCGTAGGACATAAACTAGATATATACCTTCATGGAGAACAAGATAGAAGATAAAAGAAGTGGAGCTGCTCTTTAGGTACCTGGGCAATTTTACAGCATTTATAGAATAATAATATAAAATTATGTCACAACTTTAGTTTGCAGAACAAATAAGAAAATAATAGTGTAAAACTATCACAATGTGTTCCATTTAAAGTAATAGATCTAGTTGGACACATTAAAACACATTATAGGCCTTCAGAAGGGGTTAAATATCAAGTCCACATATAATATTTTCTTTATGATAGCTGTCTATGCAATTTTACCAACCTCTTCTGGCAGAGAGAGAGAGTTAAATGATGTGTTACTAAATCACATAAGGCAGGCTCACCTATTGTGCTTCATGTATTTTTTATTCAAAATAAATTTCTGAAAACAGCACAGCATTCCCTTTGGTGTCTGTGCCTTTGTGATTTCTTCCCATGCTGCTGCAAAGAGCTCCTCCAGCATCGCATACTCTCCACAGGGCCGGCACACATAATAAAGAATATCACTAAGGAAAATGTTTATATTTAAGTGATGTGAAACCATGGAGGAAAGAAAGCTCACAAGTGCTTTAACAGTTTTAATGTTAGCTGGCATGTGTTATTTCAAAATGTGTTGTTTCACTTAATAGTTTATTTGTGATAACTAGAAATGAAAAAGAATTGTGGTTTTCAGCATGAGCCGATTAAAAGTCTATGCCCTAAAAAAATCTTTCCTCAACATGAGCACTATTGACATTTTGAGCTCAGTGATTGTTACAGGGGACTGTACTGAGTACTTTGATGTTTAGCAGCATCCTTTGCTTCTACTCCTTAGATGCCAGAGAACACTTAAGTTGTGACCACCAACAATGCCTCCAGAAATTGCCAAATATGCCCTTGGGCAAAAAAGATGCATAGGTGAGAACCACTTCCTTATAGACTAAGTGTTCCTGGAGTCAGATCTTAGTTCCCATTCATACTCTTATCACTGTGGGATTCAGGTTAAGCTAGCACCTCTCTGTGTTTAGTTTCTTAGTCTGTAAAATGTGAACTGTAGGACAAATTGTAAGATAATTTTAAATGAGCCAAAAGATTTTATGGTATCTTCAATGGAAATATGTGTAGCATATCTGATTAAATGGGAGACTTCAACATTCAGTATCTTTGAGCTCCTTTACAACACTAACTTATAGAAAACTTAATGTATGAATTCTTGATGAGAATGTCAACAAAGAATCAAACTCTACAAAATATTTGAAGAGATATATTCTGAGACAAATATGAGGGACCATGACCCATGACACAGCCCCAGGAGATCCCAAGAACATGTGCCCAAAGTGGTCAGGCTTCAACTTGCTTTTACATTTTACAGCTTGGCTTTATACATTTTAGGCAGACATAAGCCATCAGACAATACATATATGATGCACATTGGTTTGGTCCTGAAGGATGGATGTTTCTTACTGACGTAAAAAGCTGCCAGGCTCTTAGTTAATTCTCTTCTGGATCAGGAGAAAGACTTGGATATGGAAGAGGATTCTCTACAGAATGTAGATTTTCCCAAGAGACGGCTTTGCAGGGATATTTCAAAATACAGCAAAGAAATATATTTTCGGCCTTCTGTCATGTTGCTATCTTATTGCTACAGAATCTGCTTTATCAGTCTTAAAAACCTGTTTTAATGTTGATTATTGGTCAGCTGTGTCTGAATTCCAATGGGAGGAAGGGATAATGATGTATGTCCAACCACCCATTCCTACAAAAGCCTACAACCCATTCGTGTTATGGCCTGAACTAATGTTTCAGTTTAATTTAGAATGCTCTTGGCTGAGAGGAGGGTTCTATTCGGTTGCTTGAAGGGCTTCAAATTTTATTTTTGGTTTACAACACAAATTCAATTGAATCTGCTAGAATGTAATCGATTACTGGCCTGTAGATATAAGAGAGCCTCTTTTGGTTTTGCATCTATTTTAAAATTCATTTCAACATTCCTTATTTGACTAAATATACATGGCACATGAATTCTCCTTTAAATCTATTGTAACTAGTTCTCTCATTAATGAAATGAAATAATTTTCATGTGAACACTTTATATCTATATGACAGTTAAGAGTGTACAGATTTTTAAATAATTATAATAATGTTTAAATGATTGGTAAGTAGAATCATTGAAAAAATGTGTGTGAAGCATCTGAATAGTCAGGACAAAATAATTACTATTACCATGGTTATTCCTAGCATTAAATAATATTGGACACTAATGATATAGCAAAACAATTTAACAGTATATATATATATATATTTTTTTTTTTTTTTTTTTTTTTTTTTGAGATGGAGTCTCACTCTGTCGCCAAGCTGGATTGCAGTGGCACAATCTCGGCTCACTGCAACCTTTTCCTCTGGGGCTCAAGCAATTCTACTGCCTCAGCCTCCTAAGTAGCTGGGAGTAGAGGCATACACCACCACACCCGGTTAATTTTTTTGTATTTTTAGTAGAGACAGGGTTTTACCATGTTGCCCTGGGTGGTCTCGAATTCCTGAGCTGAGGCAATTCACCTGCCTCGGCCTCCCAAAGTGCTGGGATTACAGGCATGAGCTACCACACCCAGCCAACAGTATCAATTTTTAAAAACCTTCAGTTATTTTATTAACACACTTCCCAAATCACAATTTTGAAATATATGAATGAAATTAATACCATATTTTTATTGAGGTAAAGCTATTCAGTTGTCTTCCTGTTTAATGCCCAGTATTTCCACGTCCAGACAACCAAGCCTGACATAAAAATATGTCAGAAACTACTGTTTTTCCATTCGTAAACCATTGGGTTTTTCTTTGTTCTAAATGAAAATAAGTAACAACCACATATTGAGGCCCAGTATATGCCCAGTAGTGTGTTAAGCACTGTACAAAGCAACCCCTCACTATATATCTAACGGTAGCTAACTACATCTATTTACATTTTACTGTGTTCCAGGGAAGTGATAGCTCTTTAACATGTATTATTTAATATACACCTCAGGATAATTATGCAGGGTGGCTATTATTATCATCCCCCCTCATCACATAAGAGGGAAGTGAAATGACAAGGTTGTCATCTGTTCAATGTTCATAGTCAATGAGGGGAAGGGACGGGATTACAACCTGCAGGCCTTCAGGCTCCAGAACCAGCACTCTTACCCAACAACCACACTGCCTCTTTCATTACCTCTTTAATTCCTAACATTTTTTGTGTATTATTGTGCCCATTATATAGATGCATAAACAAGTTCAGAGATGCAAGTTAGATAGCTAGTCAGTAGCACTCAACAACATTTGAATAGCTTTCCTTCTGTTTTGTCCTGCAAACTCTTCCTGTCTTGTGTCTTGTTATTTCTCAAATTCATGTAGACTCCCTCAATTCTTCCCTCCTTCTAAATGAGGGCATTCCGCATGGATTCATGCCTGATCTTCCAGTTTTATTTTTATATAGTTACTTATATTGCTACTATTTCAATTCTCAATTTAAACAACTTTAAAAATTATAATTTTAGACAAAATGTCTTTCTATACCCAGAGCTCCAAATGCACAATCGACAATTCCCATCCAAAACCATATTTGCCACATAAACATGACTAACACTACATCTTTTTTCTAGAATTAGTTCTAATTATCTTTAAGAAATTTCCATTTTGTTCCCAGTTATTCAGACCTGAAACTTCTTAGACATTGTAACAGCTCCCATATCCTATTATCTGTCACACCTGTCTCTTCCTTCTTTTTGGTCTGCTGCTTTATCCCAAATAATGCTGGACATATACAAATTATTCTGTAAATTTTTGCTGAATAAATTTATCAATAGGCTCTTACATCAGTCTAAGTTCATATCTCTGTCACTGCACACCAGTAGCACCTCCAAAATCCCCCTAACTACTCTGTCATTCAGTAAGTCCCTGTCTTCAAGACAGAATCCACACTGGTGTCTGATAGCTCTTATATAAATGACTTTTCAATTTCCCCAGGAAAAATACGAAGCCTTCAACCTGACATTAGAGGGTCTCACAATCAGGTTTCAATCAACATCTTCAGGTTTACATGCAGTTATTTCCTTCTACCTTCATGTTCCTCAGGATCTATTTCAAATATCACTTCAAATCAGACATCCCAACTTCAAGAGCTGCAAAGCAATCTTGCTTTTGTGTGTTTGGCTTTGGCAAGAAAGTACAGATGTTCTATTTGTACTAGGTAAGTTAACAATGGCTATTGTAATTAATAAACATGAATATCTTGATACCACAGTAAAAGTTTCTTTCTTATCCAGTTGTTTATACCACTCTGGTATTCTCAACTTTTTCGCTTATGCACTTCTCCAGGTTTGATCCCTGCTCCTAATACTCAGGGGAGACAAAAAAACTAATACTATATAAGAATGAATAGACATCCTATAGTACATGACTACGAACTTTTAAATAAAGCAACAAAAGGATCATGATTATTCATATTTAGTGACAACAAATTCCATATATAGTGCTCCCTAAATCTTCACCAAAACTCAATGAGTTTGTTGCAATTATTATTTTATTTTACAAATAACCCAAGACAGAGAGAGTTGGAATGGCCTACCTAAATAATTAGTATAGCTAGTAAATGATAGCTTTGGTATTTATAATAAGATAATCTATACCTAAGGCTCATTTCTTTATTAGTGGCACCATACTCTTAAAATAATATAAATAAAACTGCCCGTGGAACAATTTCAGACAATAGGATACATAATGAAGTTGTAAAGGCAAAAGGCTTTACCTGCCAAACTTAAAGGCTACTTATTCTATAGTGTCACAAATGCCTCAGAAGTCTCTGGGTAACCACTTCATCATTCTATGAAATTTAAAAGATGTGCCATCATCTGACTCTCAAATCAGTTCCTCACTTAGGATAACACATAACATGGCTGAACACATGATTACAGTGAAACCATGTAGTGGATCATACACAGTGTGGGCCTTAGAATAGCGAAGGTCTGATTTTGAATGTTGACTCTGTATTAGTCTGCTCTCACACTACTAAAAAGAATTACCGGAGATGGGTAATTTGCAAAGAAAAGAGGTTTAATTGACTCACAGTTCCACCGGCTTAATAGGAAGCACAACTCAGAGACCTCAGGAAACTTACAATCATGGTGGAAAGTGAAGGGGAAGGAAGCATGCCTTAGCAAGGTGTAGAAGAGAAAGAGACGGAAGGGGGCAGTAACACACTTTCAAACAGCCAGATCTCATGAAAACTCACTATCAGGAGAACAGCAAGGGGAAAGTCTACTCCCATGATTCAGTAACCTCCCAGCAAGCCCCTCCCCTGACACGTGGGGATTACAATTCGAGATGAGATTTGGGTGGGGACACAGAGTCAAACTATGTCAGACTATCACTTAACTTGGGCAAGTTATTTACTTAACTTCCTTCTTTGTGCAAATAGAATATTAAGACCTACCTCAAATTGTTATTGTGAGGACAAAATAAATAAAGCAATTAAAGGGTCCTGTAGAATGAATGCTTGATACTTAATAGGTTCTTATTAAGCAAAAGGTAATAATATCTTGAACGAAAACTGTTTAAATACTTTCTTACCTTCATACAATTTTTAATGCAAGATTCTAAATTTAACATGGTAAGTCTGAAATTTAGATGGACAATTTTTTGTCAAATCTTGATTTTGCATGGTTGGTACAGTTCCCTTGCAAAGAACGCGAAAATCGACCTATGCTAAAAACGACCACGTGTCAAGTTGTTATTTGGAAAGCACAGAGTCATTTAAACTAGCATAGCATTAAAATGCATTATGAAAACGAGGATGCTGAGTGTTGCCAACCTCCAGTAAAATTAACTTCAAGCTTCATTTAAAATGAATGTCTATGTAGGCAGATACTTTAAAAATTATCTTACGCCAAATACTCTAAAAATGATAATGAATTTGAAAGATTTAGGCAGATAATAATGTCATTTGTCTTAATTTAGTTGTTTACTAAAATAAAAGGTTATCTCATCTATGCATATAGTTTGCTTCTCCAGACCCGTTTTCTAACCTTTCTATATTTATTATTTTTATCTCTGAGGTTGCCCCAGTTAGAGAGAAAATGCTGCAATATACTTGACTTTTAAAATATTTAGGATACCCGACCCAAAGAAATTGGCTGAAGTGAAGCAAATATGATTGTTACTTTAGTGCACAATTTAAACTGATCGACCTTTCAAGTAAATGTTAGAGGCACTCATAAGTCACTGGCTTGAAAGGAAATACTTCATCCTTGTGAAGGTCGAGGGCCTGGAATGTTACAGTTAGTTTACCAGATGGCTGAATTCCACAGAATAAGTTAAAACCCAAGTGTTAGAAATTCCTTTATAAGTTTACATCCCAGAGTGCCTTGTTAACATACATGTTAATGTTGACCATGCACACAGAATATTATTTCATCGTTCACTACATTTAGCCAAAACAATGTTCGTCATCTACACTGCTTCTCTAATCAACACTTAACAAAGAAGACATAACAGGCAAACGAGCAGTTTTTGTCAGAGGCCTTGTCTAGGAGCCTTAGACACATAAGGGAATGGAACGTCTAGAGGTTTCCCCTTAAAGATTGCCATTGTCATGGTTAATCTCATCCTCTTCAAACTCTGCTTTGTGATCCATAATTTTGATCAATCCCTTTCTTCTTTCTACAAGCCATATACAAAGTTCAGTGCCAAGTGCTACTAGCAGTATAAGTACAGCTTGGCTTCTCCCTGACATAGTTCACAGATATTCACTGCAATATTTTATGCAGTTTCCTGCCTTTATTCCCTTGAAACATTGAGCCATGTGTATAAAGAAGCCAGACTTTCATACTGATGATCAGCTACTCAGAGGAGAACTGAGCCCTCCTAGATGAAAGTCAGGACCAACTGCCAGCACATATGAAGCCACCTTGGACTTTCTAGCAGAAGGTATTATCCAACAGAATGTAACTCCATTACATTCTAGACACAGGTGAAAGCAGGCAATTCAGGTGAAAGCAGCAGAAAATGCTCAACCAAGTCACAAAATAAGAAAAACTAAATTATCATTTTAAGCCATTAGGTTTTAAAGGTAGTTTCGTTATGTAACATAATTGGTAAAATATCACTTTATAGTACTTACAATTTGCAATATATAGTATCTTCCGAGTCAGGGATCAGCAAACATTTTCTATAAAGGGCCTGACAGTAAAAACTTCAGACTTTAACGGCCATATGGTCTATGTCATACCAACTCAACTCAGCACTTGCAGTGCAAAAGCAGCTATAGATAATGGGTAAATAAACTGCAAATAGTTTTATTGTGATCCAATAAAACTATTTACAAAAATAGGCAGATGAATGGATTTGGTTTTCAGGCACAGTTTTCTGAATCCTGTTCTAAGTTGACAGTCTAGAAGAATGTGTTAATTCTCATCTCATAGTGTGCATTCAATTACTAATAATTAGTCTCTTTATTGACTTTAGAAAATTATGTAAGAGAAGAATTCTTGAAGGCTTTGCTCTAAAGAATATCAAGCTGCCACCGTGGTTCATACCTGTAAACTCAACACTTTGGTAGGCCAAGACGGGAGGATAACTCGAGGCCAGGAATTTGAGACCAGCCTGGGCAACACAGTGAGATCCCATCTCTACAAAAAAAAAAAAAAGCAATATCAGGACCAACTATGATAGTTAACATCCTTGTGTGCAGTGTGGTTGTTGTGCCAAATCCCTGTTGACTCTAGTAGAGATGGCACCTAGTGCAAGAGGCTGAAGAAGAGACCCAGAGACAGCAAATGAGACATGGGATTTTATTGGGGGTTTACATACAGGGGAGAGAGTCGAGTGATGATGGACTGGGCAGGAGAACCACAACCACTTGCAAAAGATGTGCAGTTAAGGTAGCATTCTCACTTAGCACCCTTTCCCTAACAACCCACACCTGGCAACTTTGAGGGAACCCCAAACTCGATGCCTTGATCCCCTACATGGCCTGTGTGCCATGGGACAAGCCAGGGGCTCAGATGTTCCAAATAGAAAAGGAACAAATCTCCAGGCTGGCCACTCCCAGATTCCTAGCTTGGAGCACACATTAAGGAGACTGCCATACAGGGTCATTCTCAGGGTACGCTTACATTATTGCTATCAGGTGCATTTACCATACACGGGTTAATCCAGGTCAACATTCTCAATGCAGAATATTGCACAGAACTCAACAAATGTAAATATTGTTCAGTATATTTTTCTAAAATCATAGTATTGCTATTTAAAATAGAATAACAAAAATTTGAAGACAATAAAAAAATTGAAACAATCAGACTTTCGGCTCTCTTAAAATTAGCAAGAACAAACAAATTAATGTGAATTTAAGAAAAGCATCAAGTGGCCAGGCATGGTAGCTCATGCCTGTAATCCCAGCACTTTGGAAGGCTGAGGCAGGTGGATCACCTGAGGTCAGGAGTTTGAGACCAGCCTGGCTAACATGGTGAAACCCCATCTCTACTAAAAATACAAAAAAATTAGCTGGGCATGGTGGCACACGCCTGTAGTCCCAGCTACTCAGGAGGCTGAGGTAGGAGGATCACTTGAATCTGGGAGGCAGAGGTTGCAGTGAGCCGAGATCATGCCACTGCACTTCAGCATGGGTGACAGAGGGAGACTCTGTCTAAAAAAAAAAAAAAAGAAAGAAAGAAAGCAACAAGCTATTTCAACAGGACGTTTGTGTCTGAGGATATTGTGAGGGCATAAATCATATAACCTAGCACCTTGTGTTGATTAATAAAAATGTATGTAAAAGATCCTTTGAGTGAAATCCTATTTACTTCCCTCTTGAAACACCATTTGACATCATTTTTATGTAGCATTTCTGTATATCATTTTATATTCAAGTTACATATATCAAAAAACAAATCAAAGCAAATAATATCAGAGACACAAATAGGTTTCTCGCTGTAGGAAAGAAAAAAAAAAAGGAACTTTAAAGAGACCAGACTGGAATATACTAAGTGTTTCAATCCTCCTTCTTGCTACTCAAATTCTAAGTGAATTAAACAATTGGCTCTTTCAACAAGTCTCCCCCGTCTTCAAAACATACAGGTAGCACAGAGAGATCATAACTGTAAAAGACTGAGGCTAATTGATTTGAATTTAACACTGTTTCTATAGAGATCATTTCCTAGGGTTTCCAATGGTCTCTCTCTTCATGTTTGAGTAATTGACACAAATGAAAGTACTTGCAATTTTAATAGTCACTGAGTAATTGATGAAAACTACTTCTCTTTTGCCACCTGCACATGAATAAATGAACCAGTAGAACACAAGAGATAGTTCAAAAACAATGAAGTACATCTGGAAATCTAGAAAAGTATATCAAATCATTGAAGAAAAATGGACTTTTTAATAACTTGTAGGCAACCTGATAGAAATTAAGAAGAGGCAATTGAACCAATATGTTGTACAATATACAAAAGTAAATTCCAAAATAAACTAAAATAGAATAAGTTTTGTCGTTGCTAGAAAAAAAACAAATTATAATCTGAAGAAAAAACAACTATGATTCGAAAAAATTCAATGAAAGAAATATATAATAAATTCAATTACATTTAAGTACTTATGCAAGGTGAAAAACCCTGGAGATAATGTCAAAAAATAAATGAAAATTGAGGAAATGTTTCAAAATATATCGATGATACAGGATAATCTCTGTAGCATAAAAAAAGTGCACACCACTTAAGGAAAAAAATTAAAAATCAGAGACACAATTTAAATTAAGCAACACTATAAATGATAGTTCACAAAACAGATATACAAACGGCCCTCAAACCTATAAAAAGATGCTCATCTTCCCCCATAATAGTAATGCAACTTAAAATACACTGCCATGTCATTTCTCACCCATAACATTAGCAGAGATTCCAAAGCTCAACAAACCTACCCTACAAGTGAGGCTGTTACCGGAGGGAGGGCCTTGAATGTAAGTTGTCCAGGTTCCCGGCGTTTTGAATAAAGAAATGGACAAAACGCACAAAGTGAAAAAGGAACAAAACACAGGAATGAAGCAGTGAAAGCAGGGATTTACTAACGCAAGAAAGCACTCCCCAGTGTGGGAGTGGGGCTGAGCAAGCGGCTCAAGTGCCCAGTTACAAAGTTTTCTGGGTTTTAAGTACTCCTTTTGAGGCCCCCATTGGTTATCCCTTATCTGGATGAAGGATTTGGTCTGTGGCTAATAAAAGGCTGAGGTGAACAGGTGCCCTATGCAGATGAAGGGATGGTGCTTGCTTAGCACGTGGCTAATCTAAGGCACTCTCTCTTTTCATCTGAGACATGGTGGAACGGGAAGGGTTGTAGGGAGAGTAGCGTTTGATTTTGTGTTATTAGGCCTGAGAAGATGGGTTTTTTCTTTTTGGTTCAGCTTTAGGAATTTTGTGTTAATTGGCCTTAAGTTCCCTGCCCCCACACCCAGGTGTTTTCCTTTTGCTCCAGCTTTGGGAAATCAGCACAAATTGGCCTCAGATTCTCTGCCCCAAAACCTTCGTGTTTTTCTTTGATTCAGAAAGACTTGGCTTTAAGTTCCCTGCCTTCAGACCCTATTCTGTTGGAAAGCAGGTAGTTTTTCATGTGTTCCTGTTAGGATTACAACCCTACTGGAGAAAAACTTAGCAATATCTAACCAAACTACAAATCAATTTACAATTTACTCCACTATCGCACTACTAGAAATTTACCCTGAAGGCTCATTTGCAGGAGTAAGAAAAAAATGCATATTCTTATTCCCTGAGACATTATTTATAATAGCAAAATATTGAAAACAAGGTCAATGCCAAATATAGAAGACAGTAAATAAAGTGTAACTTACCCACACATTTATACAATAGGGAACCATTATCACACAGTTGACAAAAAGAATGAAGATGATCTCTATGACTAATTCATAGTGATTTCCAAGATGTAAGGTTAAGTGGAAAAAGCAAATTACAAAGCAGTATATATGGTATGCTACCTTTTATGTAAGAAAGAAGAGGAGATAAGAATGGTGTGTGTGTATGTGTGTGTAAAAACTATAAACATATACATATATGAACTTTTTATAGGTATGTATACGTTCACACATACAGGCATTTGTGTCTGTGTGTATATGTATACTTATTTTGCAAAGAGGCACATATGGGAAGATAAAAATGAGTTAAATTAACCACTGACAAGGAGTAGGTAGGATCACAGTGAAAATGATAGACAATATAAATTTTCTTAATATTGTATATTTTGATTTTTGAACCACATTAATGTTTGACTTCTTCCCTTCTAAAATAACCAATAGATGGGAAACAATGTATAATTTATAATTAAATATGAACAAATAAATCTAAATATGTTTTAAGCTGATAGCACAAACATACAGAAGGAAGAAATGAAAGATGAGTCAGACAACTTTTGAATTAGTCAGTACTTTGACTATATATCCTCAGTGGGATATATTTTAAGGAAAAAATGCAAATAAATCTTAAATTTTAATAGCAGCTTATTTATTGTAATGGTATTAGGACAGTGATTCTGAAACTAATGTGCATTGTAATATTAAGCAAATGATAAAAAATATATTAAAGTTTTGGATAACCAGTGTTCTCTATGTGGAAAAGGAGAAATATATGGAATGGGGAAAGGAGAAGAACTTTGTGGTATAAGATGAAAACTAGAATGTCATTATGAACTCATGATTTTCTAAATCTTCTAGCACTGTAGAGGAATGGACCAAAAAATTATGACATACAACCTATAGGACACACTTGATCTTAGTTTCTAAATCTCCTTCACCACTAAAATAGCCAGGGTTTCTTGTGTTAGCAGTGGCAGAGATCCGAGTTACCCTGAGTTACCAACGGCATATCCGTGTGGGTCTGCAGCAACTTCAGTTCTTGCCTTCTCAGAAGCAAGAATCCCACCGAAGGGCATGAAGCAGAAAAAGAAACCAAAGCAAGTCCAGAGCAAGAGTGGAAGTTACTTAGAACAGGAAAGAAAAGAAAGAACCCTTGAGAGAGATACAAGTGGGCGTCTGAAGGTCAAAGAGAGAGAAAAAGAAGAGGGGGACGCTTAACTTTGATCCTGGGACTTTATATACTCACCTCTTTTCCATGATTCTTCCCTTAGAGTTGGCCTTTTGCACGCACAGTGCTCTTCTTACCCTTGGGAATTGAGCATGCGCAGTGTGTTTAGGAAGTTGTACGCATGCCCATCTCAGGCTTTCTTCTCTTTTCTGGTGGAGTGTACCTGGAAGATCATACTTTGCCATTTTATCTCTTAATGTGCATGCCCAGGAAGTTGCTTCTCCCTGGGGTGTGCCTCTAATTAACACTTTAATGTTAACAGATGTGGACCATCAGGAAATGGCTTTTCCCTGGTACCGGCTGCCAATTTATGACTTTTAGAGGGTAATGTGGCAATTGCCATATCATTACCCAACATTTCTTTTTTCTTTTCTTTTTTTTCAAGAGACGGGGTCTGACTCTGTCGCCCAGGCTGGAGTGCAGTGGCTCCATCTCAGCTCACTGCAAGCTCCACCTCCCGGTTCCCGCCATTCTCCTGCCTCAGCCTCCCAAGTAGCTGGGACTACAGGTGCACGCCACCATGCCCGGCTAATTTTCGTATTTTTAGTAGAGACGGGGTTTCACCGTGTTAGCCAGGATGGTCTCGATCTCCCAACCTCGTGATCCGCCTGCCTCGGCCTCCCAAAGTCCTGGGATTACAGGCGTGAGCCACCACGCCCGGCCACCATCACTCAATATTTCTAGTGGGTTGGGGGAGAGCCCTCTCCTGCCCCACTCATGCCTATCTACCTGTAACACTTGGATAAACTGTTAATTCCAGGGCAAAAGTAGAGAATGTATAAAATGAGACCCTTTGTTGTGGCCAAATGTGTGGAAATACTTAAATATGATAAGGACATATCAAAGAACACACATAGGACCCAGTTTCAAAGGGCTCCCCTTGACCACATTTGAGACATTTGAGAATGGATAGAAACAATGATAGTAATGAATTATAACGCATTGACCCTACAAAGGAGAAAAGAATCTATGACCACGTGGTGTTGCAAACAAAGCCAAGGAAAACAAAGAATAGGAATATTGAGAGGGGTATCTACCCTTTACAAAGAATCCCAACTTTTGATTATAGAAGAAATGATTCAACTCGCAAATCTTCATTTGATGACCTGTAATCATTTCAGCTAAGTGTTATTATAAAAAGACATTAAAAATCACTGAGATCAGTCTTCATATTACTTATTAATGACAAGGAAGGATATACATTTACAACTGAAAAATCTGGAAGAAATCATCTTAATCCAGAGATCAAAGTTACTATCACCAATAATGGTACAAACTGATATCTCAGTGCATTACCAATATGCTGAGAATGGCATATCGCCTTATACAACTCTTACCAAAAACTATTGAACCTAAAACGAATTACAAATAAATGATCTGATAAGTAAAAATGTATAGACATTTAACAAATTTTCTGTAATCTTCAAAAACATCAGTGTAATGAAAGAAAAATGGCAGAAAAACTATTTTAGATTAAAGGAGATTAAACAAAACATGGCGACTAAATACAATGTGCAACTTGATAAAAAAATTTGATGATTGAGGCCAGGCGCGGTGGCTCACGCCTGTAATTCCAGCACTTTGGGAGGCCGAGGCAGGCGGATCACGAGGTCAGGAGATCGAGACCATCCTGGCTAACACGGTGAAACCCGTCTCTACTAAAAATACAAAAAAAAAAAAAAATTAGCCAGGCGTGGTGGCAGGTGTCTGTAGTCCCAGCTACTTGGGAGGCTGAGGCAGGAGAATGGCGTGAACTCGGGAGGCGGAGCTTGCAGTGAGCCGAGATCGCGTCACTGCACTCCAGCCTGGGCAACAGAGTGAGACTCCATCTCAAAAAAAAAATGATGATTGAAACAAAACAGTACAAAAGACAGTATCAAGACAATTGGGGACATTTGAATAAGTTATATACATGTGTGTATTTATGTGTATATATATGTATATATATACACATATACATATATATGTGTATATATATACATATATATGTATATATATATATAGCCTTGGAAAAATTATATCACTGAGAAGTGATATATGACAGTGAAGGAGATCTGATCTAACCTACCCACCTCTTGCCTTTAGTTTTCAAGCTGCCTTAATTATTCCTGGGTTTAGGCTGAGCTAACTTTGGAAGAAATTTAGGTTATAGTTTAAATCAGGGATCCTCAACCCCTTGGGCCACGGACCGGTACCACAATTGGGTAGTTACATGAGGTAATAGAGTTGTGTTGATGTTAAATTTCTTGAATGTGACTGTGTTGTGGCTAAGAAGGCTCCTCCAGAGGAGATAATGGCAAGAATATTTAGGAGTAAAGTGAGTGATAACTGCAAAATATATCAAATTGTTCATCCAAATAACAAAGAAGACAGATAAATTGTTAATAGTTGATAAATCTATGTGAATTGTGTACGGGTGTTAATTCTATAATTCTTGCAATATTTCTATAACTTAATTTTTTAATGGGCAAAATGAAAAATATTTCCACCGCCTTAACTACTACCCTTGTCTCTAGACATTTCAGCTCTGGATGTTGCCTTGTTTTCCATTCATAGTGCTGTAGGCAACATTGGCACTTGATTTTGCACTAATACCTGAACTCTAGCATGCATATGAGTCACCAGTAGAATTTGATTAATGTATAGGGTTTCCTAGGCTCCCACATAGTAAGATTCTAGTATAGTAAGTGCAGGATACAGCTACATATCTGGAACTTCAAGAAGAAAAATACTTGTGTATCTAAGAAATACATTTTAGATGATCTCTCAAAGCTGTCTTATATGCTAACCTGAGGAGCTATATTTTGGGATGTTTTTAACTTTTTTTTTAAGTGACTGGATTACTTGTCTACCCCCAGTTCTACTAAGGATAAGAACACTCCAGAATAACACCCATGATTTATGTTTTGAAATCTCTCAAGGAGCAAAACTACATGGCAAATAATCCACCAATTCTCCATGAGATTCTAATGTCAGAATCAATAATAGGTGACATTCTATTCCCATTAAAATTTCTGGAAATTTCCTGTCAAACAAAGCATGATATGTTTTGAGAAATGTTATAAATCGCAAGAAGACACTTTATTTTTTTAAATTTTTCCATTTTTTATTTCAACATTTATTTTAGATTCTGGGGTACATGTACAGATTTGTTATGTAGTTATATTGAGTGACACTGAGGTTTGGTGATGAATGACCGATCCCATCACCGGGTTAGTAAGCATAGTGTCCAATAGGTAGTTTTTCAGCCCTCGACCCTCTCCTTCTTTCCTCCCTGTAGTAGTCTCTAGTGTTTATTGCTCCCATCTGTATGTTCACGAGTACCCAATTCTTAGCTCCCATTTATAAATGAGGACATGTGATATTTGGTTTTCTGTTCCAGTTTTCTGTTTCTGTATTAATTTGCTTAAGATAATAGCCTCCAGATGCATCCATGTTGCTGCAAAGGACATGATTTCATTCTTTTTGCGCACAGTATTCTGTAGTGTGCACGTACCACATTTTCTTTATCCAATCCACTGCTCATGGGCACCTAAGTTGATTCCTTATCTTTGCTATTGTGAATAGTATTGTGATGAACATGAGTGCATGTGCCTTTTTGGTGTAATGATTTATTTCCCTTTGGGTATATACCCAGTAATGGGATTACTGATCCCATTCAGTGATCAAGTGATAGTTCTGTTTTTATTTTATTGAGAAATCTCCAAAATGTTTTCAACCGTGGCTGAACTAATTTGCTTTCCCACTGACAGTGTACACACGTTTCCTTTCCTCTACAGCCTTGGTAGCCACTGTTATTTTTTGACTTTTTATTATTAGCCATTCTGACTGGTGTGAGACCTTTTCTTATTGTGGTTTTGATTTGCAGTTCTCTGATGATTAGTGATGTTGAGCATTTTTATATATATTTTTTGGCCACTTGATTGTCTTCTTTTGACAAGTATCTTTTCATGCCTTTTGCCTAAACTTTTAATGGGGTTGATTTTTGCTTGTTGAATTAAGTTTTTTATAGATCCAGGAAGTAACTTTAAATTGTATTTTTAGCCACAAAAGATCAATTAAGTCTACAAAATGCAAGCGATTATTTGTTTTAGCCAATAATTTCAAGTTCTCTTCACCGCTCCCATGTAGATTTTTTTTATTAATATAAGTTATACAACAGTCCTCTTGTTCTATGTAAATCAAGCAAATAAGCATGAACAAATCTATACTTGCAAGGCACACATAACTTGCAGTCTGGAAGCATCTGGCTGGATAGACATGCCACTTTTACAGGTGAGAGTTTTCATAGCTATTGTATGCAAGACATCAGCTAGGTGATAGTTCTTCAGAGACCATATGCAGCGCTCCCACCTGGAGGTTTGCTAAAAATGGAGCATCTGCACAACATCAACATGTGGTAGGCCTGGTGGAAGAAACAGCAAGCAATTCAGTAAGTAAAGGATGTTGATAGTAGAACCCATTGCTGGAAATTTAGGCAGAGAGCAGATTATCTGGAATAATAAGTTCCAGCTGGATGAATCTGACCCTTATTCAGGAAGCAATGATGACATCTGAAAATCTTCAAACTCAGTCATCATAGAGGATATGAATGGTAGCATTTCTCTAACAACTAATGATTCTGAATATCTTTTTATGTACTTATTAGGTATCTGTATATCTTCTTGGGGAAATGTCAATTTCCCATTTTAATTGGATTTTAATCTTTTTAAGTTTTAAGAGTTCATTATATATTATGGATTAAATTCTCTTATCAGATGTTTGATTTAAAATATAGCTGTTACTTTAAAGCTAAGAAATGTGTCTGACAGCAAATGGAGGAGTCAGTCACCTAGAGAAGTAATTTGTGGTTCAGTTGGAACTTGATTAATATCAGTTATATGTCTTGGATGAATTAGAGTAAATGCTAGAGCAATGCTTAAGATACCAAAATAAATTGCCAGTATGATAATTTAAGTATAAGTAGGGAACGTTGTTTTCTTTCTAAGGCCTAAACCTCACAAACTATCTTTCTGTCTAAACCAGAACATTTGTCAACTCTTATATTTCAGAAAGGTGCTTTATTAAAATGACCAGAAAATTAAACATCTGATATTTTAATATTATTGGTAAGTAATTTCCTCAACAAATATTGTTGCCATTTGAAAATCTCAAATATCAACTCCTAAGGCCATTTTCCCCCTCATGAAACATTTGGTTTTATCTAGTTCTGAGAAAATACATCAGCTTTTTGAAATACTTTTTTTCTGGCTCCTATTTTGATGATGCCATTGAGTCTGACCTCTGCTTATTACAGAAGAATTGATGGGCACGTTTGAGGTCTGAGGAATTTCACACAGGCTTTGAGTACTGTGTTTTTCACAAAATAGTACTAGTTTAATGTAAGTTTTGGGGAAGGCCTGGACCAAGGGAATTACCATCCCTGGGCCAAGGGAGTTACCATCACACTGTAAGTATAATTGAAATCAAACTCACATTATTTACTCAGAGAGTCAAAATATTTTAGTTAACAAATTTAAAATAAAAATGAGTAAGTATACCTAAAGAAAACATTTTGTCAGAGCCCCATTCTGACATTTTGCATCTCTGAGGAACTATTTCAATGATTAAAAAAAAATTCTCACAGGTGCATTACAGGACTGAGGAACATCAGAAGATAAAGTGCATTGCAGGGACAATAGAGAATTTCCAGCAAGTACCGATTTCAGCTGTTACATACTCAGCAGCTTTCAGAGGGCACCATTTTTACAAAACATTTGGGTTTTTGTAATTCACCAACCAAAATGGATTTTTGAAAACAGCTATTCCATGAAGAGACATATTGCTTTGGTTGAAATAGTAATCACTTACACTTTTAGTGACAGCCTAACCGTATATTCAATAGTTGCTCTTATGCTGTTTTTATAATATGTACCAGTACAATCACAATGTTGAGAATTATAGTTACTCTATACAATGTTTCTAAAATAATAATAATTACTGAGTTATTTTATATCAGATGTTTTTCTAAGAATTTTTCTCTTATGAAGTCATTCTCATGACTGTTATCCTAATTTTACAGATGAGAAAATTAAGGTAAAAAAGGTAAAATTAATTCTCCAAGATCATAGAAAATTAAGTAAATTTGCCAAAATCAGAGCTACAATTTGAACTCTAGAACCCAATACCTTAACTACTAGAATAAACTATACTATACTATAAATGTTTTATTTCGTGCACAAGGAGCCAATTTCTTTAATTATATTTATTCTAGGACAATAATTTAACTGAAATGAAAATACTAAACTAAGGAGAAACTTACCCTGACTGAATATTTTAAGTATGGGAAATTAGGGCCACTCATCACTCATTCAGCTAATATTTATTTAGTGTGTGTGATGGGACTGTGATTATAGCTCTGAATAAGAAAAACTAGAGACAGGCTCTCCAGGGAGCTCAAATTGTAGAAGAGGGAGCAATAAAAAGGAAGCAAGATGTAATTATTTAACTTCAGCATTGTGGAGAAAACAAAATAGTTATTATTATGACAGAAAATTCCAGAGCGGAACAGATAATTTGAATTGTGTGTCAGAAAGGTCTTAGAGAAGGTGGCATTTGACTTCAGAACTTGTTTGTGAAAAGGAGCCAGAAAGTCTAATCCGGTGAAAGGAAGAATGTTTTGTGCAGAGAGGACTGCAAACACAGAGGAACCAGGGGTGGGAACTGCTGAGGGGCAATAGACACTGGAGAATTCTGGGCTAAACTCAGTCATAGAACCACTTTCAGGAGGCTGTTTTATTCATAATGACACAGTTGGCCTGGTTTCTTGTCTCAATGTCATGAAGCCACTCCTAAAAGCATAAGTGGAAGATCACCACCTTATGGTCCCACAGGAATTAAAATTTAGGACTTGTAGGGAAATCTCCAATCATCTGGCCAACCTCTTCTTCAAAACCAGTTGAGCGACCTCTGAATTATAAATGAAGGCTCTTTAAAAATTACAATGTATTTGTTCCTTTTATGAGAACACCTCATTAGCAAGTAAATAGTTAAACAATATCTCTATAAATTTCTGAACATAAAAACAGGCTAACATTAAATAAGTTTATATGTCTTTTTACTCTGCTCTACATTTTTCTTTTTCTCATCTACCAATTTGTAATACAGTATTTAATTAACATATTTATAATATTTATAGTTTATGAATTGATTCATTGTAAAATATGAGCTTTACAAGTACTAAGCACTTGGTCTGTTTTCTTCAATGATGTAGAACACTGAACAATGTTTAGCTCGTACTAGATAGGAAGTAGTGAATGAATGAATGAATGAATGAATGAATGAATACATAATTGTGTTCAATGACTGCAAATTTTAAATAAAAATGTTTTGTTTGGCCATTGGCCAGAGCAGCCTAGGACTGGACCAAGTCATCTCAACTTATTTTCAGCCTTATCCATGTGTAATTTGAGTCAAGATCTAACTTTGAACACTAAAAAGTTATACTATGTAAATATTTTGTTAATAATTTTTAGCATCGAGAGAGGTACTTTTACTTTCCATGAATCTATAAAAGCTGTACAGTCAAATGGGCAAGTTTTACATTTTTATCATCACATTTGCTCTTTGGGACTAGAACATGCCTGTGGGAATTCAGTCTTCAAAAAAGCAAGCTTAATTGGACTGAATGCAGGCATAAAATTAAATTGTTTTCCCTTAGTGTTTGAATTCATAACCACATGCAAATTATTTCATACACAACACCCAAGAGGTTCTTCTATTGAGGGAGATAAACATTTTCCCAGAAACTCTAAACTGTTTATATGTGGAAACCTTGGTTTATATAGTTAATACATAGTTTACATAACTGTTCATATAAACTGTTCAGTTCTTGACTTCAGAATCATTCACTAGAAAAGAAATATTTATTATAGAATCACAGAAATAACTACTAATATTTGAAATTAAAAATACATTCATTTAAAAATTATAGAATTTCTAAGTAAGGAGGAATTACTAAAGTGAAAGGTACTAAGCCCCCAAATTATAGAATAAGGTTGGAAATAGAGACTAATACCTTAAATTTATGCATTTTGGTATTTTTTTCTTTTCACATTTACTTTTTAAAAAATAATTTTTCATGAAGAAATTTACACAATACTGAAAAATATAAAGAATAAAAACACCTTAGCTCAAGACAAGATCCAGAGATAAACATTATCATTTTCAAGTGCATCTTCAGTGGCTCATGCAATTTTAAAAACAAGAAAAGTCTTCAAAATTGCTAATCTATTTTAGTGAAGTTTTTAAAAGTAATAATTCTTTAAAATGTAAGTATTATTATTGTCGACCTTATTTTAAGTGCAGAGTATTTAAATAAAATAATATTTAAATCTTGCCTAATAAAAACTCAAGCATTCTTACAAACAAAAGAAAAAATCCAATCAATAGTCACCTGATTAATGAAAGTGTATCTGAATCTCACTTAAAAAAATAACACAAGGCAAGTTTTATACCAACTGAGGCCAAACCTAAAATAATCAAAATAATCTGAGGAAGGGAAAGGACATGCATTGATGTTTATTCTAATCTACATGCACCAAGTAGAGATTTTACATCTGATTGCCTAGATCTTTCCATAGTGGTCTTCCCTACCTTCATTCAACCTCAAACAATACTTCAAGCAAAACATATAATTTTGTTGAAGAAACTCACACTCAGAAATGATAAACAAATTTCCATAGCTAGTAAGTGACAAATATGAAATTAAAACACACTTCTGGACTTTAAATTCTACTACCATCCTTCACTGGGAATTGTGAGGAGGAAGGAGAGCACCCAGACAGAGAAGTGAGAGAACTTCGATTAAATATTGGAACAACTGGCTGGGCACAGTGGCTCTCACCTGGAATCCCAGCATTTTGGGAGGCTGAGTTGGGTAGATCCCTTGAGGTCAGGAGTTCGAGACCAGCCTGGCCAACATGGTGAAACCCATGTCTACTAAAAAATACAAAAACTGGCCAGGCATGGTGGCACATGTCTGCAATCTCAGGTACTCTGGAGACTGAGGCAGGAGAATCATTTGAACCAAGCAGGCAGAGGTGGCAGTGAGCCAAGATGGCACCACTGCACTGCAGCCTGGGTGATAGAGCAAGATTCCATTAAAAAAAAAAAGTATTTGAACAACAAATTTTTGACTGAATTATTTTTTTGTTCCAACCTTATATAAATGGTTGCAAATATATCATCTCATGTTTTATTAATTAAGTTGTGTATTTATTAATACAAATTGTGTTCTAACTCTATGAGAGCAGATGCAGTGACATCCTCTGTGTTATTTAGTACTCTCTGATCCAATTCTCAAAGGATACAATACTCTCATAGACCCTGATAACCTGAGGTAATTCTTTCAGGCTTTGTCTTTATCAAGTAACATTTATGATTATTCCTGCCATCCTCACTCAACTGTATGAGAAAACAATGACTATCAGCTCTATTTACAGTTGAGAAAACTAGTTATCAGAGAAGTTAAATAATGTAACCATGGCTGCATAGAGCTAATTACAACTGTGATCACATGTGTCTGCCCTTTGCTCCCCAAATTATGAGAGTCTCCCTCATCCTTAACCTCAATTTTCTGAAGTTGTAGGAATAAATGTGATGCAAAAACTGAGAGCCTGCTTATTTCCTAAGAAAACAGCCATGAAGGGTTTTCCTAATTGCACCCATTGGACCTGACTTGGACAATGTTTAAATTTGGCAGAAATTTCTGTTAGTTCCCTAACTAACTATTGCTTTGTCACTTCTGAAATCTTGTCTAGGACTAAAAGGCCTACTATACTCATAATGGCTCCACTCCCAACCCCTACACCTCAAGAAAAGTAGTGACAAACACTCTCTCTTTGACCAAACTCTAGTCAGGCTTCTCTGAGCCATTTTCTCAACTAGGCCTTAACTTTGGCCTATTAAAATTGATGATTCAGCACAAATGATGTTGTCTATCCCCTGCACTAAGAGACTTAAACAAACAAACACTAGCATAGTTTCTAACTGAGCAAGGCCATGTCCCTAGGATGGTGATATACTAAAGTATCTACCCAGGAAAAACACCTGAAAATAGGGTCTCTGTCTCTCAGTTTCTGTGGTAGAGTAGAAGGCTATCTTTGGCAAGTGCCAGTTAGCAAACCCAGATGTCCTGGTCACAAGTACTAACCTTTCTTCCTGCTTTTTATAAATTTTCACTTCATTGACTTTTCTCAAGGCCAGCTCACCCACCCTCCCTACTCTTTTATTTTTCCACTAAAAGTCCCAGTCATCTCTACACAAATCGAGGTTGAGTTCAGTTCACCCTAGACTCTTTTTTATATTTCAGTAACTGGTACTGATTAAAAATCTGCTCTTACCACTTAACTAGTGACCAGCTTTGTTTACTTTTGAGAATAGAAGGAATGGTTTACTGTCCTTATTTATTCATCTCCTGACATACATCTGAATTTAAAAGTAAAGGACAGATTTTAACTCACAGAGTAGGTGCCTAGTGTATAATTGGGGGTATAAAATGTGGGCAAGTATTAAAAACATTTAAGTTAGTTCCTTAGGCATATCATGTAGATATCACTTAGAGCTAGCTTTGTCCAGTGGTATCTGGCAATGCATTTGTTAACTCATGAAGAGAGGAATATTTCTCTTTCAAGAATGTCTCCATTCTAACCTAATGTCTTGCATTGTAAACTTGCTGCAAGATTCCTACTTAATCCCTGTAACTGCAAACCACAAAGGTGAATTTTGCATATACAAATGCCATTCAGTGACATTAGCCGTCACCAGAGAAGTTTAGAGTTTATCCACTCTGTAAGTCACCACCTGGGGTTTCACTTTAAGCAAAGATTTTATTGTCAACCATGTGAATGTCTAATAAAAAAATTCAAAGTAAGTGTTAAAAATGGGGTTTAAGATTAGAAGACCTGGGTTCAAGTTCAGGCTTTAGAACTTGACTTACTACCTTGAGATTCTTGGGCCAATCACCAGACCTCTTCAAATTACAATTTTTCTATCTTCAATGTTTAGAGCATCATCATAATTATCTTATAGAATTATTACAAGGGGAAGATGGCCAAATAGGAACAGCTCCGGTCTACAGCTCCCAGCATGAGCGATGCAGAAGACGGGTGATTTCTGCATTTCCATCTGAGGTACCGGGTTCATCTCACTAGGGAATGCCAGACAGTGGGCACAGGTCAGTGGGTGCGGTGCACCGTGCGCGAGCGGAAGCAGGGCGAGGCATTGCCTCACTCAGGAAGTGCAAGGGGTCAAGGAGTTCCCTTGCCTAGTCAAAGAAAGGGGTGAAAGACAGCACCTGGAAAATCGGGTCACTCCCACCTGAATACTGCGCTTTTCTGACGGGCTTAAAAAACGGCACACCAGGAGATTATATCCTGCACCTGGATCGGAGGGTCCTAAGCCCACGGAGTCACGCTGATTGCTAGCACAGCAGCCTGAGATCAAACTGCAAGGCGGCAGTGAGGCTGGGTGGGGAGGGGTGCCCGCCATTGCCCAGGCTTACTCAGGTAAACAAAGCAGCCAGGAAGCTCGAACTGGGTGGAGCGCACCACAGGTCAAGGAGGCCTGCCTGCCTCTGTAGGCTCCACCTCTGGGGGCAGGGCACAGACAAACAAAAAGACAGCAGTAACCTCTGCAGACTTAAATGTCCCTGTCTGACAGCTTTGAAGAGAGCAGTGGTTCTCCCAGCACGCAGCTGGAGATCTGAGAACAGGCAGACTGCCTCCTCAAGTGGGTCCCTGACCCCTGACCCCTGAGCAGCCTAACTGGGAGGCACCCCCCAGTAGGGGCAGACTGACACCTCACACGGCCGGGTACTCCTCTGAGACAAAACTTCCAGAGGAACGATCAGACAGCAGCATTCGCGGTTCACGAAAAACCACTGTTCTGCAGACACCGCTGCTGATACCCAGGCAAACAGGGTCTGGAGTGGACCTCTAGCAAGCTCCAACAGACCTGCAGCTGAGGGTCCTGTCTGTTAGAAGGAAAACTAACAAACAAAAAGGACATCCACACCAAAAACCCGTCTGTACATCACCATCATGAAAGACCAAAAGTAGATAAAACCACAAAGATGGGGAAACAACAGAGCAGAAAAACTGAAAACTCTAAAAAGCAGAGCACCTCTCCTCCTCCAAAGGATCACAGTTCCTCACCAGCAATGGAACAAAGCTGGACAGAGAATGACTTTGACGAGTTGAGAGAAGAAGGCTTCAGACGATCAAACTACGAGCTACAGGAGGAAATTCAAACCAAAGGCAAAGAAGTTAAAAACTTTGAAAAAAATTTAGACGAATGTATAACTAGAATAACCAATACAAAGAACTGCATAAAGGAGCTGATGGAGCTGAAAGCCAAGGCTCGAGAACTATGTGAAGAATGCAGAAGCCTCAGGAGCAGATGCGATCAACTGGAAGAAAGGGTATCAGCGATGGAAGATGAAATGAATGAAATGAAGTGAGAAGGGAAGTTTAGAGAAAAAAGAATAAAAAGAAACGAACAAAGCATCCAAGAAATATGGGACTATGTGAAAAGACCAAATCTACGTCTGATTGGTGTACCTGAAAGTGATGGGGAGAATGGAACCAAGTTGGAAAACACTCTGCAGGATATTATCCAGGAGAACTTCCCCAATCTAGCAAGGCAGGCCAACATTCAGATTCAGGAAATACAGAGAACGCCAAAAAGACACTCCTCGAGAAGAGCAACTCCAAGACACATAATTGTCAGATTCACCAAAGTTGAAATGAAGGAAAAAATGTAAAGGGCAACCAGAGAGAAAGGTCGGGTTACCCACAAAGGAAAGCCCATCAGACTAACAGTGGCTCTCTCGGCAGAAACTCTACAAGCCAGAAGAGAGTGGGGGCCAATATTCAACATTCTTAAAGAAAAGAATTTTCAACCCAGAATTTCATATCCAGCCAAACTAAACTTCATATGTGAAAGAGAAATAAAATCCTTTACAGAGAAGCAAATGCTGAGAGATTTTGTCACCACCAGGCCTGCCCTAAAAGAGCTCCTGAAGGAAGCACTAAACATGGAAAGGAACAACTGGTACTAGCCTCTGCAAAATCATGCCAAAATGTAAAGACCATCGAGACTAGGAAGAAACTTCATCAACTAATGAGCAAAATAACCAGCTAACATCATAATGACAGGTTCAAATTCACAAATAACAATATTAACTTTAAAGGTAAATGGACTAAATGCTCCAATTAAAAGACACAGATTGGCAAATTGGATAAAGAGTCAAGACCCATCAGTGTGCTGTATTCAGCAAACCCATCTCACATACAGAGACAAACATAGGCTCAAAATAAAAGGATGGAGGAAGATCTACCAAGCAAATGGAAAACAAAAAAAGGCACGGGTTGCAATCCTAGTCTCTGATAAAACAGACTTTAAACCAACAAAGATCAAAAGAGACAAAGAAGGCCATTACATAATGGTAAAGGGATCAATTCAACAAGAAGAGCTAACTATCCTAAATATATATGCACCCAATACAGGAGCACCCAGATTCATAAAGCAAGTCCTGAGTGACCTACAAAGAGACTTAGACTCCCACACATTAATAATGGGAGACTTTAACACCCCACTGTCAACATTAGACAGATCGACGAGACAGAAAGTCAACAAGGATACCCAGGAATTGAACTCAGCTCTGCACCAAGCGGACCTAATAGACATCTACAGAACTCTCCACCCCAAATCAACAGAATATACATTTTTTTCAGCACCACACCATACCTATTCCAAAATTGACCACATACTTGGAAGTAAAGCTCTCCTTAGCAGATGTAAAAGAACAGAAATTATAACAAACTATCTCTCAGACCACAGTGCAATCAAACTAAAACTCAGGATTAAGAAACTCACTCAAAACTGCTCAACTACATGGAAACTGAACAACCTGCGCCTAAATGACTACTGGGTACATAAGGAAATGAAGGCAGAAATAAAGATGTTCTTTGAAACCAACGAGAACAAAGACACAACATACCAGAATCTCTGGGACACATTCAAAGCAGTGCGTAGAGGGAAATTTATAGCACTAAATGCCCACAAGAGAAAGCAGGGAAGATCCAAAATTGACACCCTAACGTCACAATTAAAAGAACTAGAAAAGCAAGAGCAAACACATTCAAAAGCTAGCAGAAGGCAAGAAATAACTAAAATCAGAGCAGAACTGAAGGAAATAGAGACACAAAAAACCCTTCAAAAAATTAATGAATCCAGGACCTGGTTTTTTGAAAGGATCAACAAAATTCATAGACCGCTAGCCAGACTAATAAAGAAGAGAGAAGAATCAAATAGATGCAATAAAAAATGATAAAGGGGATATCACCACCGATCCCACAGAAATACAAACTACCATCAGAGAATACTACAAACACCTCTACGCAAATAAACTAGAAAATCTAGAAGAAATGGATAAATTCCTCGACACATACACCCACCCAAGACTAAACCAGGAAGAAGTTGAATCTCTGAATAGACCAATAACAGGAGCTGAAATTGTGGCAATAATCAATAGCTTACCAACCAAAAAGAGTCCAGGACCAGATGGATTCACAGCCGAATTCTACCAGAGGTACAAGGAGGAACTGGTACAATTCCTTCTGAAAATATTCCAATCAATAGAAAAAGAGGGAACCCTCCCTAACTCATTTTATGAGGCCAGCATCATCCTGATACCAAAGCCGGGCAGAGACACAACCAAAAAAGAGAATTTTAGACCAATATCCTTGATGAACATTGATGCAAAAATCCTCAATAAAATACTGGCAAACCGAATCCAGCAGCACATGAAAAAGCTTATCCAACATGATCAAGTGGGATTCATCCCTGGGGTGCAAGGCTGGTTCAATAAATGCAAATCAATAAATGTAATCCAGCATATAAACAGAACCAAAGACAAAAAGCCACATGATTATCTCAATAGATGCAGAAAAGGCCTTTGACAAAATTCAACAACGCTTCATGCTAAAAACTCTGAATAAATTACGTATTGATGGGACATATCTCAAATAATAAGAGCTATCTATGACAAACCCACAGCCAATATCATACTGAATGGGCGAAACCTGGAAGCATTCCCTTTCAAAACTGGCACAAGACAGGGATGCCCTCTCTCACCACTCCTATGCAACATAGTGTTGGAAGCTCTGGCCAGGGCAATTAGGCAGGAGAAGGAAATAAAGGGTATTCAATTAGGAAAAGAGAAAGTCAAATTGTCCCTGTCTGCAGACGACATGATTGTATATCTAGAAAACCCCATTGTCTCAGCCCAAAATCTCCTTAAGCTGATAAGCAACTTCAGCAAAGTCTCAGGATACAAAATCAATGTACAAAAATCACAAGCATTCTTATACACCAATAACAGACAAACAGAGAGCCAAATCATGAGTGAACTCCCATTCACAATTGCTTCAAAGAGAATAAAATACCTAGGAATCCACCTTACAAGGGACGGGAAGGGCCTCTTCAAGGAGAACTACAAACCACTGCTCAATGAAATAAAAGAGGATACAAACAAATGGAAGAACATTCCATGCTCATGGGTAGGGAGAATCAATATGGTTAAAATGGCCTTACTGCCAAGGTAATTTATAGATTCAATGCCATCCCCATCAAGCTACCAATGACTTTCTTCACAGAACTGGAAAAAACTACTTATGGAACCAAAAAAGAGCCCACATTGCCAAGTCAATCCTAAGCCAAAAGAACAAAGCTGGAGGCATCACACTACCTGACTTCAAACTATACTACAAGGCTATAGTAACCAAAACGGCATGGTACTGGTACCAAAACAGAGATATAGATCAATGGAAGAGAACAGAGCCCTCAGAAATAACACCGCATAGCTACAACTATCTGATCTTTGACAAACCTGACCAAAACAAGCAATGGGGAACGGATTCCCTCTTTAATAAATGGTGCTGGGAAAACTGGCTAGCCATATGTAGAAAGCTGAAACTGGATCCCTTCCTTACACCTTATACAAAAATTATTTCAAGATGGATTAAAGACTTAAACGTTAGACATAAAACCATAAAAACCCTAGAAGAAAACCTAGGCATTACTATTCAGGATATAGGCACGGGCAAGGACTTCATGTCTAAAACACCAAAAGCAATGGCAACAAAACACAAAATTCACAAATGGGATATAATTAAACTAAAGAGCTTCTGCACAGCAAAAGAAACTACCATCGGAGTGAACAGGCCACCCACAAATTGGGAGAAAATTTTCACAACCTACTCATCTGACAAAGGGCTAATATCCAGAATCTACAATGAACTCAAACAAATTTACAAGAAAAAAACAAACAACCCCATCAAAAAGTGGGCGAAGGATATGAACAGACACTTCTCAAAAGAAGACATTTATGCAGCCAAAAGACACATGAAAAAATGCTCATCATCACTGGCCATCAGAGAAATGCAAATCAAAACCACAATGAGATATCATCTCACACCAGTTAGAATGGCAATCATTAAAAAGTCAGGAAACAACAGGTGCTGGAGAGGATGTGGAGAAATAGGAACACTTTTACACTGTTGGTGGGACTGTCAACTAGTTCAACGATTGTGGAAGTCAGTGTGGCGATTCCTCAGGGATCTAGAACTAGAAATACCATTTGACCCAGCCATCCCATTACTGGGTATATACCCAAAGGACTATAAATCATGCTGCTATAAAGACACATGCACACGTATGTTTATTGTGGCACTATTCACAATGGCAAAGTCTTGGAACCAACCCAAATGTCCAATGATGACAGACTGGATTAAGAAAATGTGGCATATATACACCATGGAATACTATGCAGCCATAAAAAATGATGAGTTCATGTCCTTTGTAGGGACATGGATGAACTTGGAAATCATCATTCTCAGTAAACTATCGCAAGAACGAAAAACCAAACACCGCATATTCTCACTCATAGGTGGGAATTGAACAGTGAGAACACATGGACACAGGAAGGGGAACATCACACTCTGGGGACTGTTGTGGGGTGGGGGGAGGGGGGAGGGATAGCATTGGGAGATATACCTAATGCTAGATGACGACTTAGTGAGTGCAGCGCACCAGCATGTCACATGTATACACATGTAACTAACCTGCACATTGTGCACATGTACCCTAAAACTTAAAGTATGATAATAATAAAAAAAAGAGATAATAAGTAAATCTAAAAAAAAAAAAGAATTATTTCAAGGGTAAAATATGAAGAGTACATGAAAGACTGTATATAACCTAAGGAGCTGAAAAGTGTTCATCCCTAAAAGGTGGAGTAGCAAGTCATAAATCTCTGCTATATGGCAGAGTTTGACATTGTGGTAAAGAAACTCCTGTCCTTGTCTGACTTTGGAGTCACACTACCCGAATTCAACCCACAGCACACAGCATGTCACTTAGTTTCTGTGACAGTGGGTAAACCACCTAAACCTGCTGAGTTCAGTTTCTGCATCTGTAAAGATGGATAGTAATAATTTATCACAGAGGTTATTGTGTATATCAGATGAAATAATTTGGGAAGCATTTAGAAAAATGCCTGGAATGTAGAAAGCACGCAGTAAATATTAGCTGATAATGATAATGGTGATGATATGATGATGGTGGTGATCATTATGAGGACAACAGCCCTTCCTCCTAATACCCTGAGGCAACTCTTTTCTTAGGCTTAAGAATAATAATTGCTAGTTGCTCATTAGAGAATACTACGCTTAAATTTTAATGGTTATGCCAAAATCAAAATTTCTTATAAAGAGTAAGAATTAGGATTTTGCCAAGTTTTATCTTTCCATCACACTTAGTTAAACGCATTAAGATGATATAATTGACACAATTAATTTCAATTAGGTATTTCTAATTGTGAACATACTTCGAGCCACGTAAAACAAGTAGACTCAAAAAAAAAGAGAAAGAAAAAGAAAATGTTTGTAAACCATAAAGTCTCAGACTTATAGTCAGATCTAAACATCTGTGATTGTAATAGTTTAGGATGCATTGTGCTTGACTTACTTCAATCACTGTGTATGTACTGAGCTATAAAACCCTTACTATTTTGAATAAAGCTAAATAATTAGATTTTAAAAGCTTGCATCTTTTTAAACTCTTATTACACTATTTCTTCCTACTGCTAAATTTTCATTAGATTTGACATAAATTGACTTTAGTAAATAGTAGGTTTAGAAAAATAATGTTTAAAGCATTCAGTATTTTATAAATAGATGGAAACATGTTTCAAATAATTGATCAGACAAAATTGGAACTGACTGCCTAAGTTGCTGTGTTAAAAAAGAAATATAAAGTCTCAGAGGCAGAGAGCAAAATGGAGATGTCTGTCAGAGGGACATGGGAATCATAATTGTTATCACTGATGATTTTATGTCCCATAATGATTAAATAGGTATTAAGAGGTATGATAAATTATGAAAGGCAGTACCTCCCAATGTAAATCATAGAAATGAATTTATGATTACTTTATTTCTACATATAGGATACACTTTATAATATTTATAAATACTGAAATATTCCCTGGGGAAGAGCAGAAAGACATAGAGGTACATTCTAATTTTTTTCCCAGCAGATATGTGTGTTAGAGAAACTCTATTTATACATTTTGCAACATGAAAGTTATCAAAAATATAACATTTCTGCATCCATGAGGGGGTCTGATGAAAATTGTCAAGAGAGTTAGAGACAGAGATTGAATCCTTTCTCCTATGTCTACCTCCTCTGGCCTAGTCCAAAGTTTTGAGTTGTCTGAAAACACACTTACCACTTGGGTCATTAATACCAGGGAAGCACAGACCCTCATCAACTTCAACAAGTCATCATGTGAACATGTATACAATAAGAGATACATACATATATGCCAACAAAAAGTCCCACAAACCAGTTTTTGACAGCTGTATCCCAATGAAGAATCACACTACATTCACCAAAATGCCCAAGTCTTCTCCTCTATTGCATGCCCCCACAAATTATGTTGAGTCTGGTTTATCCTAAGGTATCATTTTTCTTATATTTTCTGTAATTGAATGCAGTCTTCCTGAAAATTAACTAAATATGTATGTGTTGTAAATGTGTATGTATTGAACTCCTGTTTATTTCCAAACAGGTGCTTTATATTAGCGGTCCCCAAATTTTTTGGCAACAGCGACTGGTTTAGAGGAAGACAATTTTTCCACAGATGGATGGCATGGGTGGAGATGTTTTGGGGATGATTCAAGCACATTCCATTTATCATTAGATTTTTATAAGGCAGGCACCACCTAGATCCCTTGCATGCTTGGTTCACAATAAGGTTTACACTCCTATGAGAATCTAATGCCAGCAGCTGATCTTACAGGAGGTGGAGCTCAGGCAGTAAAGTTTCCTTGCATGCTCACCTTCTGCTGTACGACCCGGTTGCTAACAGGTCACAGACGGATAGCAGTCTGCGGCCCAGGGGTTGGAGATCCCTGCTTTATATCACGTATTACCCATATAGTAATCCTGCATGAAAAGCAAGGTGAAAATGTCAATTTGTTTTTCAAAGGAAAAAACTGGGTTTAGAGAAGTTAAGTAAAAGTAGCAAGAGGTGGAGTTTGGATTCAAATGTACATCTGTCCAAGGCCTTCACAATTAAGCCACCCTGTATACTCTGGGTAAAGTGTTGCATTATGTACTTGGATAACATGAATGAAGAGGATGTGATGCCTGACCTGGAAAATCTTGTATATTCTGCCAGACACCATCTTACCTATAGAGTTAAGGTTCTACCTTACCCGATTTTATGTGACAGGCAAAATGGAACTTTCATAGCTTCATGACTTATTATAATATGTATTTGTAAAAAACACAGATATACTTCTCCCTCCCTTTTACATACCTTTCAAGATGTAATGGAGAAGAAACATTCTGGAGATTTTCTAAGACATTATTAACTAAAGACCCAGAGGAGAGTGGTGAGTACCTGAGTGATACAGTGGAGACAAAGTAGCCATGAGGCTTTGAGACAGGGTAGCACAGTCTGTCACAGCCTGGACTTCTGAAGCATACAAATATGGGTTCTAATCCCACTGCTGCCACTCAATAGTTTCATGACTTCAGACAAGATAGCCAACCACCTGCACGCACACACACACACACACACGCACACACACACACACACACACACAGAAAAACAGAAAATACTCTAATTTTATATTCGTAATTATGTACACATATTCACGTGATTTAGAAGTAGGTTATACTTGTAGTTGATTGCCTCATTTTTGTCATTTTGGAAGAAGGATCACAATATGTTGTGTGTAGATTTTGTCTATTGCACAACTCAAAGACTTCTCCTGAAATAAGTGTGCTGGTTGCAAAATGAAATGTTAAATTTATGCAAATCACCCTTTAAAATTCTGTTTTTCCAATGGTCTTCCAAATTCAAAATTTATTTAAATGTTTGAGAAAAATATAGAAATATTTTAGAAGCTATATGAGTATATCAAACAACATTTTGAAAATTTAAAGCTAATTGACCTTACATTGATTGAAATAAAAATAAAATTGAGAAATAAGTAAATATAATATATTTGGTTGGAAGATAAATACAAATTATAATAAATTGTGATGAACATTTTATATAGTAGTTATTTTATATAATTCAGATATCCATAAGGTTTTTATGACCTCTTTATTAATTTTATTAATAGAATAAAGATTTCAACAAATAAAAATTATCAATAATAGTATTTATCAATTTTCACATTAATAAAAATGCATGGTTTGGATAAGTTATTTAAAACACAAAAAAACTTGACTTGTTCCTCTTTCACCTTGAAGTTAGCTTTATCTTCATAAGTGAAGATATCTGACATACTTCCTTTATGATGTTGCCTGGCATCTCTAAGATCATATAGTTCTAAGTGGCTGCATTTTTAAAATTTGAGTCTCTTTCTCTATACATCCTGTAAAAATCCCTAGTAGATCATTCACTTACCCAGTGTGGACAACGTGCTCATTTCACAAAGATCAAGGTGGCCACAGAAATATGATACTCTCTGGTAGTTAAAGTCCAAGCCTTCCTAAATGAAGATTTTCCTCTATAGCACTAGAACTGTACTTACCAAAATCATCTTCTAGCATTTGAAACCCTGGAGGAATTATTTTTTCCTTATTTTGTAGTAAACATTTTTGTTTATTAAAGTTCTTTTTGAGAAGGTCCAGATAAGACAAGCATTTGCATTCACCATTCCTCACTGTCTTGTATGTCCTTCCTGGTTTCTTTCCACTTCTACTAAAATCTAGTTTTCATTAAATTCATCTTATACCTTTCTGCTCAAATTTTCCCAAGACTTACCATTGTATGTGATTCTTTCTTGTTTATACATGTATGAATTTCTCTAAGAAACAGGGACAAGTGTAGTCATTTTTAGATGTCTCCTAGCATTGTGATTATTTCATACATTATTCAAAATATTTTAAATAAATGGATTTGTTAATTAAGCAGATGGAAAGAAAAAGCTTAGCAACCAGTTTGCTGAAATCATTCTTTCTTACCCAGAGGAAAGTGGGGAGAAAGAATTACTGAAATCTCCTTTTAAATATAATATGACCATCTTAGGATATCTACTTTGGGAACATTCTTATGTTTAGAATAGTCACAGCAGAATATACTTGATCTACCAATGTGTACACATGATAAACATACCTGGAACTTATGAATTTATGAATTATGGTTCTCCAAATATGTCAGCTATACAATTATCAGAATATAAATGGTGATGTTTCAGCACCTAACTAGCTCTCTTTGAACTAATTGTGCTGAAGGGATTGTCCCACCTGAGTTTAAGATTTTCTATACATCTTCAGTATACAAGATAATTTATTATTGACAAAAATGTAGACATATACACCAATGGAACAGAATTAAACGTCCAGAAAAAGTCCCAAATATGTATGAAAAATAGATTTTTAACAATGTACCAAGGCAACTCAATGGTGTTGAATCAATTGGACATTCAAATCAAGGAAAAATAAACATTAGCAATTCCGTTGGTTGGAGAGACTCTGAATTGTCCATTGTACTCAAAACAAACAAACAAACAACTGAAAAGAGCAATGCAGAATATAAATATGAGCCAAAGATGGGAGAAGAAAATGAGGACAATGAACAATCATCAACAGGATGACATCTGCTTTCTTTTTTTTTTTTTTTGAGATGGAGTCTTGCTCTGTGCTCTGTCGCCCAGGCTGGAGTGCAGTGGTGCAATCTCGGCTCACTGCAAGCTCTGCCTCCCGGGTTCATGCCATCTCCTGTCTCAGCCTCCCGAGTAGCTGGGATTACAGGCACCCGCCACCATGCCCGGCTAATTTTTTTTTGTATTTTTAGTAGAGATGGGGTTTCACCGTGTTAGCCAGGATGGTCTCGATCTCCTGACCTAGTGATACGCACGTCTCAACCTCCCAAAGTGTTGGGATTACAGGCATGAGCCACTGCACCCGGCCGATGACATCTACTTTCTGTTGAAGGTATTAAATCCTCAAGGACTGCTCAGTCTATAGCTCTCAGCTTCTTTCTGCCTTCCTGTTACTCATAATTCTTAATTCTTGTGCTAAAATTGTTTGTCTTGTTTTTTTTTTTTTTAGTCTTTGTTTCAAGATTTTTTTCTTTCTCATCATTGCATAATTTTAATTACATTAACTTTAAAGAGGGCAGTATCAAACTTGGTTTGAAGGACATTGCGTTTGGAAACTTGCTTATTTTGAATTTCATATCTGTTAAAATTTTCTCCTTCCAGACTGCTCTTTCTCAGGCTCTTTTTCTGCAACTGACCCACTTTTTTTATTGCAAGAGTATTAGAACTTTAGGATTTCATTCTAGGTCCAGTTCTTTTCTTCACATACATCCCTGGGATTGTCTACCTGCAATGCTAAAACTAACAGTGTAGGATCTTCTACCAATTTCTTATGGAAGCTCCAGTTATACATCAACACTGACTACATTTTCTTTCTTTTGTGTCCTTGTTTCTTTGCACATATAGCTTTCTTTTTCTGAAATATTATTTTCCACCTATTTTTAATATAGGAAGGTGTTATTTATTCTTTTTGATTCAGCTCTAATATTACATTCTCTGGAAAGCCTTCCCTGATATTTTATCCTAGTAATGGCTATACTTCCTAAGACAAGCTTAGAAATGTGTTCTGACAGTAGAAATGAACATTTAAAACCTGAATATTTAAGAAAATACAAAGCCCATACAAACCACGTGGCACCACTCTCGATTACGGCAATGGTCACAGTATAATATTCATGCAATTCCTGACATTTTAATGTTTGTATTTTTCTTAACTGATGCGTCTAGCCCAATTTCTGACATATACCAATTTTTGCATAAATTTCTATTAAAGTTAATATCATTGGAGCCATCTTGGGTAGTACTGGATAAGGAACTTCACCTAGACAAACTTTATCAGAAGTCAACATTAGACAGTTTGTTAATAAGCCCAATTAAACGTTACATGTCATTGATAAAATATCTAGCCTGTCAATAAACGGTATACAGACATGAAGACCTGTCTCAGTCTATTTTGTGCTGCTATAACAGAATACCTAAGATGTGATAATTTATAATAAAGAGAAAGTCATTGACTCACAGTTTTACAGGCTGGGAAGTTCAAGATCAAAGTGCTGGCATCTTGTAAGAGCCCTCTTGCTGCATGATCACATGACAAGGCAAATGGGCAAGACCACAAGAGAGCAAGAGAAGACCAAACTCACCCTTTTTGGACAGCATTATTACCCCGACAAAGGCAGACCTATCATGACCTAATCACCTCCTAAGTTTCCCCTCTTAATACTGCTATAATGGCAATTTTAAATTTCAACATGAGTTTCAGAGGGGAGAAACATTCAATCTATAGCACTACCCTTATGTCAATAGTTTACACATCTGGGGACCCATAGTTCATATACTAAAAATATAGTAACTTAGGTTTAACTCCTAAAAGGTAATTTTTCAGTTGCTGATTCAGAGGTTACTTTGGTGCCTTACTCCAGTTAGGTGGTTAGCTGAATCCTGCGTTAGAACACTATTGTATTTTTCTCTGGTTAGCCTTTCATGGAAGATACTGGTAAGGCACCTAAAAGGACAGACAGTTGGGATTCCATCAAACTTACTGTATTAGTCCATTCTCACACTGCTGTAAAGAACTACCTGAGACTTGGTGATTTATAAACAAAAGAGGTTTAATTGACTCACTGTTCCGCATGGCTGGGGAGGCCTCAGGAAACTTACAATCATGTCAGAAGGCAAAGGTGAAGAAAGGCACACCTTACATGGTGGCAGGAGAAAGACATTGCAAGGAGAAACAGCCACTTTTAAACCATCAGATCTCATGAGAACTCCCTCACTATCACAAGAACAGCATGGAGAAAACCACTCCCATAAATCTATCATCTTCCACCAGGTCCCTCCCTCAACACATGGGGATTATAATTAGAAATTTGGGTGGGGACACAGAGCCAAACCATATCACTTACAGAGCAGAATAACCAATCTGTGCATATTTGTTAATAAATGTGTATGTGTGTTTAGGAGAATCTTATCTGAGACTTGTTTATTGCAAAATGGCAATAAGGTTGTAGGAAGAAAGCCTGTAGTCTTTACCAAAATAATTGTTGAGGCTACTGTATTTACTATAAAACCTAATAGTTGTACATGATCAAAGTGACTTACATCATTTAAGAGAAGCCTCATTTATTTTACTGGGGCTATTTGGCTTTATTTGAGGACTAGAGTAAATGTCTTTTTAACTTTGAAAGTCTCAAAAACAGTGGAAAATAACTGTTTTTTTAGAATTACATATTTGATCATATTAAATACCATTGGAAAATTGTTTTCCAATGAACTAAAGCTAAATGGCTTATTTTGGCATTTAAATCACATCACACATTAACCCAGCTTAACCTTCTAGCTTGATCTTTCAGGATCTATCTTATACAAACCCTAAACAGATTGTTGTTCTATGAATACATGAGGGAAGTTGTGATTTCCCTCATGTATTCATAGAAAAATAATCTGCTGAGCAGCTACCAAGGCCAGATGTTGCTCTAAGTAAAGCAGAAATGCTTCATGCATTAAGTAATTTAGAGTCTGGTACAGGGAGTTAGTTGATAAGTGAACAAATTACTATCAAATTTAGATACATCATTAACTAATTCTGGAGGTTTCTGAAGTGTTTTCACAGGTAAATTTCTGCTTCCTAACTCTCATGCTTGCTTGTGCTCTTGCTGTCTCTCTCAATCTCTCTCCGTCCCTCCCTCCCTCTTTCATTCTTTTATTTTTATTTATTTATTTATTTATTTTTATTTTTCAGGGTCTTGTCATTGCTCTGTTGCCCAGCCTGGAGAACAGTGGCATGATTATAGTTGACTATGACCTTGACTTCCTGGGCTCATGTAATCCTCTTGCCTCAGTCTCCCAAGTAGGTAGGACTACAGGTGTGTGCCACCACACCCAGTTAATTTTCTAATTCTTGTTTTTTGTAGAGACGGGGGTCTCCCTGTGTTCCCAAGGCTGGTCTTGAACTCCTGGGCTCAAGGGAGCCTCCCACCTTAGCCACCAAAAATGCTGGAATTACAAGTGTAAGCCACCATGTCCAGCCTCTCATACATTTTTGTGACCTCCTGAAGTTGCTTAAGTTACTCCCTTTACTAAAATGTTCTTCCACTCTTCTGCTTTTACTTTCTGGAAAACTTCTCATTTTTAACAAGTCAGTTCAAAACTTCCATTTCTGACTAAATCCTTTCGTAATACCACTTTCTTTTATTTCTGGCAGAATATATTACTATTGCTTTCCAGCCTCATACTCATTATTCATGAGTGCATTATAGCAATAAGTGTGTTGCATTGCAATGTATATACATAGCTGTCCTTCCCACTAGATTTTGAATACTTATCTAGAAAGTTGCCTAACATATATAATTTATACAAGTTTGTTAAAAATATAAAGAAATGATCCACAGGAAATAATTATAATGTAGAAGACCTTATTCAAGGTTAGTAGAAATCTGAATAGACATGACAAATTTTAGTTGATATCTGTTTTACCTGAATCATATCAATTATAAGAATGAGCTATAAAGCAATATTGATAAGGTTTATATTTTGAACTTCATCCCCCAAAAATGGTCAGCTTCATTATGTTCCTTGGCCATAAGTTGTATCCTATACACTTACTGATGTTTCACAAATAAGAATCAATGACAAAGAAGAGGAGAGGAGCACTTTGATCATTCAGTCTATCAAAATTCATTAGGCGTGCATTGTTGAACATTCTTTACTCCTTATAAGCTGTTTGTTAAAGATTGGCAAACAGTCAGAGTCAGAAATAAAACTACGACTCATTAAACTAATTCTATTGATGAAGAAAATGAAACTCAGAGAGCTTAAAAGATTATCTACACAACACTTGAGTGACAGTTTGAAGTGGTATCCACCTTTATCTGCCTCCTGCTCTATTGCTACTTCTATAATGTCACACATTATTACAGGTCTGGTCTGAATATCTGAATCTTATCCTATGAAGAAACAAAATATTATAAAAAAATATGGTTCCACCTTGAGCTGATTTTCGTATAAGGTGAGAGAAGAAGATCCAGTTCCATTCTTCTACACGTGGTTTGCCAATTATCCCAGCACCATTTGTTGAATAGGGTGTGCTTTCTCCACTTTATGTTTTTGTTTGCTTTGTCGAACATCAGCTGACTGTATTTGGCTTTATTTCTGCATTCTCTATTCTGTTCCATTGCTCTATGTGCCTATTTGTACACCAGTACCATGCTGTTTTGGTGACAATGCCCTTATAGTATAGTTTGAAGTCAAGTAATGTGATGCCGTCAGATGTGTTCTTTTTGTTTAGTCTTGCTTTGGTTATGTGGGTTCTTTTTTGGTTCCACCTGAAATTTAGAATTGCTTTTACTAGTTCCAGAAGAATGATGGTGGTATTTTGATGGGAATTGCACTGAATTTGTAGATTGCTTTTGGCAGGATGGTGATTTTCACAATATTGATTCTACCCATCCTTGAGGATGGGATGTGTTTACATTTGTTTGTATTGTCTATAATTTCAGCAGTGTTTTGCAGTTTCCCTTGTAGAGGTCTTTCACATCCTTGGTTAGTTATATTTCTAAGTATTTTATTTTATTTCATTTTTGCAGCTATTATGAAAGGGATGGAGTTCTTGATTTGATTCTCAGCTTGGTTGCTGTTGGTGTATAGCAGAGCTACTGATTTGGGTACATTAATTTTTTATCCTGAAACTTTGCCAAATTCATTTGTCAGTTCTAGGAGGTTTTTGGATGAGTCTTTAGGGTTTTTTTGAGTACACAATCATACCATCAACAACATAAAGATTCTAGAACACTGGAAAAACCCTTCCAGACATTGGTTGAGGCAAACAAATCATGACCAAGAACCCAAAAGCAAATGCAACAAAAACAAAGATAAATAGACAGGACTAAACTAAACCAAAAAGTTTCTGTACAGCAAAAGAAACAATCACCAGAGTTAACAGACAACCCACAGAGGTGGAGAAAATCTTCATAATATATTCAGCCAACAAAGAACTAATATCAAGAATCTACAAAGAACTCAAACAAGTCAGCAAGAAAAAATCAAACGATCCCATCAAAAAGTGGGCTAAGAACTTGGATAGACAGTCCTCAAAAGAAGACATACAAATGGTCAATAAGCATATGGAAAAATGCTCAACATCGCTAATTATCAGGGAAATGTAAATCAAAACCACAACATGATACCATCGCAGTCCTAAAAGAATGGCCTTAATCAAAAAAATAAAAATAAATAATAGATGTTGGCGGGGATGCAGTGAAAAGGGAACACTTTTATATTGTTGGTGTGAATGTAAATTAATATGGCAACTATGGAAAACAGTGTGGAGATTCCTTAAAAAAACTAAGAGTAGATCTACTGTTTGATCCAGCAATCCCACTACTAGATATATATCCAGATGAAAATAAGTCATTATACGAAAAAGATACTTGCACACGCATGTTTATAGCCACACAATTTGCAACTGCAAAAATATGGAACCAGCCCAAATGCCCATCAATCAATGAGTGGATAAAGGAAAAAAAATACATATATGTGTATATATATGTATATATACATACACATGTGTATATATATGTATATATGTATATATATGTGTGTGTATATACATATATATACACACACATATATATATAATGGGATACTACTCAGCCATAAAAAAGAGCAAAGTAATGGCATTTGCAGTAGCCTGGATGGAATTATGGAATTGGAGACTCTTATGCTAAGTGAAGCAACTCAGGAATGGAAAGCCAAATATCATATGTTTTCACTCATATGTGGGAGCTAAGCTATGAGGATTCAAAAGCATAAGAATGATACATTGGACTTTGGGGACCCAGGGAGAAGGGTGGGGAGTGACAAGGGATGAAAGACTGCACATTGAGTACAGTGTACATTGCTTGGGTGATGGGTGCACCCAAATCTCAGAATCACCACTAAAGAACTTATTCATGTAAACAAACACCACCTGTTCCCCCCAAAATCCATTGAAATAAAACATAATAATTTTTTTAAAAGTACTGCTACTGTGTACCCATGGCATTCATCAACTTTATTTTCATGATAAATAAAACCCTAAAAATCCACTATGTTTAAAAAATCCTTTGTGATTCACTCTAGCACAACATTGAATAACATAAAACACCACTTCTGAACAAGGCCAACAACACTTTCCAAACAATAGTGTTTTCTACTCAGCTTTTCTCCATTCATCAATGAGTACATAGTCAAAAAAGCAAAAAATAATTTTTGTGTGTGTTAAAAATGGCCACGGAAATTTACAAAAGCTAAAATCTAACTGCTGACATTGATTTGAAGAAAAGAGAATACAAGAGATTTTTGATTCTTAGGAAATAGAAGATTTAGATAAAATCAAGATTGGATTGCCAAATGCAGGATTGATCTATCATCTGAACAATATGCCATATGGTGTATACTGAAATAAGAAAAAATTATGTTCAACAGTTTCAATGAGAGTCCTTGAGGCAATGTAAAACTTCCAAAAAGTGAGAAATAAATTATAAGTGAAAGTTAAAAAGACAGCTAACTTTTAGTGTGAACATATGGCACCAGATATGTAACTTTTGGTGGAATTGTACTTCAAAGAAAATTCACAAGCCTTTGAAGCTATTTCTGCATTTGTGATTATGGGAATTCCCTAAGTTTTCATATACATGCCTTATGAATACCAAGCATGTATGCTCTGTCTCTCTCTCTCTCTCTCTCTCTCTCTCTCCCCCTCTCTCGATACATATGCAAATGTAACGATATTCTAGAAAATTAGGAATGTGGTTCATGAAATAATTTTGTAGACAATTTAATCCTTTGTGAATTATTTAAGGAAGTTGTGTACTTAATACTTTGTGGAGTACTCAATAAGGCTTCAGGATGAGTATGTTTTCATCCTTACCAAATTTTTTCATCTTATCAAATTTCATCAAACGTTTTCATCTTATCAAATTTCTGTTTTTTAACAGGAATTGTACTAGGTCCTAATGTAAAGCATAAATCAATGACTAGCCCTACCCATATAACACTTTCTGGAAAGCACATCACATTTGTCATCGTTTGTCTAGCACCTATATTCCCCACTGTTTATTATTAAGCTGGAGTACTAAAGTCAAGTCTTTCTCTCTTTTCTCTATATATGTATTACACAGTGCATTTCACAAATAGTTACTCACTATCAGTAGCATGAATAAGTCTTCTCTCTGCACCTCTCCTGAGAGAATTTTGCACAATTTCTCAGCCTCAGAAGATACTCAACAAATACTTTGGGTTTGTAATTAATATACTGTAAATACTTTGGAACTTGAAGTTTATCAAGCACAGAAGTTTTCATTCTTCCTCAATTTTTCATTGATGAGCATTTGCTTTCAAGTCAAATTTTAAACATGATGTATAAGTAATTTCATGGATAACATAGACAACTACCTTGCTGCATGGTGTGGTTGAGTCAGAGTCAGTACGTAAGAATGACCAGCCTGGTGGTTGAGAGACTTCTTGAAGGTGCATGTAGCATGGGTCTAGTTCCTATGAAAGACCTGCTGGACAAGAAAGGAACTTTCTGGTAGGTGCAGAAAACCCTTAGCTAGCCTTTAACGGCCGTTAAGAGGACTCCCATTTGCTATTCTGTTGGCAGCCAGGCCTAAAACAGCACACTGAAACCAGGAAGAGAAGTCTGTTTCTCTTGCTATGTCTTTGCAGCTCCTCCATTGCCCTCTTGGCAAAGCTAAACATCAAGTCATCATGTATAAAAGGAATGTTTACAAGGTCCACATATAATATTACAAGACAAGGCAAAGGAGTGTGGATTTGTACTTGAGAGCCAGTATAGTCACAACTGGTACAGGACATATTTTGACAGACAGAAATCTCACTTCCAGTGTCAGTGAGGAAACCTATGAGCAAAGCAAACATCTTTACCTTCCCAACTAGTCATGTTTGACAGTGCTTCTATCAATGCTTTTATATTATGTGTGCAATTGTGGTTTTGAATGATTATCTAGTAACCTTGATATTTATGCTCTAAAATCTTTCCCTGTCTGTACTAATAAAATATTCTGGTCCTTTGTTGTCAGTAAATGAATTTGGATTCGCTGCAGTGACATGGACCACACTGTGTTTTCCATTAAAAAATGGGAAGGTGGAAGCTCTTTGTTTTTTTCATCTGTCTTGGATGACTCTCACCATAGTTCAATAACTCTTTAGGTGATGGATATATGAGATGCTATGTTGTAGAGTCTATTCTTTAATTTGCAGCCCTCAATTATATCCGAATTTCCAATGCCATCATTCACATGACTTCTTCCCCTCATGCTCCTCTAAATATAAGGCAAAAAGTTATCTTGCATTTGTACCTGGAATGCCACACTCTTCTGAATTTTCTGAACTACAGAATGGAGAAAATCAGAATTATCAAGAAAGATTATAAGAGACTCAAGAACAAGTGACACATTAAACCTATTCTTATATTCCCCATTGTGCCAAACATAATACTGGTAACTGTGCAGACACCCAGCTAATTCTGGCAATGAGGAATTCTTCCATAAGCTTATGTTGAGTCAATTAACATTATAATCATTTTTATGAATTATTTACTACATAACAACTTGTACCCTGAAACTCCAACACAGATTGATAAAATTCTGGTTTTCCATGTCATAAAAAAGATACATTTAATTATCTGATTAATATGTTGTATTGCCTGGAACACCACGTTAAAAAAGGATTCCAAAGCCATTTTTGGCCTTAGAAGCAAAGAGAATTGGGAGAGGTTAATGATGTCATCAATGGACATAGGGAAAGGATATGCGTTACTTGTGCATCAGTTATTTCACATCAATTCACTTCAGTTTTATACAAGGCAAAGAATGTTTCTGAACAGACTATCATCTAATTAAAATTATATATTAAATTTTAATATATTTCCAGAATGCACTGTTGGCATCCATGTTAAGGCCCTGATTTTTTATATGAATGAAAAAGAACATTGATCTAAATCAACCAAAATTAAAACAAATCAAATGAACATGCAAACTGGCTAGAGTTACAGAACATTCTTTATTATACCCCATTTGACATGTGTTCACCACATATTATTTTCAAATCTTGACAATATGGCAGAACAAATACAAACTAAGGTTATATCTCCCCATAGTGGGCATACAGAGTTAACAATGAAAACACTTAATTTACATGGCAAAGAGCTTGACATTTGAAAATCTTCTGTCTGCATGAATTGATCTTATCAATATTTAAGTATTCCACCACCAATGGCTGGTAAAGAGTATTGATTGTGGAGTCAAGAAGACAGTTCAAACGTCAGTTTTACTGTTTCTTAATAATATGATCTTTAGCACATTAATTAGCTTTTCTCAACTTCAATTTTCTCTTGTGTAAAACATAGATAATGAGAACGTAGCAAATTGGGAAATGGTGAGGATTAAAGGAATTAATATGTGTGTGTGTGTACATATATATTCCCTTTGTACTAAAAAAAATTAGGTTCCTTGATTATTGCATGCGTACTCCCAATGCAATCTACATGAATAACCTGATTGTTCTCTCTCTGCATTTTAGGCATGCGGTTTTTTTTGTTTGTTGGTTTGTTTTGTTTTGCCAGGAAGCCTTTGTACTATGTTTGTTGCCTGGTCCAATTCTTTTTGCTCTTGGTGCTCAAACATTTCTTCCTCCAGGAAAGACTCCCATTACTCTTGGGCTTATCAATGTATTCCCTCTCTGCTATCCCCTAGCATGCTGCACCTACTTCTATTTACTCATTAGTTGCTAATGTGTCTTTTCTAGCACTCGTCAAACCATGTGTAGTGATGCACATCTTAATGTAATTTGCATCTCATGTCCTCAGTGCCAACTACAGGGACTGCTTTTTTTTTTTTACACATACTACCTCTAATATTGTTTCCAATTGTACTTAAAAATGTATATATATATACACACAGATGAAGTCATTGAATTCTGTTCCAATAAGAGATAAGAGGAGGTGGAATACATGCAACCTGGAATCTAAGCCCTGGATTATCTTTGCTTCTGCTCCTTTACTGCCATCTTCTGACACGATCTGTGTTTGCTGCTGGGATCATTTGTCACTTCTCTGAAGCTCTTCTCTTTGTGCGCTATCTAGGCAGCACCAAGGAATTTGAGCCAAGGCTACTAAAGCTGTTGTTGAAGAAGATATGTTTTACTTTTTTTTTTTTTTTACCTTTTTTAAAATTATACTTTAAGTTCTAGGGTACATGTGCACAACATGCAGTTTTGTTACATAGCATTAGGAGACATACCTAATGCAAATGACGAGTTAACGGGTGCAGCACACCAACATGGCACAGGTATGCTTTACTTTCATCTGAAATTCAGTGCTTCCTCTGATTCGTTTTCCTGGTGGGAAAGGCTAGGCAATTATCAAAATCTGTTCTAGGAATATTGCATCAGAATCAAAGCTATTAAAATAAAAATATAGCACATTGTTCAACGCAAAAATAAAAATATAGCACATTATTCAACGTAGTTGTTTACTTGCTGATTATTTTTAAGATGTTGTCTTAAGAGTCAAGAGGCACAGATTACAGTCAAATGTGAACGTGAAAAAGTCACTAGGTCTCATTTATAAAATGATAAGATTGAGAGTGATTGTCTTTGATGTCTTTTAGAGGCATCAACCTTTTTGCTTCTTTTTAGTTTATGGGCAAGTTCATTCTCACTCCCCTAGTCTAGTGCATATGCCAAAATTTTACCTTATAAAAATACACATTGATGTCAAAACATGTCCATGTGACTAATCTCACACATAATTTTAACTATCATGTGAAATATTCAGGGAAGATATTGCCTTTTATATTTTATAGTTGAGAAGACTTGCACATGGATTGAAGGCTAAAAGCAAAATCTGGCTACAAGCCTGTGTTCTTCCTCCTTTCGACAAAATTATTTTTGTGCACTGTGACTATTTCAAAACTATACAAAGATAAACTTGTCTATAAAATCATAGAACATGAGTATATATAAGAAAAGATATGAGTCTACTGCAAAACAAAAGATTGTAAAGCATTTTTAAATTAAAAATGATTTTTGAGAGGAATCTGTATTTAAATTACTTTCAATCTTATCTCTCTGTAAAGGAAGAAAACAGTAGTTAGGTTTCCTAAAAGTACAATACCCAGAAAATGTGATATAAGCCATCTGATTCTGAACTATAAATTTCTGATATAGAAATTAAATTATTTACAAATATCCAATTTAACCAATTAAAACTGAGGTAATAAATGAACAATAGAACATTGTATATAATATCAGTCATTGTACTTTCATAGCACAAATGATTCATTGGTTTTCCTTACAGACATTTAAATATTTTAAACAGAGATACCAGAAAAATCTCTATTGGAATGTTTGGTTAAAAAAAAAAAGAAGGGTGCATAACCTCTACATAAAAATATTTAGTCAGGTTAAGTTGAAACGATTTTTATTCTGTTTTGTTTCAACCCTAGAGTTGCTTTACTGTGTAGGGTCTAATTAACATAATTTATTTCTGGTTGATTAAAGACAATAAATGGTCTTTAAGTTACTAGTAACTGTATTATGTGTAAGCCCTCCCTATCTAGTGTGATTGGTTGTAAATATGAGAGCTAGGATGAAGGTATAATTATCACATATCATATATCTAAATTTTTATTAAAAGTAAATCCCTTCTCCCATTATTGTTAATTTTATAATTAAAATATAGATATTTTACAAGATACTTCAAGTTTTAGAGATACATACTATTAAAGTTCGTATTGCTATATAGCAAATCAGCCCAAAATGTAATGACTAAATCAAACAAAAATAGTGTCATTATTACCTTTTATTTCTCTAGAGGTTGACTGGGCTCAGCCAAGAAGTTCTAATTAAAGGTCTCCCATGTGGTGGCAGGCAGAGGCGACTGAGCTTAGGGTGTGCTTCAGGTCTTCTTCACTTGCTTGCCTGGTGACTGACCTTGGTTAGCACCTGAGACCTAAAGTTGTGGCAGCCAGAACACCTACACATGTAGCCTCACCTTCCTCACAGCATGGTAGCTGAGTTTAAAGAGAACACCTTCCAAGAAATAAAAAAATGTAAGCTGTCACATTCTTACGCCCTGGGCCTGTAAACTGTCCTTGTGCCACATATCAATTTCACCATATTCTATTGTTCAATCAGAGAGTTTATCTTCAAGGGAAGCAGACACAGATACTACCTTCCAAAGGAACAAATGTCAATTAATTTGGTGACGGTTTTGAAACTGTCAGAGTTGTTGTTTCTCTGGTCACAGATTATTCACATATCAACTCCATGCAAACAACACTCATTTACTTCCAATGACCCCTTTCCCAAAGTAGCATCTCTTTATGAAATTATAGTCAAGGTCAAGTGCTGGATATTGTCTTCTATTTCAGGTCCACATCCAGATGAACTTTGGGAATATGTTTCCTACAATAGCAATTTTTGAGTGCAGTTTTTTTTTTCAATATAAAGAACTCAGAACTAAAGAGACAAGTTATTTTTTCCCCCACAATTAACATGCAATGTTTAGGAAGGCATAGAATAACTGACGTTTAATAAAGGGGGAAACAGTTTCACACGGCAGTCACAGCAGTCACTCATCCTTAGAAATTTTTTGAAATATTGCTGAGTATAAGTTTTCAATCTCTTGATGAAGAGTCAGTCCTAGTGCCTGAGAATGATTTTGCAATGTTTTGGGCTCTACCCTCTTGGCTGTTGGCTCTGTCCTCTGATTCACCCTTCCTTTTTAATAAAAAATTACTGGTGTTTGCTGCTAGGTAGTCTCCTTGTTCAGCTTTCTTCCTGTAGCAGATCAAGGGGGCAAAGGTTTCTTTTCATTTTTATTATTGTCTCTGGACTTTTAGTACAAGCTGGTAGTACATCTACCAGAAACTAAAAACAGAAAAAAAATTACTTTTAAAATTTTGTAAGATTTCTATGAATTTAATTTGGGCTGCTGAATTAGACAAAAGCCACAACCACTAATCTTTTTTTTTTTCTTTTTTTTTTAGATTAGTCCTTTCTTACCTTGGGTTATCTTTGAAGCTGATGTGGAACCATATCCCAATGATTATTAGAAGTTTTATTATTTAACAGAGTGAATCCGTGTGGCATGTCCTTAAGACCTTAGAGGATCCTTGACAATCTAAATGGTCCTATGGGTAGTTGCATAAAATATTTCCGATGTCTTTTAAAAAAATGTAATTGTCTAACCTTGAAGTTAATCTATAACCTTAAGCCGTTGTGCTCTCAGGAGATACTGGGAATGAGAAAGTTTAATTTTTATACCCAGCAAATCCTGGCTTCATTTTATTTAACAGCTAATTCTTTAGCTTATCTTTGTCTTCTCACATTTTATTACATACAGTACAGGGATGTGAAGTAGTGCTTGCAGTATTCTGTCTAGAAATCTCTATATCACCAAGTCCATTGGGAACATTTCCTATTTTCCACATTACTTCATAAGACAGTGTTGCCAAATTTCTGCCATTACATAACAAATATCCCTTATCCTCTAGCTTTATTTTTCCTCCCTTTAAGCTCTCACTAACGACTTCCTCAAGGTCACTGAGGTTTTCAGTATTATTTTTCCTGATGCTTTTTAGGTTTTTCTACTCTCCTTGAGGCTCTTCCTCCATCAGTCCGCCACCTGGTCCCAAAGCCAATACCACGTATTTTAGGTGGTTTTTGTAGTATAAAATTCTAGGTACTGAAATCTAGTTGAGTTATCATTTGCTGAAGAACAAGTCACCCCAAATACTAGTGAAATTACAAAAAAAAATTTATTTTCTATGGTTTTGGGGGATGACTGGAATAAACTAGGTAGTTTTAGATAAATATCTTTCATGTGGCTGCTTTCAGATGGTGATTGGGACTAGGTTTATTTTGAAGACTTACTTGTGTAGAGGTTGATGCTGACCGATGGCTAGAACTTTGTCTGAGGTTGTTCTCTGGAATCTGCATATATATATATATATGAATCCATGGTGTGGGGAAACCCAGACCCTATCCATACATCATATATATGTATAGATTTTTAATGAGTTAAAACTTTAAAATAAACAGTTTTGTGGAGAATGTAAATAAAAAGGTCATTTGAATGTGAATCACTGTATGCTTATAAAATCTTTCTATAGTCCAATTAAAGTTGAATTAAAATAAAAATTTTAAATGTGTACCCAAGGATCCAGATGTTGAACTTCTACTCATCTCTCAAGAGATGACTCTTGAGAAGAATACTTCAAGTACACAAAGATGTTGTAAAATTACAAGAGAGCACAAATAATATTTTTAGTGATGGTTATCTCAGAGGAGGGCATAAGAAGAGTCAGGGTATAATAGAAAACTCTAGCCATTCGCCATAGTCATCTTTCCCTTCTTTGGGCACATGGCTCGATTCCTATACTCTACGGCAAATAGGTGCTTAGTTATTTTGAGCATAAAAGATTCATAATACAATACTTCTAAACTTGATCCATAGAAATTTCATGAAATTATTCCTGATTCCCAGGCTAGATGAATATCATATTCTTCCTCTGTGCTGACTCAGTGCTAATAGTGCTAATCTCACTCTCACTGTATTTAAATTGCTTTTTATACCCTCTATATCTTCCACAAATAACCTGAGAGACAAATTAACTCCTCAACAAGTATTTGCTGGATATAAACATTAATGTGACAAATCACATGAAATGATTTGGTTTATTTGTTCTGTGTACTTTAAAGTGCCTTGCAAATTCATGATTTAATCTTTCTCTTAATGACAATAAATATATCTTAGGAGAATAAGACATCTTAGAAATTATTTCTATATGTTACAAAAATAGGAAGACAAAAAGAAAAATGGAACACAAGGGAAAGAAGAGATCTCTCTAAATGGAAATTTATAATAGTAATGTCACGTCATAAATAAAGATAGTAGAAGGGAAATTTTCTAATTGACAAGGTAGAGTAAAATACTCATGGCTTGTACATCAGGCAGGATAACTAGTAGTTTATCATCCTCCTGACTTGCTAAGATATAAGGAAATCATAGAACATCACAAATTAACGCTGTTTTCTTCTATTTTGTAATGAAGATAGAAATGCCTATGTTCTCAGAAGATTGCAGAGAGAAGAGAAAGGCAGGGATATCAAGCAGAATTGGCAAGGTCTCTTTCCAAAGAAAAGTGAATAATCAATAGCATCTACATCTATAGTGGTAGTAAGAATCTAAAGACCCTAAAAGTCAGCTTTGTGAGAAAGAAAGTTCTTTGCTTGGTGGACAACTCAAACCTTCCTTTATGCATTATCTGTGTTCTTTTTGACCTTATTTGGCTACCACAGTTTTCTCTTGAATTGCACCATTGGCAAGGAAACACATTTTTTAAAATCCTAAAGAATTCACTGGGTTCCAGAGTCCTTCTTGACCCCATTGTCTGGCACAAACCCCAAAGTCTGCTCTGTAAACAGGGTATCAATGATTCTGGCTGCTATAATGAGCACCATATCTCCCTCTTGGTTTAGAGACATGAGTAACTCATATGACCATGACTGTCTCCTGATGGACACAGTACTACTTTGGGCACATAGGCTTCAAATTCACTGAGCCCAAGATCATGGAAACAAGAATCAAAAATTCCTTAAGTGAATATTAGGTGAAATAGTGATAGGGTCTCCATTCCACTTCTTGATTCTTGAAAGTGTACTATAGTTATAAGGAAGGTTGCATGATATGTTATCCATATCATATTAGACATCATCCCAATCTCACTGGGTGTTTTCTCTTAGCTGGTACTCTAGCTGAGCCTTAAGCAGGCCATCACACATGTCTCTCAAGTCAAGTCCTTCAAGACAATAGGGATGAAGTGATATTGTCACTGTGATTTCAAGTCTTCAATCAACATATTATATATCAGGTAATACATTTAACTTGATCTTGTTTATCCTTTCTACTTACATCCTTAAAATTCATTCACATAACATTTTTCTTCAGAATCATTCCGATTTAAAATGATTAAATTCCCAATATTTTGGGGAATTTATGGCATTGACTGTTGGTTTAGACCTTATATTTCTGGTCCGGTTTATACTGGTATCTAACTCTCATTATGGGCTGAAAGGACATTGTAGGAGTACGTCCTTGCTAGCAAAAAAGTTTATAGGGAGTTGGAAATTCAAAATTCTAAGCCTTGTAGGTCCTAATCAAATGTCCTCATTTCCTGAATCAGGATCTCATTCCATCCTACTAGTATCATTACTTCAGCACAGGGGTCAACAAATTTCCTCTGTAAAGGGCCAAATAATAAAAATTATCAGTTTTTCAGGCTTATGTTCTTTATTATAACTGCTCAACTCTGCCATTAGAAAGTAACCATTGGTAATAGGCAAATTAATATGAATAAAATTATTTTACAAAAACTTCCTTTACAAAAGCTGGTGATGGGACAGATTTAGGCAGTTTGAAGTTTGCCTACTTCTACTTTAGTCTATCAAGCGTGGCAGGCTGGGCACTTAACTGGTGGTACAGTTAAAAACTTATCTTCAAGTCATGGGATTGATTTTCAGTCATATATACTACTGAAGTTAAATCACTTTTAAACATTGCTAGAGAGGTCCTCCAATTTTCCTTTTGTGCTTTTGGTTAGGCATTGAATTTTTTGTGTGTGTGTGTATATACGCTCTAGTTTCGTCAGAAATTACAGTACTTGCATCAATTGTTTTCAATTATCATCATTAAGCTGAATTATTATGTGTGCTATAGATAGTTCATTCCTCAAAAGCTTGTCCTCCACTTGAATTGCATTCAGGGCTGGCTATACAATTTCTGGGGCACAGTGCACAGTAAAAATGTAAGCCCTGGTTCAAAAAGTTGGAAAAAAAAAAACTTTCCATGGTTTCTTATTCAATTGCCATAGATTTTGTTTTTGTTTTGTTTTGTTTTGTTTTGCTATTAACTATCATATTTGCTCAGGCTTGAACAACAGCACTGTTAGTGAAGTCATAGCCAGAAGATGAGGATGAGGTGAGTAGTCAGCCATTTTCACGTGTTCGATAGTTAACAAGTTTGGATTCAAGTGATGTTATGTGAATCATCTGTTTTTATGCTTTGAATTTTACATATACACTATGTAACATAGAAAGAGTGGTGTTGAAGAAAGAATGCTAAGTAAATACAAAAAGTGGACCCCCATCCCAAATGCACCACTTTGGGCAAGAAATCTACTCTCTGTGGAGCTCAATTTTTGCATTTGTAAAGTAAATAGCCTGAACTAAGTGACTTCAGGGTTCTTTCGATACTTAATGTACATAGTTTTATAAAATAAAGTAATAGAAGGAAAACTTAAATCACAGGTTATGAACTTCAGATTGCAAAGATGAACAGATGGAATGAGGATAAAATAGACAATTTTAATGACAAAACTTTATGACAAGCCTCAGATAAATTTACCTGGCAGAATCGATCTATATAAAAATCAATCTATACTTGTGGAAAGAAAAGTGAGAAAAATTGAACACCAAGGAATTCATGATATATCACAATCATTTTTTGACTACAAGGACATCAATTTTCTGTAATTGCTTATACAAGTCACTGACAGATGCTTAATGTATTAAAAATTCATAAATTTTTCCAAACCACATTTTATTTTTTGACTGCAGACTTTTTGATGCGTTTAACAGGGGCCTTCAATGGATATAAAGAGGACTTCTGTTTTGTTTTGTTTTAATTTTTATTTATTTATTTTTTGCTTTATTTGAAGGTTTTTCAAAGAAAGGTAGAAAACCTGCATTGGAAGAGTGAAGCAGTTCATATATTACTTTGAACAGAAACAGAAGGGAAATGGGAAAAAATTTAGAAAATAAAGGAAAGAATGTCCTTTCCATTAAGAATTTTCTGAAAGGTTGTTGTTTTCTAAAACAGTAAAGGAGGCCAAGATCCTTCAAGAGGAAGCAGGAATGCAGTGTTCTTCAAAATTATCTAGCCAGCAGTCTGGAGCTTCCCTGGTTTTCAGGCTTGCTAAATTCCATAGAGGTTCAGTTTTTTCCTTGAGTCTGTGAAACGCTTCAACATTCTTGAAACAAAAAACTTCTTATTTTTAATAATAAAAATATTGTGTTAAATTCTGTGTTTTGTTTTTTGTTTGTATGTTTGGTTGCTATAATTAGATGAATTACAAAAATGAGACCTAAGAAAAAAGCATTAATGCCTACCAGAAGATTTGTCTTGAGTATCTCCGTGGGGATAGAAACTGTAGACATTTGGATTTCAGTTCAATATAAAAAAGAACTTTCTTTTACTCAGAATATTACAAAGATGGGCTGAACTGCTTCAAAAAGCAGGTGACAAAACATGAACTGGGTGACCATATCATAATGAAGTTGCAATTATAGAGTGGATGCAGCTAATGTTATTGGATTATATTATATATGCTTCTTTTGTTGTTTAAGATACACTGAAGAGAAATAAATTTGCATTTATATGGTAAAGAGGTCAGTTTATGAGCATTGCCAAATAACAAACTTACTGTTTAAAAGGAGAAAAGTTATGGATACAAAAGGCCCTTTCATCCATCACTATATATACAGCTTTAACAATTCAGGAACTAGCAAAAAATTCTGTAATAATGTCATTATAACTTTGCTGGGTCATGAACTTAATGCACCAAAAGAGGCTGTTTGAGAATAAGCCTTGCTTATCTCATACCATTGATATGCACTGAACTTTCTTTTTCTGCATGCAGTAGTTTTCTTTATGTGTCTGAGAGTTTCATTGTTTTTTTTTCAGCTAGACTTTACAGCCATTTAAGGAAGAGTGTATGTTTTAATGATTGAAGGAATTTAAAATCCATTAGTGTCTCTGAAATTATTTCTCCTTAGTATCAAGAGATAATTCTTTTTTGATGATACTCCAAGAAAAATTAGAGCAACAGTTTTGGGTAAAGTTCAGATTATACACCATCAAGCAAAGGGCAAAAAACATGAGATGAGGTGGTGAAAGGAAATGAGTGTTGTCCTAAAGTAAATAAAGGAAATTCAGCTGTGTTTGAACCTGGCTTTCACACTGCATACCTGCATAACTGCAAAAAAGCAACTTCATCTCTCAGAGCCACCATTTCCTTACATGCACAATTAGGATAATTTCACAACTAGAGCTGTTGTGAAATTTATAGCAAATATTTGAGAAAACTATGAATATTACTATTTGCTTATAATTTGAAAATACAAATTATAAACAAATACTAGTTACTTTAGTTAATTTAATAGTCATATCAAACCTATAAGTAACACAGGAACTTCAGAGAGCTGGTGATTCAGTGTGAAATATGCTCACAATCTTGTCCTATCTTTCAGAATGTAGAAGAAATTGCTATTAAATCACATGGGCCACTACTGGTTGTAGACATATTTGTTTACTGAAGTCACTATTTTTATCCTGGAGTATTTGATTAGCTGTCTTAATCACAGACAGTTCAAAGGAAGAAAATCAAATATTTGAACCATAGGGAGAGTTGCCGAGAAACATCAACGCTTCCAGGTGAATAAAGTGGTTATTAGGGTCTAAATGAAATAGTTCAGAACCTCCTCCCACCATCACTCTCTACATGCCTACTCCTAATATGTTTTGGAGTCTGGGGGTGTTTGCATTTCTTCTTTCAACTCAGGGATCTACTGGACCTCTCACTCAGGGTCGACTGCCTCTCATATTGCCTTCACCTGTTCAACCGTTCATAGTTTTCAGTCTTCTCTCAGTAATCCTTTCTCATCTGGTATTTCACAAAATGTTTTGTTCTGTTTTGTTATTTCCACTTTGATCATCTCATTTGTTTGAGATTCTCTTTGCAAATCTCCTGGGACTTTTTGTTTTGCCCTATCCCTTTCTTTTTCAGCTTGTATTACTGTTCTGGACATGAGTGCAAAACAAAACACAATAAAGGTTTCAAATAATAACTCACTGAAAATGTTGACATCAGTAATGTAAATTGCCTCTGTTTTCCCCAATGACAGGTTTCCATCCAGAATCAACAAACCCTCCAAGTTAGAGTAAATTTTTCCTTGTGCTTTAGTTTCTATATATGAAATAAGCCTATAATTCTGAAAGGCATTACTGCTTATGAGAGGTGGAAAAGAATTTTTGCAAATCTCATTTTAACATGTGATGATGGCAATTTAGGAGTACCTACTTTTTAGCCCATTGTTGGTTAATATCTTTCGTAGAAGAGATGACAATTTCTCCTCATTAGGTGCCTTTGCTAGGCTAAGATCAACAATAATTAGCATATTTTGTCAGCTACTTGGAAAATTTCCAAGTCATTAGCAAAATTATGTGAAATAATCTCCAGGCTAAGATGATCAGACTAGAAGCAGATAGGCATAGTAAAAAGCTTGCTAAACACAATGAAAATGAAGAGATTATGTTTCTGGAAAGAAAGTTCATATGGACATCTGTTTATTTCCACTTAATCAGTTCAACAACTTGAATTTGGGCCTAAGAAAATAATTTTTTGTATATTTGATTTTGTCTTTGTTTTCTAATTATGAGATCTTTTCTTTTCTTTTTTTTATTATTATTATACTTTAAGTTTTAGGGTACATGCACACAACGTGCAGGTTTGTTACATATGTATACATGTGCCATGTTGGGGTGTGCTGCACCCATTAACTGATCATTAGCATTAGGTATGTCTCCTAATGCTCTCCGTCCCCTCTTCCCCCACTCCACAACAGTCCCCGGGTACACTGTTGGTGGGACTGTAAACTAGTTCAACCATTGTGGTGTGGCGATTCCTCAGGGATCTAGAACTAGAAATACCATTTGACCCAGCCATCCCATTACTGGGTATATACCCAAAGGATTATAAATCATGCTGCTATAAAGACACATGCACACGTATGCTTGTTGCAGCACTATTCACAATAGCAAAGACTTGGAACCAACCCAAACGTCCAACAATGATAGACTGGATTAAGAGATCATTTGTTTTAACTTTGATTATATGAGGTGATGAATGTCTCCTCAGGTTCCCTAATTCTTTACCTTTCACAGGTTAGCCATGCTTAGAGATCTCAGTATGGACTGATTTAGTTTTAACTGTTTTAACACTTTTAATGACTATTATATCTCAAAAGTTAATACTTTTGGCTGGGCGTGGTGGCTTACGCCTGTAATCCCAGCACCTTGGGAGGCCTAGGCGAGTGAACCACCTGAGGTCAGGAGTTTGAGACCAGCCTGGCCAGCATGGTGAGACCCATCTCTACTAAAAACACAAAAAATTACCTGGGTCTGGTGGGCACCTTTAATGCCAGCTACTTGGGAGGCTGAGGCAGGAGAATCACTTGAAACTGGGAGGCGGAGATTGCGATGAGCCAAGATCGTGCCACTACACTACAGCCTGGGCAACAGAGGAGATTCCGTCTCAAAAAAAAAATTTTATACCTTCTGCACCTTTAAATACTTCAGAAGAGCAACAACATATAGGACTGGCTATGAAAGAGTATAATATTGATTTAAATTTTTGAAGACAAAATTATGAAAAAAAATTGATATTAACCTACAAATGGCAAAGCTACCAACCACCTGATAATATGTCTGTCTCAAATTCAATAGAATTTAAAATCTATTAATTGTCTTAATTTCCTACTTCATTCTATATCATCACTTGCTGTTCTCACGATTCATTTTTCCTATCAGAAGTGAATGTGAAGTTTGATAATAGTAAGACATGTGTACTCCTTAATTTAATAAATGTGATGTGTACTCCTTAATTTAATGAATATATACAATTCACTTTTTATATGCTAGGCACATAAATTATATAGCATAACTTGCCTTTCTTTTTCAAACTGTTTCAGCTAGTATAGGACATTAAAATTGCCAATAAATTTTATAGTTTATCAATGTATTTTTAAAAATCCTGTCAGAATTTTGATTGAGGTCAAGTTGAGTCTATAATAACTTAGGAGAAAATTTACATCTTATTAATGTTGAATCTTTCAATTCATGGGCCTGGTATGTCTAAGTACTTTTCTTCACTATCATATAGACATACTAAACATAGTAAAAGTACTTGTTAGCTCTATAAGCTTCCATTTTTTTATTCCCTAGGATTTTTCTTTACATGGAAAAACATGTTATCTGCAAACAGAAACACTTTGTTTCTTCCTTTTTGAAAGACCATGTCATCTGAAAAGAGAAACTTTTATTACTTCCTATGTAAACTTTACGGTTCTTGCATTAATTTATTAGCTAGGATGTCCAGTGAAAGGTTGAATAGGGTTGGTGAGACTTTCTTGCCTTGTTCTAGATCTTGGAACAAGAACACTCAGCCTTTCACCATGAGTTATAATGCTACCTGTAAGTTTTCCTTGGATGCCCTTTTTAGATTGAGTTTCTTTCTATTCTTAATTAGTTAAGAATTTTTATTATCAGCCCCTGAACTGGAACCAAGCGACGAAAAGCAGAAAAAGAAAGTGAGTTAGGGATTGTGGAACTAAAACCTATTTCTTTGTGATTGCAGTAACTATAGTTTCTATACAAATCTTAAATAATCTGGTTGAACTAGAAATTTCAAGCTATTATTTCCCTGTTTAAAATCCTTCATCCATGTATCATCTTCTATAGGATGAAATCTAGTTCACTTTGAATGATGCTTATGGCCCTCAGTACTACAGCCTAGGCCTTCAGCTGCATCTCATTTCTCTTGATTCTCCTGAATGCATTTCTGCACTCTTGCTGTTTGAGCTATGTGCATTTTTAAAAACATACTATAGCTGTCAACTCTATTTTGTAACTGCCATTTATTCTGTCTGGAATGCCTTTTTAGTTAGCACTATGGGGAAAACTTCTACTCCCTTAATTTGAAACATTTCTATGAACCAGTCCCAAATCTTCCAAACCTTATTGTAAACATTTTTTTTTCAGTGCACGATGAAGCAGAATATTTCCCTGACCCCTTTGCAGGACTTACGACAGGCGTGCCTCATGTACTCAGCCCACCACTCTCAATTCCTCGTGGGAGGGAACGTTGGTTGCCCATTCTGAGACAGAGGGAAATAGGCATCCCTAATTTTCTTTCCCTCTTTCAGTGAAAACTCAGGGTGTAAGCAGAAAGAAAATAGGCATCTCCCTTTTCTCTTCCATCATTTTATTCCTGAGTCCCAGCAACCTTAGATGGATGCCACCCATGGGTGCTATTGTGGCCTGCACCTGTGAAGCAGGGAGGGCCTAGAAAATAGGAGTTACCTGCATTCACATACGCCTCCATCCCCCCTACTGCTGGCCACCTTTGGGTTCCTTAGGGCCTTACCTATGCCATGGAGCATGACTTCCTTCCATGAAGGGGGGGCTTAATCAGCAAGAATTAGTCCTGCCCATTTACACTTTGCTCAGTGTCTGGCTTTGGATCCCTCGGGTCTCATTTTCCCTTCCTGGGCTTCAACCAAAGTTTACAATTAGTTTGGAAAAAAAGGTGTCTCAGAGGGTGCATGGATTAATTTAGATTAAGTCCCAGACGGGCCTTGCCAAATTTGCAGTTATTAGCCAGTGGGGTCACTCCTTTGTTGTTTACCTACCATAAGCAGAGTGCTAAGGTGGGAAAGAAAACTCTCTCACACAGAAAAGGGAAAAAGAGAAAAACAGCTTAAGTGCAATGCAGGGACTTGCTCTATGCAAATGGGTTCCTTTAATTGTTGTATCTTTCCTCTGGACCAAGCTAGACCCCTCAGCCAGGGGAAGAAAGACTCTATGGGAGCATTGCGGGACGGGGACAGTGAGCAGAAAACATTGGCCAACTAGTCGTGTGAGGTCCCTGGCCCTGAGACTGCCTGGGGCCTTGGAGGCAGCCAGGGTTCTCTCCCGCCCTGCATGGCTGTTGGGCACAGCTGCGGACGTGCCCAAGAGCCTCAGCCAAGAGAGGAGGAGGCGAGAAGGGGAGCCACTGTGCACAGTGGGCACCTGCAGTTGTTGGGGTTGGGGTCAGGGTCGCACCTCTAAGAACAAATGGAAATCACATTGTTCTGTATTGCATATCTGGTTGCTGGGCCAAATGCTTATTCTACCTACTAACGTTTCTGCAGTTTGTGGCAAAACCCTTAACATTATAAAAGAAGAAATAGGAGCCATTTCAAACTGTGAAAGAAGAAAAGAAAGATACCATAGAAAAGTCTAGGGGTCTTGGCCCATGCCTTAATGGGCGATCGGGAACAAGGTCCAGTCCAGGAGCCTTCCAGCTACACTGAGGAATGGCCTTGGCTAGATGCCTTCAGTTGCCCCGGGACTTATTCTGGTCCCACGCGTTGGCTAGACTTCCATGAAGGGAAACAGACCCAACTTTCCTTTCACCCGAAAGAAAGAGAGATGTGGCAGAGTTGCATCTTGTTCTCTGAAAATGGCATAGCTCAGAGGAAAGTCTGAGGACAAGACGTCTTGGAAAAAAGTGAAGAGACAGATCCGGCAGATCCTCATTTACTCAACCTTCTGCCGAATCTTGGACAAGCCCCAGATGAAGCAGGGTATTTCCCTGACCCCTTCGCGGGACTCACAACAGGGGAGTGCCTCGTTTACTCAGGCCGCTGCTCTCAATTCCTTGCAGGAGTGAGCGTGCGAGCAGACAAGGCGGGAACTGGAGTGCACGAGCGCTGGAACCGGATGGCCACTTTGATGCCGGCAGGAGCGAACTCTGTGTGGGTCCTGCGGCACCGTCCAGTAGAGGTACCTGCAACTCCGGAAGCCCCAGAGGGCGCATTACAGTGCTCTTTTAGCTATGCCAACCGTGAGTGGCTGAGGTGTTAACAGCTTAGTGGGCACTTTGCCTCATCGCATGGGAAAACTGCCCTCCAGACGCCAGTGGCGGCAAAGGGCCAGTGTGACAGCATTTTGTATCTTCACTCGTGGCTCCTGAGTTCCCGTCTGCCACCCAGGGAAAATGAGGTCACATGAGTGAAATGAAGGATGGTAAATGCAGGGGATTTTATTGCCAATGATGAAAGTGGCTCTCAGCAGGAAGGGGAGCTGAAAAGGGGACGGGGGTAAGTAATCTTCCCCTGAAGTCTACCCATCTCCAGCTGGATTCTTCTCCGAAGTTATGCCATCAAGCTGTCACTCTGAAGTCAAGCCGCTTCGTTCTGACATCCAGCCATAGTCTCTGATGTCCAGCTGCTTCTCCTCTCTGCCAGCTGAGTTTGGGGTCTTTATAGGCACAGGATGGGGCAGGGCAGGGCCACGGGTCGTTTAGGAAAAGGCAACATTCAAGCGGGAATATAGGAATGTAAGTTCTCACTCTGGGCTGCGGTTTCAGGCTTTTTGGCTTGAGGGTGGGGTTGTCACCAGGGACTCGCCCTTTTCTGCCTAGAATTTCTCTGCCTCCTGTCCCTATCACAATGACAATTACTATTTGTTCTCTTGCTTGACTTATCCACTCAACTATGAACTTCTTAAAAGATTTGGCCCTAGATGCTTTTATTTGTGTCCTGAAGGCTTAACTTACTGATGTCTAACAAATGGCACATGCTGACAGTTTAGAGTGAATCATCGAAGGAAGGAGACAGTTTCCCTGGATTTGCTGAGGCTGAGAACCAGTGTCTTGACAGAAACAGTCAAGTAGGATTGGCTTATCCTTGTATTTACATATGGAAATACCTGAAGGAATTCTGAACTTGATAGAATTACTAATGTCTGATTATTAATTTTGAACAAGTATGAAATATGTTTAAAATACATTATCAAAATAGGGTTAATTAATGCAATTGTTGACATAGAGCATCTGAAACAACTTCCATCTCTTCCCTTTCAATACTCTAATGAGGCAAAAGAAATGACATTCAGTTGGAATATATCTATAAAACTTTTCAGCTATGTGAATTCCAAGAATAAATATAATTATTGGTCACACTTGAAAATGTATTTTCCATATTCCTAAACATTAACAAGAAGTTGACTTTATTCCACTCTTTACTTTCCCCATTATTAGCATCCTGAAGAATAACTTCTCTTATCTGATTTTAAATGAAGCATAGTCTGGGTGTCGATTTGTGCAGGATGATTTTCCAGGAATAGATCAACTTGTAAGTAGATTTAAGGCAATGAAAACTCAGATATGCCTATTTTTGTTTCAGGGTATGAAACAAGAGGTAAACCACAGTAACTGCCTACATAAGATTGGCAAATAAATGGATGAAGGGGACTGAAATATGTCAGATGGATGTGTCAGGCTGGAGGAGTGAGTTTCCTGACATGGAAGAAATAAAGCCACTGCTTCCTTCAGTTACATGTTCAGTAAAGAACTGCATAGATTTCAGCCATGAAGCTCCATGTGGGCTGGTAATTCTGTCCTATTCGAAGCCAATCTCTCCTACCCAGCTGGTGAGCTAAGGGAGTTTTCTAAGACTCTCAGCCGATCTGTGGCACATATCTTGTATCAATGTTTCGTACAAGATATAGTTTTATGGAGCCTTTAGTCCAATTTTGCTACAGCCAATGGAGATTTCTGTCACATAATATTTAACTTCTTTTCAGAAAGGACCATTCTGAAGCAAGGCACACTTTATCCTGAATGCTGCCACTTTATTTTGATGAGGGGTAAGGGTGTGTTATCTAGGAAGCGCATGACAGAATGTCATAGCAATGAGATACTGTGTTGATGCTATCAGATGTTTCTCAAACACTAAGTTTCCCATTAGTACTTGTAGAGATTCACAGAAAAATTTCTCCAAGAATGCCACTCAGATTCCCATGATCACCAATTATATCTTTTACTTATTTTTCCAGATATTTAATTTTCCTCATTAAATTTTAATCAAGTAACCTTGACACACATACATTTTTAAATGAAGTCATACATAGGAATGTCTAAACAACAAAGCTTTTTTTTCCTTTAGTGTCTTTCTCTTTTTTTTTTTGTAAGAATAATTATGATTGAAGACTGAATGATAAATCATTAAGAAATAACAGGTATCAAGGTGGGTGGATCACTAGGTCAGGAGATCAAGACCATCCTGGCCAACATGGTGAAACCCCACCTCTACTAAAAATACAAAATTAGCTTGGTGTGGTGGTGTGTGCCTGTAGTCCCAGCTACTAGGGAGGCTGAGGCAAGAGAATTGCTGGAACCTGGGAGGTGGACACTGCAGTGAGCCGAGATGACACCACTGCACTCCAGCCTGGGCCACAGAGCAGGACTAAAGAAAGAAAGAAAGAAAGAAAGAGAGAGAGAGAGAGAGAGAGAGAGAGAGAGAGAGAGAGAGAGAGAGAGAGAGAGAGAGAAAGAAAGAAAGAAAGAAAGAAAGAAAGAAAGAAAGAAAGAAAGAAAGAAAAGAAAGAAAGGGGGGGAGGGGAGGGAGGAAGGAAAAAGAAAAGAAAGGAAGGAAGGAAGGAAAGAAAAAGCAGGTTTTGCAAAACAGAAAACTTTATTTTAGATCTAGTGAGACAAGTTTGTGTCTATAAGGCAAGCTTACACATTGTGGAAAGAAAATAAAGCAATATAAAACAAAATAAATGCCACTATATATAATCAAAACATCAATAATTATTTTTTCACATTGGAATAACCTCCAACTGTTGTTAAGAACATGACTTCTCTTGGACTTTCTGTAAATGTAGTCCAAGAAAATGTCTTTGGATAGAAGCATAGCCACTGCTTGAATACTGACAACCCGAGAGCAAATTAGCAGTAGACTTGATTTTTAAATAACTTCTGTCTTAGACAATTTAACATTTGCTGTGTTTTCAGTGATCTGAGAACTTCAAAGTTTTTCCTCACATATTGTCAAGATTTTAAACCCTGAGTTTTGAGTGCAGGTGTGTACCATTAATGAACCACAGGTAATGATACTGAATTAGCATTGCCTAATCAATGCCAGAAAACATTGGCTTCTCAATAAAGATTTGATACAAGACTGGAAACTGATTATCATACAGTTAAATTCTGGAGGGCACTATTTCCCAAAGTTTAGTCCAAAATGATCTGAGGAGGAATCAACTAAAATGCAGTTTTCTAAGCCCCACTGTAGAATTTCCAAACCAGAATTTCTGAGGGAACAGTGCTAAAGAGAGGAAATAAGTACTATTAAGTAACTCCTCCAGAAAACTTTTTCACACTAAAATTTGAGAAACATTGTTCAGAATTATATTAGGCAAGTAATGCAAGTTATTCTGTTATTTCCTCTTAAATTTTCATACTTTAAAGTTAGTACTCTTTCTTATCCACACCAACAGCGTGCTGTGACTCAGACTCTTCTTAATTCTAAGTGACTGTGCCTGCACTATTTATTATAGTAGCCACTAATTACATGTGTCTACAGAGCACTTGAAATCTGGCTAGTGTGACTGAGAATTTTAAACTTTTTAAAATTTAATTAATTTAATTTTAATCCTTTCAATGAATAGTTACTTCATACACTGGGAAGCTTTTAAGTGCATTTGAACCAATTTGGAATTATGAATTTGCCTTTTCAACTTATGACTTTATGTAATCTCAGTATAAATCAAAATTTCAGATGGGAATTTAGCATCCAAATTAGATGTTCTGTAAGTTAAAATATTCAGCATGTTTTCACTCACATGTGGGAAGGTAAAGACACCTTTGGAGAGGAGAATGATAGACACCAAAGGCTAAGAAGCGTATATAGATCTGTGAGGTAGCCTGGGGGGAGAGGATGTGAGAGAGATTGATTAAGGGATATAAACATACAGTTATATAGAAGAAATAGGTTCTATTGTTGATAGCAGAGTTGGGTGACTATAGTTAAGAACAATGTATATTTCAAAACAGCTAGAAGTGGGGACTGGAAATGTTCTCGGCACATAGGAATGATAAATACTGGAGGTGATAGATACCCCAAATACCCTGACTTAATCATTACACATTCTATGTATGTAACACAATATTACACGTAACCCATAAATATGTCAGAATATTATGTATCAATAAAATTATGCAGCAGATCTCACAAGAGTTAGTGTGGAAAAAGAATGCAAAATATCTCAATAAATTTATATTGCTTACATGCGAAAATAATAAATTGTATATATTGAATTAAGATGTATTTTAAAACTCAACTTAGCCCATTTTTAAAATATTTTTAATGAGGCTACTGGAAACATTTTATATTGCATCCATGGCTTTCATTATCTTTTTACTGGAAAGTAGTGTCTCGGAGTAAAGTGAAGAAGCAGATTATCATTGCGAACAGGACCATCCTTATCCATTAGTGGAAGAGATATGATTTCCAAAATGCCTAGAAGATATGGGGAAAAAATAGAAGAGACAAGAAGCAACATGGGGCTGGTAGGCAGAAAAATTTGAAACATATATGTTCACCTACCTCACATTTTAACTTAGAGTTAATAGAAATACTAATATCAGATTTGTTTTGCTACCTATCGCTTAAGAATTTTTGCTCAGTGGATTAGTCTGTTTTGTATTGCCATAAAAGAATACCTGAGACTGCATTATTAATAAAGAAAAGAGGTTTATTTGGCTCTTGATTCGTCAGGCTGTATAAGAAGCATGACGCTTGCTTCTTCTCTGCTTCTGGTAAGGGTCATGGGTAAGGGTCATGGCAGAAGGCAAAAGGGGAGCAAGCATGTCACATGATGAAAGAGGAAGCAAGAGAGAAGGGAGGAAGTACCAGTCTCTTTTAAACAACCAGATCTTGTGTGAACTAATAGATTGAGAACTTACTCATTACCATGAGGAGGGCACCAAGCCACTCATGAGGGATGGCCCTCACAGCCAAGCACCTCTCACCAGGCCCTACCTCCAACACTCGGGATCAAATATAAACATGAAATTTAGTGGGGACAAATAGCCAAACCATATCACTCAATATACAGTATTTCCCAGCCCTCTAACAGAAGACTGGCACCCAGGAAAAATAAGGGATCAAGAAGTGCCAATCTACAAATTATTATTTGGGCATGTAAGCAGTATAAACTTATGGATATATTTTGCATTCTTTTTTATGCTAACTCTTGTGAGATCTGCTGCATATTTTTACTGATACATAATATTCCTACATATCAATTGGTTGCATGTAATGTTGTGTTTCATACATAGAATGTGTAATGATCAAGTCAGGTTATTTGGGGTGCCTATCACCTCCAGTACTTATCATTTCTGTGTGTTGAGAACATTTCAAGTATCCTCTTCTATCTATTCAGAAATACATAAAACATTGTGCTTAACTATAGTCATCCAACTCTGCTATTGAGTGGGAATTATTTTCTTTACAGTGTAAAATCATGAAATATTTCAGTCATTCAGGTTTATAATAAACATTATTACTGCCAATTCTGCTCAAGAGGTATCCTCATTAATTGTCCTTCAATTTTATACAACAGTCATTTAAGGAAGACAGACCAAAGGAGGATAAAAATTTGAGAGGAGGGCCTATGGAATAAACAAATATATATGTGTATTGAAATCGTAAGAATTGCCCTTTCTCTCCTTCTTACCCTACTCCTTTCCATCACTCTTCTACCATTTCTATCTCTTCCTTTCCCTTCCTGAGCCATCCAGTCCTAAATCCAAGCGAAGCAGTAGTCTGCACTAAGTGGAAAAGAGCCGCAGTGATCAAAACAGTGTGTGAGAGCCTGGGGTAATGGGGAAGGTTTTCACATAGGAGGGAAATGTTAGTAAGGTACAGAAGTCCAGTAAACTAAGCAGGGAGGTCCAGTATGAGATATTGAGTTTTGAGTGAGTCAAAGCTGTGTCCACATGGCAATGTGGCAGGCAGCCCTTCGCAGGGTGCCAGAGCCTCGACTGGGTGGAAGGGGCATCTCTGCTATGAAGGCTTTTTTGGCACAGAGTTAGGCAGCATGGGAAAAATAAGAAGGAACTACATCATGGGTAGCATTTGAGGCTACACAGACTGCCAGCGCTAAAGTAAGATGAAGAGGACACATACATAGGAGAATGAGTGTTGTAACGAGGATTTTCATTAATTACATATGTTAAGGGTGATGGAAGTTAGTATCAGGGAATAGAGTTGCAAGCATGGGACCGAAAATGTTAAAAGGATAATGGTGTTTGACTGAATTTGAAAGTACTAATGGAAACTCATGTTATCATATATGCCTGCCTCCTAGATTTTAGCTTCTGTATGCTATTCTCTTCTTCAAGAAATGGGGATTCTTAGATAAATGACTGAATTCAAAGATAGGGCAACCAATCTTGAATGTAAGCCTGACACTGCTTTTGACAAGCGAGGAAATGTTCAAGGAATAATATCTGGAGGACACAGAAACCAGCTTTCTCTGGGACAATTTGAGCACAAAAACATGATAGTAATGGATAATTATCTATTGAAAAAGATGGGAAACTGATCACTTTAGGTTAATAAAAACAGATACATAAGTAAATGTATTTGTTTGATGAGAAACATAATATTTATGTATCTTCAGAATGCCTCTCTGCCAAATATTTAATAACTACAAAGGGCAAAATATTTTACTTTTTTGAAGCAATCACTGGTAGTTATTATTTATCTCAAGTTACCAAACATTATTTGCAATGGGACAATTGAAATCTTGTGCCCCTGATGGGCTACAATGAGAAAAACGCAGTATAATTGTTGTAGTATCTAGCCAAAGATACATTACCTGCATCTACTCATGAGGAAACATCAGATGAAGCCAACTGAATAACATTCTATAAAATAATTGGCCTATACACGTCAAAAGTATCAGAGTCATGAAAGTTATGGACAGACTATGGAACTGTTCCATCTTGAAAATGACTAAAGAGACAGGACAACTAAGTACAATCATGATTCTGAAGTGTATTTTTGAGTTGTAAAAGACATGTTTTGGACCATTCCACATTTGCTGGGGTCTGAGTGTTAGATTGCTAATGACTCAATATTAACTTCCTGATTCTAATATTTTGTTGTTATGTAAGAAGAAATCTAAAATGCTATAAAGTGTTTGGGGATGATGGGGCATCATGTTCTCAAATTACTAACAAATGGTTCATGAAAAAATAAGCCGTTTTTCCTGTTCTTCCAACTTTTCTTTGCATTTTTTAGTGCTTCCAAATTAAAATTATACCACAAAATCATGAGAAATGAATGTCTTTATTTTTTTAATCTATCATCCATTAAATGAGTGGTTTTTATTTTTTTTTATTTATTGATTTATTTTCCCTTCAAATAAAATGTTGTTAGGAAAACCCGGAATAAAGCAAATAAAACTGGAGCTGCTCAGCTCTCTCTGTCACCCCTGTGGGGTGCTCATCAGACCTATTCTTTGTGAGACTAATAAAACAAATAGGCAAACTATAGAGTGGGTCAAATAGTGTATTTTCAACATAATTATTATGGAGAAGAATAAATTCATGATGAGAGGTAGGGAATTTGGGAGTGAAGGTGACCATGTGGAGTGTGGGGTTTTGGAGATTTGAAAAGAAAAGACAAATCTGAGATTTCTATCTAGGAGAACAGGAGAGAGAAAAGACTGGAGGAGAAACAAAAGATTAGGTCAGAGAAAAGATAGAAAAGTCTGATCCTGGGCAACATTAGGGGCCCACTGGAGCATAGATGTAGTACATTTAAAGTGGGATCGGCACTATTTCTTCAGTTATGTTCATCTGCAAAGTTGCAGGCACAAGTGGAGAGTTTGATTAACTTGGATTGTGTTTCTTTTTCAGAAGTGTATAGCAAAGCAAGTAAGGAAATGACAGTTGAGGATGTTTGCAAGGGAGTTGTAATAATTGACTGTGATAATATAAGCTGTTATAGGTTATAAACAAAATGAATGTTATTGAAGAAGAATGTACTTCCTTTCCTGTCTCAGACTTACTACTGCAGGTGTTCCTGAAATCCTTCTTTTCCTAATTGAAGAAAAGCATAGTTCTGTAAAAGATGGAATGCAGTATCTTCCCCATATTACTCTGCGTATCACTAATGTCATTACATTGTTTAATAATTCTCTGTTTCTGGGTTTGTCTTCCAAACACTGAGAGGTGATGAAAGTCTCTCTTTTTTAAGTTCCTAGCACAGAGCATGATACATAGTGATGTATCAGTTTTACAGAAAATTATTTTTTGCAACAGAATCACAATTTTGTGGCAAGATGTTATATTTTCAGAAATTATTTTATCTCTCTTTTTATTTTCCTCTCTACATATTTTTCATATGATCCTTCAAAATGTTTCACAATGAGAATCCCTGCCCCGTTTCTATATAAAGTTATTTGTTTGAAATCTACTGACTAATCTACACAATCCCTGTGTTCTAATCCTAAAATGCAAAAAGATCTAGTTGACTCACATAATCTCCTCTCAACAGGCTTGTCTAAAGATGAGCTTCTTATTTGATCAGTTTTTCTTTCCTGGTTCATTAGTTGTGGTCAAAAGAGAGGTTAATAATTTACTGGCCATCCAGAGGGAATCTGTGAGAACGTCTGTTACAGCCAAATTAGAGAAGCAGAACCCCTAAGAAAGAATATTATGAAGTAAGGCAAATTAGACCTTACACAATTGTGGAAGAAATAGATCAAGAACGAAGACTTGCAGGGTCTGAGAAAAATAAAATAAAATAAAATAAAACACCTGTCAGCTTCCAGAAGACTTTTACAGCATTAAATTTAAAAGACTATCATGGAGATGCAAATTTGGTCCTAGGGATCCGGTGAGGAATGCTTATAAACTGGTTGGTTTGGAGTTGTTGTTTTCTGCTACTAAATCCTCTTTGAGCAACACATTGCCTTGAATTTGGTGTAGGTTTCTGGCTTCTTATAATGCAATACATATTAACAATAAATCATCCATGATACAACCATGAATTTGTGCTCATGTGAATTTTCATGCCTGGAATTTCCCATGTATCTAAGAACACTGTGAGGCTTTTGTTTGCTTGATTGTTTTTGGATATTAAATGATATAGATATCCTGTATCATGAGTTTGAGAATATCCGTACATAGATTTCTGAAGAATCTTCTGGAAAGTGGCATACTCAGCCATTGTTTAAAGGCCTGAGATTATCACTGAAGAGAATGCTGAACATCAACTGGAATTTTTTTCACAGCAAAATATTCATGAAGTCTAAATTGGCTATGATGTATAGGAAAGAGATATTATGGAGGAGAGTTTAGCTATAAATATTTATGGGTGAATTTAAAAGCTATCCAACCAAGAGAATACAAAAAAAAAACAAATAAGGAAAAAGAAAGTCAAGTAAATTTTATTGCCTTTTATAAAGTTGCAGAGTACTGGGCAAAAAAGACTGTAGAGGCCCTTACCCTATAAGCTTTGAATTTGTCATCCTCAACTTTATTTGACTGAACAGGGACAGGATGGAATTGGATTGCTTTTTAGCAGTTTGTGGTAAGAAGAAATATCTCCTTTAAATCACATAGCGAAAGGGATGGAATGATCTGGAACAATCGGTCTTAGTTTCTGGTACTATAATATTTCCTACAAATCTGCTCGTAAAATAGAGAAGGTTGCTTTCTAATTGCAGGGCACAGATGCCTAGGTTAAGTCCTATAACAAATAGTTTACAGGATGCTCATCTCTTTGTTATTTTCTATTTACCTTATCTGAATATGAATTGGGGGGGGGTGGTAAATGTACTATAAGCCCATGCTTATGTTCAGTGCTGAGTATAAACTAAAAGAAAAAGAGGTCACATTAAAATGGTGTCCCTGTCTAGTCAAGAGCTGCTTTTGGATATTCGTAATCAAGTCTATGGCTATGAAATATAAAAGTATCAGAGAAATCATGCTAATTTAAATGTACAAAAATAGAACAGTGACTAAAGTTAGCAATACTTGTCATACCAAAGGGTATAAAAGGGCTGCAAAATATACCTTAAAATCTAAAGTATCTACCAGGTATATACCAGGTGAGAACAACCTGCCAAAACTTGATGTCAAAGGAAAGTTGATGTTACCACAATAAATGGTGTTTGTGTGATAATATGACACTACTTTAACCTGCAGCAAGTGAAATTACATGTCAGCTGTAACCAATTATTTCTCAGCAGTTATGGGTACCCAAATTGATTCATTAAGGTGTTTCTATTTTAACCATCCCCAATCACAGACACTTTCTCAGTGCAATCTTCCTCCTGATTTCCACTTTTGCTCTATCACTGTGTCCTTGTCAACCAGTATTTCCTGCATTCTCTCACTTTGATCCAAATCTTTCTCTTGCCCTGAATGATGGTTGCTTAGAGGTGTCAGTAGCTGCATCACCTAAGTGGAAGCTCATTATCATCTAGCATCAGGGATCAGAGCACTGCTGGACACCATTCTATCCTCAGATAATTAGTAATAACTATAACTGAACTCCACATGGAAATTACTACTAAATACAAAAATATTTCATTCATCTCAAAATAAGTGTACATTGTAAACCCAAATTACCTTTAATGCTATCCCAGGAGTTTATTTTGCTACTCCAAAGCCACTGACTGGATGAGAAATATGATGACGGGGAGTAGAAATAAAAAGACAAAAAAGTTTTAACTGATTTTGGTTAAACCACCTTATGTGGAAAAATTTATAGAAAGACATTAATAAAGCCTCCTTGGAAGAGTCCCCATGTGATGGAAAGACCCTGATGCTTTAATTCTATTCGATTCCCATAAATCTGCCTCTCACTGTAAGCATAGCACCTAGATGGGTGCCTGGAACATAGAAGGTCCATAAAAATTAGATGTTAAATGCATAGATTAATATGTGAAAATGAAGAAGAAAATAGATGTAAGATTAGATGTCAGAATCACTGCTACTAGAATCTATATGACACATTCCTCTAGAAGTGAGGGATCTCTCCTGATCTGTTTTGTCCACCACCAACTCTTGATGTATTTTAGGAAAATTTTTCCTTCTCCCAATGTGAATTTCCCTGAATGCATGTCCAGACTCAGAATGCAGGCCCTGATAACCTGGAGATACCTCAGCCTCACAGTCACCATCCTGACTAGCACCTGCATCTTTATCACCCCCAGCATGGTATGTCAGCCAATAGTAGACGAAAATTCTGTCATTATTAGACGAAGCAACTTGATCCTTAATGACACGACCCCATTCCAAAACAGGATGGTGATTGACTTTTTCATGGCAAAAAGACCTAATTAAAGTATTTTGTTTAGTAGTCCCATACACAAAGGAGCTGTAGCTGTTCTGCCTCTCCCCTCCTCTAGCAAAGGGGTAAACTTTACCTGGTAGAGGAAGTGGGAAAACAACCTAAGAACCTTGAACAGAAGTATTAGATACCAGTCTCAAAGTATCCCATTAATCTACTTTAGAAAGTGCAATGAAATGGGACCTGAAGGAGGCGACTGCTAAAAGTAGAGTTCCGAGAAGAAACAATCCACTTACCCCTGTTGGAATCAGATAAATCTGGTGATTGAAGCTGCAGATAAAATTAAGTACAGAGCTCCATTAGTGAGTGGAAGACAACAATTTGGCTAAAGCCAAATACCCAAATTTCTCAACATCATTCTAGAAGAGTTTGACTATTTGGTGGGCAATAAGCAGCCACATAAAGTTTCTATGAATCAGGGATAGAAATGAAAGATACACTATCCACAATGAGAGATGCTAGAGGGGGAGGAAACAGAACTACTAAAGAGACAGCTCTCAAAGTGAATTCGAGTTCAACTGAGAGCAACTCAAGAAGCAATGTTGCATGCCTGTTTCAAAACATCTCATATACCCCACAAATATATACACCTATTATGTTCCCACAAAAATTAAAAATTAAAATTAACAAAAATAAAATAAATTTTTTTAAAAGAGGCAAGAGCAAAGGGGAATATGGGAAGAGTCTAGATACCAGAGACTTGAGGTTGACTTTCACCAGAAAAGTATCAGTGATGTAGGTACTTGACAGTAAAGTGCTAAAGTTATTAGAGTAAAACACAATTCACTCTCATGTTCATATGAACTTCCATTAGTGTATAGGTATTATCAGTATCAAAATGTAGCTATACCTATATTTCTGTGTGCTTAATAATTTGGGGGCAGAGGAGGTGGCTTGTCTTTGTATTTTAACCATAGTGCAGTCCACAGATACAAGAATCATAATTAACAGGCATTAAGGTAACTTGCCAGAGGTAAATTTGGTTCATTCTGCCATCATAAATGAAAGAGCAGTCAATATTTTTTTTCAAATGAACATATATAGTATCATACATGAATCTGAATAAAATGTTCAACTTAGAGAGTCATGGAGATTAGCGATTTTGTTCAGTGATAGCTGAAGATCACAGGATGCTCAGTTAAATTCTAATAATTTCAGTAAAATTATAATAGTTTGTCTACTAAAAATCATTTTGCTTGATAGCTCTGGGAACTTAGAAATTTCATGGGAAAATTATTTTTCTCCCTTTCAGAGAATAGAAAGCAAAGCCAGTAAACAGTCAGGCCTTCTGCCAAAGGAAAATTATCTATGCCTAGAATGGATAAATTCCCAGCTCATAAAGATTTTTTTCTTCATCTCCACGGCATAGTCACATCTTATTCTAAGAGCCTCTGGCAGTTGCTGGAAAATTGTTGGACCACTGGGTATGTCATTAAGACCATCTTCACCCTTAAAAAGAATTGTACATCAAAGTAGTGCATGCACAGTGAAACTTCTCATGATATCTAAAGCCTGAAAATAATTATTCAGAATATAGGAGAGAATAAATTTATACCTGTTGAGTTGCTAATGCATGCTAGGGAGTGTGCTCAATGATTCACATTCACAATCTCACTTAATGCTTGAAAAAGTCTATTGAGTTACTTATTACCATCCTGACTCCATACATGAAGGAATTGAATCACAGAAGTTATGAAATTTGTCCAAAGTTATGAGGCTTCTAAGTGAGACAAAGATCTGGATTTGTGTCCGTTGGATTACATAGCATGAATGTTTCTGTAATATCACAGTTTGGAAATCAATATTTATTGAATGCCTTACAAGAAGGAACTTTTAGTGTTAAACACTGGGATGGAAAAACAGTCTTTGATTTGTCTGTTCTTTAGCCTGCTTTAAAAAAATAAATGAAATATCACGGTGCTATTCAGGGTAATATCTCCATTGTAGTGTATTAACTATATGACATTCTCAAAGTATATTAAATATATCATACTTTCATCAGTATTTCTATTTCTATCAATTCACAAATATTTAATTAATTGCATGCTAATTTAAACCACTATATCTAGCCTGTACCACTGCACATGTATCCTAAATGTCTTCCCAATTTCCAGTCTTGACCCTCTATACTCAATTTCCCCAAATCAGTAACAGCAAGATTTTAAAAATACAAATCAAATCATATCATACTCTGCTCAAAAACCTACAAAAATTTCCCACTAAATTTTGATTTGACTCTGGCTCCTTCCCTGGCCTCATTCCTTATCCCTCTTCCTGTCCTTCACTATGTGGCTATACTTGAAACAAACTAAAAATACATGTAAGCAAACAGAAAAAATACATATAAAAACAACTTCAGTAAAAATCCAGCTAATAATTTGATCTCCCAGTGAGTCCAAAAATGCTTTAAAAATTATAGCCTTGACAGAAAATACAAGTTAATCATTCTTTATTCATTTTTTAAATAACTGATATGTACAGTTATATACAGGTAATAGAGAAGGTAGTTATATTTCTGATTCCAGTATGGGTATGTGGATTGTTTCTTCCCTGAACTCTACTTATAGCCATCTCCTTCAGTCATTGGCTGAGATACGATGCTGGATGTGGTGAAGATGCAAGTCAGGATGATGACTGTGAGGCAGAAGTATCACCCGGTTATCAGGACCTGCATTCTGAGTCTGGACATGCATTCAGGGACATTCACATTGGAAGAAGGAGAAATCTCCCTGAAGTACATCAGAAGGTGGTGGTGGACAAAATAAATACAAGAAGATCTTATATTTTGTTTTTAATTTTTATTTTTTGTGGGTACATAGTAAGTGTATATATTTGTGAGGTACATGAGATGTTTTGATACAGGCATGCAATATTGCCTCTTGAGTTGTTCCCAGTTGAACTTGAACTCACTTTGACAACTGTCTCTTAAGTAGTTCTGTTTCCTCTCCTTCTCGCTAGCAACTCTCATTCTGGATAGAGTAATTCTGATTTCTATTCCTGATTCATAGAAACTTATTGTGGCTGCTTATTGCCCACCAAATAGTCAAACTCTTCTAGAATGATGTTGATAATCTCAGGGATTTCATTTAGCCAAATTGTCTTTCACTGTTGTCTTCCACTCACTAATGGAGCTCCATACTTAATTGTATCTGCAGCACCAATCACCAAATTTCTCTGATTTCATCAGGGGTAAATGGATTGTTTCTTCCTTTTACTCTACTTTTAGCAGTTTTCTCCTTCAGGTACCATTTCATTGCACCTTTTATACTAGATTAGTGGAATACTTTGAAACCAGTAACTACTCCTTCTGACACATTCAAGGTCCTAAGGTATTTTCCTACTCCCTCTAGCAGATGAAGTGTACCCCTTTACCAGAGAAGGGAAGAGGCAGAACAGGGACAGCTTCTTTGTGTGTGGACTACTAAACATAATACTTCAAGTGGGTTTTTTGGGTTTTCTTTATTTTTATTTTTTTACAATGCAAAAGAAATATCCCTTTTTGCTTGCATGTATCTTTAGTTTGTTTTAGTAGGACTACACTGTTCCTGCTAAAATTCAATCCAACCAGTGATCACCCTTGCCTCAGATCATTTTATTCTGCCCAGAATGCTTTTCCCATGATTTTCACCATTTTACATGGAAGTCACTTCAGAAGGGTCCTACCTAATTTTGTACTAAGAAGAGTACACTTGAGACTTTCTATTTCTAGTCATTGCTTAATTTATCTTCATATGTCTTGTAAGGTACATAACAAAATCCTAATAAATATTTCCCGTATGAATAAATGAATGGGTCAATGAAAGAGGAAAGGATACCAAGTATGACTCTTTTTATGTGGTTTCACAAGCTTTCTGAATCCAACAGGGGACCCTGTAAGGATCATGTCATCCACTTGCTGTTGTAAGAAGGCAGCTTTAACTCCAGAAGTCTTGGCAAACCTAGGAGATTTTTAAAAGTTGTTGTAGTTTTAATAGTTTTATTTTTTACATTTAATAATATCTATTTATTCACCAATGCTATTTTTCAGATTTATTGAAGTATAATTGATAAATATAAATCATATTTCTAGATATTAGATGTACAATGTGATGTTTGATATATTTATACATTGTGAAGTGATTAAAATAATTAAGAAATTAACATATTCATTACCTCATGGGTAATGAATAACTACAGCACACGGTCCCCTGCCCCCAACACACACACACACACACACACACACACACACACACACACACACACACACATCCTCTCCTCGACTATCTTCCCTGGGACAACCACGCCTGGAAGGCTGTGAGCAGTGCCATGAGAGAAGGCAGCCTGAGAGAACTGCAGAACGACATAGCAAAAACCTGATGACTCTGAACCCTATTACAACTAGTAAACCTACCCTACCTCTGACTTCTGAGTTACATTTTTAACCTCTAGTACTAAAATCACTGGGACTTTTATTACTTGCGATCAAAAGCGATTTAGCTAATACCTGTTTATATCATATATCTGGTTAATTAGTGAAAATAGCTCCTCATCATAACTACCTCCACTGTTACTTGTGCATAACTGTACATGTCAGTTATTTTAAAAATGAATAAAGAATAATTAACCTCTATATTTCTGTCAAGACTATAACATTTTTAAGCATTTAGGGACTCATTGGGAGGTCAGATCATTAGCTGGATTTTTACTGAAGTTGTTTTTAAACTTATTTTTTCTGTTTGCTTATATGTATTTTTAGTTTGTTTCAAGGAACTTCAGTTCTAAAAGATTCTGCTATCTTTGAAGTGTGATAGTCATCACAGGTTAAATAGGTCTCTTGGTTTTATGAGAAATGAGACTGCAATTTCCAAGATAAATACAAATTAATCTGGCTTTAAAAAATAAACGGCATATGCTACAATAGAGAGCAAAACTTGAAAATTATAGAAATGAGAGGAAGGTGAAACAAATGCATAAATAGATACAAGGAACATTTTTTAAGAGAGCATATGCAAAAAAATCACAATAGATATTCATGGGAAATAAATGCAGGAAGCCAAACCAGCTTCCTCCTTGGCTTGGATTCTTTCTGAAATTCAAACCAGTTATGTGTGATAATTTTAGGGAGAAAGAGAAAAGGATGATTTATTCCCATGAAAACATGACAAAAGTTAAAATGACACAAGTTAAAGCAACATGAAACATAAAATGGCAAGGAAAATAATATGTGCAGAGGACAATGAGAAAAATAGGGGTCAAATTCCAAACAGGACTATGTAGTATGAGAGTTAGTGACAGCATTATATTTGTACTCACAGAATTGACAAGTACATAGTGAAAATGAAAACATTTTTATGCTATTAAATTATTTCATAAGCAAAGGTTATGGACTGGCCCAGGAAATCATTATATTTTGATCCTAGAATCTACCTTCTATGAAAGCTGAATTTTACTTTGATAATTTATATCAATATTAACGAGTCTGAACATTTAAAAATTATTATGATAAAATGGCAGTTGGTTATGTGATTTTCTCCTACTTGTTACTTGTCATATTGATGACAGTCTGGTTTAATGAACTCAGCTTTTCCCACACAGTGCTCTACAGTACACTGTTACCAAAATGCTAGTAACTGCTCATCCAAAAAACAGGGAAAAAAATAGTGGATCTGGATCTGTTTTTGGATACATAAATTGGAGAAATACTAAATTTTAATCTAACTAATACTGAATGTCAATCTAACTATTTCCTGCAAAGCATTTCAGAAATTTTAACATTCTTATGGGCATTTTAATATCCCCCAAGGGACTTATATTATAAATGTATAAAAACATTTTTGACATTTAAAGATAATAGTATTCTATGGAACATAGTTTGGAATCTACTTATATATGTTCTTTTTAAAGAACTGAGTGATAGATCAACCATTCATAGGCATTTTCATCAATTTTTTTAACCATTTGGTTTGTGAATTTGAGGATCACCCTCTCTCTCTCTCCCCCATCTCCCATATCCTCTTTCCTTGTCTCCATTTTTACACCAACATGATACGGTTGCAATTTTTTTTTTATTTATTTTTATTTATTTATTTTTTTGACGGAGTCTGGCTCTGTCGCCCAGGCTGGAGTGCAGCGGCGCGATCTCGGCTTAATGCAAGCTCCGCCTCCCGGATCCACGCCATTCTCCTGCCTCAGCCTCCAGAGTAGCTGGGACTACAGGCGCCCGCCACCACGCAAGCTAATTTTTTTGTATTCTTAGTAGAGACGGGGTTTCACCGTGTTAGCCAGGATGGTCTCGAACTCCTGACCTCGTGATCCTCCTGCCTTGGCCTCCCAAAGTGCTGGGATTACAGGCGTCAGCCACCGCACCCGGCCTTGTGGTTGCAAATTTCATACATTTATGGCTATTCAGGAAGTCTCATTGGCTACACTTGCCCCTATAAATATGGGGAACCTTCTTAGTAAAAGCTCTTTAAAAGTATATTTCCATCAATATTGAACCCAGAGCCTTCACATAGTTCAGAGCATCGTCAACTACTTGTTGAATACCCTGAAGGTTAGAGGCCCACAAAAATCATGATATAGCACATAAGCTCTAATTTCTATGAAGGCATGGATAAATTTTGGAACTAGTTGCAGTCCTGGCTTGCCTGACCAAAACAAGCACCTTGATTCCTTTAGCTTACAGACACCCAGAATGATTTTAGTGTCAACTAGACCTTTGATCACAAGTAAGAAAACTCTCTGATATGAATTTTAGTAGATTTCAAAGTCATACAGAAATGTTAAGGAAGTTTAGACACGGCCAGTGAAAACAAAGTTTTGGAATAGGACAAAAAATGACATGGACATTGTTTGAGATTGTGTATTACCAAAGTGCTAGTAGATTATGTAATTTTTGGCTTATCTGAGAGTGTGAGCTAGAGATCTCTGAAGAGCCCTTCAACCAAATACTTAAAGGAGAAATAATGAACATCCCATATCTCTTACCAAAAAAACATTACAAAGTAACAACCATTTGAAAAAGTGGAAATAGTCAAAAGGTTTTTGTCTAAGTGATCCTCAAAGAATCTGAATTATTTTAAACTCTGTTAGGTGAATGAAGCAACAGGTTCTTGTAGTACTGTGAGGCTACAGATGAATATAACTCAATAAGCTGTTCAACCATTAATCGATCCTTTCATTTATTTGTAACTCTGAAATTAATTACTTTGCAATAGCTGAGAAAGTACATGGATTCAGTATTCACAGGAAGAATTTGGTCTTATTCATGGTAACTTGGGAGTTCAAAGAGTAGAGAGAACTTTTACTTTCCATTCACCTAATGTTATCTGTCCACTGGAGTTTGACAACCCCTCATGGTTACTCCAAGTCCTCTCATCCTACATTGCCCCGCATGCACTTTGTTCCTCACTTTTTTCACACCAGGATATTCTGTATTTTCTCATATTTTTTCCTTTAGCGGTTGCTAATATTACTCAGAGTGGAGCATCTATAAGGGACATATAAATATATTTTGTTGATATTGATTGTCTCCCATACTTTGCATGATAGTGATGTGTTAATATGCTAAAAGACTTTAATCTTATGAGGTAAGACAAAGTAGAAAAAAGGAACACCGACTCCCGTTTGGGTACAGAGCCTTCTAATACCCACTTTCTCTGTCTTCCTCAGTAACTGAAATCAATTAAACAATGTATCTAAGTCATCTCCTTTAGGCTTCTGTGGCCATATAACTGAATCTTGGTTAAAAAAAAAAAAGAAAAGGTGGGGGGGAATTAAATTGCAAAGAGAAACTTAGAGTCCTTTTTATTGGAGAAAATAAATACTTGCATTACCTTTTTCTTTATTGTTAAGTGGGCTGCTGATGTTATGGCTGGAGCTAGTCTCACATCCTGACTCCTTATTTACTACATGAGTAAACTTGGAATGTAACTTTACCTCCCTCAACCTATCTCTCTCTGCAAAGTAGACATTGAAAAAACTCTACTCCTTTTGTGATCACTGTGAGATTATAAAAGTGCACTTCAAGTGCTTATTTGAAACATGTTACATTTACACACTCAAATGTTAGTACTTATTACTCATCAATGGATTGAGTTCGTATATGAAATAAATGCCCCCAAAATTTATTAGATAGACTTTTAGATCCTTGCCTGAAAAGGCCATCCAGAAACTGCAATACGTTTTCCACATTTTAGAATTATCAAACTCCACCTAATGATATTAATAACCACCTTCACAATCCTATACTATTGAAGAACTTGGCTGACCTCAAAGAAAAATAAAGGATCTAAAATGATTAAGGCATGGGCAAAGTTTTGAATTATATTTCTCTGTTACAATATTTAAATAACTAAGTTAAAAATATACTAAATGTAATACTGAAAACACGTTTTTCCCATTATTTGGCTCAATATGACTTAGGACACAAACTGATTATTAAATTGGTAGCAAATACAAAAATTCCATCTGACATATAAAGTATTCTTCTTGTGTTTATTATATTTTAAGTCACTTTAAGATCTTCATGAAGATTAGATGATTTTTTAACTGCTACTACTTCAAAAGAATTCAGTTGTTGCTCAAAATTAATCTGTATTTCTGTATGACACACAGACATGAGTAATAAATAGGATTTAAATATTGTTTGATACACAACAAACCTAGTTAATACATTCTGCTGCTTTCCTTTCCTCCAATTTAATATACTTTCTGATGAATTCTGTCACCTAAAAGCCACCACATAGTTCCATTTCTGAGGCATATTTTATCTAATTCTCCTACCTGGATTAGTCCTTTCTGTTGGTACCTATATTCAATCTATAACCAGTGATATTGTAACTGGCAAGACTGAAACTCATTTTGAAATGTAAAAAACACTGGAAGGAGCCCACAAGGATAATTTAGTGAGAGTTCTCTCATCATTTTATCTGCTGTAGTTCTAAGAAGTGATATGGTCTTAGCAACTCTGGCAAGCAATTTCTGGTTTGATTAAGATTTAAGTCACATATAGACTGGGCGTGGTGTCTCACGCCTGTAATGCCAGCACTTTGGGAGGCCGAGGTAGGCAGGAGGCTGAGGCAGGAGAATCACCTGAACCCAGGAAGCGAAAGTTGCAGTGAGCCAAGATCACGCCACTGCACTCCAGACTGAGCAGCAGAGTGAGACTGTCTCAATAAAATTAATTAATTAATTAACTGATTTAAGACACATATAAGACACATATGATTGATCAACTTATATCCTACATGGCAAATTTACTGTTAGTGATTGATCTCCAAAAATCCAGAAAGAATCAGCCAGCGAGTTCACACAACTATATCACTATAGTACAAATCACATTTTCTCTTATTAGTTTCAAACTCACTCAATTTTGTTTACTATTTAATGTAATTGACTGATAACTATTACCTAATAAATAACACAGAGCTATCACTTTTAAATAGCTAATAGAAGTGTTATTTGGATACATTGACATACAATCATATTTAAACAACTAGATTGTATACATTTTGGAAATAATTTCTAGTAACTGCAAAATTGTCCTGTTTTGAGATTAAAGAAATATCAAAAATATTATTGCTTTGAAACCTACCGGATTAGTTACTAAATACAAATTAATCAAAATTTATTTTTTTACTAATCAATATTATTTATCTGAATTTTAGAATCCAGAAACTGAAAGATCTCCCTGGAGTCATATGCAACTTTGAACAAATAAAGATACTTTTTGTGTAAATCTATTGTTATAAGTCTTCATTTCATTTTCCGTGCTATAAGGTTTCATTTCAGAGATTTCAAATAGAAAGTTATTTTCAGTTCAGTATCTTTGTCTCTTCTTACAGGAAAATTTAAATTTTAAGACTTGACTCACACATAGGCTCAAAATAAAGGGATAGAGGAAGATCTACCAAGCAAATGGATAACAAGAAAAGGCAGGGGTTGCAATCCTAGTCTCTGATAAAACAGACTTTAAACCAACAAAGATCAAAGGAGACAAAGAAGGCTATTACATAATGGTAAAGGGATCAATTCATCAAGAAGAGCTAACTATCCTAAATATATATGCACCCAATACAGGAGCACCCAGATTAATAAAGCAAGTCCTTAGAAACCTACAAAGAGACTTAGACTCTCACACAATAATAATGAGAGACTTTAACACCCTGCTGTCCACATTAGACAGATCAACGAGACAGAAAGTTAACAAGGATTTCCAGGACTTGACTCAGCTCTGCACCAAGCGGACCTAGTAGACATCTACAGAACTCTCCACCCCAAATCAAAAGAATATACATTCTATTGAGCACCACATCGCACTTATTCCAAAATTGACCACACAGTTAGAAGTAAAACACTCCTCAGCAAATGTAAAATAACAGAAATTATAACAAACTATCTCTCAGACCACAGTGCATTCAAACTAGAGCTCAGAATCAAGAAACTCACTCAAAACCGCTCAACTACATGGAAACTGAGCAACCTGCTCCTGAATGACTACTGAGTACATAACGAAATGAAGGCAGAAATAAAGATGTTCTCTGAAACCAATGAGAACAAAGACACAATATACCAGAATCTCTGGGACACATTCAAAGCAGTGTGTAGAGGAAAATTTATAGCAGTAAATGCCCCCAAGGGAAAGCAGGAAAGATCTAAATTTGACACCCTAACATCACAATTAAAAGAACTAGAGAAGCAAGAGCAAACACCTTCAAAAGCTAGCAGAAGGCAAGAAATAACTAAGATCAAAGCAGAGCTGAAGGAAATAGAGACACAAAAAACCCTTCAAAAAATTAATGAATCCAGGAGCTGGTTTTTTGAAAAGATCAACAAAATTGATAGACTGCTAGCAAGACTAATAAAGAAGAAAAGTGAGAAGAATCAAATAGATACAATACAAAATGATAAAGGGGATATCACCACCGATCACACAGAAATACAAACTACCATCAGATAATACTGTAAACACCTCTATGCAAATAAACTAGAAAATCTAGAAGAAATGGTTAAATTCCTGGACACATACACCCTCCCAAGGCTAAACCAGGAAGAAGTTGAATCTCTGAATAGACCAATAACAGGCTCTGAAATTGAGGCAATAATGAATACCTTAACAACCAAAAAAAGTCCAGGACCAGACGGATTCACAGCTGAATTCTACCAGAAGTACAAGGAGGAGCTGGTACCATTCCTTCTGAAACTATTCCAATCAATAGAAAAAGAGGGAATCCTCCTTAACTCATTTTATAAGGCCAGCATAATCCTGATACCAAAGCCTGGCAGAGACACAACCAAAAAAGAGAATTTTAGACCAATATCCCTGAAGAACATTGATGCAAAAATCCTCAATAAAATACTGGCAAACCGAATCTAGCAGCACATCAAAAAGCTTATCCACCATGATCAAGTGGACTTCATCCCTGGGATGCAAGGCTGGTTCAACATACACAAATCAAGAAAGGTAATCCAGCATATAAATAGAACCAAAGACAAAAACCACATGATTATCTCAATAGATGCAGAAAAGGCCTTTGACAAAATTCAACAGCCCTTCATGCTAAAAACTCTCATTAAATTAGGTATTGATGGAAAGTATCTCAAAATAATAAGAGCTATTTATGACAAACCCATAGCCAATATCATACTGAATGGGCAAAAACTGGAAGCATTCCCTTTGAAAACTGGCATAAGACAGGGATGCCCTCTCTCACCACTCCTATTCAACATAGTGTTGGAAGTTCTGGCCAGGGCAATCAGTCAGGAGAAAGAAATAAACAGTATTCAATTAGGAAAAGAGGAAGTCAAATTGTCCTTCTTTGCAGATGATATGATTGTATGTTTAGAAAACCCCATTGTCTCAGCCCAAAATCTCCTTTAACTGATAAGCAACTTCAGCAAAGTCTCAGGATACAAAATAAATGTGCAAAAATCACAAGCATTCTTATACACCAATAACAGACAGAGAACCAAATCATGAGTGAACTCCTATTCACAATTGCTTCAAAGAGAATAAAATACCTAGGAATCCAACTTACAAGGGATGTGAAGGACCTCTTCAAGGAGAACTACAAACCACTGCTCAATGAAATAAAAGAGGGCACAAACAAGTGGAAGAACATTCCATGCTCATGGGTAGGAAGAATCAATATCGTGAAAATGGCCATACTGCCCAAGGTAATTTTTAGATTCAATGCCATCCCTATCAAGTTACCAATGACTTTCTTCACAGAATTGGAAAAAAACTACTTTAAAGTTCATATGGAACCAAAAAAGAGCCCGCATTGCCAAGTCAATCCTGAGCCAAAAGAACAAAGCTGGAGGCATCATGCTACCTGACTTCAAACTACACTGCAAGGCTATAGTAACCAAAACAGCATGGTATTGTTACCAAAACAGAGGTATAGACCAATGGAACAGAACAGAGCCCTCAGAAATAATACCACACATCTACAACTATCTGATCTTTGACAAACCTGACAAAAACAAGAAATGGGGAAAGGATTCCCTATTTAATAAATGGTGCTGGGAAAACTGGCTACCCATATGTAGAAAGCTGAAACTGGATCCCTTCCTTACACCTCATATAAAAATTAATTCAAGATGGATTAAAGACTTAAATGTTGGACCTAAAACCATAAAAACCCTAGAAGAAAACCTAGGCAATACCACTCAGGACACAGGCATGGACAAGGACTTCATGTCTAAAACACCAAAAGCAATGGCAACAAAAGCCAAAATTGACAAATGGGATCTAATTAAACTGAAGAGCTTTTGCACAGCAAAAGAAACTATCATCAGAGTGAACAGGCAACCTAAAGAATGGGAGAAAATTTTTGCAATCCACTCATCTGACAAAAGTCCAATATCTAGAATCTACAAAGAACTCAAACAAACTTACAAGAAAAAACAAACAACCCCATCAAAAATGGGCAAAGGATATGAACAGACACTTCTCAAAAGAAGACATTTATGCAGCCAAAAGACACATGAAAAAATGCTCATCATCACTAGCCATCAGAGAAATGTAAATCAAAACCACACTGAGATACCATCTCCACCAGTTAGAATGGTGATCATTAAAAAGTCAGGAAACAACAGGTGCTGGAGAGGATGTAGAGAAATAGGAACACTTTTACACTGTTGGTGGGACTATAAACTGGTTCAACCATTGTGGAAGACAGTGTGATTATTCCTCAGGGATCTAGAACTAGAAATACCATTTGACCCAGCCATCCCATTACTGGGTATATACCCAAAGGATTATAAATCATGTTGCTATAAAGACACATGCACACGTATGTTTATTGTGGCACTATTCACAATAGCAAAGACTTGGAACCAACCCAAATGTCCAACAATGATAGACTGGATTAAGAAAACATGGCACATATACACCATGGAATACTATGCGGCCATAAAAAATGATGAGTTCATGTCCCTTTGTCCTTTGTAGGGACATGGATGAAGCTGGAAACTATCATTCTCAGCAAACTATCGCAAGGACAAAAAAACAAACACCTCATGTTCTCACTCATGGGTGGGAATTGAACAATGAGAACACATGGACACAGGAAGAGAAACATCACACACTGGGGCCTGTCGTGGGGTGGGGGGAGGGGGGAGGGATAGCATTAGGAGATATACCTAATGTAAATGATGAGTTAATCGGTGTAGCACACCAACATGTCACATGTATACATATGCAACAAACCTGCACATTGTGCACATACACCCTAGAACTTAAAGTATAATAAAAAAAAGGTAACTATAATAAAAAGACTTGCCTCTGCGTCTTCATTTGATATTTTTATATTCTAAAATGTTCTGTGAAAACAATTCTCATTCTGTAAAACAGAACTTTTTTCTAGTGCTCAAAACACAACCTGATTTCTTAAACAAATGATTTATGCCAGGAAAGCTACTCAATAGTAGCTTTAATTAGGTGTCACCTGTTAGTATGACTTTTCCAGTTTGCAGTGTATACACTATTTTAACTGTTCACCTAAGACATTTTATCAAATTTTCATAAATCACAAATCAAGTTAGAGCCTCTTTCTGTCCTTCCTGTCATCCCTCCATATCTATAATAACCATTTTCTCTGCTTTTCCTCTAAAACACAAATTTATTGAACCCAGGTTAAGGACTGGTATTATTCTGCATTCAGAAGCTACAAAAATGAAGAAGAAACAACCTCAGCTCTCAAATTCTTCACAGACCTACAACAGAGGCTACACAAAATTACAGAGAGAAGCGTTACAAGTTCTACAGTGGAGGCATAATCACGGGGCAGGTATGACAGAGAGAGAATCAGCTCTGCTTAATGAGTAGAGAAGGGCATCAGATGTATTATTTTTTAAAGAGCCTTTAATGGAGCCAAATGTTTATGAGTAAAGAAGTAGGATAGGATTGTTTAGATAAAAGTGTCCTCTGGAATGGAAAAATGCAACAAGTTTTTAGACTCTATGTAGGATTTAAGGCTATGAGAATACAGTGAACTACTACATAAAACTATGAATCCTGGATGGGTATAAAAACTTTATTCTGGCAATGGGGTTTGAATAATCTCCTTCTACTACTTTTTACCTAGAAAGTTCTGGGTAAAGAAAGTAAAATGAGTCATGAATGGTCTTTTTTTAATGAAGATCTTTTTTTAATGTAACATTTATTATTACCAATATAAATAAATCATTAACCATTACTTTGATTTTTTTTCAAAATTATAAATCTGGAATAAATCTCAAAACACTTATGTCAAAATATTAAAAGTGGTTGATTCTGGAAGGTGAGACTATGGACATTTAAACATTTTCTTCCTTGAACTTTTAAAAACATCTTGTAAATCATCTAAAAATACAAATTTGCCCATTCCCAAAGATAAATTATGTAATTAGAAATTTGAATGACAGATTAATGAAATTAGAATAAGGGCAGTGATTGATACCAAGTGGGAAATAAAAACAATCCTAGTACGAAAGGATGCGTTTCTGAATGAAAGCAGTGGAGTGGAAGGAGATTAAGTTTACAAACTCACTGTTATGTTATACAAGAGAAGCACTTTGCACCACGTAATTTCTTCTATTACAATCCCTTGGAGGTGTCACTTTATGTAATGACACTCATTTTTATGTTAAGATTTGTAGTTAACATTTTACAGTGTCTAAATGGAGATAATAGTACATAATAACCAAGAGTCATATATGACAATTTTAAAATAATTCCTTGATTTTCATAGGAGCCAGTCTACATGTTTAAAGGAACGTTTATGTGTGGAAGCCATAAAGCTGAAAACTAAAAGGAATCAGGCCACCTTTAAAAAATATTATTTTAGCTTCAGGGAATACATCTGCCTATTACCTGGGTATATTGCATACTGGTGGGGATTGAGTTTCTAGTGTACCCATTACTCAAATAGGGGACATTGTACCCAACAGGTAATTTCTTTTCAACCATCTTCCTCTTCCCACTTTTCAAGTTCCCAGTGTCTATTATTTTCATCTTTATGTCCACAGGTACCTATAGTTTAGCTCCCACTTATGAGAAAATATAGTATTTGATGTTCTGTTTTTGAGTTAGTTCACTTAGGATAATGACCTCTACCTCCATCCATCTTGCTGCAAAGTATTTGATTTCATTTCTTATGGCTGTGTAGTATTCCACGGTGTATATATACCATAATTACTTTAATCAGTCAACCACTGATGGACACCTAGGTTGGTTCCATGACTTTGTTACTGTGAATATAGAAGTGCGATGAACATAGGAGTGCAAGTGTCTTTTTTATGTAATGATTTCTTTTCCTATGGGTAGACACCCAGTAGTGGGATTGCTAGGTTGAATGGTGGGTTTTATTTTTGGTTATTTTAGAAATCTCCACACTGTTTTCCATACAGGTTAAACTAATTTACATTCCTACCAATCGTGTAGAAGCATGTCCTTATTTTCACATACATGCCAGCATCTGCTGGGTTTTTTTTTTAACTTTTTAATAACAGCCATTCTGACTGGTATAAAATGATATCTTAATGTGGTTTTAATTTGTGTTTCTCTGATGACTAGTGACATTGAGTATTTTTTTCATGTGTTTGTTAGTTGCTTGCATTTCTTCTTTTGAGAAATGTCTGCTCTTCTCCTTTGGCCAATGTACATAAGTCAGTAGCATTTCTATACACCAATAATGTTCAAGCTGAGAACCAAATCAATAGCTCAATCCTATTTACAAATAACCACAACAAAAACAAAAATACCTAGGAATACATTTAACTATGGAGGTGAAAGTTCTCTACAAAGAGATCTACTAAACACTGATGAAAGTAATTCTTGATGACAAAAATGAACAACGACAAAAATGAACAACAACAAAAAAACCATCCCATGCCCATAGATTGGAAAAATCAACATTGTTAAAATGACCATACTGCCCAAAGCAACCTACAGATGCAATTCAATCCCTATCAAATCACCAACATGATTTTTCACAAAATTACGAAAGAAATAATACTAAAGTTCACATGGAATCATATGGAACCAAAAAAAAAAAAAAAAAAAAAAAGCCTGAATGGCCAAAGCAACCCTAAGTGAAAGAAGCAAAGCTGGACATATCAAATTGCCTGACTTCAAATTATACAAGCCAATAGTAATTAAAACAGCATGGTACTGCTACAAAAACAGACGCATAGATCAATGGAGCAGAATTGAGAACCCAGAAATAAAGCCACAAATCTACAACCAACTGATTTTTGACAAAGTTGATAGAAATAAAAACAATGGGGAAAGAACATCCTATTCTATTCTATAAATGGTGGTGGGAAAATTTGCTAGCCAATGCAGATGAATGAAACTGGAACCCTGTATCTCACCATATACAAAAGTTAAGCCAAGATGAATTAAAGACTTAAATGTAAGACCTAAAACTATAAAAATACTACAAGAAAACCTAGGAAAATTGTTCCTGGACATTGGCCGAGGCAAAGAATTTATAACAAGACCCAAAAAGCAATGAAACAAAACCAAAAATAGACAAATGGAACTTATTTAAACTAAAAAGTTTCTCAGCAGAAAAAAAATATTCAACAGAGTAAACAGAAATACTACAGAATGGGAGAAAATATTTGCAATTTATGCCTCCAACATGAGCTGATGCCATTAGTATGAGATTTTTCATATATGTAGTTCATTCAAAACTAACTGAAATTGGCAGATATTATTAAATGGGGAATAAGTGCTGGACTTAAGATGCCTAAGATTAAGTTTTATCTCTAACACTTAACCTCAGGATTATTTTAAGTTACTTTGTACTAATCTTAGTTTCATATGTTTTCAAAACGGAGAAATAAAACTTTTTCTGACATTGTTGTCAGAATTAGATAGGAAACACATGGAAAAGCAAGTAGCAAATTCTAAGCTGAAATGCAAAAGGCATTATTACAGGCAATAAAATCTGCATTTTATTAGAATGCTAAATTCCAGGCACCTTTAAAGTAGATAAAAACGTTAATCCAGCTGTAAATTTTTTTCAAAAAGAAAACATCAAAAATATTTGCTTTTCGATTTAAAAATTCTTAGAATTTTGTGATTCATCAATCTTTAGAATGTTTGTATAGTTCACTGATGTTCAAGAGATAGCAGAACTCTTAAATAAGATTTCTAGAGTTGTGGAAAGAAAGAAAATTCTAATTTTATCCCAAAAAATCCCTTTAAAAAACAAAACAAGGGAAGAACAGGAAATGCATATTTCTAGAACAGAGGATGCCCACAAGTTTCATGCAAATAAGATGTATTTTAAAATGTTAAATTCAAGAATTCTGATTGAATTATACACTTGGGAAGTGAAGATTGATTTTCCAGCAAGAGAATTATAGGATCCTATTTTGTGCTTGTTATTAATTTTAAAAATAAAATTTCATTAGTATTTACCACGTTGTAGCTTCTTAATATTTAACACAGTTAGTTCTGACAATAACAGTAGAAGATAGTCTTCCCAACTTTAGAGATGAGGAAACCTAAGCCCACACGTTTAAGTGACTTGCCAAAGGTGGACCCAGGACATGGATTTAGACACTCTTACCCCAATGATTTTGCTCTTAGCTATACAGTTTAATATATATTTGTGATACTATCTCCTCTTTTACATTCTAGGGGCATATTAGACCCTTTCTAATCCCTCCCAGAACATGTGAGACACAAACCCTATTCGTGGACTTCTCCCTTTGCCTGGAAGTCTCTTCCTCTGGATATCCACAAAGCATGCCCCCCGTCTTTCCTTCTAGTTTCCAGGAACACACTACCTCTGGAATCCTTTCTTGACCAGGCTTTCACATGTTGTCTTCTTACCTGCTCTGAGTATGTTTGTATCTGTGTGTGTGTTTTAATGATGCCTACAGTTCTTTATGTTACATTATATGTTTATTGGCTTTATTCTATATTTTCCACTGTTTTGCTAAACAATGCTTAAACCAATGACTTGTATTAGGTTGGTGCAAAATATTATGTTTTCTGCCATTAAATTCAATAATAAAAACTGCAATTATTTTTGCATCGCATTAATATATTGCAGATGCTCAATATATGTGTGTTGAATGAATAGTCATGATTCAGAAATTATGTTAGCAATTTTGAGCATATTATCTCATGTACTGTTAAACCTGCTAGGCATGGGTATCAATATTCCACTTCTAATACATGGGGAAACAAATTCAAATAAGTAAAATAAATTTAACGGACGCACGTAAGTACTAAATACGTAAAACAGAATTTGAATCTAGGTCTATGTGGTTTTAGATTTCTCACTTTTTCCACTGCAATGTGCTACCTACCTAGTCATTTTGGCTGAAAAGTTAGAAAAATGCACATTTTTTTATCTCTGTTACAAGCCACTATTTTATAGCATGACAACATTGTTTAGTGTAAGATATCAATTAAACCAAGTTTGTGGTTTTACAAGGATGTTTATTTTTTCCCAATATACTCTCATCTGTCTTGGTAACTGTACTGAGATATGAAATAAGTTATTTGGTAAAACATAATGTTCAATTTCTTGAATTTGGGGACTTCAGGAGATACATTTATCCTTAACCATATGATGCCCAGAGCTAAGTCAGAATTATAAAGCATTGTATAATAGAACTAAAACTCTGTTCCACAATTGGCCAGTTATATCTGTACTATATCATAAAAATATCAATGTTCCCTTTTACTTTTGTTGTTTAAACTTATTTTATGAAGCCTGTATATCTTTCAATATACAATCATGATATGCCCTGGGGCTTTCTGATAAGTCCGTGATTGCTTGGCACTAATGCTCATTTTTAGGAACACGGATATAATTATATTTCCTGTACTAGAATGCATCTTTGGTTTAAAATAAGAGTTAAATAATGACACAAGTGCAGGTGTGGTTTGACAAAAAGTTTTGTGCCTATCTTTCGTCGGAGATGGAATGGGCAGCTAATGCATTCAGTTATTTCCAATGAAATAATTTCCAGTGAAACTTGTGCTAAGTTGAATATTTCCAACTGTAAGTGGAGTTTGTAAATATAATTTGTCTTGTGGAATTGATTCCCAAAAGTTAATTTTTGAAAGCTCAATTGAGAAACTTAGGAAGCAAATACCCAGGGCTTTGGGAACATGCATTAACTATATGAACTGTAATGCAGTGTTATGAGAACACCTTTTCCTCTATTAGCCTCTGGTGGAGTTGCAAAAAATGCATTTGGATGTGCGGTCCAATTTGATTGATTGCAGGGCTTTGAGTAATTCTGATTCGATGTGTGAATCTGTTATATGTGAGGTATTACATAAAATGATATCTGGAAAATAGCCTAGGTGGGTTAAAATGATGAATCAATAGATTTAGGATCAAAAGCCATGTTAAGATAAAATAACATTCAATAAAGTTAAAGTTGGATAACAAGTAAAATAAGTTGTTTTAAGGCTTATATTAATTTTCTTTCCTTTTGTTCTGGCTGTAAGTATACCAAAAGCTTTTTGATTCCAGCTAGAGTTGCCTTGGTTCTTTTTTAGAACTCATTCTGGAAGTTTAGGCAAATCAGCTCATTTTTATGGAATTCTGCTATAGAATAAACAAAATTTCAGGTAATATAAATGCAGGGCATATAGTACTGAAAGACAGTTACGCCAGGATTGTGGGAGCTATTTTTAAGAAATATATTCTAATGTTACAAACATCAATCGGTCCCTCTACCAGACTCTGTGTGAGTTTTATGTATGATATCTTAAATGTGTTCATAAATACGATGAAAATGGATATAACCTCAGATCCTACAAACAGTAAGGATATTGAGAGGATATGATGAAAATAATTAATAGACTATTACGTAGAAAAATTTAAAATGTAGATAGAGGCCAGGCGTGGTGGCTCACGCCTGTAATCCCAACACTTTGGGAGGCCGATGCAGGCAGATTGCCTGAGGTCAGGAGTTCAAGACCAGCCTGGATAACACGGTGAAACCGTGTCTCTACTAAAAATACAAAAATTAGCAGGGCATGGTGGCATATGCCTGTAATCCCAGCTACTTGGGAGGCTGACGCATGAGAATCACTTCAACCGGAGAGGCGGAGGTTGCAGTGAGCCGGGATCGCACCACTGCACTCCAGCCTGCACAACAGAGCAAGACTCCAGAAAAAAAAAAAACAAAAAAGGTAGATAGAAACGAAAAAATCCTTGAAAAAGACAACATTACAAAACTGACTCAGGAATAAAAAACTGAATAGCTCTCTAATAGTTAAATAAAATCTATAATTAAGAATGTTCAAACGAAGAAAACCAAATCCACAGGTTTCCCAGTTGGCTAATTTTATCAAACATTTAAGAAAGAATTAACACCAGTATTTTAAATATTATTTCAGAAAAAAGAAAAAATAATAGTTTTTATTTTATATGAGTATAGCATAATTTTCAATACCACACCTTACCAGGACTACAAAAAATTATATATTTATCTATCTCATAAACATAGATACAATATTAGTATATGAATTCAATGATACATAAAAAATCACCATACCAAGGCCAAGTTGGATTCATTATATGAATAAAGATTAGTTTTAAATTTGACATCTTATTACAGTAAAAGGAGAAAAGAGGAAAAATATCAACTCATATTTATTCTTTATGAAGTAATAAGTACTCATCCAATTATGAATAAAAAGGAATGTCCTTAATCTGATAAAAGATATCTACAGAAAACGAACAAAAAACTACATACATAATGAAATATTGAAATATTTCTGCATTCAAAATAAAATAGTACCCACTATTACCATTTCAACATTGTACCAGATTTACTAGCCAGGTAAGAAAGACTAAAGAAATAAAAAAAAGAAAAACCTAAGTATTAGAATATTTTCAGACAGATACTTATTATCATTGTATTGCCCCATGGTCAAAGCTGATCTAGTAGGCATATCATTTTTAACATTGTATATATAGAGAGAGAGAACACATACGTATATAATTTATTTAACATCCTATTATATGTATAGACATACACACATATGTCTATATACATACATATATACATGTCCTTAACCATTATATTATATTAAATTTTGTGATTTGTACCTTTTTTCAATATGAAGCAGTTTATTTATCATAAATAACGTTTCCACTTGGAATTTGGAATATGATTTGGAATGTGTACGGGAGCGAGAGGGGAAAAAGAGGGAGTAGAGAAATTCTGAGTCCTTCTCTGTTTTGTGTGATCATTTAACCCACTTTCACTGAGATTTTACTTATTTGTTGAAATTTTTACGTTATCATCCTTTTTATTATTTCCTTTTAATTAATTAATTGGCCTTATGTTTTCTTGAGTGATAAGCTTTCCTTTATCCTAAATTTTGTTAAAATAATCTGGATTTTAAAATTATGAAATCTTCTAATATTTGCAGTTACAGAATTGAACTTTTAGCAATTAATTACTCATAAATGAGTAATTTATGAGCCTTTCTTATTAGACTGTTTTGCTTACCATTTGCTATAATTCTTTTATTTTTGAATCCCTTATTCTGATTCATATTGTTTGTTTTCCCTTTTGGATGGAGTACTTCCTCAAATAATGTTTTTAGCGATGACATGGGTTACATATTTTTGAGTCTTCTTTCTCTCATAAGGTTTTAATTGTTGCCATGTTTTTTAATTATGGAGACCTGATCTTTCTAAATCAGATACATATAAACTTTTCTTTATATTTTTCTATCACTTAATGTTGAAGATAGGAAGTCCTTCATTCTATCAAATTTGCACAACATCCCTCCTATCGCTCTGAACGTAATCTTAAACCTTCTTAGATGGACTGTAATCCCAGCACTTTGGGAGACAGAGGTGGGCAAATTACAAGGTCAGGAGTTCGAGACCAGCCTGGCCTACATAGTGAAACCCCGTCTCTACTAAAAATACAAAAAAATTAGTAGCTGGGCATAATGGTGGGCGCCTATAATCCCAGATACTCGGGAGGCTGAGGTAGGAGAATCACTTGAACCTGGAGGTGGAGGTTGCAGTGAGCCTTGAGCCAAGATCTCACTACTGCACTCCAACCCCAGTGAAAGAGTGAGACTCTGTCTCAAAAAAAAAAAAAAAAAAAAGAGAAAAAAAAAAACTTGTTAGATGTTGCTTTAAATCTTGGAATTGACATCATAACATCATATCAAGATATGTTTGGTTTCAATTGTATCTTCTATCAATTGCTACCTTTGCCTGAGATTAACATAGTCATTTAAATTTGAAAAATCAGCACCTATTTTCTCACAATAAACCTTTTGTTTTCATTTTCTTATGCTTTCATCATAGTTTCCATTAATTTTTTGTTTGTATTTTATACCTATTGCACTTTCTATCTTTACTGTCTCTATCATAATTTCCAACCTTAACATTTTTACTCTGTATTCAAAATAAATTATTTAATTATCAATTAAAATTGATTTTCTAATCAATCAATGTGCTTTTTAGTAGTGATTCACCTGAGATCCAATGCCTTTATAGAGTTACCATTCAGGACATAGGCATGGGCAAGGACTTCATGTCTAAAACACCAAAAGCAATGGCAACAAAAGACAAAATTGACAAATGGGATCTAATTAAACTAAAGAGCTTCTGCACAGCAAAAGAAACTACCATCAGAGTGAACAGGCAACCCACAAAATGGGAGAAAATTTTCACAACCTACTCATCTGACAAAGGGCTAATATCCAGAATCTACAATGAACTCAAACAAATTTACAAGAAAAAAACGAACAGCCCCATCAAAAAGCGGGCAAAGGACATGAACAGACACTTCTCAAAAGAAGACATTTATGCAGCCAAAAGACACATGAAAAAATGCTCATCATCACTGGCCAACAGAGAAATGCAAATCAAAACCACAATGAGATATCATCTCACACCAGTTAGAATGGCAATCATTAAAAAGTCAGGAAACAACAGGTGCTGGAGAGGATGTGGAGAAATAGGAACACTTCTACACCGTTGGTGGGACTGTAAACTAGTTCAATCATTGTGGAAGTCAGTGTGGCGATTCCTCAGGGATCTAGAACTAGAAATACCATTTGACCCAGCCATCCCATTATTGGGTATATACCCAAAGGACTATAAATCATGCTGCTATAAAGACACATGCACACATATCTTTATTGTGGCACTATTCACAATAGCAAAGACTTGGAACCGACCCAAATGTCCAACAATGATAGACTGGATTAAGAAAATGTGGCACATATACACCATGGAATACTATGCAGCCATAAGAAATGATGAGTTCATGTCCTTTGTAGGGACATGGATGAAATTGGAAATCATCATTCTCAGTAAACTATCGCAAGAACAAACAACCAAACACTGCATATTCTCACTCATAGGTGGGAATTGAACAATGAGAACACATGGACACAGGAAGGGGAACATCACACTCTGGGGACTGTTGTGGGGTGGGGGGAGGGGGGAGGGATAGCTTTAGGAGATATACCTAATGCTAAATGACGAGTTAATGGGTGCAGCACACCAGCATGGCACATGTATACATATGTAACTAACCTGCACATTGTGCACACGTACCCTAAAACTTAAAGTATAATAAAATAAAATAATATAAAAGAGGTAGCTATTAAAGGCATGCTTTTACTTATTTTCAACAACTTTATTTTGCTCTGATTTTTGTCTTTTCCTAGTAGCATGTTTTTACTAACCTATGCGTATAATATTCTCTCAAATCTAATTGAAGCTTGGAAGTAAAATTATGTTTTGTTTTCAGCATTTACTATGAGATGATAAAGTTTATTTGATCTAAATGTTCAATTTAGTTTCTAAAGTATTAGTTCTCTTTGTTTCTCTCTCTCTCTCTCTCTCTCTCTCTCTCTCTCTCTCTCTCTCTCCATCTCTCTTTCTTTCTTCCTCTCTATCCCATTCATCAGTAGATCTGATCTGGTCAATATTGATACAGTGTGAAGTGTGAGTTTTATTACCTACCATTCCTATTACTCTTGCTAGAATATCTGGACCGGTTTCACACAGGGAGTGGTGAGTAGATCAGAATGGGTTCAAATGTAGGATTCCCTTCAGAGTGCCTAAGCTGGAAATCAAACTATCAGAACACCACAGTTCAAATGAGGTGGAGATACTCTGGTTGGTAGGCAATTACCTGCATTTTACTTAACACATGATTTGTGCTGATTGTGGAATTGCCTATTATTCAATTTGTTCAGCACTCACCTCCACCATAAATTCCAGGGTTTTCTCAAGTTTTCTGAGACTTTACTGCTCAGCACTCTTCTTTAAAATTTTTTTTCTTCAGTTAATGGCATTCTGGGGGAAATAATGGGGTTAAACTTATGGGTTCAAAGAGTCATTCTGAAACCAGAAAAATAATAAACATAAGTCTAGTGAATTGTCTCACACAATGTTTAGGAGAGCAAAGGATCTGTGTTAATGAAAATATACTGCCTGACTTAAATTCCCAAGAACTGTTTATTTGGTGTCCTGTAAATATAGTACATGGAAAACTGTGCAGAACAAGCTTATTTCTCCTCTCTAAAAATGTATTGTTATGGTTAAGTTAAAATTGCCATTACTTACAATAAGTTCAACCATTTTCAAAATAAAATAAAGTTAGTTTGGCCCATTGAAAAAAACAAAATAGATTATATCAAAATTAAGCATGCCTGAGAAAGAGAAGGATTCATAAATGTAGTTTATGCTTTGAAATGAATGGGAGACCAGAGACCTGACTGTTTTATAACTGCCAGCCAGTGGTTACTATTGTAATAGAGACCGACAGATCCAGATTAAGCAAAATATATATTTGTGTCTAGACCACATCAACACGTTTGGTCAAATATCAAAGGGAAGATGTTCATGTACAGCATTTCCTACCACATTCTGTTTGCACACTAAGAAAGAAAAATTGGAAGAATTCTGCATATCATGAAAATGACATGAGTAACAAGTTTACACAGGTATTTCCTAAGATTTTCAGACAGCTGTTCTAAATAAAAGTGCCAGCCAAGAGTTTATGGAAAATACATCATTGAAGTCCACTTGGGGCTGGATGCAAGTTAAAAGAGTCTCAGCAAAGACCCAGGTATAGAGATATGCTGAGAGTTCCCATTCTAGAGTATCCACATTAACTATCAGTTCTTCATTACCAACATTCTAGAGACCTCCGGGAATGTTTGTACTTAGGTCACTAGTAGAAAAGAAAAATGAGGTGAATTTGTAGAGAGAATTTGCTCATCTATATTATACCTATCAGTGAAATGTTAATCTTTATATATTTCTCATGTATTATGGAATAGTAATTTCCAATTTGTTATTACATATGCCACATCAAGTAATTGCACAGAGTTGAAAAATGGACCTGTATGTTATCAATTGCCTTAGAGCAAAATCAGTAGCATTTCTCACACACGAACAAATTTTCAAAGGTATATACGTGAATAAAAAAAGATAGTAAATTTCTCAAGAACTTTTACATGATTATTAATTAATTTTTATATATCAATACTCAAAATATAATAGTATCATATGTAAAGAGATAAAATATTCTTTTTTTCCCAAAGATGTCCCATTCTTAAATAATGTAAGAGCTGCTGCTAGAGAGAATGAGACTGTCCTGTGAGCTCAGCTATCATTCCCCTAGGGAAATCATTTATCAGATGATCATAATGACACTTCTCATGCCAAATCATATTTCTATGTTATCACATTCTATAAAGCATAATTTGAAAGAAAAAGCACTTCAAGATTTGGGCAAATGTACCAGAGGTATATAGAGTAGAAGTTTCCTGGTAGTTAAACCTCATTGACCAACTCGCAAATGAAACCATTTAGATTTCATCTTTCAGAAAGTGTCCTTGGCAATATTTCATAACAAATACTTCAGCTGAGAATTTTAAAGTCTATCTTTCCTGATTCTAGAATCTACTTTATTTCTGTAAACTTTGTTTGTACCTTTCACCATTTACTCATTTCCCTACATTTGTTTTCCTTTTAACTACCAACTGTCTTTTCCTCAAACTGAATTATCATTTATAATTTGGATCCTGCTTTCAACATCTTATCTAAGCAAAATGTCATATAATTACCAGTAGAACATGTCCATGTTAGCCTTTTTTAGTCAAAGATTTTCATGCCTGTTTCGAAATAGTGGTGGCCTAGGCTTGCACAACATACTTTGTTTGCTGTTCATGCTGTTGGAATGACAATCATTTCCCTGCCTGAGTGATAGTTTATGAAGGCACATAGAGCAAAGAGTCAGTTTCTTTACTCGTTTTTTTAATTATTGTAACTATGAGTAATACATGTCACCTTTTGTCCAGAATACATTTTATATTAACAACTGACTTGCAAACTTTATAAATATAAATATAAATATACATAAATGTATAAAATATATATTCCATAGTATATATCTATATATACACAAATACTCTTATAGGTACATGTATATGTATCTGTGTGTGTGTATGTGTATCTTTTTCAAAGAGTGCTGAGCCAAAAAAGTAAGAATGCTTTAAATATGCTGTTCAGCAAATTAATGAATAACTAATGGTTTAAAATGCACCATGAGGGAAATACCTGGACCTCATCTAGTATGGACCCCTAAACTAATGATAACTTTTACTAAATTAGTCTCTGACAAAACATCAGTGTGCACCTCTGGCAGTCTACAGCGGATGCATGGACTAAGGAGCAGTGCATGAATAAAGGTGAAATCTTACATTAAATTTTCTAAGGCAACCCATACAGCTATTTTACCTCTCAGTTAATTCAAGAATACCAGCTCCATCAGTTGCCAACTTTTTAGCAGTTTGCTCTTCTTATGGATCACCTGCTTGTATTGTGAAATCTCACGTTTTGTGTTTCTCAGGCTGTATATTTTATTTGACCACCATTTAAAAAGAAATCTTTTCTTTTCCACAATCACAGTCATGTTTTAATAAGCAGTAGGCTACAGTCTCACAATCTGCATCCAGGAAATATCTTTTAGTATTAACTTCCTTCCAATTAAAACATTCCTCTGATGAGCTGCCCAGTGGAATAAAGTTGCTCTCCCTGACAGTCTTTAGCCCCACCCAGCTGATCTCTTGCATACAGAAATATGAGTGAGAACTTCTAGTACCAGCTTACTAAAAGCATCTCTCTGCAGCCTTGCCTATGTCTTCACTTAGCCCATTTTACTTTTCACTGCAGCCTCTCTGAGATGGGATAGGTGCTGCTGTGGTTTAAAGGCAAAATATATCTTCAAGAAAAAAGACTCTAAAATTCATCCATCCTATTGAAGTTAATTGTCTAGGAAAGGCATTAACACAGAAAACCTCTTAGAGTCAGCTCTGCATGTTTTATTTCCTTTGGATTTCCAAGTGAAAATAATTACAGGAAAGCCTATAGTTATGACTGATTAGAATACTGTGATTTTTTTTCCTATCCCTTAATTTTAAAGAATTCAATAGTGTGAACTTTACTTTACATAGTTATATGGGAATTTTGCAATGTCAGTTTTAAAATTTGAACTGGATAATTTTTCTCCTGAAGGCTTCAGACATGAGCACGCTTCCAACTCATGTTTTGCTTTACCCTGTTTGACTGAACTCTCTGGTGATTCTAGTCAACTGGAACTTCAGCACTCCAGTTCTGTCCCGACTGGTAAGCTAACCTTTAGATTGATATGTATGAGTATCTTAACTTATGTTTGTACTTCTTTAATGTCTGATGTGTAATAAATAAATGTTGATGTCATCCATTTTCTGGTGGTATAGCTGATGCCAATTTTAGTTTCTTTAGTTTTTTCCCAAAATGTATAAATAGACTTTTGAAATAAAAAATAGAGGGCTGAAGTTTTTGTGCATAGAATTAAATGTCAGAAAACAAAGTCAGTAAACTCAGAAAAATGTTAATGATGTAATAGACTTTGTTCCTCTGAATGCTCAGGCCTATCAAGGCTTAGTTTTGTATGGCATGACCGATGAAATCAGGAATCTTAACCATAAACTGCAAAGAAAACACTTGCCATTTTAATTCATCTCTTTTATCTCTCATTCGTATGCACAATTATATAAAGGATAATATATTATTTATGTTCTCATTAAGAACAAGAGAATATTCATTTTAGTTATTTTATGATCTGATTTAGATTCTATATGAGCTGACAGTGTTAATATAATTAAATGTGAAGAATAATTTTAAACCTTTGAGTGTTACCTGCTTAGAATCTCACAGTTTTTGTTCTTGCTCTGCAGGTTTGAGGGAACAATACTATACACTAATAGTTTGCATTCATCAAAAAATTCTGAGGGTCTGATTTATAATGAATAGCTCTTATATGTCAACAGTGAATTAATTGTGCTTTGTAAAAAATGTTTGCCTGATGGATATTTTAAATGTTGTACTAAAGTAAAACAGCCATAATTTGTTTATCCTTCCTTATAAAATAAGGCGTTGTAATGGGAACGTAAAAGTTAAGCAAAGCTATTATAACTCTGGATATTGTTGGACACTGATCTTTGTCACATGAAAAATCTTGTAGAAATAATAAATTCCATTACACAACAAGAGGATTCTTCTAAGAATTTTGGCAAACTTCTTTATTATATAACCCCCAGTCAATCTCTGATTTATTGCTCATAGATTATTATGTATTATATGAGTTGTTTTACAGTATAAGAGTTCTTATACTGTAAACAGGAGATAAGACATTCTTTTATAAATTTTCATTCAACTATAAGAAAAAAATCTCTATGCTGTTATTTTGTCTTCTAAAATTGAGACTTACTAGATATTGAACCTAAAATTTCATAGAAGTAGGGAAATTAATTTTTTACAGATGTACATAGCTTTTTACAGTAGACTTGGTTAGAAAAATAGTTTAATAAAAAATTGATAGTTTAAATATTCATGTCTTTTTCACCATTTTTTTTGTCTTCTAGTCATTTCTGTCAGAGTTAGCACATCCATTCCATTAGATTCAACTATTGTCTTTATGCCGTTAGATTCAACTATTGTCTTTGTGCAGAGTTAGCACATCCATTCCATTAGATTCAACTATTGTCTTTATACACATCTATAGTGCAGGTATAATGTCATTTCCAGAGATGCATACTATGAACAGCCTAGAAGACACTTCCACCTTGCTATTCTGGCTATGCCTCAAACTCAACACATCCCAGTTGAAATCCCTTGAAATGCTTCCTCCTTTTTGCTTCCATATTTTTCTATGACTTCTAAGTAATCTCAATATTCCTTAACATTTATTGCAGTCGCATTTATGTGTTTATTTGTATGCATATTGGTTAATATCTATCTTCTCTACCTCTATCTCCACCATGACAGCCTCTGTACCCAATAGGATGTCTCACAATAAAACATTCTTAAAAATATATTTTCACTCTTCTAGACCAGCCTGACAAACATGAAGAAACCCTGTGTCTACTAAAAATACAAAATTAGCCAGGCGTGGTGGCACATGCCTGTAATCCCAGCTACTTGGGAGGCTGAGACAGGCGAGAATTGCTTGGACCCGGGAGGTGGAGGTTGTGGTGAGCTGAGATTGCGCCATTGCACGCCAGCCTGGGCAACAAGAGCAAAACTCCATCAAAAAAGAAAAAAAAACACATATATATATACACACACACACATATATATATACACACATACACACACACACACACACACACACACATATATATATTTGACTCACTGACTGACTGGCTGAGGAACTGAAACACCGCTCTCTTCATTTCCCTCAATGCAGACACCTGTATCGACTCCTAACTGATCTCACCTTCTCCAGATTTTTCATAACAAACCTCCTGCCCATGGATGGCTAGGAAATATTTCCCGAAGCACAACTCTCACCCATTTCCATCTTTGTTCACTATTTCAATGATTCTGTATAACCTGTGTTATAAACCTGGTGCTCTATGATTTAAGCTCTGTTTTTTTCCAAAACATTTCAAGCCCCATGTAACCTACACATATTCCACAAGTATAATTTACACTCTTTAATCACTGATAATATTCTTTCAAAATAATCTTCAATAATTATTTTCCTCTGCCTCCATTTATTATGATGTTGTTGAGATCAAATGCTCTCTTTTTCCGAAATGCATATGGCCATATCTCTGTGTAAAGGGATTTTTTTTCCTGTTGCCGAACATCTGTAGGTATTTGTCCTATATATGAAAATGTTTACATGTCAATTTCTATTATAACTATATAGTATGCCAATGACTTTTATTAGACTATGTTTCTTGAAGATAAGTATCACTACCCAATTGTTTGTGGCTTATGCATGATACACATATAAAAATTATGATTAAATAAATAACCAAATAACACATCATAGTATACTTTTTAAATGAGTTTTCTGCCATAAGGTATATTTGTTTAAGTCAAGTTATATATGTTCTGCATTAGATTTTCAAAGATATTGTGTGGAAATTATCACACAATTTGCCGCCTGATATCATCATTCAGGATAGTAACAATATGGAATTTGTCATTCATTTGAAACTTTATGGAACATTGAACTTTCCAGAATCTATTTTGTATGCTAGGAATTTTTACCTTATTTTTAATAGAGTCAAGTTTTATTTATTCATTCATAATGTATTTATTGCAGGCTTAGCACTGGGATTAGTGGTAGGGGTGTGTATATGAAAATGAGGTGATAGCCAAAGTAGAAGAGAGGTCTACCTTTTTAATCTCAGTGGTGTGGCAGTATGTTCTCAACATTCATGTACACATATTCCTAGCAGGGGAAAATAAAATATAACTGATGAAGGTTAGTCCATAGAAATTTAACCACGTATGTCTAAAAGGAAGTGTTCCATTGTTATCAAAAACAGTGTTTATACCTTTCATTTACATAGTAACTATTAGGTATCTCATAATACAGAATCTCAATCATTCTCACAAAATATCTATAAGGTAGTATTCATTCATCTTAAATTCCGTGCATTAGAAGGAGAGTCCAAAGCTCAAAGAAGTAATGTAATTGGATTAAAGTCACACATATAGTAAGTGTGTATGGGTGAGGGGGAGCAGGACAGCCGAGAGAGAGCTGAATTGGAGAGTTTTTAATCTGTTCTGTCTGTAACTTTACTGTTCTTTTTTCTCCCCAGTATTACTTGAAAATTAAGTTTAGAAATAGTCCAGTGAGGGAAATTGCCTCTTTGTGTTCCAGAGATTGATGTAATTAAAAATAAGTAATCAGTAACTAAAGTATAAATGTCTTTTTTTTATTATACTTTAAGTTCTGGATACATGTGCAGGACATGCAGGTTTGTAACATAGGTACATATGTGCCATGGTGGTTTGCTGCACCCATCAACCTGTCATCTAGGTTTTAAGCCCCGCATGCATTAGGTATTTGTCCTAATGCTCTCCCTGCCGTTGCCCCCCACCCCTCAAAGGCTGCTATTATTGATAGTGGGATTTTGATTTTGCCTATCTTTTTTTTTTTTTTTTTTTTTTGAGATGGAGTCTCACTCTTGTTGCCCAGGCTGGAGTGCAATGGCGCCATCTCGGCTCACCGCAACCTCCACCTCCCGGGTTCAAGCGATTATCCTGCCTCAGCCTCCAGAGTAGCTGGGATTGCAGGCATGCACCACCACGCCCGGCTAATTTTTGTATTTTTACTAGAGACTGGGTTTCTCTGTGTTAGTCATGCTGGTCTCAAACTCCTGACCTCAGGTGCCACCCGCCTCAGCCTCCCAAAGTGCTGGGATTACAGGCGTCAGCCACCACACCTGGCCCAATTTTGCCTATCTTTAGATGACCAATAAACTATCTGTGTTGTCCATGTTTGTATCTTACTTCCACATTCTCATGTTTCAGCTTTAATTTTGATTGCCCTTTACTTTTTCCTAGTCTATAATTTGAGATCTCAAAAGCAAATATACTTATTTATAGTCTCTGAAAATTCTACCCAGAAAGTTCTTCCTTCAGTATGAGCAGAAAGTATAAGCTAGAATGATAATCTGATATTTGATATTCTTATTTTTTTACAATTCATAAATAAATGCAAAAGTCTATGTCATTTATTTTTGTACTTTTCTGAGCTACATATAATAATTGAATACTTATAATAATTGAATACTGGTTGGGACAGAAGTAGAAGTTGCCTACCTAGGAATGCAACCTATCAGGTAATTCAGGATTCCCATGTAAATTAACATTTTTACTGTGTAAACTTTGCAGCAGATAATTACCTGGACTCTAGAGCCAGACTAGTATTGAGTTTGCTCTGCTACTAACTGCATGACTTCAGAAAGTTAAATGAATCACTCTGTGTTTCTGACTCCTCATATATATTAAGGGTGTAAAAAATCCCTACCTCATGGAGTATTTAAGAACATTAAATGATAGAATGTCAAAAACCATTTAGCACAATGCCTGCAACTAATATCTAGCATATGCTAACTATTATTCAAAATACACTAAGGAGGTGAGGTCACTTATTATAATGGTTTTCCAGAAGGTGATGATTAACCATGTGCTGGGGCTCACAATTTATATGAGGCAAATTGCAAAATCCTATGTAGTACAAACTGAGCTTCTCAAACTGACACAGTTATCCCCAGGAATATCTGACAGTGTGTATAAAATATATATCACACAGTGCAGGAGCATTTATGTTACTGATGAGTAATTTTATTCATTTTAACATTAAAGAAGGACTTGGTAGGAAGTGAAACAAATGTCATAATTCTTTTTCTAATTTTCAAAATTTTTCATCTTTGTGGGTACATAGTGGTGTGTGTGTGTGTGTGTGTGTGTGTGTGTGTGTGTGTGTGTGTGTGTATTATTTATTTATTTATTTATTTATTATTTGAGATGGAGTTTTGCTCTTGTTGCCCAGGCTGGAGTGCAATGGCATGATCTCAGCTCACTGCAATCTCTGCCTCCCGGGTGCAAGGAATTCTCCTGCCTCAGCCTCCCGAGTAGCTGGGATTATAGCCATGGGCCACTACGCTGGGCTAATTTTGTATTTTTAGTAGAAACGAGGTTTCTCCACGTTCAGGCTCATACCACCACACCTGGCTAATTTTTTGTATTTTTAGTAGAGATGGGATTTCACCATATTGGTCAAGCTGGTCTCAAACTCCTGACCTCAGGTGATCCACTAGCCTTGGCCTTGCAAAGTGCTGGGATTACAAGTGTGAGCCACCGTGTCCAGCCATGTATATATATTTATGTGTGTACATGACATATTTTGATACAGGCATACAATGCATAATAATCACATCATAGTAAAGAGATATCTCTCACCTCAAGCATTTATTCTTTCTTTGTGTTACAAACATTCCAATTGCATTCTGATGAAATGTCAGACTGCAAAGAAAAACTCCTTTTGACCTATAGATGTCTGTGGGCATTCCTGTTTTTCTACCAATAGAAGTATTTCTAAAAGAATGTATGTGAGGCAATGGAAAGAAAACAGAAAGGTGGTGGCTGCACGAGGACCTTGGTTTCTGTTGGCTACTAGGGTGTTGATGCCTGATGATGATAGTGGCATCACCATGGTCTTAATGAGGTCAGTAATTTGTCTTGAATTCAGTGTGGCTGTGTTAGCTTTAAGTATTAGCAACATGCAACAGTGTTCTGAAGATATCAGGAGTCCTTGTAAAGTAGCTGGAAATTTTACTTTACTTCAGTGGAAATTGGAAAAGGAAAATGAGGTTATGTATGTACCAGAAATTAAATTTCTCTATTTTGTTCCCAGTCCGGACAAAAAGGAGCCAGAAAAAAAGACTTCCTGCTTTCATAATTAAGAGTTAATGTAGCCTTTAGAAATGAGATGCCTTCTTTGAATTATGAATAATGCATTAAAGGAGGAAACGGAGAGAGTAACAATAACAATCATGCATTATCTAGACCAAAGTGACTAAGTTGTAGATGGGCATAGCTAAATTTATAAGCTTCTTTTATATGAGAATATGACAGTGAGGCCAAAAGAGTGGCTTGTCTCAGGTCACTCAGATAATTAGACATAAAGGTCAGCCTATAATTCTCTATATCCTGAATTGTTATACCCTTATGTGTCTTCTTACTCCCAAGGGTCATCATTACATAATATATGACTTGGACTTTGACATAGAACAACTACGAATGTAGCTCAGACACAGGAGATTTTAGAACTTGTGCAAGTTATTTAAAACTTCTCTCTGCCTATTCTCAGTGAGACACCTACTTTGTAGAGTTAACTGTGGAATTAAAAAAATGTGCGAAAAATACCTTGTGCAGGGAAGGGGCCTAGAATACACATTTAATGGGTGAGATGTTGCCCCATTTCTTTTTTTCCATTGTTCTGCCTATTTATCTTATTCTCTTGTGACTTCTCAACCTCCAGATTCCTGGGCCATTCATATGAGTTGCTATAAGGACAAGAGATACATATTGAATCTGAAAACCAAAAAAGTCTAACAAATACTCATATTACCCTGAGTTTTCTAGTTAATTCCTGCAACTACATGACTTTTAGACCAAACAAATGCTCTCGAGAGTGAATTGTGTTAATTGCAAAAAATACAAAGATCTGGGAGTCAGTCTAACCATCTTTAGTAATATAAGAATCCCCATCTCATCATTTCTTTATTTTCCTCTAACATTAAATAAATTATCTTTTTCTTCTATTTGTCCTGCAGATGTTTTCTTCAGAATTCTTATCTGATTCCACAGTAGATAAGCACAACTCAGCATTTTATAGTTCTTCTTTTCCACTGAATAATTGACTCTAGCTAGTGAAATTTCAGATTTCATGCTCCATTTTCAAGGCCATCATGAAGCCATTTCTCAAAGCAAAAGCATTTACAGAAGTAGTTAATTCTCCAGTAGAGCCAAGTAGTGGGTTTTGGAAATCATGGCTTCCACAAACAAATACTACATATTTTACAATTTCTGGTAAACACAAGGATGACCACAGAGAGCTTGGACATTTTTTCATCTTGTTTGGCTTTGAAAATCAAATAAAACTATTCTCAAAAATTCCCTCATATACTTTTATATGTATACTTCATAAGATTCATTAAAACAAAATAGAGCTTTATTAACTTCATAAAATACATACACAGTCACATAGATTTGAACTGAAATTGGCAATTTTATCACCAAAAAAGGTGAGCAGAATAAGAATTAGTGAAAGTTCCAGTGTATAAAATGTTCACTATTTGTAAGTCAACAGTATAATGTAGGACCTACCAAAATGCAAGACATTGTACAAGCATAAAAACTCATTAAGAGAGAATAAAACATAGCCCCTGATTTTAGTTAATATTAGAGAAGACATTCACTCATTACATTAGTACTTATAGAGTAGCTATATATGCTATGTGCTTTGACACACACACATGCATAACAGTGTATATGTGTAAGCACACTGCCTAAACTGGTAATAATATTATTCCAGGAATCACTGGCATACCCTGGCTCCTCCTCATCCATGGGTGTCCAGCAATAATTAACAGTCATTCTTTCAACCTTATCTTCATACTCTCATCTCACCTTGTAGAAGTCAGTATCAGTACCTTATGTGATAGATGGTTACAAAGAAGGAGAAGGCAACAGAAAACAAAAAAGATCCTACATGAGGAAGGTTCGCAATAGAAAACACTGTCTGTATTGAATGAAATTAAACTATATGGGTAGTTTAATATTTTTGTTTTTGTTTTTGTTTTTGTTTTGAGATGGAGTCTCACTCTGTCACCCAGGCTGGAGTGCAGTGGCGCAATCTCGGCTCACTGCAACCTCCACCTCCCAGGTTCAAGTGATTCTCCTGCCTCAGCCTCCTGAGTAGCTGGGACTACAGGCGCATGCCACCATGCCTGGCTAAGTTTTTTTTGTATTTTTAGTAGAGACGGGGTTTCACCATGTTAGCCAGGATGGTCTTGATCTCCTGACCTTGTGATCCTCCCGCCTCGGCCTCCCAAAGTGCTGGGATTAAAGGTGTGAGCCACCACACCAGGCCTAATATAGTTTAATTTCAGACTTTCATCTCCTAAAATGTAAGCTTTAGAAACGTCTCTTCCAGGGTTTACTTCATGGTCCTAAGTCATACTACCTCTTTATTCTTGTCAGCCTTCCCCTACCGCTTCTTTCTAATGAACACTTTTCTGAGCCCTGCCTTGGCCTCTGTTTTAATCCTCATCCACATTAGGCTTCTTTTCCCTAATGAATATAACATTTTTCTTAGGCTTCTTTTCCCTAATGAACATAACATTTTTCTTTTGCATCCTCTGACCCCATGGCATCTCACTCAAGCCCACCTGTGGAGCCCCTGTGCCTTCTCTGTGACTCCAGTCTCTTCAGTGCTGAAGATCTTCCTCAGGTTTTGGGAGCCATCAAAAATGGTGGTGAGTGAGGACCTCCTCCCATCACCCAGTTTCAGCAAGGCAAATGGTGGGTGGAAGCAGTATTCCCTCTCCACCATAAGAGGCACATGTTAGGGAGGACTAGGGGATTGAGGATGGTTCTGGAAGTCAAATTAAAATGTTAATGTTGTACCTGAGTCACACAATGAATTAATTAAATTCATTTCCTGGAATTTGGATTAAATTCATATTCAGGAAATGAATTAAATTCATATCCTGGATATTGTCACTCTGTATTATCCTGTTTCTAAGTGGAAATTTTTTCCATCTTCCATGCTATGGACTTCTGAATTTACCTCTTGTAGCACCCATGAGCTGTTTGTAACTCCGGAATGGTCATTTAAGGGAGAAATGAGGTAGCTATTCATTATAGTGTATGCTGAAGGAAAAATAAATGATAAAGTAGAAGCGTTCTGGCCTTTTGGTAGAATAGATAAATATGGTCCAAAGAAGATAGAAACGGAAAGAAATTATAAAGAAAGACAGACTTTTATAAAGAAAGGAGGAGGGCATTCCTGGAGAATGAAATGACAAGAACAAAGAGCATGTTATCACAAAGCATTCATTCGTGTGTTTGTCAGTTTATTTTTTGCCATCCCTGCATACATACCTTTCTTTCCAGTATGAATATTCTAATGTTCTCTTGGAAAGTTATCCCTTTTCCAAGGGATATCCTGTGGCTATGGAAGTTGTTGACATAGTTTATGCCCCATATTTAAGCTACGCCTGAAGCCATTCTGCCTTCCAATGCAGACTTCCAACTTACTGGCTTATCGTTGAGCCAGTACGTTTCTTAATGTTTATGCCTAATTTGAGTTGACACTTCTGTCACTTGCAACAGTAAGAGTTCTCAGTGACAGATGTGATAATGAATTTCCAGTTTTTGTGGATGGCAGCAAGATCTACCTGGCTCATACAAAAGATGCATGTTCTAAAGTAGTGGGAGGTTAAGTCAAATGTGGATAGAAAAGCAAACCTCAAATCCTAATTAATAGCATTGGCCAGTAGCCTTGATAGTTATCTTACTATTTCTGGGAGATCAATTTTAGGTTTCCACTTTTTTTTTTTTCCTGTTCAAGGCCTGGTAACATTAATCTGTGCCCGCAGTCAAGCAGTCACTCATCATTTATGGAAATCTAACAAACTGTGGCCTTGACCTCTGCTCTCAAGGTTCCTGACTCCATATCCTTTTGCAGCTAAAATAGATGGAAACTGAGCCTCATATAGAAATTTAATGGGTCCCTAAGGCAACATTTTACTTTTCTCTTCCTCCTACTAAAGAGAAAATTTTATTTAATTTGTAGGGGGAGGAGGAGCTGCTTAATCTTGGGCTGTTTACAGAAACTCCTCCAGGGGTCTCAGATTGGCCAAGCCTGTCTGATTCAGTTCTATTTCAGGGCAGAATTCACGTGGGTCTTTTATGTTCCTGTTTGTGATTTCATGCAGGGATGGGACACAGGAATAAATTTATACTTGTATAACCACTGAGATATGTCATATTTAACCATCTGGTTAGGAACTGGGCCAAAGATTCTTTTACACTCTGAGAAACTGGCTATGGAAGTTGTTGATATTAATGACTATCCTTTTCTTCTGTATTTTCAGGTTACTTAAGGGGCAAATGCCCATGGATTTTTATCTTCCTTAGTATGAGGAAACATTTTCTTCAGTGGATGGTTTTAGGTTAAAATACATAAGGCCTACCTTGGCAGTTGCAGCATATAACTACATCAGTGCTCATCGTCTTCCTTATGGAAACAGTGGCCATGTTTTTTGTTTCATTTTGTTTTGTTTTAAGAAACCTTCCTTTGTCTCTTTCTCAATTGTAATGTTAGTAGATAAAACCACAGTGTCTGGGAGTTAGCCTGACTAATTTATGACCATACAGTATGTTATAGATTTAGAAGGGAGCCTAAGTTTATCCAATCAGAGTGAACTTTAAGGCTTTAGTTGGTAATTCTGGACTTACTTTCTGGGCTTGGAAAGACTATGAGGCTTCGAACTGAAACTTGACGCAGTCATGAGGAGAGAGCCTGGTATTGTCAAAAATGACCTGGGGAGCCTGAAAATGAAGAAAACCCAAAAGAAACAGAGCCGAGATTGCTTTTACTGTAATGTTGGAGCATAAATCAGGCTCTGCCCGAAGCTAACCTGAACTAGGAGCTCATAAAAATTTAGTTCATTTTATTTGCTTAAACCAATTTATATCAAGACATGTAGCTATTTGTAGTTTGGTAACATAGGAAATATTTTCTCCTTCTGCCTCTTCTCTTAGAACACTTTCCTTTTCTTCAAAATTTCTCTCAAATATTGTCTCATCTGTGAGGCTTTCTTTGGCACAGGTGTATAGTTGGTCACTCTATTATAATCTTTATCATATGCTATGTCTGCTTATCTGTATCTTGTGTTGTAAATTACTACAATTTGTTGTAATATATTTATTTAGCACCTCTTCTGTGCCACACTGGGTTAAGCTTTAGAGATTTGATGCTGAACAAGGCCAACGTGGTTTATGCCCTATGTGTACTATTTTAACTGATAGGTTATTGATAATTAGAGATATGATGTGTTTCAGCAAAAGGAAGATACAGAGAACCAGGGCAGCCATGCAAGAGGAATATTACAAACAAAATATTACATGTATGATATATCTTGGGGTTAGCAAAAGAAAGTTGCATAATACTAAATGTGATCATTCCTAGAGAGTATTGTCCTCTTGGTAATAGTGTTTCATTTGCTTTGTTTTAATCACTGGGAGCTGTTTTAATTACTTGTATATAACAGAAATTTTTAAAAAATTATTGAATTTGTACATGATTCAAAACATATTTACCTCTGAACCTTCCTTGATTAACACCCCTCCACAAAAATCTTTCCTGCTTTAAATTCTCAAAGTTTAATTTTTATTGAATATCCACATTGCCTTTATTTTATTTACTTACATTTAGAGAGTTGATGCTTGGCATTAATAAGCCTTATATCTAAGATCTTCAAAGATGTCCAAAATCACAAATGCAGAAATTTTACCAAAGCTGGCACATTCTCCCTGAATCACAGTTTCACCAAAAGTCACATATATAAGCACCATGTGCCCACAGCACAAGCTTAACATCTTTTCAGTATTCACCAACATTTTATCTTCTATGCTGTAAAAGTACAACATTGACTAGAGCACTCAGTGAAAAAAGGAAAATACGTTTTCTGATTTTCATACACCCCATATTATGGGTTTCGTTCAAATGGTAGGCCAACACTGAGTTTAACAATTCACTCTTGAGAATATCTAAAACTTTTATATTCAAGATAAGAACCAAGAATTCATTTTATCATACCTATTGACTTTGTATTTCCTTCTTCTAAACCAGTTTCTTCAGGTAGATTTTATTCTGCCTTATGCCAGGGATATTTTTTTCCAAATAAAAGTCGGCATATGTGACTTTACAAGAGCTACCATTTACTCAAATTACAAATAGAGAAAAGATGAGAAGAGATAAACATATGAAGAGCTGACTGACTCTGACTTCGATCAAAAGCTAAGTGACTCATACTACTTAACTTTGTGACTTAATAAATAACAAGTGAATCATAAGTGGATTTGCAATATGTTCAAGAATATAGAAACCCTGAATACTAAGCTCATGAATGTCATGATAGTGGAGTAGTAATATGTTTCATTCAATAGACTATAAGTTATTTGAAGGAAGTTTTGTTTTTTTTTTTTTTTAACATTCAAGCTATGTGAATAAAGCACTGACTCTTTCTTGGTCTCAGTTTTTCATCTGTAGAAGAGGTGTAAGATTTTCAATTTTTATTACTATCCCTGAGAGCCTGCCAGTTCTGAACATATAGCTATCAAATGGAAGCTTGATTGCCAGTAAAAACCTATTACAGTTGTAATGATTTTAGGCAGAATATTTACATTTACACTTACGATATCTGTTACTTATTTATTCATTTGCAGAAAGGTCAGTTTAAATTTGAGATACAGCTTGCATTGGAAAAAAAAGTGAAGCAAACTGATCCCCTGGAGATTGGGTTCAAGATATTAATTAGTTAGGTTTAGGGTAGGACTGTCATATACTAAAATTTCTTAAAAATATTTTATACAAAATTTCTAACTGACCTCACATAATCTTTTAAGTTATATTATTTCCAAAATGTCATTCCTTTTATATTTATATATATAAATATATATTATATTATATATTAATATCTATATAATATATATTATATATAATATAGATACATATTATATATATCATATAGATACATATGATATATATAATATAGATTATTATATATATTATATATGTGTATTTTATATATATATCTTAAGAATCCTACATGATGGATCTTATTCAATGAAACAAATTAGGCACAGTCTAGTGGGAAGACAGCCACTTAAATCTTTTCTTTTTTTAAGGCAACATTATTTGTGCTATAGTAAATTTGTGAATGATGTGTTGTGGAAACACAGGGCGGGTAATTAAATTCTGCAAGATGGGTAGGAAAGAAGCTGTAGAGAAAGTATACAGTGGAGGGGACATTTGAACAGAAACCTTATGAATGAAATTTCTGTATAAAGTTAAAATATAAAGGGGAAAATGAAGTCCAGGTAAAGGGAATGTCATGGTCAACCACACGAAGGCATGAGAAAGCAACACACAGTTGAGGAAAAAAAAAATCAGTGTTTAATGCCAACCCAGAAACCATCAGAAATAGTCAATCATTCCTCTGGATGTCTAGAATTTTCAAAATATATTTAGGAGAATAGTTTATTTATGATTATCTTAGGCTAACTCCCTTCAACACACTCTACATTCTTCAAAGCAGGGATCATTTCTGATTTACCAAGCGTAACACCTGGCCATAGTAGCTGTTCAACAGACAGTCGTTAAATGAGTACTAATGGAGCTGGACTTTGGGTTGTGTGAGACAGAGATGGAAAACAAGAAGGTTACATTGAGCCAATTTGTAATAGGATTTAAACATAAGACAAGCAGTTTAGCCTTTATTCCTCTAGTGAAGACATGCCACCAAGGGTGTCTAATTAGGATAGTGACATGGTTCAAGCTGTGCTATTGATAGTTTCAAAAGAAGAAATCTTCCTTCCCTGCTCTTGAAATATAACACAGGTCAATTTTGCTTATTTTGCCAATCACATTCAAGTTTATAAAAGTCACTTTGAAGATTAGAAAGTACAGAAATAATATGATTTTAAAACTTTAAACTTTCATACAATTCAAAATTTAGGAGAGGCAACATTGTACGCTACCTTTTTAGTGCTTTTTCCAAATTGGGTCCAAGAATTAAATTAGCATAAGGTAGAGCAACAGGAGGAAGGCATAAAATTCATTGAATGCAAGTTTTACATGGCACAGGAGCCTTTATAAAGAGATAAAGACTCAAAGATGCAGTTGGAGTTGAAAACCGATATACTGAATTACACAAAGATCAATAAACTATGAAAATGTGACAAGGCAAAGGGGCTTGGGCTATAGTCATTGATTTGGGGGAGAGGTGGCTAGAAGGATAAGTGTTCATCTAACAATGGTTGTTTGTACAGATTACTTTTGGCCTCAACTTCCTGTCTTTGATGACACTTTTCTTCTAGTATAGGAAGCACATCATTCACATGTGAGTTTTATCTCCCGCTTTTAGGAAACTGAAGGTCAGAGTTATAATCTTGCATCTACTGTTTGTCATGTGCCTTTAACTAAAAATAGTTAATATGCCAGGGTGGTATATTTTGGAGTGGCACAGTCTTAACTCCTACAAAAGTTTCTCTCATCTTCTCTTCTTGGGACTGGAAACAGCAGAACAACAGCAATGGACAAGAGGGAAGGGGTATAATGTGACCTGGTTATTCACCATTTCTTCACTTGCTTTTCCACTCTTTCTCTCACAGTTTTTACAACATGTGGATTATTCCAGAGCTGGTAGAGGATGAGAGGAAGAACATAAAGGTGTCATATGACTAGTACTATTGTAATCTGACCTTTGAGTGCCCAAATGCCATCTTTTTCTTATGGAATGGTTTTTTTAGTGTTTTCTGGAGACTTTCCCTGATCAAAACCTCTACACCCCCTCTGGGGAGCTTGGGGAGTTCCTATACCGCATTCCCTGGGAGGCTGCTTACACTCAGAACTTGCAATTCACACACACCCCTTATTATAGAGTTTTATTTACCTTGGCAGGCACTCTTCTTAAGTAGGTCCCTTTCAATATGTCTGGAGTTCATTTACCTTTCTAAGTACCCACTTATCCCCCAGGACAACACAGTAGTAATACCTGCAACACATTCTAGAAGGGCAAGGAGCTAAGTAGCTACTCTTCAGCTCTCTCCTTGCTTCATCATGAGGACACCTCCAACTCTGTCCTTCCAAACTTTCAAGGAAAAAGTAGGCGTGGATATCTATGCTATGGGAACTCCAGGAAATACAGGTCAATTTTCCCTGAGAATAATTTTTTCACTTATCACTCTGGTTCTTTGGAAGCCCTAAGAACCTTTCATTTTTGTAGTTCACATGCGCATGGGTGAGAATCCCATCCTCCTCCTTGCAGTCACACTCACTCTCTGGAGTAGTTTTCCTGATGCTGCTCTTATTTGGTTTGAGATAGGGGAGTTGTACACTGAGAGAGGTGTATGGCGTATACAGCAGGCCACACTTTTCTTATAGCAGTTCTTATTCTTCCCTTTTATCTCCCATATTATCTGATAGCTGCAATGAAGCTGCAAGATGTGCTAAGGGAATCAGATGTGTGCTTCATGTTCTATAAATGTGCCTAGCACCTTTCTTTAGAATGTGGGAATAATTTGTACCTTGTGTTAATCTGTTCTCATACTGCTATGGAGAAATACTCGAGACTGGGTAATTTATAAAGGAAAGAGGTTTAATTGACTCACTGTTTTGCATGGCTGGAAAGGCCTCAGGAAACTTACAATCATGGCAAAAGAGGAACCAAACGAGTCCTTCCTCACAAGGTGGTAAAAGAAGTACCAAGCAAAGGGGGAAGCCCCTTATAAAACAATCATATCTCATGAGAACTCACTCACTATCACGAGAACAGCATGGGAAAAACCACCCCTATGATTTAATTATCTCCACCTGGTCCTGCCCTTAACAAGTGGGAATTATTACGATTCAAGGTGAGATTTTGGTGGGGACACAGAGCCGAACCATACTGTTTGCAACTTTGGGCATCTTTCTAAACTGGAGAAGAGAGAAAATCCTCATTTGCATCCTGTTAGACATTGTACAGCTTATTTAATACTCACACTGGTCCTAAGAGTTAGGTATCATTATTCCCATTTTACAAATGTGGAAATTGATGCAGAGCACATAATCTATCCTAGTGGCAGAATTCAACTATAAACCTGAGTGTGTCTCATTATAAAGTCCAACACAATTCTGCTCAGTTCTGAAATGTTTGATCAAGAAGCCTACTGACAGAGTAGATAATAATTTGGGACTAAAAGGTCATTGTCTGAACAATGGATATTTTGATGTATGGTCAGCTTTGGCCAGAGCAGTCACTCTATTCTAGCAGTCACCTTATTCCAGAAGGTTCCTCCGAAAACCTGGGGAACTTATGGCCTTCACTATCAAGCTGTTTTGAATATACCTGGCTTTTAAGCATAAGACCCAATCATCCTCATAAACGGTATACTGTATAGTCATATTTCCAAGTAAAATGGCAGTTGAATGAAAGCTACTAATCCATGCCCAAGCTTAGGCATTGTCTAAGTCCCGAGCTAAAGCTTAAGTTTCATGAGTGTCCTCTAATGGTCTTTTTATACCGGCACATGTTAAAAGAAAATACAAAAGCCTTTTAAGAAAAACTGAGATACCTCTATACATGCAAAGGGTAGAGACAGCAAGAAACATCGGCAGCCAACAACAGTGTATTGTTGCAGTTTCTCAATTATAATTCAAATTTTATGCTTTAAGTTTTTATTGAATATATCATAGAAGCTTACAAATATGCTATTTCTGGTTGCAGTAAAGAATTTATCAAACAGGATTTTATTGCAGATTTTGAAATTTGATTTTATTAGTGATTTGGAACTATTTAAATACAGGTTTATGTGGATGCAATACTTGTTCAATTTCTAAATTACTAATTTGAGCATTTAGTTGACATCATTTAAATTTTACATATGTGTGTAGCATCCAGTTTATACTCAAAATTTTACCTTTCCCTGATCTCCAAACATGAGTTAATCCAACCATCTTCAAATGCAAACATTATATTGTTTGAAGTACTACATGGTTATAATTATTCTTCTCAAAAAATCAGAAATCTGCCATGTGTAAATAAACTTGCTATGTGTTTCTGAGTAAACTTATTTTCTTTATCTCTGTTTTCATAACTACTATTAAAATAGCACTTATATTATTTCCTTCCTAGACAATGTCAAAAAATTAGCTTCTATTTTAATAAGAACTAATATCTTCAAGGAAAAGACAAGGTGGTGTAGGGAGGACATCAGTATAATTATTACTTCACAAATGAAAATTATTTTAAGTCTGTGATACAAAGCTATTTCAGAAACTGCAGAGAAAAACATGTACAAGGACAAATTAATCAGAGTATTCTCAATCAAAATGGTATAGCTCAAAGTTAATAAGTTATTTATTCTCATTTAGGGAATATTACTGAAGTTTTGGCATGCAATAAGTGCACTGAAACATTAAGCTGGTCATTGAGCAGATGAATGAACATTCCAGCAAGGAGCATTTTAGTGTCACACTACATTTTTGCTTCACTAATTTAAAAACTGCGCCGTTTCAGTTTATTATAGGTAATTTCTAAAATAAGTCAAGTTAATAGGAAATGTAGTACCCAGAGAAATCACCCAACAGGGATTAAGGGTTTTTAAAAAGTGAAGCTTAATTTAAAAGTATGAAGGGCAAATATTACGTGATATCATTTGTATGAGGGATCTAAAACAGTTAGAGCAGGGTGGTGGTTTCCAAGATCTCGGGGAAGTAAAAAATGGGAAGGGATTAGTCAAAGGATACGAAGTTTCAGTTGTGCCAGATGAGTAAGTCCTAAAGATCTACTGTACAGCACAGCGTCTCTAGCTAATAAGACTATATTGCATACGTAAAAATTTGCTAATAGGGTATATCTTATGTTAAGTGTTCTTGTAACAAATAGTAATCAATAAAGAAGGCAGGAGAAAAAGTAAATAAATAAGTAAAAGTATAAATGGCTTACAAAAAATCAGTTTCTTAAATGCATAGTTAATATTCTAGGTGTTTGTGTGTTTGCTTTTTAGAAGTCTGAAAGCAAAAGCTCAGCCATAACTCTTTTCTGTACTTACGGTCCAATTGCCTCATTACGTGTTAAGATACGGGTTTGCATTCACATATTTCTACTAAGCATCTTGCATGAACAAATACCTTCAACTTCTTCACCCTTTCAAACAATCTCCACCTTTAATAATGATAATAATAATTACTCATTAAGTACTTATTCAGTACGAGGTACTATTCTGCATGCTTTTATAATTTATTTAATCCTCGTAACGACCAAATGAGAAAGGCACTCTAATTAAAAAAAGAAACTGAGGCACAGATATATTAACAAGATCACACAATTTGTAAATGGTAGAGCAAAGTGGGATTTTTAAAAATGGATAATGCTCTTAAGACCTAACTAGATTACAGTAAAACTGACCGTAGTACATTTTCTTTTTAATACGTTTTGTAATAGGACAACATTGAAATCTCTGCAAATGAATGATGCTAAAATCCTTTAAAATAGTATGTAAGATTGAAGGCATATTTTCAGTAATGCTACTTAACAAAATAGGAGGATTTATATAATAAATATTGTCAGTTACTTCAGGCTGCTATAAGAAAATATCATAAACTCTGTGGCTTATAACAACAGAAATTCTCACAGTTCTGGAGGGTGGAAAGTTCAAGATCATGGTACTAAGAGATTCAGTGTCTAATAAGGGCCCATTTTCTTATTCATAGATGACCCTTCTTGCTGTGTCCTCACATGATGGAAGAAGTGAGAAGTCTTTCTTGAATCTCATCTATAAAAGCAATTAGTCTATTCGTGAGATCTCTGCCCCCATGACCTAATCACATGCCAAAGCCCCCACCTCCAGACACTATCACCTCGGGGGTTAGGATTTCAATATAAGAATTGGGAGTGGGCCGGGCACTGTGGCTCACACCTGTAATCCCAGCACTTTGGGAGGCCTAGGCGGGAGGATCACGAGGTCAGGAGATCGAGACCATCCTGGCTAACACTGTGACACCCCATCTCTACCAAAAAATACAAAAAAAATAGCCGGGCGTGGTGGCAGGCGCCTGTAGTCCCAGCTACTCCAGAGGCTGAGGCAGGAGAATGGCGTGAACCCGGGAGGCGGGGCTTGCAGTGAGCCAAGATCACACCACTGCACTCCAGCCTGGGTGACAGAGCAAGACTCCGTCTCAAAAAAAAAAAAAAAGGAATTGCAGGTGGACACAAACATTCAGACCATAGCAAATATCAAGGCTTTTGCACTTTACTTGCTGAACACTGAGAATGGAGGCTCTCCAAAGATAGCCACACTCTGTGGATCATTTAACCTCAGGGAATTGAATGATTCATGAAATACTAAAATTAATATCAAAACAAAATATGTCCATATATTCTGAAAATATTTTTAGCCCTCATTGACAGAAAAAGAAAATAAAAAACCTAGACTGCTCAAAGAAACTTTTTAATGATGATTTTGATAAATATTTTTTAAAGTTTTGTACTAACATTTGTTGAGTTTTGAAGACATAAATATATTTTTTAAACTGAAGGCAGATAGCAGATCATATGATCCTGGAAATGTAAGATGTAACTGTGTGGGAAATAGTCTTAAGAGTGCTCTTCCTGTAAATGAAAAAGCTAACTTCAAGGTGAACATAAGAAGAAGTCAAGTTTTCTCATTTTTTAAAATTATACTTAAAGTTCTGGGTTACATGTGCAGAATGTGTAGGTTTGTTACATAGGTATACACGTGCCATGGTGGTTTGCTGCACTCATCAACCCATCACCTACATTAGGTATTTCTCCTAATGCTATCCCTCCCCTAGCCTGCTACCCCTTGACAGGCCCCAGTGCATAATATTCCTCTCCCTGTGTCCATGTATTCTCATTGTTCAACTCCCAATATCAGTGAGAACATGCAGAGTTTGGTTTTCTGTTCCTGTGTTAGTTTGCTGAGAATGATGGTTTCCAGCTTCATCCATGTGCCTGCAAAAGACATGAACTCATCTTTTTTATGGCTGCAAAGTATTCCATTTTGTATATGTGCCACATTTTCTTTATTCAGTCTATCACTGATGGACATTTGGGTTGGTTCCAAGTCTTTGCTATTGTGAACAGTGCTGCAATAAACATATGTGTGCATGTGTCTTTATAGTAGAATGATTTATGATCCTTTGGGTATATACCCAGTAATGGGATTGCTCGGTCAAATGTTATTTCTGGTTCTAGATCCTTCAGGAATTGCCACACTGTCTTCCACAATGGTTGAACTAATTTACAATCCTATCAACAGTGTAAAAGCGTTCCTATTTCTCATCTTCTCCAACATCTGTTTATTCCTGACTTTTGAATGATCACCATTCTAACTGGTGTGAGATGGTATCTCATTGTGGTTTTGATTTGCATTTCTCTAATGGCCAGAGATGATGAGCTTTTTTTCGTGTTTGTTGGCCACATAAATATCTTCTTTTGATAAGTGTCTGTTCATATCCTTTGCCCACTTTTGGATGGGGCTGTTTGCTTTTTCTTGTAAATTTGTTTAAGTTCTTTGTAGATTCTGGATATTAGACTTTGTCAGATGGATAGACTGCAAACATTTGCTCCCATTCTGTAGGTTGCCTGTTCACTCATGGTAGTTTCTTTTGCTGTGCAGAAGCTCTTTAGTTTAATTAGATATCATTTGTCAATTTTGGCTTTTGTTGCAATCGCTTTTGGTGTTTTAGTCATGAATTCTTTGCCCATGCCTATGTCCTGAATGGTATTGACTAGGTTTTCTGCTATGGTTTTTATGGTTTTAGGTCTTATGTTTAAGCCTTTCATCTATCTTGAGTTAATTTTTGTATAAGGTGTAAGGAAGGGGTCCAATTTCATTTCTCTGCATATGGCTAGCCAGTTTTCCCAACACTATTTATTAAATAAGGAATCCTTCCCATTGCTTGGTTTTGTCAGGTTTGTCAAAGATCAGATGGTTGTAGATGTGTGACATTATTTCTGAGGCCTCTGTTCTGTTCCACTGGACTATGTATCTGTGTTCATAACAGTACCATCCTGTTTTGGTTACTGTAGCCTTGTAGTATAGTTTGAAGTCAGGTAGCATGATGTCTCCAGCTTTGTTCTTTTTACTTAGAATTGTCTTGGCTATATGGGCTCTTTTTGGTTCCATATAAAATTTAAAGTAGCTTTTTCCAATTCTGTGAAGAAAGTGAATGGCAGCTTCATGAAGATAGCATTGAATCTGTAAATTACTTTGGGCAGTATGGCCATTTTCATGACATTGGTTCTTCCTATCCATGAGCATGGAATGTTTTTGCATTTGTTTGTGTCCTCTCTTATTTCCTTGAGCAGTGGTTTGTAGTTCTCCTTGAAGAAGTCCTCCACATCCCTTGTAAGTTGTATTCCTAGGTATTTTATTCTCTTGTAGCAATTGTAAATGGGAGTTCCCTCATGATTTGGTTCTCTGTTTGTCTATTATTGGTGTATAGGAATGCTTGTGATTTTTGCGCATTGATTTTGTATCCTGAGAATTTGCTGAAGTTGTTTATCAGCTTAAGGAGATTTGGGGCTGAAACTCCCACATAATAATAGTGGGAGTCTTTAACACCCCACTGTCAATATTAGACAGATCAACAAGACAGAAAATTAACAAGGATATTCAGGACTTGAACTCAGCCCTGGACCAAGTGTATCTAATAGACATCGACACAACTCTCCACCCCAAATCAATGGAATATACATTCTTCTCAGCACCACATCACACTTATTCTAAAATTGACCACATAATTGGAAGTAAAACACTCCTCAGCAAATGCAAAAGAATGGAAATCATAAGAAACAGTCTCTTAGAACACAGTGCAATCAAAATAGAACTCAGGATGAAGAAACCCACTCAAAACTGCACGACTACATGGAAATTGAACAACATGCTCCTGAACAACTACTGGGTAAATAACGAAATTAAGGCAGAAATAAATAAGTTCTTTGAAAATAATGAGAACAAAGACACATTGTACCTGAATCTCTGGGACACAGCTAATGCCGTGTTTAGAGGGAAATTTATAGCATTAAATTCCCACAGGAGAAAGGGAAACAGATCTAAAATCGACATCCTAACATTTATGTGGCCAATGAACATATGAAAAAATGTTCATGATTACTGATCACTACAGACATGCAAATCAAACCACAATGAGATACCATCTCACACCAGTTAGAATGGCAATCATTAAAACATCAGAAAACAACAGATGCTGGAGCGGATGTGGAGAAATAGGAATGCTTTTACAATGTTGGTGGGCGTGTAAATTAGTTCAACCATTGTAGAAGACAGTTTGGCAATTTCTCAAGGATCTAGAACTAGAAATACAATTTGACCAAGCAATCCCATTACTGGATATATACCCAGAGGATTATAAATCATTCTAGTATAAAGACACTATAACATGTTTGTTTATTGCGGCACTATTCACAATAGCAAAGACTTGGAACAAACCCAAATGTCCATCAATTATAGACTGGATAAAGAAAATGTGGCACATATACACCATGGAATACTATGCAGCCATTAAAAAGAATGAGTTCACCTTTGCAGGGACATAGATGAAGCTGGAAATCATCATTCTCAGTAAACTAACACAGGAACAGAAAACCAAACACTGCATGTTCTCACTGATAAGTGGGAGTTGAACAATGAGAACACATAGACACAGGGAGGGGAATATCACACACTGGGGCCTGTCAGGTGGTGGGGGGATAGGGAAGGGATAGTATTAGGAGAAATACCTAATGTAGGTGACAGGTTGATGGGTGCAGCAAACCACAATGGCACGTGTATACCTATGTAACAAAACTGCACATTCTGCACATATACCTCAAAACTTAAAAGAAAAAAGTATATATTAAAAAAAGAACTAGAAAAGCAAGAGAAAAGAAATTCAAAAGCTACCAGGAGACAGGAAATAACTAAGATCAGAGTAGAACTGAAGGAGGTGGAGACATGAAAAACCCTTCAAAAAATCAACGAATCCAGGAGCTGTTTTTTTTTCAAAGATTAACAAAACAGACTGCGAGCCAGAATAATAAAGAAGAAAAGAAAGAAGAATTGAATAGATACAATAAAAATGATAAAGGGGATATCACCACTGATACCATTGAAATACAAACTACCATCAGAGAATACTATAAATACCTCTATGCAAATAAACTAGAAAATTTAGAATAAATGGATAAATTTCTGGACACATACACCCTCCCAAGACTAAACCAGGAAGAAGCTGAATCCCTGAATAGATCAATAACAAATTCTGAAATTGAATCAGTAATTAGTAGCCTACCAACCAAAAAAAGCCCAGGACCAGACAGATTGACAGCCAAATTCTTCCAGAGGTACAAAAAGGAGCTGGTACCATTCCTTCTGATACTATTCTAAACAATAGAAAAAGAGGGACTCCTCCCTCTTTTTATGAGGCCAGCATCATCCTAATGCCAAAAGCTGGCAAAGACACAACAAAAAAATGTAAATTTCAGGCCAATATCCCTGATGAACATTAATGCAGAAATCCTCAATAAAATCTTGGCGAATCAAATCTAGCAGCACATCAAAAAGCTCATCCACCATGATCAAGTCAGCTTCATCCCTGGGATGCAAGACTGGTTCAACATATGCAAATCAATAAACGTAATCCATCACATAAACAGAACCAACGACAAAAACCACCTGATTATCTCAATAGATGCAGAAAAGGCCTTTGACAAAATTTAACACCCCTTCATGTTAAAAACTCCTAATAAACTGTGTATTGATGAAACGTTATCTCAAAATAATAAGAGCTATTTATGACAAAGCCACAGCCAGTATCATACTAAATGGGCACAAGCTGGAAACATTACCTTTGAAAACAGGCACAAGACAAGGATGCCCTTTCTCCACTCCTATTCAACATAGTATTGGAAGTTTTGGCCAGGGAAATCAGGCAAGAGACATAAATAAACGGTATTCAAATAGGAAGAGAGGAAGTAAAATTGTCTGTGTTTGCAGATGACATGATTGTATATTTAGAAGCCCCATCATCTCAGCCCAAAATCTCCTTAAGCTGAAAAGCAACTTCAGCAGTCTCAGGATACAAAATCAATGGGCAAAAAGCAAAAGCATTCTTATACACCAATAACAGACAAACAGAGAGCCAAATCACAAGTGAACTTCCATTCACAATTGCTACAAGAGAATAAAGTACTTAGAAATACAACTTACAAGGGATGTGAAGGATGTCTTCAAGGAGAACTACAAACCACTGCTCAAGGAAATAAGAGAGGACGCAAACAAATGGAAAGACATTCAATGTTCATGGATAGGAAGAACCAATATCATGAAAATGGCCATAGTGCCCAAAGTAATTTACAGATTCTATGCTATCCCCATCAAGCTACCACTGACTTTCTTCACAGAATTAGAAAATACTACTTTAAGTTTTTGACTTTTCAAGAAAGAGTTAAATGATATATTTTGATTTGTGTGCAAATTAGTAAAGGTGAGATAAAAGTATTTATATACCTGAAGTGTATTTTAAAGGACTATTGCAAATCATTGAAGTTTAGTTATTTGAATTTGCATTTATCTCTCTCCAAAGTGCTTATATTTAAGTATTTATTGATGTGATTTCTATTCAGACTACTGTAGGTTTAGTTAGATTTCAGAATCTAGAATGTATTTGTATGTAGTAATAAAAGAGACTTTTGAAAGATAATTTTTATGTAGATGAGCATTCATATTATACCAGCACACTGATTTCCAAATATTTTTCCATGAGATAAGTGTAATTTGAATAAAATATAGCATCACTCTCCTAAATTGACAAAGTGAAGCAAGCCAAGTTACAAATGTCACCAATGTCTAAACCACATAAGGATACATATGTACTGATGAATATAAGTAATAAAATAATTTTTTTTTTCTGTTTTACTTTTGGGAGTTAAGACTTGGCAGTGTATTAGTGTAGGGTAGGATGGAACCTTCCAGTTTCTGTGAGTTTACAACTGTCATGCATTATCTGTTTTCCAATGGAGAACTGTTAAGTAAAGAACTAGGGTTGGATTTTAGCAAAAATTGTCCACATTTTAACAACAATCGCAATATAGATGTCATCGCATCACTATTAATCAACAGTATTTGGACATGTACGGCTGAATTCAGATCCCCAATATCAGAAATAGTTTGACTTCCCTTCATAGTTTGTCCTCTACTCAATTTATGTTTTTCCTTCTCCATCTCAATGTAGTATCTGAAAATAAACTTTTAGTTTTAGAACAGATTTAGGTTTACAGAAAATTTCAGAAAATAGTACAAAGAATCACCACATACACCACACTCCATTTTCCATATTAACATATTGCATTAGTACAAGGCATTTTACATTCAATGAACCAATATTGATATATTATTATTAATTAAATTCCATACTTTATTCAGATTTCTTTAGTTATTTTGCTGTTTCAGGATCCCATCCAATACACCCCATTACTTTTAGTTGCCATGATTCTCTTGGCCTTAACAGGTTCACAAGCTTTCCTAGTTTTAGATTACCTTAACAGTTTTGAGTACAGGTCAAGTATTTTGTAGAATGTCTCTCAACTGATATTTGTTTTATACCCATTTTATATTTAGACCAGGATTATGTATTTTTGGAAAGACCACAGAAATAAAGTGTCATTATGATCACATCATGACAAAGGTACGTACTATCAACATGACTTATAATCACTGAAATTAATCTTAACCACCTGAATGAGGTGGTGTTTGTCAGGTTTCTCTATATATTTATTTTTCTTCCCCTTACCATACTGTACTCTTTAGAAGGAGCTCACTGTGCATAGCCCACATTTAAGGAATAGAGAGTTATGCTTCCACCTCCTTGACCTAGTAGTAGCAAGAGAAAATTTTGAAATTCTTCCTATTTTTCCTCATTTGTTTATATAACTGCTTATTTCTATTGTTATGGCCACAAAGTATACTTATTTTATACTTTGGGTTTTAATACAATACTGCTTTATTTGGTTGCTCCAATTGTTCCAGCTTTGGCCACTGGGAGCTGTTTCAGTTGGCTCCGTTGTCCCTTTGAACTGCCACTATCATTGTGAAGATTTTTTTTTCCCCCTATTGGGACATTCCTTACTTTTGGTTAAAACAAAATATTGGAGGCTCAACTTGTATATTTTCTTCCCCGATCCACAATGAACAATTTTTCTAAAAACTCTGGTTCCTTTTATTGAAAAATATTATTAGAAACCAAGATCTAGGTATTAAGTATGCTTATCAGTAATTCAACATTGCTACTAATTTCAGGGTCTCTCACCTGAAAGAAAATAATATGTATGCGGTGAATAATAACCTGTATATATACTTTTAACTATCACTATTTCTATGGGTAGCTATCTCTATCTATATTAAGCTAAATGTGAGTTAATACTGATGTACCGGACTCTAATCCATTACCAGATAGATCACTACAGCCTCCTCCCGTTTTTCTGTAACTTCCCACAGCTCCACAATCTACTATCCAATTATTTCCTAATCTTCAGTTTTAATACACATGTGTAAAGTTATCAGGACTGTTAACCCATACCCCCATTCAAAACTACTTCATCAACCAGGGTACGATTATTTATACTGTTTTTTATATTCTTTTTGCCTTTAGTATTACAGATTCCATTCATTTCCAAATTTGCTTAGGTCAGCCACATTCTGCCCCAAACCCCTGCAGTTAGGTTGTTTCATGTATTTGTAATAAAGATGGAAGGCTTTGGTATAATACGTTATTCCTTTTATCTTAGAATACTCTGACTACTAAAATAATTTTTTAGAATTTGCATATATTAGGGTTGCCTCTTTGTGTCATAAATTTCTAAGGGTTTTCACAAATGCATAATAGCATGTATCTATCATTAAAATATCATAAGCAATAATTTCACTATGTTGAATATCCACTGGGCTTCATTAATTAACCTCCCTCCTCCTGAAACTGAACACAACCACTGATCTTTTTTACCATCTCTATAATTTTTCCATTTAGAGAATCTCATATAATTTGGAATCATACTATGCATTTAAGGTTTATCCATGTCTTTTTGTGGCTTGATAGCTCATTACATTTTATTGTTGAATAATATTCCATTGTATGACAGTATCACCCTTCATTTATCCATTCACTTGTTAAAGATATATTGAATGCTTCCTGTTTGGGACAATTATAGATAAAGCTACTTAACTTTTATGTGCAAGCTTTGTATGAATATAAGTTTAAAATCAGTGTGAGAATTTCCTGAAATCATGATTACTAGATTGTATAGTAAAATTATGCTTAGCTTTGAAATAAACAGCCAAACTGTATTTCAAAGTGGTTGTTCCAGTCTACAATTCCACCAACAATGAATGAGAGTTCCTGTTGCTTTGCACTCTGTCCAACAATTTGTATTTCATTGTTGGGTAACTTATAGAGCCTTAACAACAAGATGTTGGAAATATTTTGTATTGATTTGCCATCTGATCTTCTTTTTTGGTGAGCTGTCTGTTCAAATCTTTTGTGCAGTTTTTAATCATGTGGTGAGTTTTCTTATTGTAGAGTTTTGAGAGTTTTTCTATGGTTTGTATACAAGTCCTTTGTCAGATATTGTTCTGTAAATATTTTTCTCCGAATCTGTAGCTTATGCTTTCATTCTCTTAACAGTGCTTTTTCAACAAAGAATTTTTAATTTTACTAAATTCCAACTAATCAATTTTTTTCTTTCATGGATAGCACATTTGATGTTGTACCTAAAAATTGATCACCACGTGATCATATGGATTTTCTCCTATTTTATTGTCTAGAAGGTTTATAGTTTTGTATTTTACATTTACGTCTATGATCCATTTTGAATTAATTTTTGAGACAAAGATAAGGTCTGTGTCTAGGTTACAAACAGGTAATAACTTTCCAGCAGGGATTGGATGCAAGACAGGACATTTTTTAAAATCATCCCCCCCATCTATCAATCTCTATCCCTCTCTATTGTTTTATCTCTCTCAGCTTGAACTTCAAGGAGTGTAAATGTCCGTGTGTCTTGGCAACTGGTTGAGGTAAAAATGGCCTTTGTCATGTAATGTGATTTAGCTGGGAGTTAGGTATACCACAAATAATGATTCGAGAGTCATAGAGAGAGATCATAAGCTCTGGACTCAGATATTCTGATCTTAGACATGTTTTACATAGCTTTTTGTGTCTCATTTTTGCTATCTACATGAGGATAATAATAATGCATATACATAGGGGTGATGTAAAGTCAAATTGGTTAATATTTGTTATGTGCTTTGGAAAAAGTTGGCAAATAGTATATGTTCTAAAAGTATTTGAGATATAAATGCAGATTTAAGCTCAAATTATCTCCAGATATTTGTTACCATGCTTCTTTTAAAATTTAAACATTTTAAATTTAAACATGTTAAATTTAAAATGTTTTAAATTAGTCAAAAACAGGTTGTTGTTGTTGTTGTTGTGTTGTGTTTTTTATACATTCCTTTGTGAATTATTAGAGTTGGTGAAGAGATGCCTGTGTTAACACATGAACCAAAATGTTAAGTGAGAAATGTCATCTGCTTTGTGGATATTGTGATAATGATTGGCATTGAACTGTGGGCCAGAGAATGTGGTCACAGCCATGGCTGAATCCTTCAGGTCTCCAATATTATAAGGAACTCCTACCAGGAAAATCATAATAATTCTAAAATGTATTTCTTTGTTTATTCATTTTCAGTAAGTGAGGTAGCATTCTTTTAGTGCACAATATTTAATGTATTTAATGGAAATACAGTTTATGAAGTTGAGTGGTCCTGGCTTCACTATATGCCAAAGCAGATTAGATCATGGCCCCCTATCGCACCCAGTTCTGAGTTCTGACCCTGGAATGAAGAATGACCAGAGAAATGACATGGTAGCTGTGCTTAGTAGTATTAATAAGAAAATGTCCTTTTCCTGGAGCAATCTAGAACCCTTGACTGGTAATTATTTCTCTAATTTTTTTATTACAAATATCTTGAATTTTTCTTTTCAGTATTTTCTTATGCTAGTTCCTACTCTTGTTGGACCAATAACATTTTAATTTCATCTGTAACACTTACCCTCCCAGGGTTCTTCTCTGCTTCTTTACTTCTTCCCTACGTCTTATTTGTGTTCAATTATACTCCCTGGCCCTTTATGTCCCAAGCGACTGCCTCATACCAATGTTTATCTTACTGCAAATTAGCATTTGCCAAAGAGCTGTACTGATATAAGCTATATAAATATGTACTAATATGAAAGGACAATATTTGAGGAATTTTATACAAGTAAATGATGTGCAGATCTTTTAAAAGAAATAGAAGCAAGTGGAGCTCCAGGCTATTAAGGTTTTTGGTTTGTTTTTTGTTTTTTTCTTAAGGGAAAAAATATAAAAGCCTGTAGCCCATAACATGGCACATGTGTGTTTTTGTGTGAACACAAAACTTAAAGGAAGAAAGAGAGATAGTGTCCTGCAAAATGACAGTTTCAGTCATCATTTGAAAACTTGATTCTAAGTTGTCATATTAAATTGCCACAGGATGAACAGTCATCTCCTAAGCTCTGTTGAGAAATTTTAATTCTTAAATGCTTACCACCTACTAGGTTAGGGTTTCTTAACCTTGGCTCTGTTGGCAGTTTTGGTGAGATAATTCTCTGTTGCAGGGGGCTGTCCTGTGCATTGTAAGATATTTAGTAACATCCCTGGAACCGATGCCCTAGATGCTAGTAGCTTCCCCGACATCCACCATGAATTGTGACCAAAAAAAGAAAAATAATATGTCTCTAGGTATTGCCAGATATCTTGTAGTGGACAAAATTGCCCTGGGTTGAGAACTGCTGTGCTAGATATTTTAAAAATTCTTTTCCAAGAGATGTTTAAACCCATGAGAAAAGGATATGGTGAGATAGAGAACTTTAAAGTAAATATGAGTTAGAAACTTGGGAAGAACTTCAAAGAGTTATACTAATGTCTTTGTGTTATCTGAGCCTACTGAACTATTCTGTTTTGTACTTGGTGTTTGTTTTATTGAAGAAGAACTCTTTAGCAGTGCAAAAGGAAGTCATATCTTGTTTTCATTATGGTTAAGTAAACAAAGCTCTTTCCCTTAGGATCTCCCTGTTTTTTCATTAACCTTTTCTTCAAGACAATATAATGTTGAATATTATACCAATTTTCGTGGCTGGGGAAAGTGAGACATGCAAAAGAGAGCACCTCATCAAAGGCACCTAACCAGTTACTCAAAATCCAAGAGGAAGCCTAGAATGATAACCACAAACGTTCATAAGTCTAACGAAAGCTCAGAGTACATTCTCATGAGTCTGGTGAGACAGAACCCTCACACAGGAAGTTAGGCAAAGCAAATGTATTACTTACAGATAGAGAGAAAGGATAAACAGAAGCCTAGGATACATAACAAGCTGGTCCATCAAGGCTAAGGAAAGCTGCCTAGGGTGGATGGAATCTTAAATGCATGTGCCGCACTGCAGCTGAGGGACCCAGAAAACACTCCATTTTGGATTTTACACCCTGAGTGCCACTTGGCATGCTGAACTCAAATATTACAGAACTTCTTGTTCTAGGACAAATAAGCACATAGCCTGGGTTGTTCCAGATATTTTCCTTCTTATCTCAGGATATTGCATTCTCAATCCATTCTACCAAAGAATTACAAGCAATAGGGAGAAGAGGAAGGTCAGCTAAGGTAATCTATGGTCCTGTCCTCCTACAGTTCACTCCCTGAGCCAGGTACCTCCACTTAGCTGAGCTATTTATTTTATATGAACAGTGACTTCCCCAAATCTGGAGGTAAAGATTGGTCTCATCAAATCAATGTGGCACCTTAAAATGTATGACCTTGGTGCAACACCCTTAAGTCATGGCTAAAAGACATGGCACTAGACCCATGAAGATCCTTACTATAGGCAGGATGATCAGGCATGCCTGGGGCAGCAAGCTAGCCCAGGATCCCAGTGACCCACATGAAAAGTTGCTAATGGATTGAAGAAGGATCACTCACGAGGCCTTACTGTCTCCAGCCTGTGGGCCTGCTTCTAGATCTACTCTACTTGTGCCTCTACAATACCTAAGATGTTTATCCAGGTGCAGCTGGAGATGTTGGCAGTCATTCTCACTTCTTACAGTTAGGCTAAAAGAAAGTTTAGAGCAATCTGTTGTCTAAAATCACCTTCCCACAGAAATTGAGGAATATCTGGTGAACCGTGAAGGCATTCTCATTGGAGGAGACAATATCTGCCATGGTCAGGGACAGGTTTCTTATCATGTCCTCATGATCATTGACTCCTATTTATGGATCAGACATCTCAAAAATGATGTAACACTCAGTGTCAGTTACACCTTCTGACAGGTCCCTAGTAAGCCTTGTATACAGCTTAAGGCTTCTGGCCTAATGGAGCATCCCATTCCCAGGGATGGTATCTAGGGCACCCCAGGTATACCCGTTGGGCAGGACCCTGATATCCATCAGCTTTCAAAGGCATGACAGTGTGCATTTCATATTTAGGTCACCCCTGACTGCCTACAGATAAAGATGTGGCTCTTGGGTGCATACAGCACTGCTTCTTCTGTTTATGCTCAGTGGCTCATTCAAGAGTATAGATCCATTGGCATATTTTAGCCAAGTCTCATTTATGAGGGTCATGTGATCTCAGTTTCCCCCACACAATAATCCTCTACACAGAGGGTTAGCAACAGGACAGGTCTTGTTATGCTCATTGCCATATGAACACCTCTCCTTTTAGGTAATCGAAGGAATGTGGTGTGACAAAGGACTAACCCACTAAGATTTTGTCATGTGTAGCTGTGATGTTTTGCTATCATAGGCCAGGAAAGTTAAAACAGGGCACTTCTGTCTGTCTTCCATGGGGCAAAGGCCAGATCTTCACTCAGTAATTCAGGGCTTGGGTTCCACTTGTGTACACTGTGGCATAAGGAAGTCTCGTATAAATTACCATTAGCAGGAAAGGGTCACTATAGCCTGTGACAGAATGAGATCCAGGGTTATAAATCCAACAGATCATCAGGTTACTCACAGTGGCCACAGGGTGGGATTGTCTAACACAGGCTTCATGCTTCCACACCTTTGCTACCACATCTCTGTAGAAAGAGCAGATTGATGGAATCTCACAGGTTCCTTATCTACTTGTGTTAGTCTGTTTTTTCATTGCTATAAAGAAATAGCTAACACTGGATAATTTATAAAGATAAAAGGCTTAATTCACTCATGATTCTGCAGGCTGTACAAGAAGTATGGCATTGGCATCTACTCAGCTTTTGGTGAAGCCTCAGGAAGATTTCAATCATGTCAGAAGGTGATGCAAGAGCAGGTACATCACATAGTGAGAGTGGGTGCAAGAGAGGAAAGGGGGAGGTGCCACACACTTTAAACAATCAGATCTCACATGAACTAAAAAAGTTAAGAACTCACTCATTCACTCATTGTTAAAAGGACAGCACCAAGGTATCCACCTCCATGACCTAAATACCTCCCACAAGGCCCGCCTCCAACACTAGAGGTCACATTTCAACATGAGATTTGGAGGGAACACACATCTAAACCATATCATGCTGCCCCTGAACCCCTAAATTTTATGTCCTTCTCACATTGTAAAATATAATCATCCCTTCCCAATAGTCCCCCCAAAGTCTTAACTTGTTTCAGTATCAAGTCTAAAGTCCTAAGTCTCATCTGAGACTCATTATTTCCACTTATGAGCCTGTAAAATCAAAACAAGTTATTTATTTCCAAGATAAGTCTTACCATCCCAAAATGAAGGATTTGACCAGAAGAAAGGGGCTATAGGCCCCACACAAGTCTGAAACACAGAAGAGCGGTCATTAAATCTTAAAAGTCCAAAATAATTTCCCTGGACTCCATATACCACATCCAGTGCACACTGGTGCAGCGGGTGGGCTCCCAAGGCCTTGGAAAGCTCCATCCCTGTGGCTTTTCAGGGTGCAGCCCCCATGGATACTCTCACAGATTGGAGTTGCGTGCCTGCAGCTTTTCCACACTGGGGTTGCAAGTTGCCAGTTGATCTACCATTCTCAGGTCTGGAGAGTGGCAGCTCCCTTCCCACAGCTCTGCTAGGCAGTGCCCCACTGGAAACTGTGTGTGGAGGTCCCAACCCCACATTTTCCCTCTCCTCACTGCCTTAGTAGAGTATCTCTCTGGGGACTCCACCCCTGCAGCAGGTTTCTGCCGGAGAATCCAGGCTTTCCGTATATTCTCTGAAAATTAGGTGAAAGCTGCCATGCTTCTTTAAGTCTTGCATTCTGCACACCTACAGGCTTAATGCCACATTGAAGCTACCAAGGCTTATGGCTTGCACCCTCCAGAGCTGTGGTATAAGCTGTACCTGGGCTCCCCTTGAACTGAGGCTAGAGCTGGAACATCCTGGATGTGGGGATGAGCCTCTCAGGGTGGTGTAGGGCAGTGGGATCCTGGGCCTGGCCCCTGAAAGCATTCTTTCCTCCTAGGCCTCTGGACCTGTGGTGGGAAGAGCTGCCTGGAAGATCTCTGAAATTCTTTGGGGCCTTTCTCATTATCTTTGATATTAGCTGTCAGCTCCCTTTTAGACATGCTAATCTTTCTAGCAAGTAGTTGCTCTGCAGCCTGCTTGGACTCTTCTGAAGATGCTTTTTTTTTTTCTTTCTATCACATGGCTAGGCTGTAAATTTTCCAGGCTTTTCTGCTCTGCTTCTCTTTTAAATATGTTTCAATTTTAAGTTGTTTTCTTGGTCCTGTATTTGATCATAGGTCGTTAGAAGCAGCCATGCAACATCTTGAATTCTTTACTACTTAAAAATTTATTCTGCCAGATACCCTGAGTCGTCATTATTATGTCTGAACTTAAGGACATGAACACGGACAGAATTCAGCCAAGCTCTTTCCTAAGACATAACATAGGTGATCTTTACTCAAGTTCCCAAATAAATTACTCATTTTGATCTGAGACCTCATAAACCTGGCATTCAGTGTCTATATTTCTATCAGCATTTTGGTCACAACCACTTAACAAGTCTCTAGGAAGCTCTAAACTTTCCCTCATCTTGTTGTCTTCTTCTGAGCCCTCCAGATTCTTCCAAATTCTACCTGTTACTCAGTTCCAAAGCCACTTCCACATTTCTGGATATCCTTATAGCAATGCCTCACTCCACAGTACCAATTTTCTGTGCTAGTCCATTCTAGCTTTTTAATAAAAAAAAAAAAAAAAAAAACCCTGAGATTGGGTAATTTATGAAGAAAAGAGGTTTAATTGGCTCACAGTTCTGCAAGCTGTACATGAAGCATGGCACTGGCATCTTCTTGGCTTCTGGTGAGACCTCAGGTCGTTTTTACTCATGGCACAAAGTCAAGCAGGAGCAGCAATATTCATGGCTAGAGCAGGAGCAAGAGACAGAGTGGAGAGGCGCCACATTCTTTTAAACAACCGGATCTCAAGTGAACTGGTAGAGAGAGAAGTCACTCATTATTGCAAGGATAGCACCAAGGCATTCATATAAGGGATTTTCCCCCATGACCAAAACACCTCTCACTAGGCTTACCTCCAACATTGGAGGTCACATTTCAATGAGATTTGGAGGAGACACACACCTAAACTATATCACCGTTGGAAAAGGTTTTGGCTAAGTTGGTGTAACGACCCAATCTCTATTCCTGTTCTTCTGCCACTGCTTCCCAGCTGCCATCTCAAGGTCCTCCTGACTCATGCCCTCCTTCCAGCATGGTCAGAGGGTTCCATGAGCAAAATCACCATTGCTCCTCTCGGTAACCAAGGATGTGCTCCGGAGGCACTGGGGCACACACCAAGTTCACCCACAGCTTGTCAGTTCAGTGACTGGATGCACAGGGCCAACAGGCCCCGTACAATAGGTCACAGCACCCCACTGGGTTAATCCTACATGTTTACAGTCTTCCAGTGTGTCTGTCTGCCAGGCAGTCCACATCTTTCTCCATCCCAGGAAGCATGTAGGCAGCTATAGCAGGGAATAAAGATTGGTAGTTTTTTCAAGGACATGAAAATAGTCCATGTTGCTATAGTTTCCCTATTTGCCTTCCATTCACTGTTCACCACTCCCTTTTGTGCTTCTCTGTTCACCACCTATACATGCCCCCTCAGGGGCTCCTCCAATAGTACCCTTATGCCCTGTGTGCACACTGCTTCATCCAGTGGCCCAGGGCCACATTTTTACTATGTTGGAATGAAGTATGTAGGATCCAGAGGGTCCCTGACATTCAGAATCTATGGTTGAAATGCCTCTGCCAAGCATCCTTTTGTCAAGGCTTTCTTCAACTGTTCATTAAAAGTATCTACTATAATTGTTGCCTGTGGATGGTAAGGCAAGTAGAATCTCCAGCCAATGCCAAACATGTGGGCCCTCAGTGCTTGGGCTTCAGCAATGTATGCTGGGCTTTGATCCATCTGACTGGCATCGGGGCAACCAAAGTGCAAACAAGAGGAGGAAGAGCTTAGTTAGCCAAGGCCATGTGGGGATCTGTAATCGTGCACTAACATCCATCTTCTCTTGCTTGGAGGGTAAGGCCTTTTTGCTTGTTTATTGCATTATTATTATAAATATAAAATGGCATGTACTCTGTATAGTAACAATTTTTAAATATTCATTTATTAAATGTTCACTACTGAGGTCATGTCAAGAAAAGATTCTCTCCTTAGAGAGCCATCTTAAATCTGCATAATCTTTTGTGTATTGTAGGCACTGAACTAAAATAATATGTATTTAGTTAGGAACCAGTAAGTGGCGGAAAAAAATAGCACAAGAGTCTTAGAAAATTTAAATAAGAAATTATTTCTGGCTTGAGAACAGGAATGCTTGAGGATTTGTGGGGCTTGAAGCTCGTATGATTTGTGAGCCCCTTTTTAAGAAATAATAATACAAGATTATAAATATAATATTAAGTATAAAAGGGAACATTTATTTAGAGTGAGACAAGTAAATTACTACAATTACTTTTTTAGAAAGCTGACAATTTGCACAAAAACACTAACTGCAGAAAAATAACGTTATTTTTGTTAATTAGCTGCCTGACACCCTCTTTCATGCATTTTTCCCTATGACTTTTAGCTTCATGCTCTCTACTAGCCTCTTCATATGACATCGATTTTGCAATAACTTTTTATATAGCAAGAATAGAAAGATAATTTATTATTGTCTCTATTATGCTTGGTTTGAGTTTCTTCATTTCATTAAAGTAGTTGCTTTCAGTGACACAATCATTTTTGGTAACATATAATTTTTAGGATTAATGTCAAATCTGGAAAAATCTCTTTTGTTTCTTATTTATGATCTACAAGATTTAGGCTAATTTCTCAGGCTTCTTTTTGGCCTAGTACTTTTCAAACATTTTTCTTCTCTAAGCACAAACTTCTGGAGTGAAGCAACATAGAAAATGTTCATTTTACAATCACAATCTCTCTATTTGTACTTTCGTGTTATGGTTCTGAGTGATTTCACACAACAGATGGTAGAAATATTCTTAGAAACCATCTTTACTTATACATTAGTACTCATACATTAGTAGAAGCCACTGAATGGTTTTAAACAGAAGAATGACAGATCTAACTTATGTGCTCACCTGTTAAGTACCCCAAGGAGCAGTTTTTTGGGGGGTTATTCTAGTATGTACAACCCCTACAAGCCTCTCGTATTCCCTATATCCATATTCAGTCTTCTTAAAAAAATGATACAAAAGTGTTTCCCTAAATCACTTTCCTTTCTGGACACTACAAATTTATTGACCAGATTTCTTTAAGTCATATAGGCAAGAATGGCAAATTACATTTCAACAGAAGGCAAGACAGATGGTGTGGCATATTTTGTTTTAGTTAAATTCTGTGCTACCTAAATTAAATATGTGATTATTAAATCTTGATTTATAGATACCTACACTAAATTCTGAAAAAAAAAATAAACTATTACATTATTTAAAAAATTTTCCCTAGTTCTTTCAATTTTGGTTATAAACATATTTTCTGTTAAAGATTATTTCATCCACTTTCCAAAACAATCAGGAAATATATGAATGAAAAACAAATGATTTTACCAGTCTAACCCATCTAGTGTCAATTTTTAAAACATTTTTATATTTCCTTTTAGTTTATCCCTGGAGCCCGACTTACTTGTACTTGAAATCATAGTATATGACAATTTTATCTTCCCTTCTCCCCTACTTAATACTGCATCATGGGCATTTTCCTTGTTGCTACCATCAGTGGCTACATAAATATTTCATTAAGTGGGTGATGTTTATTTAATAACTCCTGTTTTTCAATTATTAGATATTTGATTTTGGTCTAATTTTTTGAGAACTCATTTATTCATTATTTCTAACTTTTTGTTTTTAAACTTTTATTTTTTTAAAATACACGTAACATTTTCCAGTTTAACCATTTTTAAGTATACAGATCAGTGGCACTGAATACATTCACATTGTTGTACAGCCATCACCATCATCCATTTCCAGAGTTTTTTTATTTTCCCAAACTGAAACTCAGTACTCATTAGATAATATCCTCATTTCCCCTTCTTTCAAACCCTGATAGCCACCATTCTACTTTCTGTCTCTATGAATGTGGCTGTGCTAAGAAACTGATGCTTATAAAAGAAACTCTTGTAATCATATATTATTTGTCCTTTTGTGACTGGCTGTTTTCACTTAGCACAATGTCTTTAGGATTCAACCATGTTGTTACATGTGTCAAAATTTTCATTTTAAGACCAGATAGTACTCCAATGTACATATCTACCACATTTTGTTTATCCTTTCACCCATGGATGATTAACTGGGTTGCTTCTACTTTGGGCTATTGTGAATAAAGTTGTTAAAAACATGAATAATTTATATTATTGAAAATTTATACTGTTGTCTCATGCATTTGCTAGACTTCATTTTATAACTCTGATGATTTGCATCAGACATCTGCCTCCATTTAGAAGCCTCTTCCTTTGAGCAACTGCTTTATAATGTGAAAGTAACGGCTTGATTGTCTATGTAATACCACCATCTCTTGGTCATGGTTGAGTATGCATGTGTATATATTTTCTGTTCTTTCTCAGGAAATGATCAAGGTATTAGTAAATGCTGTGAAACCAAATCCATATTTAGAAAACAAAGATGAAGTAAGCAGTGATTCATCTCTACAGTTGATATTGGGAAATCTCTTCTCCTTGTGTCTTATAAGAAGCTCTCAACTTTCATTTATTCATTCTGAACTACATAATCGAGAGTGACAGAATTTTTATCTACATGATTCCACTTGTGCTGCCCGTGTACTTCTGGCAGACATTTCTCTTCAATCACGTCGAATGCTTTCTCTGAAGCCTTATACTCCTTCTCAGCATAGCAGTTCAGACATCCATTTCCAGTTGTGTGTGACCAATGAGTTGAAAATGTTTCACTCTTGATATATACAATAATAAACACTTTTAACATAATTTAAATTTTTTTAAACCTAATTATACAAGCAATGTTGTGGTCAGTGTGATTGGAAAGTCAGCCCAAAGTAAAAGAAAAAAAGTGGCATAAAGTTTAAAAACTTAAGCCTACCTATTAAAATCTAATTATTTACTTGGTTCAATACAGGTAAGAGCTTCCCTGTTCAGTATACAAGTTGTCATTTCAATAAGTCAGAGACAGTGTGTGCTAACCTACTGCATCTCCAGGTGTTTGGACCTGATTATAAGCTTGAAACTTTGTGGTTTGCATCTTGGCTTAGCCGAAAGGGTATGATTATTATTTAAATAAAGCTCGTGTTTTATTTTGGTGGAAGCTGTCAAAATGTCAAATGTACTGCTCTGTTTTTATGGCTTCTACGACCCACATAATTTTCAAATTCCTGAACCAAACACATGAGCTAGTACAATCTGTTCTACCAGTATACATCACAATTTATCCCCAGTGAAAGTTTTAAAATTGGACTGGCACATGGTGCCAGGGTCCTGTCTGTGCTCCTTTTACTATAAGAAAAAGCTGCTGAATAACAAGAGGTGTAGCACTAAAATCTAATAATATTTTCTGCTTTCTCAGTCCATTCCTGGCATCAACAAACACAAGATAAGTTTTATGGTATGTAATTCCTGAGACACAGATCAGTGTAGGATATTTATTAGTATTTATTAAGGTATGTCCTTGGTATCATAAAAGAGAGGGGAAGGAATTGAGATGAAGAAGTTGAGCCGCTGCATTGAAGGTTTGATTGGCCCCAAAGTTAGCACCACAGAAAGTTCTGAAACATAATGGTCTGTCACTATCAGAGTTTTCTATCACAGGGCAAAATTAGGCCTTTATACCCATCCTTATGTTGGTAATTAGATGTGGGCCATACAGAGAAGGGCATGCTCTTGGATGAAGTACTGGCTCTCTGCAGCTGAGGCAATCCTAGAAAGATGAACAGCTGAAGACCCACTGCCAATAGATAGCACTTGGTGGGAGACGGTTGTGAATCATTTGCCAAAACAATAGATAAATTGTCAAACTTGGTTGGTTGTATTTGTTGAAAAATTGTATTAGTCACTGAAAAATTCTGACCATGTAAGAAAAAAATAATAATTAACAATGCCATCCTGTGGCTAAAACTGCCATTTCCGTTCTAAGTAATCTGAGCCTACAAAATGTTTATGTTGTGCTACAGCCCACAGCAATCTTTTCAGGCCCTTACATCTTAAATAAAGAGGACATTTTTTTTTCTGCTTAGATTCAAGCTCTACTATATTGGTAGAAATTTCTCTAACATTTCTGATAAGTCACTTCTACCATCATTAACTTCCTTCTGCCAAGAATTCTCTGTGTTAGTGAGATTCAAAACAGGTAATATTTTAAGTGTTTGCAAAACATGATGTGCAACACAATTCTCCAACATAATCATAATCATCATCAAAAGTGTATAAAGCTTTGAGTCATAAGGTTGGTATGATGCGTAGATCTGCCATTTACTTATTCTATGACCTTGAACAAGTCATTCCAAACTTCAAGTCATATACTTCAGCAAACCCTATGTTGTTAACTCAGTATATTAATATTTCCTCATCTCTTTGTGAACATAAAACAGGAAAATGGATGTGATGGAACTTCGCCAATGACAAAGTATGACGTAAATGCTATGAGTAGCTTCTTAGTTCTGGGAAGGCAACCCCCTTTCATATCTCAGTGTGCATATGCTAGTTAGATTTCCTTTAGGAACATACTGTTATTTTTATATGCTAATCAACTCTTGCCTTTTTTTCTTTACTTTATGAACCATTGCTTCTTCATCAGCAACATTTCCTGGGTCGACAGCACATGTTTTTAATTGTTGTTTAAAATAAGCACCCTCTACATCAACAAGAAGTTAGAAAGGGTGTGAAACTTTAAAATTGTGCATACATCCAATTACCCACTATTCAAATTGTTATATAAACAATATATGTACCTGGAATATTATTTATATATAAAGCCAGAATTGGAACATGAATAAAAGGATAACAGTTATTAGAAATTCCCTGTTCTTTTTCACCCATTTACTTTTATATAGTAAAAATCATTGTCACCCTCTGATCCTTTATTCTTAGCCTCATTCTGTGTCAGGATCAGAGCCTCCTTACTTTTTCCTGGGATCTGTATTGTCCAAAGCAAGGTAGGCCATCCTGAAATGAGAATAGACTGGCATGGATAGACTAGTTGCCTAAAAAACTTCAGCCTTCTAAAAGAGCTGCTCTTTCTAGACACATATATTATAATGAGAAAAATCATGGAAGTGGATAGTTCAACAAAACAGATTATTTCTTTGTGAGTCACTATGTTGGAGCAGACAGCAGAGGTGAGGAAATGGACATGAAATAGGAAAGTTTTAATAGTGAGAAGTGGCAGGAACAATATGAAGGACTAGGGGTAAAGGAACTTCAATGGAGAGCACTTGTCAACAAGAACAAGTCAGCACTTCCAAGAGTCCATAAAATACTTTGAATAGAAACAGGGATAAGAAAGGGGTAGAGGGACATAAGGCAATTTCTATCCCTCATATCTGGACTGATATTCTTTCAATTTCATATTTCATTGGTTAATTTTGAAATAAGATGATGCTTTCATGCCATTCTAATTAAAGATTTATCTTTTGGCCAGGCACGGTAGCTCACGCCTGTAATCCCAGCATTTTGGGAGGCCAAGGTGGGCAGATCACCTGAGGTCAGGAGTTCGAGACCAGCCTGGCCAACATGGTGAAACCCCGTCTCTACTAGAAATACAAAAATTAGCCAAGCATGGCGGCTCACACCTGTGATCCCAGCTAATCAGGAGGCTGAGGCAGGAAAACTGCTTGAACTCAGAAGACAGAGGTTGCAGTGAGCCGAGATCCCACTACTGCACTCCAGCCTGGGTGACAGAGCATGACTCCATCTCCAAAAAAAAAAAAAAAAAAAAAAAAAAAAAAAAAAAAAAAAAGTTTATCTTTTTACAAAAAGTTTTCTGGTTCTTCCCAGAAGTTTTTTTCTTTTTTTTTTTTTTTCTTTTTTTTAGATGGAGTCTCCCTCTGTTGCCCCAGCTGGATCTCGGCTCACTGCAACTTCTGCCTCCTGTGTTCCAGTGATTCTCCTGCCTCAGCCTCCTGAGTAGCTGGGATTGCAGGTGTGCACCACCATGTCCAGCTAATTTTTGTATTTTTAGTAGACACGGGGTTTCAACATGTTGGTCAGGCTGGTCTCAAACTCCTTACTTCATGATCCACCCGCCTTGGCCTCCCAAAGTGCTGGGATTACAAGCGTGAGCCACCACGCTCCACCTGAAGTTTCCTTTTTGTATTCCTCTGAACAGATAACTTTAGTAGACAGGACTATCTGAGGTTAAATGTGAGGTCTGACCTCGGGAGCCTTGGCCTATGGTCAGGACCATGCTTCCTTTGGAGAATGTGTTCTAGTCTGCTGAGAGTGGCCAAGCTCTGTGAGAACTATACTTAAATGAAACAGAGGCAGATGAGTTACCACTGACTCACCACAGCCACGCATTTTTTTTGTTCATGAAGGTTTGGATGGAGATTAAGTAGGAGAATCACAGCCTGGGATCTCTGGAAAGGTGACTTGTCCAACTTTGTCTCTGACATCTGAACAATAGCAGTGAATCAGTCATTCATCAATTAGCAGTATTAATGCTCAAACTTAGATGTGTAATAGGGTACACATGTCAAAGTAAGCTGAGAGAGTGTTATGACTCAGAATTCAACCTCTGGGGTTTCGGATTCAAATTCTTTCTATCATAAGCCATATTTCTTTTGGAAAGCTACTTAAGTTCTCTATGCCTCAATTTCAAACTGAATAAAATGGGAATAATAGGCCCTGTCTCATAGACTTATATTGAGCAAGGAATGCGTCTACGAATGTAAGATGCTTGGTGCAGTTCATGTAAGATCGTAGTCAATAAATGTTATTTATTATCATGCAATTATGACTATTATTTGGAGTCAAACAGTCCTTAGTTTAAAGTGTGCTTCTGCCATTTGCAAGGTATATAAGTTCACAGAGCTTATAAATCATGCAGCTGGTTTTTCATAAAACACCTGACATGGAAACTGGCATGTGGTGAAACACTTTATAATATTTGCTTCTTCCCTTTCAAGATGGCATGTCAAAGTAAACCTGCTTTGAAGAGGAAACAAGTCTTTTCTCTCTTTGCTCCTCAGGAATCAACCCTTCTAATAAATGTGCCCCAATTTTCTTTCTAGGGAACCTCCTCTATTGAAGGTCTATGTGGTCTGGTTGGACCTCGTTGTATTTAGCACAAGATTTGTCACTATGGTTGGCCCAGGGATGCAGGTGTTACAATATGAACCCATGAGGGTTAAATCTAGAGGTCCTTCCAAAGAATGGAGAAGGAGTGGGTGAAAAGCTGGTGGTAGGAACAGCAAGACGTGCTCAGGGCATCTATCAGTGGCCATTGTATGGGGTGAGATTGACTGATAATGAAGCTAAAAGACAGAAAAACAGAGTCAAGAGGAGAAAGAGTGTGCTGGTTACATCATAGGGGACCCTTGACTTACAGGTTCATGAAAAAAAAATGCATAGCCCTGAACTTCCTTATTACATGAGTCAATAATTTCATTTCTTGCTTAAAGCAGTTTAATGGACAAAAGCAAGCAATAGGGAAAGGATTCCCTATTTAATAAATGATGCAGGGAAAACTGGCTATCCATATGCCAAATCTGAAACTGGAACCCTACCTTACACCTTATACAAAAATTAACTCAAGATGGATTAAAGACTTAAATGTAAAACCCAAAACCATAAAAACCCTAGAAGAAAACCTAGGCAATACCATTCAGGACATAGGCATGGGCAAAGACTTCATGACTAAAACACCAAAAGCAATTGCAACAAAAGCCAACATTGACAAATGGGATCTAATCAAACTAAAGAGCTTCTGCACAGCAAAAGAAACTATCATCAGAGTGAACAGACAACCTACAGAATAGGAGAAAATGTTTGCAAACTACCCATCTGACAAAGGGCTAATAGCCATAATCTACAAGGAACTTAAATAAATTTACCAGGCCGGGCACAGTGGCTCAAGCCTGTAATCCCAGCACTTTGGGAGGCCGAGGCAGGCGGATCACGAGGTCAGGAGATCGAGACATCCTGGCTAACACGGTGAAACCCCGTCTCTACTAAAAATACAAAAAAATTAGCCAGGCCTGGTGGCGGGCGCCTGTAGTCCCAGCTACTCGGGAGGCTGAGGCAGGAGAATGGCGTGAACCCAGGAGGCAGAGCTTGCAGTGAGCCGAGATTGCGCCACTGCACTCCAGCCTGGGCAACAGAGCAAGACTCCGTCTCAAAAAAAAAAAAAGAAAAGAAAAGAAATTTACTAGAAAAAAACAGCCCCATCAAAAAGTGGGCAAAGGATATGAACAGACACGTCTCAGAATAAGACATTTATGTGGCCAACAAACATGAAAAAAAGTTCATCATCACTGGTCATTAGAGAAATGCAAATCAAAACCACAGTGAGATACCATCTCATACCACTTAGGATGGCTATCTTTAAAAAGTCAGGAAATGACAGATGCTGGAAAGGATGTGGAGAAATAGAAATGCTTTTACACTGTTGATGTGAGTGTAAATTAGTTCAACCATTGTGGAAGACAGTGTGGTGGTTCCTCAAGGATCTAGAACCAGAAATACCATTTGACCCAGCAATCCCATTACTGGGTATATACCCAAAGGATTATAAATCTTTCTACTATAAAGACACATGCACACATATGTTTATTGAAGCACTATTTATAATAGAAAAGACTTGGAACCAACTCAAATGCCCATCAATGATAGACTGGATAAAGAAAATGTGGCACATGTACACCAAGGAATACTATGCAGCCATAAGAAAGAATGAGTTCATGTCCTTTGCAGGGACATGGATGAAGCTGGAAGCCATCTTTCTCAGCAAATTAACACAAGAACAGAAAACCAAACACTGCATGTTCTCACTCATAAGTGGGAGTCAAACAACGAGAACACATGGACACAGGGAGGGGAACATTACACGCAAGGGCCTGTCAGTAGGTAGGGGGCAAGGGGAGGGAGAGCATTAGGACAAATGCCTAATGTATGCGGGGGGCTGAAAACCTAGATGACAGGTTGATAGGTGCAGCAAACCACCATTGCATCTGTATACCTATGTAACAAGCCTGCACGTTCTGCACATGTATCCCAGAACTTAAAATAAAAAACAAAACAAAACAGTATAACGTTTGTTTTGGTCTTTACAGGTACAAGTTCTGAGAAATAAAAAGTTTGTTAATAGTTTGGTAACCATTGCGTTTTCCTTCAGAGATGAATGCTTACCTCCTACTTTAGGATATATTATGGTTATTATTGCATGTTTGTTTTTTCATATTCTTAAACTATTACAAAGATTTAGTGTCGTATGTGGTACCCATATTGCTTTTATTAAATACTTAGATATGCCATATATTTTATTTTATGTTTTTCACTCAGTCTGAACATTTAGGCACAAATTGCGACTTAGACAATTACCTTGATATGGTGACAGCCTCCAAATACACTAGCAAGGCCACTAACCAAGAGCTAATGGAAAAGAAAATCTTAGAGACCAAATTAAGATGCTCGATTTACATCATTTTAAAAACCAATTTAAATACACAGCCAGAATTAATGCACAAGAGAAGGTACAGACTAAAATAGTGAGTATACATGTATTCAACTTATATTGTCAATAGCCAACATGACTCACAGGTGATTCATGATGTATGACCTATACTCACCATATCCTTTGAGTTTCCCCTATGTCTTAGAAGGTATTGAAGTAAATAGCCCACATTATGCCCCTTTGTTCCTTATATTAATCTGGGTTCTTCAGAGAATCAGAGCCAATAGGATATACATAGAGTGAGATTTATTATAAGGAATTGGCTTACATGCTTATGGAGTCTGCCTTCTGTGAGCTGGAGAAACAGAAAAGCTGGCAGTATAAATTCCAGTCCAAATCCTAAGGCCTGAGGGCCAGAAGTGCCAACGGTGTTAAGTACCAGTGCAAGGACAAGAGAAGGCTGATTGATGTCTCAGCTCAAGCAGTTAGACAGAGAGAGAGAGAAAAGAAAGAGAGAGAGAGAGAGAGAGAGATGAGGGGAGAGCGAGAGTGAAATTAAACCTTCCTATTAGATTTTGTTCTGTTGGGGCCAGCAATGGATTTCTAGATGCCACCCATATTGTGGAGGTCCATATACTTTACTCAGTCCACCAATTCAAATTCTAACCTTTTCTGGAAATGCCCTCACAGATAAATCCAGTAATAATGTTTAACCAGGTATCTGAGTATCCCATGGCCCAGTCAAGTCTATGACTAAACTAACAATTATATTCCCATATACAAGACTGCATATACTTTTTAAAAGATATTATTCTGTATAACCATGGTACAATAATAAAAATCAGCAAGTTACTATTGATACAATTCCATTATTAAATGTGTGTGTATGTGTGTGTGTTTCTCTCTTTCCAAAACTGATACTTCCAGTTTCAAATACCACAAGATTAAATCCAACCTAATGGTCTTTCTGACATTGAGAAATTTCATTCTCATTATCCATAATGTATTTATATGTTTACTTATTTACTGAATGTGTTAACACATATTACTGTGAAAAAAATAAGAGAAGAAAGCCTATTAGCTAAAGTTTAACAATGTATACTTTTTTTTTTTTTTTTTGGTCTTTAGGAGTATTAGTGAATCTAAAGGTTCAACAGTTTCTTACATTAATTATATATGTTTATTTTGTTCTGCTTATTTTTCACCATCATTGTGATTACATTATTCATATGATATACAGTAGGCTCTATTGTTTCTATTTTAGACCATTTTGTGTCGTCCCCCCACAACTACCACTCCTATTGATTCTATGTAATCATTTGTCTACAAATGTGAAACACTACCATAATTATATAAACGAAGTATATACTCAGAGAAGTATCACTCCTCTCCCTCCATTCTATAGTTTTCCCCTTGATCTCACACATCTCTTGAAAGTAGCCAATCTCAATATTATGTAGTTAATACTTCTTATGTTTCTTTTTGCACAAATGAGCAAAAATATGTGTATATTCTTATTTTCCTTCCTGAGTTTGATATAGATAGCAAACCCTAGATTATTTTCTACATACCAGTATACTGACTGTAGAACTCCCATTCTGTTTTTACAGGTCCACATTATCCCATTCTAAATGTGCATCATAGTTTATTAAACCAGCTTTCTATATATGAACATTCAAGTTGCTTTCAAAATTTCATATCTATAAAAATAATTTAATAAATAAACTTATACATGTACACTTTACTATTGTTAGAGATAAATTCCTAGAACTGAAGTTGTTGGATCAAAATGAAAATATTAATACATAGATAGTTTTGCTGGCTATTGCCAAATTTCTCTCAAAAAAGATTATACCAATTGATATTCTCATCAATATATTATACTATACTTCAAGCAATCTCTTAAAAGTGTTTTGTTTGCTTTTTTGGCCTCCAAACAGTTTGAAATAAAAGAATAAAAATATTTTTAAAAGAAATATATGTGTATTCCTCATATCCTGTGAGATTTGATGGTATGAAATATTAACTCAAGAATCTAAAAATCGGCCGGGGGCCGCGGCTCATGCCTGTAATCCCAGCACTTTGGGAGGCCAAGGTGGGCGGATCACGAGGTCAGGAGACCAAGACCATCCTGGCTAACACAGTGAAACCCTGTCTCTACTAAAAATACAAAAAATTAGCCGGGCATGGTGGCGGGCGCCTGTAGTCCCAGCTACTCGGGAGGCTGAGGCAGGAGAATGGCGTGAACCTGGGAGGCAGAGCTTGCAGTGAGCCCAGATCGCGCCACTGCACTCCAGCCTGGGCGACAGAGTGAGACTCCGTCTCAAAAAAAAAAAAAAAAAAAAGAATCTAAAAATCCCCAAACATTGAGGAAATATATTTATTTAGCTATCTATACCACATTATAAATGGGGATATATACAGTTATAAAAGATTTTTTTTAATTTTGGGAAAATATATATTTGCGTTCAAAACCCAGTTATCTGTAAGTTTCAACTATTGAAGACTATCCTTTAGTGACTCCTCTGCCCCTCCTTCTCCTACAATTCCAAGTAAGAGTAAAGCAGTTAATATTAAGATTGTGATTCCGGCAAAACTGTGTGTGAATTACACAATTCCAACTCCCGGAGTATTGTCAATGTTCTTATCATCTCTAAAATCGAGATTTTTCAATCTATAGAATTGATTCTAACTCTATTTAATTTGCTGTACACTGTTAGGATTAAATAGAGTAACCTACTAAATTTTTACAACCTACAAAATCTTTTGTAACCTGCAAAATTTTTACATCTGAAATAAGGTAAGCTTCAAATAGTTATTTTTTCCACAAAGCATTTTGGTAATTGAGATTTGATTACATTTCTATTTTTAAAAGTTTTGCTTTCCTTTTTTAAATCAATGAATACCATAAAAATTTATTTATTATATTATTTTAATTGCACTTACTTTTTTGTCAAAAATATATTTCCTATTGCAACATATTTTATGTAATTTCACTTCAATATTTACAAATAAAATACAACTGACAGTCATCATAACACATAAATCTTAAAAATTATCATTTTAAAAAATGATTCTAAAATGTATCTGAAGATTTTGTTCTTCTAAATAAGCATTAGCCATAGAAAAATAACAAAATGATGTTATTCTCTGATCTTATAATGGAAGTGAAGAACATTATTCCTTGACTCTTTCAGGGTAGGTAAAAATTTCTAAAGTAGTCTTTTTTTGTAAACTAAAAATACTTAATAGTAGAAAAGTTATATATGCCAAATTGTATGTATCAAAATTTAGGTACCAGTCCCTATTTCTAACAAGTATTCTATAATTTATAATTTTGCATATCACAAGAGTTTTTAATCTTTACATAGACATTCTGCTATGCCTAAATGAAAGTGTTTATGACTGTCACAAGTTAGTATAAAATTCAAGATCTATGTTGACTCTAAAATAAAGAGTCTTTATCTTGTATCTGGGTCTGGAAGACAAAAACTGGACAATTTACACAGACTGTTAGACAAACTGTGTACTTATTTTATAAACCAAAGTTTCTAAGTTAAAACAGTTCACAGAATCTTTTTATCTTCATTCCTACTATTACCCCATGTGTGTTGTGCATAAAATTGTGTGTGTGCATGGGCATGAATGCAACACAGAATTAAACTTGAGCACAAAATTCCCTAGGATTCAAGCCATATTAAACTAAATTAGACCATTTTTCAACTTAGCCTATCAAAATCACAAAAGAATACTTGCCTATTTATTTTGTTAGCATAACTTTCTTAGGAGAAATTTCTGTAAGAATCTCTTAAATGTAGAGCCAAAACTGGACAACTAGTATTTTACTTAGTGTGACATACACTTATTTTGAAATATGTTCAAAATTTGCTGTTGAATTCAATAGTCTTAATTTAGAATCATCATAGGTTAAGACTGAAAAGGTTAGGAGGTAATCTGATTTAACATTAATACTCTAAAATTTACAGTTTACCCCAAAATATTTACAGTTGCAACTATTAAAAACAATTGCATGTACATTTATTTATTTATTTATCTATTCATTCTGTTTGGATTAAATGCCTACTGACAGAAAATGTTCTGGGCTCTACAAAATTGAACAAATTAGGCAATGATTTCTGCCCTTGAGTAGATTATATTCTAAAATAGGAGGAAATTAATAAATAATAAACATAACAGATACAGAAATTACACAGTGTATTAGAAGGTGATCGATGTGTATGAAATAAAATATAGAGCAGAAGAAAGTGGGTTGGGAGAACTTGTCAAAATTATTGCAAACATCATCTTACTTGTTGCCTAATAATTCATTATATATGGGTTTCAGAACATATTTAATTCCTGCTCTATTTTGGATAGTTAAGCTGTTTCAAATCATTATTCAAAATTTGGAAAATGTAAATAAAAAGTTTTGCTAGCTAGAGATAATTTCTTTTTGCATTTTATGGAATTGTATTAATGTATGTTCCTTTTTAAATATTAATGTTAATATTTAAAATTATGAATTATGTAATCTAAATATAAATATAATTTAATATTTATATTAATTATAATTTGGATTAACTGTAAATAATATTTACAGCTTGAGGTTCATGTTTCTGAATTTGAAATTATTTACCTAATAAAAATTATATTACATATTTATAAATGCAGACACATTATTAAAATATTTACATAATAATGCATTGCTTCTTTAGGCAGAAAAATAATACTCCAAAAACATTATCATTAAAATAAAAGACTTCCATATTCATGTGGGACAGCAAGCTGTTGACCTCCCTTTTATGCTAATTAGAGATCTGCTTCATCGCATTGGAGAAAGAAGCAGGCCTAATTTTCATCTTCACTTACAGTCACATTTTGAAAATGGATCATAACTGTGGTTCAAAGTTCTCTACTATTTATTGTAAATGCCAAGTAGTCCCCTGCCTTCACAACTCTCTACTTGCTGGTCCCTCTGCCAGGAAGTCTCTTTCCCTAGATCAAGCAGAGCAGCCCCTTCCAACAACACAGGTCTTAACACAAACATCATCTCAACAAAGAGATTTTTCCTTTCTTGCTACTATAGTAGCTTTTACTCTTAGTCACATTCCCTTATATCACCCATAGCACTGAAGGGAAATTTTTTATTTTGCTTCCTTATTAACACCTTGTCCTCCTACCTTAGCATGCCCAGCTTCTGTCTGTCTTGGTCTCTGCTATAACCCCAGTCTCAGCTGAGTAACGGGCACGTAGTAAGTGTTCAATAAATATTTGTTCAATGAGTAATAAATAATGAAGAAGATCCCAAATTTCTGACAACTAAAATATTGCAGGCAATTTATGTTTCTCCATAATTGAAGATTTTTACTCTACTTGAGTTTTCAGTGACAGATTACATGGGAATTGTCGCTTTGCGAAGAAAGAAAATGTATTTATGTCTAAGTGGAGGAGAAGAGAGTGGTATAGTACATATTACAGTATAGTATAATATAGTAGGTTTCATATCCTTGTTAAGATTGTAAGATGTGGATCTCATTTGCTAGGGTTTAAATTCTAACTCAGCCCCACTTATTGGGGCAAATTACTTAACTCCTCCGTGTCACATAATTTTTCATCTACAAAATCAAAATAATAATAGTATTCACCTCATGCAGTCATTGGAAGTACTAAGTGACTTTATTCCTTTTCAATATTTCTGATAGTACATAGTAAATATAAGACAATAAAGGTTATTATTATTATTCAGTGACTATAGTTTTCATCCTTGTGATGGCACTTGTGCATATGATATAAAGAACATATAATCTCTACATAACCAGAAGTTGTGCATAAAATTGCAATTAAAGTACTAATTGCATCTTTAATTATACCAGTGTTTCCTCTGATGGCATAGCTGTCTTCAGAGATGCATTTGGTAAGTCCTATTATACAAAAACAAAACATTAAATAAATATGGGCTATTTCAAAGACGCTGAGTATGTGAAAGCTGAAAACTGTATTAAGTGGAAATTATATATGGCACCAGCAATGTGTTTCATCCTCATGTTCCCTGGTTTTGTGATACATCTGTGAAATATTTTCATTGACTTTTTAAAATACATAAAATATCAAAATCAAGCTTTGCTAAAATGTACTTTAAATATACTGTTCGGTTTTTTACTTCCCATTTCATAAAAAAAATTTTGACTACCTGGATAAATAGTGTGAGTTAAATTTCACCTAAACTTAATATGTGATAGTGACTTGATAACTCCCTTGACCCAGGAATTCGCCCACACTTACAACTACTGCCATGTTATGGAAACGTATATCTTATTACACTTGAATATTCTGTATGATATTCCTCAGACTCTCTTAATATTTTTAAATTTCTATAATATGTATAAATAAAATTCATTGCTTATGACAGCCTGTGTTAACATTTCTGCTTCATCCTTGATATGGTTTGGCTGTGTCCCCACTCAAATCTCATCTTGAATTGTAACTAACTCCCACAGTTCCCACGTGTCAGGGGAGAAACCCGGTGGGAGGTAACTGAATCATGGGGGCAGGTCTTTCCTGTGCTGTTCTCGTGATAGTGAATAAGTCTCATGAGATCTCATGGTTTTAAAAATGGGAGTTTCCCTGCACAAGCTCTCTCTCTCTCTTTGCCTGTCACATACATGCAAGAAAAGACTTGCTCGTCCTTGCCTTCCACCGTGATTGTGAAACTGCCCCAGCCACGTGGAACTGTAAGTCCATTCAACCTCTTTTTCTTCCCAGTCTCGGGTATGTCTTTATCAGCAGCATGAAAATGGACTAATACAATCCTAGTAGTGGACATTTCTGACATATGAGATTTGACAACTCTGGATTTAGACAGAAAAGTAGTTCAAGAGGAATAGGACCTAAAAACATTTAATTCCCCAAATATTGCCCCTGATTTTGTCTGGGGTCTTAAGCTACATCATAAAATTCTTACTTTCTTACTCTCATACTCCTAACACCTAGCAACATATACTTTATACCAACTTTGTACAAATTAATTCATTAGGAGCTTTTCCCATGTATGATCTGACACATTTCTGCCTTTAAAGAAATTACTGTTTAGTAAGAAAGATATAGACTAATAACTTCAGTACAGAATAAAAAGTGTCATTATAGTAACAATTAATAGATAGTATTGGCAGAACATTTATTACATTAATAAAATCTAATATAATAATTTTAAAGCTTATTTTAGGTAATTCCTGTAATTATATCATGTAGTGCTATAAAATCTCCATTTTACAGACAAGGCAATTGAGGCACAGAGAGTTTGAATCACGTATCTGGGGTTATTCAGAAAGCAAGTAATGAAGCTAGGTTTCCTACCCAGGCAGTATCTGAATCCAGGGTCCAAACTTTTAATTACTCTGCTAAAATCAGTGTATGAATATCATTCTAAGAGGACAGAAGCAAGTAAGATTTAATAAGCTTTTAGATGAGATGCAAAATAGAGAGCTTTCAAGGAAAGTAACAGAGAGGATATAACATTTGAAGTGAGTTTCAACAGATGTATAGTTTTCTGGACAGATGATCAAAGAAAGGATGTTTTGTGCAAGGAAAATAGCCTGAACAAAAGCAAAGAAAGAGGGACTGATGATAGTTGAAATTGTTGAAAACATTTCATTGCCTCATTAACAATGTTCAAATTAATTAAACTAGCATTTAAAGCCCAATATTATCTTCCCTTCGCCTAAATGTCTAGTTCTGTCTTTCACTCTTCTCTTCTACTATGTAATTTACATAATGTAATATGCACTTCCTGTCACTATCTTCATGCTTTCCTACTTCTATTGTTTCATTTATACTATTCCATCCATATGAAATCTACTCTGTAGATTTGCCCTGTCCATTTTAAGATAAAAGTGTTCACCACTTAATCTCCAAGGCCAAGTTTAGAAAGGCCTTTCCCGTTATGAAATATTTCCCTCAAGGAAAGAATTTTCCATATCCCCTTTACCCAATTCTGTAGCCCTTACTTTCTCTATTCATCTCCGTGGTACTCATTATTCCACCATATAGTTTGTGCATTATTTATCATTCTGTACATCCATTAATAATTTTCTATCTACACAAATTTTTACCAGAAAGTTTTCTTGGATGGAAAAGTTTTATAATAGCAGTAAAGATATTGGGCTTCATAGTCGAACACAGTTTGATGGAAATACTAATTCTGCTATTTGCTAGCTTACCAAGTAGCAAGTTAGTTACACAATCTGATTTTCTCATCCCGAAAGTGTGCATTAAATACCTCCCTAAATCAATATTGTAAAGATTAAGTTGAAGAGTAAATACAAAGCCCTTAGCTCAATGTGAGCATCAATGAAATGGTAACTGTGACTATTACTGTTGTTGAGACAAACAGAAAGTTCCAGTAGCAGACATTTAGAAATAATGTATGAAGAATTAAGCAACATTTCTCAATTTTAGTGTTGATGTTTATTGTATATCATCATCACTTAAGGAGCTTGTTAAAATACAGACTCCATGGTTTTGCCCCCAAATACTCTGATTTCCTAGGTCTTGGTAAGGAGCAGTAATCTCTTGCTTAACCAGCCACCCAAATGACTCTACTAAAGATGGTCCAGGGACCATATTTTGAAGAATGAAGAAATGCCAAAGCAGGGATATGGCCAGTGAAATCTCTAAGCTAAAAAACAATACACGTTTTCAGAAGGTTGTTGCCAGGCTGGGTTTTCAGAAGGTTGTTGCCAGGCTGGGTATAATCAATTTATTTTCTAATCAATTATCTTTCTCTCTCTCTCACCCTCTCTCTCTCACTCTCATTCTCTTCTCTTTCTCTTAAAAGAATAAAGTAAAGGCTTTTTTTTTTCACAGGACTTCCCAGATTATATGTTCTTTGCAAGAATAGAAGCTTTGATGTGTATACGTAAGCCCTCTCATACAATTCTCTGATTTACAAAGAGCAAAAGAGAGCTGCAATAAAGAAAAAAAAAAGAGGAATCTACACAATTGCAGAGATTTATAGAGAAAGCTATTTGCTTAGATAAAAGATTCACTTTTATTTGGTTGACTAAGGTTGGCTTTGTTCCTGGAAATGCAGTTGAAAGTTCCCCATTATGATTTTAACTCTTCTCAGAAGCAAAGCACACTTTGATAAATAGCCACCAAAAATTTTCATGGAGATACAATAACACCACTTATCAGTGAATCTCAATTCAAGATGTTATGGAGGAATAGATTTGCTTTGATTCTGTCTGCTTCTTTGGGTTTTTTAATAATTCAAATATCTGGCCACATTCCAGAGATTCTCAGAAAAATCTTAAATGAAGCCATGGTATGTGTTGTTTTTGAAAAAATGAGGCCAGGTGCGGTGTCACGCCTGTAATCCCAGCACTTTGGGAGGCCGAGGTGCGCAGATCAAGAGGTCAGGAGTTCGATACCAGCCTGGTCAGAATGGTGAAACTCCGCCTGTACTAAAAATACAAAAATTAGCTGGATATGGTGGAGGTGTCTGTAGTCCCAGCTACTCAACAGGCTGAGGCAGGAGAATCACTTGAACCTGGGAGGCAGAGGTTGCAGTGAGCTGAGATTGTGCCACTGCACTCCAACCTCAGCAACATAGCAAGACTCTGTCTGAAAAAAAAAAAAAAAGAAAAGAAAAAGAAAAAGAAAAGAAAAGAAAAAATGAGTGTGATCACTGAGGCTTGGGAACTACTATCTTCCAAACATGTAGTTTTTACCTTCAATTCCATTTAAGGTGCTTGCTAAAAATATAGATAACAGATTCCTATCCTGGACTTACTAAATCAGAAATCTCTGAGTGGCTTCAGCAATCTACAATAACATAGTAATAGGATTTTGGGCTTTGTAGCTAACACAACTGGATGGGAATACTAGCTTTTCTGTTTACTAGTTTCCTAGCTACAATTTCATAATATGTTACAAAATCTTTGGATTATTTTTATACCACTTAGTCAGTGAGAACCACTACAAACGAAACTGCCAAAGTTGCCTCCACCAGTCCTGTACATAGCAAAGAAAAGGATCGTAGGAGACTTAGAGCAGAAAAACCTGAGAACTATGCCAGAAGCTATTCTGTATTTATTTTGAAAAATTACAGATATCAAAAATAGGTGAGCAAATACCACAGTGGACACCTGTATACATGACCAAAATGCATCACTAGTTAACAGTTTTGCCATAGTTCTTTTTTTATTTTGATGAAAATTTAAGTCCAAATGGCAATACTGTTAGTACTAGGTACTGCATCCTACATCTTCTGTGGTCTCTTATGTAACTGAAATAAAATGCAATACACAAGAAATTTAACACTATTATTATCAAATATTTACTTCATCCAAATTTCCCCAATTGTCCTGATAATTTTCATAATTATTTATTTGTTAATTCCAGGCACACTCAAGGATCACATATTGCATTCACTGTCAGGTTTATTTAGTTTTATTTAATATAGAAGAGTCTTCTGGTCTCCTGGTGTGTGTGTGTGTGTGTGTGTGTGTGTGTGTGTGTGTGTGTGTGTGCATGCATGCATTTGTCTTTCATAGCATTGAATTTTTAAAAAATAATTCCAACTTGCAGAAAATTGTTCAAATAGAATTTTCCCTATTATCCCCTCTTTATTAGAAAATAAGGTAAATATAATTGCCAAGAAAAATGCATGGGTAAAGTACCCTTCCTGGAACATTTTATCAGGAGGCACATGATGTCAATTGGTCCCATTTTTGATGATGTAAACTTTAGTCAGAATTTGAAAGTGATGTCCACATTCTTCTTTGCAAAGGCATTCTTCCCCTTTTGTAATTCATAAGTAATCTCTGGGATGATTCAAAAAGTTCACATGAATATTCTCTTCCACAACAAAATTTTAACCAATACTTCAGTATCCTTTGATGATTTTAGCCCGAATCAATTATTACAATAATGGTTGGATAATAGCCACCTTTTAATTCTATCATTCCTTCCTGTTTCTTAGATTACTTTCTTATGTAAGGTATAGCTTTGTCTTCTTCCCCTTCCCTGATTTTGTTATTATCATGAAGAACTAATGGATTTTTTCCTTCTACTTTTTAATTAAAGTTAATATACATAGGAATATTGCATATGGTTGTATAGGAACCAAAGGAAAACGTTTCCTTTTATTTCTGATAGTTTGCTAAAAAGTCAACTGTAAATGACAGATTAATAGGATAAATGGCATGCAAATTTATTAGCATTTATGGGGAGTATCATAGAGTGATTACCCAATATCCCGATTGGGTACAGATGTTTATATACCCTACTTCTTTGGGGAAAGAGAGATGGGGAAATGTGGATGATTTTAGGGGAATTCAATGAGCTTGAAGAACATACGATGGCCTGTTGCAAAATCTATTAGTCCTGCAGAGCAGGCAACGGTTTGTGACAATATATCTGTCCAGATGGGTTGACAGACTTCAGGTCTTTCCTCCTGCAGTATGAGTTCACTTAATGAAAACTCCAATAAGGAAGGAGAGGTATTTGTTTTCCTCTTTGATGAGTGCAGACTTTGGGTAGATAAGGGAAATTCAGAGAACACCTTCATTCTGTGATCTGGGAGGAACAGAAGAGGAGAGATTGGAGAGGGGGAAGGTAAGGGAGACCTTAAGGCATCTTCAGTTCAGCATGTCAAAGCACCGTATTTGTGGGTATCTCTTTCTGAGCCCTAACAGTAACATATTTATTCTTTCTGAAGGTGAATTTTTAGGGTTAATTTTTAGAAGAAGTAGTATTGTTGGGTTAACCAGTACATATTACGGAAAATATATTTTCAATTATTATTTGTATCACCAGTTTCCAAACCAGGAGTGGTAGTATTTTGTACTCCAATCAGCAGTGTCAAAAAGGATCTGTTAATGCACAGCCTTATTAATAGACTGTGTCATATTTTCTAATTTTTATCAATCTGATAAATGAGAAATAGTATCTAAGTGTAGTCTTTATATATATATATATATATATATATTATGAGTATAAACTGAACATCTTATCATATGTTTCAAGGCTATCTGTAAGTTTTCATGTACTGTTCATGTCTTTTGCTTAATTTTCTTTTGAATTTTTCATAATAATTTACCTTATTTTTAAGAGTTCTTTATATGTTGTTACTATATTATAATAATTGATATGGTTTGGCTGTGTCCCTACCCAAAACTCATCTTCAGTTGTAGCTCCCATAATCCTCGTGTGTGGCAGAGACGTGGTGGGAGGTAATTGAGTCATGGGGGTGGGTTTTTCCTGTGCTGTTCTTGTGATAGTGAATAAGTTTCATGAGATCTGATGATTTTATAAAAGGCAGTTCCCCTGTCCAAGCCTTCTTGCCTACCTCCATGTAAGATGTGCCTTTGCTCCTCTTTCACCTTCTGCCATGATTGTGAGGCCTCCTCAGCCATGTGGAACTGTGAGTCCATTGAATCTCTTTCTCCTTATTTTTCTCAGGTATTTCTTATAGCAGCATGAGAATGGACTAAAACAATAATATATAAAATATTACTATATTATCCACTTTTGTGATATATTGAAAGTATTTTCTTACAGTTTTAAATGTTTTAAGTTTATTTAAAACAGTTTTAATGTTGTTCAATTTAAAAATGATTTCTTCTGATGAATCAGAATTTTTGACTCCATTGAAAATGTCTTTCCTCACACTGAGATTAAAAGACCAATTATATTTTTATTGAGTGCTGTGTAGTTTAATTTTTACGTGTAGATTTCTGACTCAAAGTATATTTTTTATATACTGTATTATGTGAGGTATGAATACAGTACTATCTTTTTTTCCAAGCGTGACCTAGTTGTCTCACAACGTGCTATAATATTTCATCTTTCTCCAGTCATTTCAATGCCACTTTTATCAGATGCTAAATTTCTGTATGTACATGAATCTATTTCCAGTTTTTCTTTTTTTATTTCACCAAGCTATCTGTGTATCCATATGCCAGTACCAAAAGGGGAACATGCTTCATCAGTCACACAGTGACTATTAGAATTATGAGTAATTTTGGTTTTGTTAGTCAGAGAAACCAGAAGACAGGCCACTTGGAGTGGAAGGAAATGGAATTTTCAGAAACAGTTGTTTTAACTCAATTTAATTACTGCTGGAGTCTTTTTCAATTACTGTCTCTGTCTGTGTCATGTGATTATTTATTTTGAACAGATGAGAGTATTATTGAAAAACCCAGATGTTTCATTTAGCTGTAGCTCCAGTCACTTTTTTTTTTTTTTTTTTTTGAGACGGAGTCTCACACTGTCGTCCAGGCTGGAGTGCAGTGGCGAGATCTCGGCTCACTGCAACATCTGCCTCCCAGGTTCAAGTGATTCTCCTTGCCTCAGCCTCCCGAGTAGCTGAGATTACAGGTGCCTGCCACCACACTCAGCTAATTTTTTGGTATTTTTAGTAGAGACGGGGGTTTCACCATGTTGGACAGGCTGGTCTCAAGCTCTTGACCTCGTGATCCGCCCGCCTCGGCCTCCCAAAGTCCTCTGATTACAGGCGTGAGCCAACATACCTGGACGCTCCAGTCATTTTTAAGAGGAAGGATTGGCCGAGCATGGTGGCTCACGCTCGTAATTCAGCATGTTGGGAGGCCCAGGCGGGCGAATCATGAGGTAAGGAGTTTGAGATCAGCCTGGCCAACATAGTGAAACCCCACCTCTACTAAAAATACAAAAATTAACCAGGTGTGGTGGCACATGCCTGCAGTTCCAACTACTCGGGAGGCTGAGGCAGGAGAATCGCTTGAACCCGGGAGGCGGAGGTCGTGGTGAGCCCAGATCGCGCCACTGCACTCCAGCCTGGGCAACAGAGTGAGGCTCTGTCTCAAAATAAAAAGAAATAAAAAAAGAAAGAAAGAAAAAGGAAGGGTTTAAAATTTTATTTCTTCCAAGCTGATCTCTTTCAAGTTAGTTCTTTCCCTAATGAGAGGGTTATCATATATGCCTCTGATATTTACTTTGATTTCTGCTTACTTGAATGAATGACAGAAAATATAGAGAAACTGAATTTAAAATGTGTCAAATGGTATTCATTACAACAAAAGACAAAAAGATTCCCTTTCAAGGAATCTTTTCAACTTTATCTTTTTAAAATCAATTAGCAGAAATGAATTGGATTATGTATGCAGATGTTTATTCAGACACAATGATTCTGCTGAATGTTCAAAGATTTTCTTTCTGGTATTCTTTGTTCTGTGGAATATACTGTATTTTTTTGTTTTGTTTTGCTTGTTTGTTTGTTTTTGCCTTTATATCGCGGTCCCCAACCCTGGGCAGGGACTAGTACTGGATAGGAACCATACGCACACAGCAGGAGGTGAGCGGCAGATGAGCATGCCTGACCACCTGAGCTCTGCCTCCTGTCAGATCACATTATATTCAAATAGGAATTCGAACCCTATTGTGAACTGCACATGCAAAGGATCTAGGTTGTGTACTCCTTGTGAGAATCTAGTGCCTCTGAAACCATCCCCTGCCTCTGTGGAAATATCGTCTTCCACAAAACCGGTCCCTGGTGTCAAAAAGGTTGGAGACTGTCGCTTTAGATGTCTTAATTTCTTTATTATTGTAACTATAACAAGCAAAGACAAAATACTGACCATAGCTTATATTTGCATAGCTCTTCAAAATATTTTGTAATGGAGACTGATTGCCTGGCTTTGCCGTTGGGGTATATGGATATTGATTGCCATGTTTAAACAAGACCCGCTTAATGTAGACATCCTTCAGTAACAGTGTATACCAGCAGTGTTTTGTTTATAAATGACTTTGTGAAAGCAACAGGTTACTTAAAAAAAGAATGTATTATATGAAACGAAAATTAAACACATTCTACTACGAAGCTAACATAGGAGATACAATATACAACACATTGAAAGGGATAGAGTGATATTTTAATTCCCGTTTGCTACACAAAGGAACTGATGCAAGTCTTTAGCCAGCTTTGGCTAAAGGAATGAATTGTGTGGTGTTCCGGTATCTAATACTTCTTGAATTATATAGTTATGTGCTTCTTCTCCTGGCCCTGGTGGTTGTGCTAAATTAACTCATGATTTTTTTTAAAAAAAAGGAATAAATGAAAAGGAAATATAAATATTTGGAGCACTGTTATGTTGTTAAATATATTTTATATTATATTATTTGATACTACAAACTCTGTTTATAAATTTGTACAAATTAACATTAAATAATCTTAACTAATTGCCTCTTATTAAAAATTTCCCTCCAGGGATTTGGTCTAAGCTAAACTCTGCTGAAAAAAACAAACAAAAAAGAAAGAAAGAAAGAAAGAGAAAGAAAGAATAAAAAACGCTTCAGTAGCTTAACACCAGTGACGTTGTTTTTCCTATGCAAAGTCTTCCGCAGTTCCCTTCCATACACTGTCGCAGGGATCTAGATTTAAAGATTATGGCTTTACTCTCAATATGTCACCTCCACTCTCATTGCAATAGAAGGAATAAAGAGTACGAAAAACCAACGTCTGTTGTTATTTCTAATGGGAAGTGGCCCACATCACTGTCCCTGTCGCTTCCAAAGGCCACTGGCTAGAACTATTCTCATAGCCCTACATAACTACAACCTAATTATAAGGGAGAATGAGAAATTTAAGCTAGCATACAAAATATTGGGTGAACAATAACTGTCTCTACTACTTGCTTTGCAAAAAGCCTGCTCATTAACCTCTGAAAATCTTCCTTTTCTTTTCACATATGTTTGAAGTTTTCTTTCTTCTGTGGCAGCTATGGGTATTTTATGTTTTCCAGTTGGCTGTCTCTTTGTTCCACCCATTTGCATTTAGGAATATGCATTAATGATAAAGAGTATAATTTTCTCTCTCTGGAGGAAAAAGTAACATTTTTATTATATCCTGAGCTGAAGAGGACCACAACAGTCTCTGGCATCCATATCTATTTATTTCCAATGTACAGACCACAGTTAAATGGTTAAATTTCCAAAGGACACTATTTTACGGTATTTCTATTACCTGAGGCTTATGTATGCTGTCAGTGAGCCGATTTTATGCCAAAATTTCTGTTGGATTCATCACTGCCCTGCTTCTATGTTGAAGCACTTTACCATCTGAAAGATAGGCTTAAGGTAGTGAGTTGGTAATCAGGAGAACTAAATTATTTTTCTCATTTTGTCACTAGCTAATTGTTTTCTTCTGTGGGCATTTCACTTAACTTATCCATGCATAAGTTACTTAAACTGTTAAATAAATGTGATAGTATATGAGTCTCTTTCCAAATTTTGTACATATGCACATTTGTATACATCAACTTAAGGTCGGGTTACATCCCAGTAAATCCATAGGAAGTTGAAAATAGCATAAGTCAAAAATGCATTTAGTACATCTACCTACTAAATATAGCTAAGCCTAGCCTACCTTAAACATGCTCAGAACACATACATGAGCCTATAGTTGGGCTAAATCATCTAGCAACATAGCACACTGTAGCATATCAGCTGTTTACCCTTGTGATACCGTGACTGACTGGGAGCTGTGGTTCTCTTATACTGATCAGCATCATCAAAGAGTATTGCTACTCCAGGAAAATAACAAAATTCAAAATTTAAAGCATGATTTCTGCTGAGTTCATATTGCTTTCACACCATTGCAAAGTTGAAAAATTGTAAGTCAAGCAATTGTAAATTGGGGGACTGTATTTATAAAACACACAAAACACTTTTTTTTCCATGAAATTTGTCTTACAACCCCTATGTATATTCAAGAAAATGAAAGCTTTCTAACTGAAAAGGAGGCACAGGAAGCAAACAGGGGGTTCGCCCAGACTCTGGATCAAAGCTGAGGCACAGCTATCTAATTCTAGGTCTTAAAGATATAGGCTTTGAAATCCAATGCAATGGATGTTTTCAGATATTTTTCAAATGAAAATCTCTTTTATAATCCAAAAGGAAGAATGAGGTTGGTTGTGCCTTTTTGCTATAGATCAAAATTAGTAACTCACTGCAAACATTAAGCAAATGAATGAATCACATTTCTCTTTAATGAGATAATCTGTTTCTCTGCATTTATTTAACATTTAAAGTAAAAGGCAGCAAAGGATCATATTTTGATTTAGTGAGTGTATCAGTCCATTCTCACACTGCTATAACGAAATACCCAAGACTGGGTAATTTATAAAGAAAAGAGGGTTAATTGACTCACAGTTCTGCATGGCTGGGGAGGCCTCAGGAAACTTACAATAATGGCAGAAGGCGAAGGGGAAACAAAGCACATCACACATGGTGGCAGGACAGAGTGTGTGAGAAAGAGCGAGGAAGTGCCACATTTAAAACCATCAGCTCTCAGGAGAACTCCCTCACTATCACGCAGACAGCATGGGGGAAACTGCCCCCTTGATCCATTCACCTCACACCAAATACCTTCCTCCACACCTGGGGATTACAATTTGAGATGAGATTTGGGTGATGACACAGTCCAAACCATATCAGTGAGGTTATATCATGTATATGCAATGTATGAAATGGTTTCAAGTGTTCTTTAATGTTTTTTTTCTAGAGAAAAGCATGTGTCTAAACTTTTATATCAATAATTTAAATACATAACCAGTGGAATTATCTTATGCAACATATAAAATATTTTATTTTCATAAAGTTCAAATTCAACTTTAGCCTTGACTCCAAAGGAGACTGAAAAAGTCACGTTATTTAATACAACTTTTTTAAATGACATATTTGTTTTGTAACTGACTTAGTCTGATTCTAGAGTATAAAATACACAAACGCATCATAAGAAAAGTAATCCTAGTGATACTGTCATGCTAACAAAGCCATGAATTCTTGTATTCCTCAGAAGAAATCTTTTTTCTTTTTTCTTTTTGCTCTCCAGGCAGTTTTTTCTTTGGTTTCTGGAAGTTCAGAGCCTGTTATGCAGTGAGGCCAGTAAGAACTCTGAGAACAGGCATGTAAATTGTGTTCTTTGATTTCCTAATATTAAAATCAGTTGAGCAGTTTTTAGACTCTTCTCTGGAATGCTATTTTCATCACCTCCTGTAGAAAAGTCCCTCTAGTGAATGATATTGACCACCTGATATTCCTAATTATTTAATCTATATTTTTCTCCTCATTTATTTTATCCAAGGGTTCTTTCATAGAGACTTAAGCAGACATTTGAACATCCCTCTCCCCCAACATAAACTCCTACTTATACATATGAGTATGGACTGGACAGACCTACATATGTATTTAGACGCATTACTTTCTGATTTTTCTTTCTTCACTACTCAGTGAACAACATTTCATGAAAGCTAAAACTTTTTTCTCATTTTATGCTATGTCTAAAGTATGAACAAAATTCACATTTAAGGTGTAATATTAGTGTGCTAGTGGCCTGATAAACCATTCGAACCATCTATCTGAGACATTCTCATAAGTCACTAACTCTAAAAGAAACACTTGAATGGTGTAAACAACAGGTTCCCTTGTTAAGTTTTAGGTAATTGAAAGCCAAATCACACAGGAAAATGATCCTGAGATCACAGCCATCCTGTCAGGCATGGAGACAGAGGAAGCAGAGGGCTTCTTTAACGCTTCACAATAATGACTGCCATGTCCACAGAAGGCAAGCCCTTTCATACTGCACTGTATTAGGTGGAAGCCATGGCTATGGTACACAGCACTTCTCTACACACAAAAAACACAACAGCCTGCTGCACTAATGCTTTACATGACAAAAGTGTGCTAAAATATGAAAAGAATGAACTCATGTCCTTTGCAGGGACATGGATGGAGCTAGAGGCCATTATCCTTAGCAAACTAGCACAGGAGCAGAAAATCGAATACCACAGGTTATCACTTATAAGTGGGAGCTAAAAGATGAGAACACATGGACACATAGAGAAAAACAACACACACTGGGGCCTTTTGGAGGGTGGAGGGTGAGAGGAGGGAGAGGATCAGGAAAAATAACTAATGGTTACTAGGCTTAACACCTGGGTGATGAAATAATCTGTACAACAAACCACCATGACACAAGTTTACCTACGTAACAAACCTGTACTTGTATCCCCTGAACTTAAAATAAACTTAAAAAAAAAAAAAAACCTCACTGGATACATTTTGACAATTTGCAATGACCGAATGCTTTGGTTTGAAATAAGCTTAAGAAATCAAGGAATCAAATGTTTGTTCTTTGTAGATAGAGAAGTTGAACTTAAGATGTAATGAGAGTCTTATCCATGGCCAACAGTCAGTAAATGGTAAAGCTGGGATCTGAGGCCAGAAGACCCAATTGCTAATTTATTATGCCACCCCACCTCATGTTACCAAGCTAGATGGCAAATCTCTGTGTTAGAGTGTGTCCATGCTACTCCTTAATTTTTATGAGGTCTCAAGGACAAGGCCTCTGGCACAAACTGATTATTGTCTTGTTCTATCTGTGCTACCAAATGTCGAGCGAATTTTACAGGGTCCAGGATTTTAGTTTAGGAAAAAACAAGAAGGCATGCTCAACATTAACATGTGATGCTAACCAAGCCCCCTGCAAGCTGCAATTTTGTTCTAGATGGAATTACCAGCACACTGATTCTGTTTTACAATATGAATTCAGCCATGTGGAACAAATTTAACAGTTTAGGCTTTTGACATACACAAAGGTAAAGTGTTTCCTTCCAAGCTGGTGACTTACGAGTACTTGTAGCATTTCCTGGAAAGGTATTACCAGGTCAAATTGTGCACTAAAGTAAAGACTATAGCTGCCCCAATTCAACCCATTTCTTTGGATCAGAGAGCCTAAATAGTTTAGGAGCTAATATGTTGCTGCACTTTCTGTTTAACTAGAATGACCTCAAATCGAGAAAAGGTAAATGAAGATACAAAAAAATAACATCAGAGCGGCAGAAATAAACTATCTGGGCCAGATAACTTGTTTTTGAAATGACCATATTATCACAAATAAAATTACAATCCCTTTCTATATTATTTAAAAGTATTATCCACATTTCTAGTCTATAAGGAATGTATTATTCAGCATATGGAGAAAAATGCATTTGTTTCTTTCTGATGCTTGGGATTAGTCTTACTCACTGCTGGCAGAAAGAATTCTACTCAGAATTCCACTACGCTTATGCATTTTGTTATGCTATTTTAAACAACACTCTGTTTACCCTTTAAATATCAACTTGAGACATGATATGTTTTAGCACAGAATAACTCTTAATAAAGAACACACACTAAGCAAATATTAATAAACTGTAATAAAAACCATGTCTAAATAGCAGAGTTTCTATATTCAACTGAGTAATTTTGGATTAAAATTATGTGAAGCTCAGTGAGTGTTTCTAAATACTTAGAAGAGGTTATCATATTCCCGGCATTACAGTACAACACTCTTACAGTGTATTATCTCAATTCGTCCTCAAAACAACCATTTGAGATTGTCCTCAATATCCCAATTTTATAGATGAAAAAACAACTTCTTCAAGATTAAATAAGTTGCTGAAATTGAGTGACAGACCCGGAATTCAAATCAAATCCCACATTGTGTTCGGTCCATTCAGTTGTTTCTCTGTAACCCATATGTTCAGCCTTGTTGTTTATTATGCTCCATTAGGAAGTGATCTAACAACTAGGTTGGAGTTTTGCATCTCTTTCTATGTATCTCAGAGAGATTAATTAGGAAAGTCGCTGGAGTATTTGTGGTACAATTAGAGTAAATGTGTTTTAATGTTATCCTCAGGCAACAAAGGCATTTTTTCTTTCTAATTTCACTTTGTATTTCTCCATCTGATGTTATTTCCCTGATCAACACTAGTGTTGTGCGATTGGAAGAAATGGGCTATGGTTTAGATAGACTTGAATCCAAGTGTCACCATTTCTAGCACTGTTATTCGGTAGACTACTCCAACTCAGATACTTTTTTGGATCCTTGTGAGGATTAAATACACACTGTGTATGGAACATTGATGGCAGATAGTAATCATGGCCCATTTATTGCTTTACGTGAGAAATCTTAGTACTCTACAATGTTTTCCATACATTTTCAGATAGTACTACCTTTAATTTACCTTGAGCCATATTAATAGGAACCACAGCTAGATAAGAGCCCAAGAAAAAGGGTTTGAGAATACAGGTGAGATAAAAAAGATGGGAGGGGGGTTTTGGTCTCCTATGTGCATCAGCCATTAGTTGAGTAGACTAGTGTAGACTAGTGACTCTGATTAATTGATAAGTAGGAACTTCCTAGAGCCAACCATTATTTATTTGTTTATACATTAATCTTTCCCAGACAAAGGGTTCCTGGAGCAAACAACTAAATCATGATGCTCTACAGTCTTATCTAAGCCGTGATGACAAAAATGCTCTCAATTCTTAGCAAAATCACAGCAGATGCTAGAGGGAATCCTCATCAGGACCCTGTTTAACAACCCAGAGACTTGACTAGAAAAGGCCAGTCACAGACTGTAGACCTCAGCCATCTGCCAGTAGGCCTCTGGAATGATATTCATTTTATTGGATGGTAAATTATAAAAGGAGAATTAGAAAGGTGATCAATATGAGGAGAAGGGAATGAAAGGCAGGACACTATCAGGAAGCGGGGTCAGCATAGGAAGGATCTGTTAAGCCTGGAAACAAATCATTGGCTACATTCCCTGTACTGTGTAAGTTAACAGGATAGGAAAGAAAGGCTGGCCTCTTTGGATTGAAATCACTACTTGGTTTTTTGAAAATGTCTTAGCACTTCAAGATTATACCATATGAAACTGTATCATGTATTCAAATTCAAAAAAGTTATGATGGAGTTTGGACTGAAACTGGAGTTTCCTGCTTTGAATTGTTGAATGGATCAATAAAACCCCACTGAATACTAGGCATTCATTCAAATGCTTGCATATTTTCCTCCTCTGGCTTTTCAAATTCTTCATTATGTTTTTGCTTAAATATATAATAATTTTTGCCTTCCAGACATGTAATAAAATTAGATTAATAAGAAACTTGGTAGTTTTAGCAATTTATAGATGCAGTCTTTAATTTCCCACTTACTAACTATATAAGTTAGACCAGGTCACCTTAATCTCAAGAGCCTGAATACTTATTCTACAGGCAATATACTTATTACTCCTACCCTATGAGATTTTTGTAATATAAACTTGAGATAATAAAAACAGCTGATATAGTGGCTTAACAGGTTACATGAAATAATGTATGTGAAAGCAACTAACGCCACCATCCCTGTGACAACGTACACAATTAAGCTATTTTATTTTTCTGCCCCCTTTTTCTAAACTTCTACTTTTACAGGGTAAATTTAAAATAGGTGTGTCTTTTTTTTTATTCCACATTATTTAAATAAATGGTTCACAGTTTGGAGGATTTTTGCTCTGCAGGGAATATTTGAAAATATCTGTGGTTATTTTTGGTTGTTACCACAGGAAAGGCAGATGCTGCCAGTATCTAGAAAGTAGAAGCTAGAAATGCTGCTAAACATCCTACAACTCATAGAACAACCCCCAGCAAAAAAATTATCCATCCCAAAATGTGAACAATGCAGATCAAAATTGTCTGATGATTATTGATTAGATGCATATTTTACCTAAAAGGAATATAGAATTGAAGGAATCATCAAAATCTAGATCATTAATATCAATAAATATTAATATTTGTTGACTAAACTATGCTAAATATGTATGTATACATATATGTACATATGCATATATGTACATAAATATACATACAGAAGCATACACACAAAAATCTATTTTTACTGGACTTACCTAATTTTGTTTTATACCATTCAATGAAGTTGGTTATTTTATACTCATTTTTATAGGAGGCTTGATGATATCATACAATCTGACCCAAGGACATGTAACTACCCACTGATGGAGACATAAGCTAAATTCAGGTGTTTTGACTCCAAAACCATTGCTTCAAATCACTAAGCAATGTTGTCTCCCAACAGTTAAATCCTGGCCCTGCACACTCAATGGTTCAGTTCTTTCACTAATGTAATCCTCTTGAATTATAGTTTCTACTCAGTAAAAAAATAATTTTTTAAAAGATTTTACATTTTCATTCACGTTATGGAGTCAGCATCAGCATCAAAGTTATGAAATCAATAAAAGTACTTTAAAATTTTAAAGTACCATAAAATGCAAGCTGCTAGGCCCACTGATTGATAGATCCCTCTCATCACTGATTATACCTGAAGAATTTTAACTTTATGCTGCTAAAACAATGGTCCTGTCAGTACTCTATATAGAAAGACATAAATACACATAAAAATTCTGTCCCATGGAAAACAAAGATAAGCGACATTTTTGACAAATCATAAAGAATAAGGAGAGAAAAATAAATATCTAAAAATCTAGTGTTCCCTTCAGAAGTAAAAACTATTGTGTTTACTAATGAAATTAAAGTTGATTGAAAAGAAATAAAATTTATACTACAGAAAAATTTACATAGCTTTGACCACACAGTTTTATTTCATATTTCCTATGAGAAATAAATCCAAGAATTATCAAAAACTACCAGGGCACAGACGGATATAACATATGTGAGTGTCTTCAATAAAAGAGTACTCATTTCTGGTAAGATTTAGGACTGTTAATAACACAATATTTTCAAGGAAACTTCCATACTAATGTCAGATTTCAGCAGAGTAAAATTGAGGTATTCTCATTCTTACAAGAGTAAGTATGTATTAACTAACATTTTATAATGATTTTCTTGATTAATGTCCCCAAAGTGTAATACTCTTTGACTCTTTTATATGGATCTGGACAATTAAATTTCAAAAAGACACCTCAATTAACAGTCTTATTGAACAAAAAATGTATTATAATCGTATTCACAACACATTTACTAAGCAGTTATATTAGTCAACCATTCAACACAAATTTATGAAATGTCTACTCTCTGCTCAACATTGTGCTAAGTATCACTGTGAAGCTATGAGCGAGAATACTTACAAATAAAAAAGTTCACTTTCTGAAAACGAAATTGGAGTAAGAATCTTGAGGTCTAACTGGAAGCTGGATTACAGCCACTCTGTATGTCTTGAAGTGCCTCATAGTTGAATTAATTACTGTCACAACTGCCTCTTTTCTCTTTGATTCATCTTTTCATAGTATTAATACTTATTCTCTGTTAAATTATTGCATCTCTCTCGAACTCCATAGGGGTATTCCTAACATGTTAGTTCATTCCTATCAAATTTGAGTCTTACAGAATTAAGATGCAAGGTTAAACACTGCATTCATATTAAATCTATACAGTTTAGTCTATAACCAATGGCTAGTCTAAAATTAATGTCCAAAGAATGATCAACAAAAAATTCAAAATGCCCCTTTCAAGATGGTTCAAATTTTTTATGGAATGAGAAATGGTGTAAATAAGTTAACTTTAAATAGGTAGACACATCTTTCATTGAATATCTACTGTGGGCACTACAGATATCTCAACAACATTCATCCCACTGTTTCTCCACAGTGACATATTCATGGAGTTTAGATTGGGTTAACTTCACAGGTGGACCTTGGCTGACTAAAATTAAACAATGATTGTCCATTCTTTCCACAATGAAAGGTTGATGAAACTCAGGCCTAAGACCAATGTTTTATATTCCTCTGGCCATAATACTTGGTTCTAAGAAAATAAAATCTGTGCAAAATCCAGGAATTTTATATGGCTCTTGAGGGATAAACGCACTCTCTCTCTTCTACTGCCACTGAATATAGAAATAGATTGAATAGATTGACTCTTGTGTTTGTATCTATCTCTCCCTCTCGTTGAATAGATTGACTATTGTGTGTATATATCTCTCTCGTTTGTAAGTATATGTTTATGTAAGTATATACAAACAGAAAGGGAGGTGAATAGAAAGTGATAAAAATGGCCAGGCATGGTGGCTCACGCCTATAATTCCACCTCTTTGGGAGGCCGAGGCAGGCGGATCATGAGGTCAAGAGATTGAGACCATCCTGGCCAACAGGGTGAAACCCCATCTCTACTAAAAATACAAAAATTAGCCTGGCATGGTGGTGTGTGCCTGTAGTCCCAGCTACTTGGGAGGCTGAGGCAGGAGAATCGCTTGAACGTGGGGGTGGGGGTGGGGGGGCAGAGGGGCAGAGGTTGCAGTTAGCTGAGATCATGCCACTGCACTCCAGACTGTCAACAGAGCGAGACTCCATAAAAAAAAAAAGTTATAAAAGTAAATAATATTTAATCACTAGTAGAAGGATACTAATGAGCAGAACACTATGCACCATTTATCAGTGCCAGATGAAGACTCCAAGCACTTCTGACCATTGCCTCTTGGTATCAGAGTTGCCAAGGGAAACATAACTTACATAAAGAAAATTACTCTTACTTACATAGAGAATATACAAAGCAAGACCAACTCCAATAGTATGGTGTTGGTCCCTCATGGCTAACACGTTACCCTGGCATCTGGAACAGGGCAACCGGTTTGCCACCACAGTAAAAGGACCTCACCCTAACCCCATAGGGTCTTTCATGCTGACAGTTAGGGCCCTGTCTGATGGCCATGAAGGGATTTAAAATTTTAAAGTGCTTTTTTTTTTTTTTTTTTGATGTACAAACTTAAGCAGAACAAAGGAACACTCCCTGAGTCTGAAACAGGCCAAGATACCCCACACAAAGGGATAATTCTGGCACAGGCTTTTTGGGCTCTTTATCTCTTGATAAGGAAGTGTTCCAGGCTCAAGACCCACTATTCTGTGGCTGAGCCAGGGTTGAAAGACTGGGCATATAAGACTTCTTTTCCCAACAGACACCAGAATGATAATATTTTTATATTACATGTCTGCAGTTTACACACCACTTTCACATAAATATTATCTAATCTTCACAGCATGCCTGTGAAGTACAATTACTACTTTTTACAAGTGAAGACATTGAAATTTTAAAGAAGTTTTGTGATTTATCCTATGCTACAAGTATTAGATCACTTGACTACTGCCAAAGTAGTACATGAGAAGAGACAATAAGCGAACAGAATCTCAAGAAAGAGATATCACCGCATGGAACAGTCCTTAAGGGGGCCTGAGATTGTTGGAAAAGGAGAATAACACTTTAGAAGGGAACAATGAAAACAACCAGAAACTAGGGCAAGAAAAGATCCTGATCTTAACCAAGGTATGTGATTCCAGACCCTCTTCCTTTACTCACTCAAACACTGACTCTCAACCCCAATATAAATGTCCCCACTGCCAAGGAAGTAAGGATTAGGCACCATGCAAAACTAAATCCATACAGCATTTTGTGGGCTGTTTTTGCTGCATGGCTTCAGATCACTTTAATGCATAGAACGTACAGATTTTCCTGGGTAATTTTCCCTTTTGTTAAGCCTGAAGGTTCTTGGTGGGGCCTTCCCCATGGTTGGTAGATCTGTGATGCTGGGAAGGCTCTTTAAAATGACCCAAGAGAAACTTACTGAGGCACACGAACCCAGAAAGAGCATGTGCATATCTAGAGAATTAGCATTTAGTAGAATAATATGTCAACAAAACAGCTAACCATACATATCCCATAATTTGTCAGAGCCCTTCTAAGCTTCTCTGTATCAGAAGATAATCTTCATGAACAAACATCAACAAGATGAGAGAATTTAACTTTTCAGTTCTTCTAAGGGGCCTGAAATAGCTTTTAAACAACATATTAAACTAGAACTGTCAGTTTATTTCTTAACAGGTCACTTTGGGATGGCTTTTCACTATTTTTTTTTACTTGTCCATAAAAAATTACATGACTTTATTTTCAATCTACACACTTATTTATTACACAGATATTTAGAGAACAGCCTTGCTTTCTTCCTTTTTTATTGTACCCTCTATCAAGATGTACTAGTTTCTGATCCTTACCATTCCAATGTTAGCCATGCCCTGAAAGGTTTTCTGACCATGACAAGAAACATATCCGGAGAGGCTAAAAACAATTTTGCCTCATTTAAAAAAATCATCACCTGATTGCTTTGATCAATGCCCTGTTTATTTTACCTTTCCTTGTTCTTCCCACTGTATAAATTTCCTCCCTTTCAGAGGCTTCCATGAGTCTCGCTGGACTACCCACCAGTGCTAGCAGCCTTCTCCGATGACTTGACCCATGGCTGGCCATAATGATCCCATGCATCACACTTTATTCCACAACCGACAGTCACTAGGGCACACCAAGGCAAACTGTTTCATTTTAGATGGGCCTTAACCTTTACTTTGTCTGAATCTCAATAGACTTTGCCAATTTGAAGAACAAAGAGTGAATATATTTCTGAAAATTTAAGAGTAATGGCTTAGCTTTGTAAAAGGAGGTGAAAGCATTTTATCAAATAAGTTTGACATATAGTTGTATTCTGAAACGTTTGAATTAGGATTCAAAAAGTGAGTGTGGATCCAAAACAATATGCACCATATGCTTTCTCTTAAAATAAAAGCTGACCACCAGCACCAGCTGTAAAAGGCTGGTCAGTGCTAACAGGTTTTTGAGGCTGTGTAACTTTAAGTAAAATGTTCAAATGTAAGGGCCAGTATCATCGTCTGTGATAGCAGGTGCTACTAATCTCTGAAGTTCTTTGATAAGAAAAGTTTCTCCTAGCCTATTCTTGCTTGAAATAGTAGAATAGAGAAAATTTAGCCCACAAGACCTTATGACATTGCCCAGCTTACGTTTAGAACATTATCTAAAACTACAAGAATATTTTTCTGTATTAATTTCAAGCTTATACTTCTGTGAAAATGCTCTATTTTCTCGTACTTCTATTTTTATCTATGTACTCTTCTCCCTGATTGAAGTAACCTACCATCCTGTCAATACTCTTCTTCATCTAGTTAAATTTTACAAAGACAGAAATCAAGTGGCACATTTTAATTTTTTGTTCTATCTTGCTGTTATTTCTCTGAGGCCCAGTAACCCACTATGCTTGTCTTCATCAGCCTTTAGGAGCATGCATTAAATTTGATGTTATATGTTCAGCTTCTCTTATAAGAGAAGCTTATACTGTGGGATGACAATCATTGACATTATATTTGCTTTCCTTGATGGCACAGTACACGAAATATAATAGGTCTTCTGTTTTCTACTTAATGTTTGTGCCTGCCTCAACCCAAACTTTATATGTTGAAATCCTAACACCCAATGTAATGGTATTGGGAGACAGTATTAGGACCTGTGAGAAGGCATTAGGTCGGAAAGGTAGAGCCCTCATTAATAGGATTAGTATCCTTATAGTAAACACACACACACACACACACAGAGAGAGAGAGAGAGAGAGATTCTCTTTCAACCAAGTGAGGATACAATGAGAAGATGGCTGCCTGCAAACCAGGAAGTGTGCCCTCCATAAACACTAGACAAGAGCTGCACATTGATCTTGGGCTTCTCAGCTTTCAGAACTGTGAGAAATAAATTGTTGTTTAAGCCACCCAGTCTAAGGTATTCTGTGGTAATAGCCCTAAATACTGAGACATACTCATCAGATATTTACTGAATACATGAGTGACTGAATGAATGGGTGGGTGATGTCTGTGTTCTTATTTTCATCTGCAATGTGATTTATTTCAATTTTGTTGCCCATATTCTTCATTCCAAGACCAAGCTTTCTCCCTGCCAGTGCTTCCTCTCGTTTCCTCCATTATTACTTGTTTCTTTTGATTTCTATTTTACTCTTCAACTTCCAGACTCTAAATTATAGTCACATGAAAATGAATCAAGATCTTTTCTTAATTCTGATCAAATATGTAGTTATGTGCAAACCAATGAGTCAAATTAACCAGTCTTTCTTGCCTTCAGGACTCTGCAGGAACTAGTCGAAGACTAGAGGGCAGAAGAGAAAGAAACCAGAGGATTTACCTTCCTCTTTCTCTGTAGGGGCTGCATCTTTCCCTCAGTTCAGGTCCGTACCTGACAAGACTGTCATACTTTCAGGTTCTACCAGGTTATCCCATACCCTGATTTTCAGTGACACTGACTCTTCCTGTTGTCACTCCATTCCAAGAAAGCTGCTCCTTCCCAGTGTTATTCATCTCTGGGTAGCTTCGCCATCTCCTGCCTAGCCTCTCTGCTTTTCCACAGCCTCAGTATTCAGTACACTGACTTTTTTATTTGTAATACTAAGATGAATTTGTTTTTCCTGGTTGAAACCTGACTAAGGACTACCTAAGAGGAGAATTTAGACATATGGGCAAGAAGTAGCTAAATTTTTTCTTAGTATTTTTAAAATTACAGTGAAAAGCCCATGTTTTCTGAATGACTTCAGGGACTATATAATTCATTCACATCATATTGGTTTCATTGATTACTGGAAACTCTGTGGAAATTGAAATAATAGCAAATGCAAATAAAAGTAATGAATGGACACATGAGTATCATTTGGTTCCTATAAAGACTAATATAGCTTATTACTCTGTCAAAAACCTAACCTCAGTCATAACAAGTATTAATTTATGATTTCAGAATATCAGGTTTCTTTTGTTAAAGGTAAAGCCATCACATTTAGTTCCATGTAATCACATTAGTTCTATATTCATCATCATTTAAATGACTAAAATTAAATACTCTTCATTCTGTCCTGGGAAATTCTGCAAAACATATTTTCTTCAACCCAAGGAGGGGTAGGGCCCATGTGGGCTGAAGTGGTAAGAATAGATTTCCTGGAAGATTCTGCAAGTTGTTCAAGGAAATACATCTCCGTAGATTTTGAAATATTTCCAAGAAATTAAACTACAACATGTAGCTTCAATGTAACCAGGAAATCAATCTATTGAATAATTTTAATTAAATGAGTCAAATGACTATGAAGCTTTATGAAGTATGCTTTCATAGAAAAACTAGCACTAATACTATCAAACCACATACTTAGGTAAACAGTTTGGCACCAGATAATCCCTGAAAGAAGTTCAGGGAAACACACAAGTAATACAGCAAAGGGAATATCAAGACCCAGAAGAAGTTAATGTGCCAGCTGCTCTGATTTATTTTTCATAATACAAAGTGATGATGTGAGAATCTTTATTTTGATACTATTTGTGTGAGGAAATTTATCTTTTATGCCAGTAGAGGAGGGATACCTCATATTTCTTATTGCATTAGTCTGCTAAGGCTGCCATAATGAAGTACAACAGTCTGGGTAGCTTAAATAAGAGAAATTTATTTTCCCTCAGTCCTGGAGACTAGAAGTTCAAGATCATGGTAACCTCAGGGTTAGTTTCTTATGAGGCCTTTCTCTTTAGCTTGTAAATGGCTGTCTTCTCCCTGAGTTTTCACATGGCTATTCCTGTGTGGGTCTGTATCCTAATTTTCATTTTTTATATAAGACAATAGTCATATTGGATTAAGACCCACCCTAATGACTTTATTCCATGTAATTATATTTTTAAAGATTTTTTTTTTCAAAAAATGTCATATTTTGAGGACTTCAACATATAAATATAGGGGAGACACAATCAGCCCAAAACACTCATACAGTAAATGAATTTTCTTTTGGAGGTAATATATATTGAAGTTGGTGGTTTTGGTGCTAACAATAAAGTGGAAAACAGAAAATCAAGAATAAAAAAGATGAAAAGAAAAGGAGAATTGCTTTTCACCAAGCAATACTCAGACATCTACTAACCTGACATTTTTTCTACTTTTGTATATACTTTTCTGTCAAAAATAGTCATTATTTTTTCATGGCTAATCCCTAGAGATTCTTCAAGAACTAACTTTAGCATCATCCTCTGTACAAAACATTTCAACTTACCCACTTTCACTGATTTGAATTCAATGGTTTTTCTTTGTCCTTCTTTAGCAGCTGGATATGTATCAGACCCAGTAGGGTTATCACCTGGTACAATAATCATATACAACTATTTCTTCCATTAACCTCAGAGCTCCTTGAGGACAAGTACTAGCTATGTCCTCTCCATGTTATCAATGCTTAGCTTTGATAAGCTTTGGTTTGGGAACCTAACCTAATAGATTCTACATTAACATCATTTCTTGATTCAACAAATATTGTTCTGTATCCTGTATCGCACATAAAATATAAAATAATAAAAACAATAAGACACAGTCTCAGCATTACTGAAACTGTTTAATGAAATAACCCCATAAGAAATAAATGTTACTCACACACCATGAGCAATACCACCATCCATTATCATGCTTTATCCTATAGACAAGTAGAATTCTACAGTAAGCATTATAGCCCTTCGGCAGAGGTTAGTAACCCTTTCTAGCACACGTAATGGTGGCTCAAGACTTGAGCTAGGTAGTAGTCAAATAACCCTGAAACCTGAGTCCACTTCTCAAACTTCAAGTGGGAAGCAGAAACTTATGTATGGTGGCTTTTAACCTGAGCAAAATGCACGACAAAGTATAAGTCTAAAAATCCTAGAAGTGACATGGTTACAAATCAAAAGATGTCAATGATGAATAGAATAAATAAAAAGTAAGCCTTTAATTCCAACTTAGTAGCCTACTTCACAAGCTACACAATGAAGGGGAAAGTCCTGTCAGTGTCATCCCATCTTTACTGGAAACATTCTGGAGAATAAGGAAAATATATTTCAAATAAACCTTCTATCTCTCATCTTTAAAATGAAATTCATTACCCAATACAATTTTCTAACTAGATATTTACGCCAGAACCTATCAAATGCCTCTATAAATTATCTAGGAGGATTTTTTTTCATCTACCTCTGCAAAGTTGCTTTCCTTAGAAATTATTTCAAACTTGTTCATACACAGCATTCAGTTTCTCAGAGATTTCCCACCTCTCTCATTCATCACTTCTCCTTTCCCCAAGACTCAGATTTTAAAGGTTTATTAATTAGAATATATTCAATAATTGACTTTAACACTATTTATTGGGCACCTATTATATGGCAAACGATCCATGTAATTTTAGCTCTCACAGAGGTTAAATCCAAGTTAATAAAAGTTAATTCAAACAACAAATGTAATTTTTTTTTTTTTTTTTTTGAGACAGAGTCTCACTCTGTTTCCCAGGCTGGAGTGCAGTGGCGCAATCTCGGCTCACTGCAACCTCTGCCTCCCGGGTTCAAGCGATTCTCCTGCCTCAGCCGCCCGAGAAGCTGGGATTACAGGCGTCCGCCACCAAACCCCGGCTAATTTTTGTATTTTTAGTAGAGACAGGAGTTGACCATATTGACCAGGCTAGTCTCGAACTCCTGACATTGTGGTCCACCCGCCTTGGCCTCCCAAAGTGCTGGGATTACAGGCGTGATCCACCGTGCCCGGCCACCAAATGTAAATATTTCTAAATGCAGATGCAGAGTGGTCAGTGGCAAGTATTTGAAAAAGACTTTCAGCCGGGTGTGGTGGCTCACATCTGTAATCCCAGCACTTTGGGAGGCCGAGGCGGGCGGATCACGAGGTCAGGAGATCGAGACCATCCTGGCTAACACGGTGAAACCCCGTCTCTACTAAAAATACAAAAAGAAAAAAAAAAATTAGCCAGGCGTGGTGGTGGGCACCTGTAGTCCCAGCTACTCGGGAGGCTGAGGCAGGAGAATGGCGAGGACCCTGGAGGCAGAGCTTGCAGTCAGCCGAGATCGCGCCACTGCACTCTAGCCTGGGTGACAAAGCAAGATTCCGTCAAACAAACAAAAAAAAAAAAGAAAAGAAAAGAAAAAGACTTTTGTATATAAAGTCAAACATGGGCATGTATGAGAAGGACCTTCACGCACGCACGCACACACACACACACACACCCCCAAAATGTCCTCAATGGTTGAAACTAAATTTATCTGACATCTTTCTACCACTCTTCAAAGACACTATTAAGTGTTCTCTTTGAAAGTATGTATGCAGAGTGTTTGTGACGATTCCCTAAAATCCTAAATGCTTGATGTTACCTAAAGTCTTTTGCCAGAATTTCATCACTAATAATTTATATTACATGTCAAGTATTTCCTTCTATAGAGGATTCATAGTAAGAGATCATTGTATTTTTATATGGATAATAAGGAAAATACATTTTTAAAATATTATCTGCTGCATCAATTTGCATTATTTCATTTTTGGTTCAGCGGGTAACTGCAAAAATTCCTTTGCTCTTATTTTTATCAGTGACTTTAAAAATATCACTATCAGCTAAGAGAGTGTGAAACATTTATTGAGGACAATTACAATCATTCCATAATGTTTTCCTCTTTTAAAAGTAGAGACTTAACATCTCTTTTCAAATTCAGCATTAGCTAAGTTAGATTTATTGTGCAGTTAAATTTGCCAATTTTCTTGCCTTTCCTTTTGCTCCTCAAAATGATCTTGTGCACTTATTTACATAATATTCCCTTTGCTGTGTCCACTGGAGAAAAGTCCTGAGATTAAAAGCTTCTGCTTGCCCTAATTCTCTCTACATAACTTTCTTTTGTCTCATTTTTTTTCTTTCTGATATCTTGGCATGTAAATGTTGAATCATATGCTAAAATAAAAATTTCGCAAAAACTATTTTAAAATCCAAAGTAATCTGTGAATAAGAGCAAAATTTAAAAATGTGGCACTAATAAGATAAACAGGAATCACTGCAGAGTCGAGAAAATACCTACATTCCATGTTACATATACTGGTCAGGAAAGAACTATAAGAAAATCAGCATTTACTGAGTATTTATTACGCGTCAAATACTGCCTGAAGCACCACCAAATATAAATGCATGAATAAATAAATAGTTGGTCATTTCAATATTTGTTTCAAGGTCATAAAGCAATGTATAATCTAAAAACTGTTACTTGAGACCAGGTAGATCTTGTTCGAAAGAAAGTCTAAGTTTATTCAATTTATATTCTAATGGGATTAATGGCATCAATATCCAGTCTTTGGCATTTTTAATACCTACAAAATGGAGAAGACAATATCTCTCAATGTGACTGTTGTGAGCACTGTATGAATGAGTATAATGAAAACCCTGATCATTATGCCAAGAATACAGCCCCTCGGGGGTTTGATCCCTCCAGCACCCTCTGGCATAAAAAGTTTTTGTTAGGCAAAGGCAGAAATGTAGGATATGGGAATGTCAAAGGTCTCTTTTACTTGAAAAAAAACAAAAGTATCTTCTGAAGGGGTAAGCCAAAGGTGTCAGCTTTGCACGTGTGTATAATACTTACTTATTGGCTTTTCAAAACATCATCTAAATTAAGAGGAGATTGCCAGAACTGGGATCCGAAGGCCATGTTTACCATCTCTGATATCAGCCGAAGAAGGTGCAACTCTCCTAGTTCTAGATCAGTGCGACCACAGCTGCTGAGCTGCATTCAGCTGAGCAGGTTTCTAGCCTAAATGATTTCACTGACAACATAGTTTTCTTAATTGCCCCACACAACACAGTACAGGCTTAACAGACCTAGAAGGCAGTAAGAATAAGCCATCAGAACAATGTGATGAGGACAAAACAGACATCGTGACCTGCTGAAAGCACCTCAAGGAAAAAAAAATCACTCCACATGTACAAATATGACTTTCCCTAAAACTCACAGACTCAGAGTCTTAGGGGAGGTTCCCTCAACTCAGAAACATTGAGTTATTGAGGAATCTGGTTTCTGGCCATAACCTATTTGTGATCCCCCAGGCCCAACCAGAGGCAATTGCAGGAGGCTATGCCTTACAAGATTCACCAGGAAACGGCTCTCCACAAACAAGACTCAGTGCACAGCCAATAATACACTTCAGGACTCAGCTCCCTCCACCCTCCATACTGGCCAAGCTTTTACACATAATCTGCATTTCCAGAACAGGCAGCTCTACTCAGTGGCCTCTTTATCAGGGGCCTTTGGCACTCACCTCTCAGGCAGGACTTCCTTAGGCACCTCTGCCAAAGTCTCCTTATTGGAGGGTGTGGGAAGGGGAGACGTGGAAGGCACGTTTTCTTCACTCTTAGTGCCTAGTAGTTTTCTGCCGCTAGCTTCTCCCCCTCTTACTTTTCCTATCTCTCTTGGGGCTCTCTCAGCAGTGAGGTAACGCCCAGATCTGTGCCGGTCCAGCTGGTCCTAGACTAGCGTTACTCCATGGGGGAAAATATGGAATGGGGGAGCCAGTGCTTCCTCCAGTTCAGCCTGTTGCTTATCCTTTGACAGTAAGTGGTTAAAGACTTGACTGATTCCTTCATTTGGACCTGCTGTCTTAATTGGCTTCTCTAGCACCTGGCAGCTCAGTGCTCTGGCTCTCTCAGTCATCATCCGGTGCTGCACTGCAGCACACCTTGGGAGGTGTGATCCTAAGGAGTCACGGAGTCTGGAGTCAGATGACTGGATTCACATTCACGCTCTGCTACCTTTTCGGGTTTGACAGTTATGAGCTAAATTGTGCCCCACATCCACCCTGCCAAAAAATTCACATATTGAAATCCGAAATCCCCAGTACCTCTCAATGTGACCATATTTGAAGATAGGGTCTTTAAGGGGTAATTAAAAGGAGGTAATTAGCATAGGCCCTAATCAAACATGACTGATATCCTTATAAGAAGAGATCAGAACACAAACACACACAGAGAACAGATCATGTGAAGACACAGGGAGAAGACAGCCATCTAGAAACCAAGGAGAGAGGCCTCAGAAGAACCCAAATTATCAGCATGCTGATCTTGCCAAAGAATGATAGGCAGTTCAAGTATATTGTAAATATTTTTAAGATGTTCAGCTTTCATTTTTCTTTTGAATTTGGAAATATATTACCTACTTCTCTTCCATGATTAGGAACCCTGTTCTAGACCCTCTCCACTACGTACACTGGAATATTAATCTTTTATCAGATCATTCACTTTTGCCAAATGATTTAACAACTCCTAAATGTCCTGAAGATAATATTTAAACTTCTTGATTGGGGATGGGGGAGGGTGGTAGAAACAATCTACTAAAATTACTCTATTGAAAAAATCTAACTGAATCACCTACTATTAGCCAGCCCAAATCTTCTACTTTAGTTACAGTGATAAACTCTTTTCTCCTGGAATCTATGATACTTTCACATTTTGCTTGTGTACATACTTTTATTCTACGATCAAAATCTCTCTCTTTTTACATTTAAGCACTTCCTCATTCTTCAGTGCTTATGTTTAGGAGGTATTTTCTTAACATTCTCACTCCTATCAATCTCAAAGCACCAGGAAATAGGAGCTCAGAAATTAGGTCTTTTAGAAATATATTACGAATTCATTTATTCACTCAATGATTATTGGGAATTCTCTGTTGGCTAAGAATAAGCTACATCTGAATAAAGGAAATGAGAAAAATACAGACCTTCTCTCCAAAAGTTTATAATCTATTGGGGTAGGCAGCTACACTACAATCTGCTGAATATTCTCCTTGACATATGAAAAGGATGCTTTGTAAACATAGGGAGCATATGCAAACGAAGATGGTCAGAGCAGACTTAGGGTATTTGAGCTGAATCATGAAAAATATAGCATCAGCTGGAGGATAAAAGAAAAGAAGTCTCTGGGAAAGACATGTTCAGGACACTCCTATTAATTCAACACAGCTGGAGTATGTACTGAAGAGAGTGGTAGAAGGTAGGAGGGAGGAAGGGACAAAAGAAAAGCTTGGACAGTTGGACAGGGACCAGATCTTGGAGGGATGAATATATCAAGCTAAGGGCCTAGATTTAATTTTGTTAGTGACAAGATTGCCCTTCTGAAAAGATAATTCTAAAAGAGTGACAGATCGTTTTCAAGAGAATGAGAATGTAGAAAGAGCAACAATTTAAGATGCTGTTTTAGTGATTCCAGTAAGAAATGTGTTGCGTAAGTAGAATTCACATATGCTGGGATGAGACCAACAGGTGGCATTTTTTCTACTTCCTATCTAGTTTGAAACAGATACATCTTATGGGAGGTAAACTTGCCCCTGCTGGCACATGGCTGAAAGCCACAGATGGAGTCCTGACATGGGGCACAGAATGTGTGTATATGTCTAAATATCCTCTACTGGAAGAAAATCATAGCCAAAAAGATATTATTAAATATTCAGGAGTGTCAATTACATAAAAGAAAATATGATTTTATGAATATTATCCAGGACAACATCTATTTAACTGTGATGCTTTAGTATTTGTATTTATTTCTTTTATTTAAGCTCTTTCTACACATTTTATCACCCTTCATTGTCTTATTGTCCTGTTTTTATTTCTTGTATAATTAATAATTTAGAGGTATAATGTCACTACTTAAAAATTTAGTTGATTTTTATAAACACTATAAACTTAAGATTATTTTATAATGCTGCTTTAAGACTTTGCTGTCCAATTTTATCGTGTTTTTCTTCTAAAATTATTTAAGGGTAAATATTCTTTCCGCCTAGCACAGTAATTTGTATATCTGAGAATTTCTAGGCAATATACTCTGACTTGGGTATTTCATTAAGTATGCTCAATACTTAATATTATGCAATACTTAAATGTGAACATGCTTCCAAGGTGCTGGATAAATGAATTAGAAAGGGCTAGCAGCAATGTTTAGTATTGAGCATATACTCTGATTTAGGTATTTATATCTTTTAATCCTTATAAAACTCCATAGCCAGTTCCTGCTGCTAGTGTGGTGAGATCAAGTGTTTTGAGTATCTATTGAAAATGCCATGTGATGCTAATCGTCTCCCGGTGAGCGGTTCCTCTCTCCAGTAAATGGTTTATCAGTAAAAACTGATCCCCCACAGTTCTTGCATCGCTTTCATCATATTTACTGCAATACCATAAACCTTGAATAACACATGGGATCCATGGGAAGTGCCACGGCGATGCTAGAAGAGCACCGAGAAGCAGAGAAAAGTCATGATATTACAAGAAAAAGTTGAATTGCTTGATACGTACCATAGATTGATGTCTGCAACTGCCTGCCATTTCGAAACAAATGAATCCAGCATAAGGACCATTGTTTTAATAAAATGAAAAGGAAATTTGTGAATTTGTCCCCAGCAGGCATGACAACTTTGCATTTTTTGTGAAATACCTTTTTAAACTTGTAAGTGCAGCCTTTACGTGACTGCAGATACGGTATAAGAAAGACATACCTATAGACTCTAATATGATTCCAGAAAGAAATGAAGTCATTTTATGACAATTTAAAGTAAAAGGGAGGTGAACCATCTGAAGTGACAAATTTAATGCCAGCAAAGAATGGTGTGATGATTGTAGAAGATTTGGCTTCAAAAATGTCAAGATCAGGAGAAGCAGCTTCTGCCAACTAAGAGACAGCAGACAGGATCCCAGATGCCATTAAGAAAATAATTGAGGAGAAAGGATATCTATCTGCCTGCACAGGTTCTTAATACAGATGAAAGTGTCCTATTAAGATGCACAAAGGACATTTATTAATAAGGAAGATAAACAAATACCAGGTTATAAAGCAGCAAAGGATAGGGTAACTCTGCTTTGTATAAATCTAGCCTGGTTTGTGATCAGGACTGCCCTTCTCTGCCCTTATCTGCTACCTAAATCAGGGTACATGCTCGATACTTAACATTGCTGCTAGCTCCTTCTAATTCATTTATCAAGCACCTTGGAAGCATGTTCATATTTAAGTATTGCATAATATTAAGTATTGAGCGTACTTAATGAAATACCTATAAATATAAAGCTGCTAACTCCAGTGTCTGAAGGGAAAATAATAAGCACCAGCTGCCAGTCTTTTCGTTGTATGACAAGAAGGCCTGGACAATAAGAACCCTTTTTTTGGATTGGTTCCATCAATGCTTTTTTCTTAAAATCAGGAAGTACCTTTTCAGTAAGGGATTGCCTTTTAAAGTTTTTTTTTTTTTTTTTTTATATTGGACAATGCCCTGACCAGCCAGAGCCCCCATGAGTTCAGCACCGAAGGCATCCAAGTGGTCTATTTGCCCCCATACACAATGTTTCTATTTCAGCCTCTGGATCAGGGGATCATAAGGACCTTTAAGGCTCATTACACATGTAATTTTATGGAAAGAATTGTCAATGCCATGAAAGAGAATTGAGAGAGAGAAAATATCGTGGAAGTCTGGAAGGATTACACTATTGAGCTGTCATTGTTGTTACAGGACAAGCTGTGAAAACCATCAAGCCTCAAACAATAAATTTCTGCTAAAGAAAACTGAGCATGGATGTTTTGCATGCCTTCACAGGATTTACGACAGAGCAACCCAAAGAAATCATGAAAGAGATTGTGGATATGGCACACACACACACACACACACACACACACACACACACACACAAATTCTGTCGGGGGAAGGTAAAGGATTTCAAGATGTGAATCTTGGAGAAATTCAAAAACAAATAGACATCACACGAGAGGAGTTAACCGAAGATGACTTGATGGAGATGACTGCTTCCAAACCAGTGCCAGATCATGAGGAAGAAGACATGGAGGAAGCAGTGTCAGAAAACAAATTGACATCTAGAAGGATGTAGATTGAAGGAAAGCAAATCATATATACTATATAAAACCTACTAATTCATGATGTTGAGCTTCACATAAGCTGTGATCATGTTACTTTCAGTATTCTCCACATCACTGGCAAAATGATTAGCCATCATGAGAACAGACTGTTGGGACAGAAACCATCCGGGACATGGCACAAAGGGAAGAAAAAAATAGACAGTGGATGCTTCAATTGAAAAGAGGCAGAGAGTGAAAATCTCTTCTGCTCACATTTTACTGCCCTGTTTAAGTTCTTTGGTCAAACTTGACGTCAACAGATCTGAGGTGTGTAAGGAGGATAAGTGAATATTTTTTAACAATATACAAATATAAAACATACAAACAATATACAAATATACAAAAATATTTACCAATATACAAATAATATAAATTTTAACAATATACAAATAAACAATATACAATATTAACAATACAATCTGCTCTATCTACCACCTGCTTGTGAATGGTTCATAATATTTCATCATATAAATGCATCATAACTTATGTGTGTATGTTTATGTTGTCCCTAATTTTTCAGTAATACAAATAATTCTAGAATACAGCAGCTACCCACTCGTGTTGGCTACATAATGTGAATGAAAAAAAACCTTTGTTGTTGAAATCCATTGGAACTTTAGAGTCATATGTTATTACCACAGCATAACTTTGCCTCATGTGACACTGAGAAAGTAAATCCTTGGTACTGACATGGTGATATTATGAACATGCTAGTTTCCCAAACTTTGAACATAAAGCAATTAATTCATAAATCTAAAATGGCTACATACAAATGACACATAATGCCATCTGTTGGTTACTTTGTTATACTTTTGCTTTAGGTTAGGACATCCTTTTGCACTTTGGAACTATGAAACTTCAAATAAAGTAAGCAGAGATACTTCAGTGATATACCATTTTTAATTTTTTTAAAGATTTTTTAATTTATACCTACTCTTCTTCAACTATCAATTTATCTGTATGGATATGAAAGGAAACACAACAAAGCATGAGCATGGTTAGGAAGGAGAAATGTAGGGGAAGAGAAGAAGGAAACCATTTTTATCTTAAACAAATATATATTAATTTTTTATTTATAAAATACTAATTTCATTACTCAAAAAATTTAAAAGGTTACCTCAAAATGCTATAATTTATCTTTAACTCTATCAATATGGTCATTGATTTCAGAGGAATTTTCTGTAAATTCTTTGATTTTAAGGGTCATGCTGCTATAAAGCTTTTGTGTTTTTATTGCTTTATTCACATATTTGTGGGGCTGACCAGCGTTATATTTAGAAGAAATGGAATCTGGATTTGTTCTTAAGCTGACATATTTAGATTCATGCTGCTAAAATGAAATACAATTTACTGAAAAATGTTTTCTTACTCAATAGGAATGGCCAAATCCACTAAAAAGAAGAGAAAATAAAGACATATTTCATTTTTATGCTACAGTATTTCATGGCTACACTCTCACTAGAGTGAAATATGATTCTTTAGAGAAATCTAAAAAAATCTACAATAATGTTTCTAGGATTTTTATTCACTTTCTGTTTGGTAGCCATGAGGTGCCTGACCTTCTTTTGACTAAATGCTGAAGCCCATAGTTTATAAAATCCTACAAACACATCTGTAATTCAAAGCAATCCATTAAAATGGATATTTCCCCCAAATGGAAAAACCATGAGGAGGTCCTCATCCCTCCTTTGAGGATGGAGGCAGGAGTTAATGCTGTTTTCTAAAGTCATACTGTAGGTCAGAGGTTAGCTTTTCACCTGCGTAACTCTGGAGGTCAGATCTCAGGACATAGGGTGAATGTTCTAGTGCAGCAGATTTCAAGGTGGTGTTGAAGTGCTTTCTGGCATCTAGTCCAATAACCAAGGACTAATATACAGTGAGAGAATTAACACAAGAAACCACATCAATGTTTGAAGATTTTCCTTTCTTGTCTCCTTTTTAGCTAAAGAACTTTAATTAAATAATCTTGCTTTTAATTCTCGTTTGGTTGCTTTCTAAATATGTGACTTTAAATGAGTCACTTAACCTCTCTGAAGCTGTATTCACTGTCATTTGTTCAAGGGAATAACACTATCATCTTCACTGGTTTGGGGAAGATTAAAATACAGTAATATACACAAAATGTGTACTAGAGTTAGCGGCCAAATATGGGTGTTCTGCACAAGGGAGGCCTTGCTTGCTTGATGAAAGTATGTGCATTTGCATATCAGCAAACAGTTAACCCTTGGCTGCACTTTGGAGCCTGGCCCAAGTTTCATGTCCATTCCTGACCCATTTTTCATATCGGTATCCCAAAAGATACCATACTTATTTGTCCTCAAATATCGTTGCATATGAGAAGAGTCACCTAAGACTCTTGTGAAAAATGCAGATACCTAAACTCTACCTTAAAAATTCTGATTAGGAAGATCTGGGAAAGAACTCAGGAATTAAAATTTTAGCAACCATCCCCAGGTGAGTCTGAATCAGGGCCCATCAGACCCCATTCGAGAAACTCTGGCTTCATTTGTATAGGCAAATTTGATATTTGTATAACTCTTTGCTCTTTCCAAGAAACACCAACACTTTAAGTGAAATGAGGCTAACTGCATACAGGCTGTCTTAGGATGGTCATGCTGGTGTTCAAATAGGGATCCGTTTCTAAACAAATAAACTTCCATAAAATGGATATTCCCTAAGGAGTTATACTTCAGCAGATTAGCCATGATTCTCAGTTAAAACAGCATCACCCACTTTGTTCTATTTCTGTTAGGAATACACTAGGTTAGACCACGCTTTCAAAGGCCAATTCAATGCGTTTGAAATATGCTCCTATCTCTTTCACATAAAAATAAAATTGGTTAACCTTACTCCTACCTCCCTCTAAAGGTCATCTCCATCAAAATGATATCCTTCACCTCTCTGGTTTTCATTACTTTTGGGCTTTGATGGGTATAATTGGTCAGCGTGACTTCAAAGAGACTCAAATGATATTTCACCTCTGTCACTTGAGAGACTGACCTCTCCTTTTGCAGTAATGGGCTCTTTGTAACCTCCTCTGAGGTCACCTTAGTTGCTTAAATGTGGTCTAATTTCAAGCAGTTGTGTGGTATCTAATCACAGCACGCGGTAAGCTTGCCCTCTAGTGGCTGCCATTCATATTGCACTGCAGGAATTTGGTTCTACCTTCATTTACTTGGGGGCAGGGGTAATTTAAGTCAGAAATAAATCCATCCATATAAAAAAGTAGATATCTCTCTATTTCACAAAATATCCTTCATGTGATTTTTTTCTTAGTAACTATTTTTGATGAATTTAAATGAATAACATTTTAATAAAAATAAGCAGTTGTAAGTAATGCATTGTGTGTGTGTTTAGTGAAAGGCTAAACATTATATTTCTCATTATATAAATAGAAGAGAAAACAATTTGGAAGGAAAAGATAGAATTGCCCACGCTACATTGAAACTTTAGCATAGATGGATCATGATATATATTAAAGAATTTCTTTTGATTCCCAGGATGTCTGAATTCTCATATTGTCATCTTACCTCCCTATTAAGAATCCTTAAGTGGATCCTAATGGCAATAAGTTAATGTATAAATCCTTAACACAGTGTAAATAAAACTTTCACAATTTGTCTCTCAAAATCTTTTTGACTTTTGCTGCTCCTTCATTTTGAATCCTGAGATTCTAGCCAAATTGAACTGCGCTAACCTAGAGAAGTCATATCTTTTCATAACTACATGCTTTCACATAGGCTGTTCCTTCTGCTTGAAATGCCTTTTTTTCCTTTTTCTTTCTTTTCTCTTTAGGAGACTTGTCCAAATAGATAATAATTTTTTCTTGGCTTAATATCATCTTTCTGTAAAACTTTCCAGATTATTTCTTTTTCCTACTTGTACCTTGAACTTCATACTACATCATCTCTGGACTGTGAGTTTTGGACAATCTTCTTAAAGTGTGTTAGTTTGCCTGTGATCAAAAAAATACCCAGTAAAGATATCTTTATGAATAAAAGATGGGTTTAATATATAAAGAAGATGTATTGCATTTCCAAGCATGAATTGGTGGACAAACACTGAGCTTAATTCAATATATGGTTTTCCTTGTAAGACATTTTGGTGGTGTCTGCTATTTTCACAGCCCAGCATCCACTCTCCATCATTTTAGTATTGACTATTGATCCTATCAGTCTAGTAACGACCCCCAGATTCTCTTTCTCTGCTTCTGTGTGTGCCCGTGTGCTTCCGGTGCTATTTATTTCACTCAATTCTGCTGTCATTACTGACACACCGTTTAGATCTGGCTAATCAGAGCATCATATTCTTCTGGCATTGGCAATTAACTCTAGGATGAACAACATGAAGACCCTTGCTCATTTTCCTTGGAAAGAGGCTCACACTTTTCCACCCACCTATTAATCTTGAAAATTGTGAGGAATGGGACTGCTACTTGCTACCCTATTAAACCAGTATTAGGATAATGGATCAGACAGGCAGACAAATTAGGGTTTTAGTGGTGTTGAGAATACAAAGTAATGACTCATTACAGAATATTTTGGAATGTGATCCAATTAAGACTGGGTTTTTTAAATTTTTTATGGAGTGCAGAGTCACATGTATCCCTCAGACTTTACTGTTTACTGTTTATTGTCACTCACGTAGGCTCAAGCTGGGAGCCACCAATAGATGGCTCTCTAGAGATGGCACAAATCATGACCAATTTGAACCTCAGATGTACTAATTTTGACACATTACATTTTGCACTGGTGTTTCAAAATTCTACAGTGGATAAAACTTCAAATACAAACAGTACTAGATTTCCTAAGTTTCAGGTTAATATACTCTATTATTTGTCTTTCCTCTATCACCTTCCCACCTCTCTATTGGTGTTCTCTGCACATCTTAAGCACATTATTTGTATTTGAAATTTTGTCTCAGTCTTCTTCTGAGGGAAACTAAACTAGACTTAATGTCTGTGTGTGTGCATGTGTGTGTGGGTATGTGTGTTGTATATTGGGATTTGTATACTACGATTCTTTTATAATAGAAGTTGCTATGTAGACATCTTTACCTTTCTACCTTTATGCTCCAGTACTTACAGATCACCCTACATAGCCTTCAATGGAGAGGTCAGGGAAGTTCCAGTGTCCTGAAAAGAGGCAATTTTGTATGCAAGATAGATTGAATGTGAGGAGACTAGAAGCAAGAAAGAATATCTGGTGACCACTCCAATAATCCAGGAGAGAGAAAATGAATGTATCTTCCCTAGAGTCTGTGAAGCTTTTTTCTTATGGGTCCCTATCTCAACTAGTTCCCTTCAAGTTTTCAAAGATCAGGTCTGGAAACAGAGAAATTGAACATGCTTCACAATTTTACCTAAGTTAGATTTATTATTTTATAATATTAGAAATAATATTCCAACACAAATAGTGCACAAAAATAGATTCCTTAACAGATTTCTGCCTCTTTGAATTGCTTTGCTATTGTTGTTTTCAAGTCCATGAAGTGAAAGTTTGTCCTATGGATACATAATTGTAAAGAACTTTGCAAATCATGTATATGAAAAAGATTTCATATGCAGAATAAAGAATTCCTACAATTCAACAACAAAAAGACAAACAACCCTATTAAAATGGGCAAAGGATTTGAATAGATATTTCTGCAAAGAAGAGTACAAATAGTCAAGAAGCACATGGACAGATATTTAACATCACTTGTCTTTTTGCACATTTCTGTGAGCTCTGTTTCAAGTCAAATCAAGATAGCCTTGCAAGTAGGGTCTTCAGGGACTTGCAAGTGGGGTCTCCCAGGGAACCAGAAAACTGGATAAATAGTGACAACTGGGAGTGAGGCTTTAAAGGGGCCCCAATCTCATTCTGTGTCCATCCGGCAACTTCAAGACTCCTTATTTCCACTGTGATTGTAGGCTGTTTTATTTTAAGATTACTACAGACCTAAACAGAATAGGATGGGAGTAGAATAAGTCAAAATACCCAATACTTGCTCTTATTAATGAATTAAGCCATTTTTCTTCAATAACTCTCCCTGGATTAGTGTAAATCTTTGGTTCATTTCCAGATTTCTCGAAAAGAAATGACACTGATGATGCTTGTGAGTTTTCTCACTGCTTTAATGAAAAAGAGTTTTCAGGGGTTCTTATGCTACCATTTTTGATGATGATCTTCTCCAATTGTTAACTCTTTCACAACCATAGTAAAATTTCAAAACCAGGACAATGGCATCGGTACAATATGTGTGTATAGTTCATGTCATTTTACCACATGTGCAGAGTTGTGCAACTACTACTTAATTCAAGATAAAGGATTATTACATCACTACAAAGAGTTGTCTTGTGTCACCTCTTTTTATTATCACATCTACCCCGCTAGCCTTCACCATTCCTAAATCCTAGTGTATTAAGGTTCTCTAGCAGGACAGAACTAATAGGATAGATGTATATGTAAAGGGGAGTTTTTTAAGGCATATTGACTCACATGATCACAAGGTGAGATCCCACAGTAGGCCATCTACAAGCTGAAGAGCGAGGAAGCCAGTCCGAGTCCCAAAGCTGAAGAACTTGGAGTCCGATATTCAAGGGCAGGAAGCATCTAGCACAGGGGAAACATGTAGGCAGGAACACTAAACAAGTCTAGTCTTCTCACGTTCTTCTGCCTGCTTTTATTCTGGCCACACTGGCAGCTGATTTGATGGTTCCCACCCAGATTGGCGGGTGAGGGCTCTGCCTTTCCCAGTCCACTGACTCAAATGTTAATCTCCTTTGGCAACACCCTCACAGACACACCCAGGAAAATACGTTGCATCCTTCAATCCAATCAAGTTGACAATATTTACCATCACGCCCAATAAGCATGAATTTGTTCTAAAATCAGTCACCTGTTAAAGAGTTCCCTGTCTCCCAGGAATGGTGCCACCTTAGTATTCCTGCTATACTTGGTTCTTGACAGGGAGAAGCCATAAGGCCTCTGCACAAAAGCAGTAATAGATTTTATAGCACAGCAATTGGGAAGCTGGACATACATGCTCCTGGGAGCCAGAGATCTGACAGGCTCATTCTCAGGGCTGCCAAAATCAGTAAGAACATGAATAATATCTGTCTCTATCATTGTTTTATCCCCTGCATTGGCACACAGATGTGCCAATACTGTACTAGATACCAAACACCATTAAAAGTGCTTTTCATATAGTGTCTCACTTAATTCTTGTTATAACCCTGTGAAATAATTAACATTAATATCTTTACTTTGCAGATGAAGAAATAAAGATATAGAAAGGCTAAGTAATTTGTCCAAGATCATACAGATCATAAATGACAGTCATATTGGCTTCAGAATGTGTAGTATTAATATATATAATCCTATAGTTGGCACACAATTTCTGTTCCAGAAATGAATGACTGAATGAATGAAGAGGAAATAACCATTTCCTAATCATATTCACGTTTGAAAGAGCATTTCCAAACCACTCTGAACTCCTCATGAGCATAGAAAAATTATGACTAAAATAATGAGATAGGCCTAGAGGGACCCTACTCCTAAATTTTTATTAGCTAAGAACCTGTCCAAACTCCACCTCAGATGACTTGAGGGAGAGGTTCTTCTTCACACTTAAACTAAAATTAACAAAAAGACTCTTCTCATCTGAGTTAATTATGCAAAATAAATTTTGACCCCACCCTAGGAATTTCTATTTGTGGAAGTAGGAGTCAGCAAAACATTTTTATTCTTATTTGTACACTCTAACAGGTACAGGTGCAATTAAATAAAAATATTTTGTCAGGAAAGCATGAAATATTTATGTTTATTTAAAGATTAATATAAAATTCTAAAGCCTAAGACCTTGGTTATATGCTGATAAGTTCCTGAAAGTACTGCTTGAAGAGACATATCTTTGCCCATTGTCCTTCTGCAACTATGGCAAGTTAAGTTTGAAGACATTCAGGCAAATGTCTTCAAGAAGCTCCTCATCTCTTTTGGAATATTTTTGCCCCAACCCAGCACATGTGCATATGAAGACATGCAGTTCGTCTATACAACCATGTGGATTAGTCATAATTAAGATCCTCCCAGGCCAAAGCAAAAACATGAAAACCATTACTTTGCACCGACACACTGTTTATTCTTGGAATACTAGCAGCAGGGACCTATGAAGCAGTGTTTGGGGTTACATTATTTGGGTTGTCAATAGAGCTTGTTTTTCCTAAATTTTACTTATACCATTAGCCTGCTTCGGAGGGTGTTAGACAAAAATTTCTGAAACTCATTGTTTTTAGTTGAAAATGTAGTTGATGATGCTGTTCATATCATGGAGTGTTTTCCGCATCAGCTACCAAAGAAAAGCATATATCTAAAGTCCAGAAATAAATCTGAACTGGGCTTTGCATAAACAAACAGGTTTTCATTTTTTTTGTTTTTTTTTTTGTAATAGATTATCTGATTCATGTGTCTGAATTTATCTCTTATTGTTGGTTGTTAGGAAACTCAGACATAAACTTTTATGAACTTCTAATAAAATTAGATGAAGTCATAGCCTGCATTCTGCATATTAATTTAACTTTTAGATTGCTGTTTTTCCAATATTTTCTTTTATTCCACTTCTTCTCGGCTTTGGAAAATATTGCTATGTGTATTTACTCCTTCCTGTAAAAGATAAGATTTTTTTAATTAAGAAATTGAATTTGAATCCACTACTGTTGGAATTGTGTAGGCCATTTTGTGTCATTTTTAAAAAGCTCATCTACATGACTAAAAAGAAAACAAAAACAAGACTATATCTCCAGTGTATCCAGTTGAAAACAATACTTAGTCTGTATCATCTTACCAAGCATCAGGGAAGATTCAGGTTTCATGAAGCCTCAGTAGTCTTAAATTTGGGGAAATTTTTGAATAAAAAGAATACAAAAGTATAAATAGAAAATTAGAAAGTGAATGACGAAATAAAAGAAATTATATATTTGTCAATGGCCATAAAACCCACAAACATCATTCACAAAATCCAGAAAGATAACATGAGGTATGTGTCTTTAGTAACTGCCTATCACAATTCTATAATTATTTTTCTTACATTTAGACTACATATTCCTTGAGTCTTTATTTGAATGCATTTTAATAATATTTTCTACAGAAAAAAATTGAAAAACAAATCATTGCTTCATCTAAAATGGTTGATGAACTATTTTACATTATAATTTTTAAATTTTTGTTTTGCTTCATAACTTATTAGTATTGCCATATACATTTTTCAGATTACTGTCAAATATGGAAAGTCTTCTTTCAATTTCCTTTCTTATACAAGGTATATGATGTCATTGCATGTCACATTTTTTCGTGTAGGAGCTACTCTCTAATCCTCTTTGAATGAATGTCACATTCACCAATCTGTTAGCATAACCATATCTTACCAAAATAAACAAATAAATAAATATATATATATATATATATATATATATATATATATATATATATAGCGAGCATTTTTTCTGTTCTTAGAAGGTCCAGGGGAAACGAGTAACTCTGGGCTTTGGGTTTATTTGCTTCACTGCAAATCTGCTCTCCAAGCCTGAGAAGACAAACCACACTATTGGTTAATTATGTAAAACATTCAACAATCAGTACAACATGAAAAGTAGTTCATAATCACGACCAGAACTGAGAACTAATAGAGCACATACTTTGCTGGAAAGAGAAAAGGATTATCACTTAGTGAGATTTCTCACTTAGTAAGTACCTACTCAGGCAAATGTGTGCCCAGTAATTTTATAAAAATGAATCAATCTATTTATCTATTCAATAGAGACTTTAAAACACCAACTTTCCAGGGTACTAGAAATCTAATGGTTAACAAGACAGACTTGATGCCTTAAATTCTAATGGAGGAGACAGATAATAAGCCACCAAACATATAACTGCAAATTGTAACGAATGCCCTGATGGGAACCAATGGGATGCTATGAAAAGGAAAACTGAGAGGTGGGAGACCAAATTTAGATAGAGAAAACTGTAAAGGTTATTTAAGCTGATACCTGCAAGATGCACCAGAACAAGACACATGAAAAATGAGAAAAGCAGTTAGGAGTCCTGAGACTTGCAGTATTTGACCCATGTGGGGGAACTGTGCTGGGGCGGGTGTGTAGGTGGGTGGTATGGCGGGAGGAGGGAAGCACAGGCAGCTCCCAGATAACTGCAGGCCTTGGAGGACAGGGCCAGAAGTGCTCTAAGTGCAGTGGGAAGCAATTGAAGGGTTGGACCCGAGGCTGACATGACACAGCTTTCATTCAGTCTACTGCATGCACCATGAAGCTAATGAAAACAAGAGAAGGAAGCAGAGGGCAGCTTGGACCTATCCTAATAATACAGGCAAGAGGTGATGGTGGTTTGGGCCAGATGATTAAGTGCCGATATGGAGTGGAGTGGCATAGAATAAAACACGAATTCCTAATGGGTTGAACGGGAAGCAAAGTAAGGGAGAAAGAGGATTCTAATTTGATTCCTGCATGCTGCACACTTTTATCGATGTGGAGATCAACTGGAAGTGGGGAATAGATTTTGTTTAATCCTTACAGCAACTCTGTGAGGTGAGTGTTTTTGTACTCATTATATGTATATGAAATCAGAGAATGAGAGAGCTTTTAACTTCCCGCGGGTCTCTCAATTCAGAAGTGGAAGAATCTAAATCAATAGTTTCTTGGATTTATTGCTTTAAGAAATGCATATTTTGGGCTGGGCGCGGTGGCTCACTCCTGTAATCCCAGCAATTTGGGAGGCCGAGGCTGGCGGATCAAGAGGTCAGGAGATCCAGACCATCCTGGCTAACACGGTGAAACCCCGTCTCTACTAAAAAAAAAATACAAAAAAAATTAGCCGGGCGTGCTGGCGGGCGCCTGTAGTCCCAGCTACTCCGGAGGCTGAGGCAGAAGATGACGTGAACCTGGGAGGCGGAGCCTGCAGTGAGCCGAGATCGCCCCACTGCACCCCAGCCTGGGCGACAGAGCGAGACTCCGTCTCAAAAGAAAAGAAAAAGATGCATATTTTGAATACTCATCTTTCTTCCTTTAAGTTTGTGGATATTTGGCATAGGTGATCTCTAAATATACTTGAATCAAGCCTGCCAATTTGGAACTATTTTGTTAAAACCGCCTTTACTTCAGAATTTCCACTAGGGGGAGCTACCACTATGTGGTTTATTTACTGTGTACAATTTTTTTTTTTAATTATGGTAAGGTTAGTATTTACTGGTCACCCACAAACTTAATCTTAATAAAGTTCACTTTGTTATCTTTTAGAAAATAGTAATGCATATTTTGTAAAAGAGCCTGAAGTCTTAACCAAGAACTTTAGGAGTAAGAAAATATAGGAAGATAAAGAAACTCATAATTTGCATAATGGCAACAAAGCATCTAAATTAAACTGTGATGGAAAAAGAATCTAAAAATAAAGCAAGACATGTTGTATGAAATTTGAAAGATGTCATTGTTATTAAGATTTATAAAATTATTTTGGTTTGTCTTATTTGTTGTGCATTCTTATTCTTATTTTAAATGAATATTTAATACATATTTAAGAACAATTAAAGATTACCTTATAAACATGGTCCGTGAATCTCTGTTTCTTATAAAGGAATACATTATGGGAGACAAATATTTTCACCCATGGGGAGTTTTAGGAGCACGTGGAGTCTTACGGGATAAGTATATTCATTTAATAAATAACACAAAATAAGCATAATCATAATGTCAACAACAACAGTAATAATAGCAACCAACTGGGCACCACTTGCTGTGCTAATCACTCAACATCTAGAATCGTATGTAATCATTCCAATTATATTCGAAGTGTTGGTTTCAGATACAATGATGGGGCTGACCTGGGTGTCCCTTCCCTTTGTCATATGCTGACTCATGAAATGCATTAGGACAGAAGCAGCATTGCAGCAGTTTTCCATTCATGCCATGGAAAGGTATGAATGATAAAGGCATCCCTCAAAGTGGAGTCCCTGAGGTATCAGTAAGTGAGTGCCCTTCCAGTGAAACATGTTTCTAATTTGGGGTTGCCTTTCCCCGGGGATCTTACACACAAGGTGTTGTGAGTTATTAAAGGTCCTCAGATTTCATGTGTTGCCTCCTGACATCAGATAAAGTGGCAAATGACACTTCTTGAATCAGCATTGTCCCATCATAACAGATGGCCGTTAGCTCAATCTACAGGGAATCAGCTTATTGTCTTCCATATGAAAATAAGCAGGTCAGCATTCTAAATCCTGAAATGACAAAGGGAAAAATAGTTCACAGGACTCTGAAAACAGCATGTGAAATAATCAAAGGTTAGGGGGAACTTTCTTAACCACAAAATATTTGTATTCAGTATACCTTAACATTTGTTTCATTTAGAGCACATGAAATAAATAGTTGTATTTTGATATAAAGGCCTGGGGTTTGTCAATATTTAGTTCAGGGGTCTGAATTCTGGCTGCACAGCAAAATCATGTTGGAAAAATGTTTAAATTTCAGATGCTCAGGCATCCAGTTAAGTCAGAATTATTTTAGTTGAAACCCAGGCATTCATCATTTTTTAAGTTTCCCCCGTGATTCTAATGTGTGGTGTTTCTAATGTATGACCAATTGTATAATAATTGCACAGTAATTTTATAATCCATTTCCCAAACTTTCATGTGATATGAATTGCCTTGGGATCTTGTTAAAATACAAGTTAAGATTCAGTAGGTCTGGGGCAAAGCCTGAGTGTCTGCATCTCTAACACTCTCCCAGAAGATGGCGATATGGATGCTGACACACCACTCAGTAATTGGCAATGCGGGTGGGCTTTGGTCTCCATACAAGATAGACACAAAGCTCCTCAAATGCAGGGGTTCTTTCTGTTCATTTGCTGATCGTTATTGTTACTGGATGGTACAGAAGCTCTTGGAATGTTAAAACAAACAGGGCTTAGCTCCAAACTATCTTTTTAGAGTCGTTAGCTTTGCACCAGAACCTTCTAAAGACTCTCTGCTTAATGTGTTTTCTTTATTGAACTCTGGGCCAACAGACATTCAGATTTTTGCAGGAAGGAGTTTATAAACTTAACAAAGTGTTATAAATCAATGGAAGCACAAGATTTTGCCTTTACATTACCTGCCCAATTATTGTGTCACTAGTTATTGTCAGTACAATTAGGTTCATGGATATTTGACATGCTTTTCTACCAAGTCAGAAACTGTGGGGCAGGAGAAAGCCGAATTGATAGAGTGACTAATATATTCTGTTAGACTAGACTATCTGCACCACCAGAGCAGAGCCCGGTCTGTCCTGAACATTATTGTATGTTCCTAGCACAATATTTAATACACAATTAATAAATATGCTATGAGCTTTGAATCCTGTATTTAACTTCGTCCTTCGAATAATGATGACTAACATGTATTGAATGCTTACCATGTGCCAAGCAGTGGTCTAAGTACCTTACATCTGTTTATTGATTCATTTACTATTTACAACAACCCAGTAAAGCAGATGACAATATCCATTTTAGAGATACAGGAAGTGAAGCACAGAGAGGTCGAGTGATTTATCCAAGGTCACACAGTCATTAAGCAATAGAAACAGACATTAAATCCAGGCACTCTGGTTCCAGAGTCTGTGATCTTCACCAGTATCCTGTTAATGTTCATAACAAAAATATATGATAAGTACTGTTATAATGTCACTCATTTACAGGTGAGGAAACAAAGGCACAGAGACTCTAAGCAACTTACCCAAAGTCACATAGTTAATAATCGGTGAAACCAGGATTTAAACCCAGGAAGATTCAAATCCAGATTATAAATCCAGAGCCTTTGTTCTTAACCACTAATTTATAGTTTCTCAACTAGCCTATTAGTTAGAAACCACTTACTAGGTGTGAAAAGAGCCCTGAAAAAATGTAAGTGCCATAATCAAATATCAAACTGGAATTAATGGCAGAGGATGAGTTGAAACTCACATTTATTTTCTTTAAATTCTAAGTTCCTCTTCTCTTGGCTTTTGAAACCAATGGAGAACTTTGTCAAATAATAGAAAATGCTTACCTCCAAAGAGCCTCATGAGAATCTTCTGTCAATTTAATTTCTCTTCTACATTCTTCTCCAGATATACTATGCGTTGTTCACACTGTAGAGGGTAGACTAATGTCAAAAAATTAATCAAATGATTCTGAAAGGCACATAATAACACTCCTTCCTCTGGAAAATCAGAATGTCTGCTAGACCAGGAGGCTAAGTGAGGAAGCAGGGTAGAGTGGAGAGGCATAAGAGAAGGGTGGCTGGCGACGCTGACTTCACCTGTGACAGGCCAGTGAATTTAGAGGTGGAATCATCAGCCTGCTTTTAATTACTTGCTTTTAAGATAAAGAAGTGGAAGTTTATGATGGAGGTATCAATTGTCACTGACATTTGACAGACTGGTTGTTCAGAAAAACACAGATAGAGTCCATGTCAGCTGGCAGTAACAGTGGGATTTTCCTTGTTGTTGTTGTTTTAAGTTCTAAAAACCAACATATAGGACAAATTATAAATCTGGACTCTTAAATTGTCAGCTTTCTGTGAGTGGGTAGGAAAGGGATTCCTTCCTTTGTTTTTCTGACCTTCCCAGAAGAGCTTTCCATTTTAGCTTCAATGATAATGAACACAAACTGGGGTTAATAAATAGGTATACTTCCGGTGGCCTCTACACTCCTTCCAATTTCAGATCCATTTCACTGGCCATTATGTGTCTGGAGCAATAGGGAAAGAAAACACCTAAGCAAACCATTTTCTTCTTTTGATCTGTACCATGCCTGAGAAAGCAGCAAGATAGGAAAGGAAGTGAGAGGAATATTACTTTGCCACCTGAATACACGAAATTAGTCAACACTGGCATTTTTAAATTGAAGAAATTAAATGGTGCCATGGATCTAATATGCCATACCTATTTGCCTGCAAATGTCCCTCTGGGAAGCTACAATAGGTGGATAAAGTACAATATCCAGATTTCAAATTTATTACAACTTAGCACAATCTTTGGTTTTCTGGTAGATTTCAGTCGTTTAATAATAAAGTTTCTGGATAATGGATTTCAGTGTGACTTTACTCTATTTAATATTACATTCATTCAACAACTATGGAGTGCCTACTGTCAAGCAATGGCCTAGGCCTTAGGAATATGGAGGTAAACCATACATATCAGGTCTCCTTTTATAGATTTTACTTTCTTCACATTTTATCTCTTAATATAAATTGGCATCAATAGAGATTTATCTGTGTGGGATTTATAATGACAGGCAAAAAAAAAGTAGCAGGAAACAGATAAACCTTGAAATCAGCAGACTTGGATTTATGTCCTGGGAACACCAGACATTTGCTCTGTTTTATTAAGCAACTAACTTCATTTTTTCAACTGAGCATACTCAGTAATAAAAATGGGATAATAATACTCATGGTGAACTTTGGTGATTGTGAATATAAGTAATTTGACACCAAACCTAAAACATATTTGGCACTAAATAATCATTCTAATAATAATAATAATCCTTAATATATATATAGCACTGCCTATTTTGCCAAAAATTTTCATATACATTATTACCTTTGATTCTAAGTATATATGTACATATATACATATATAGAATATATATATTCTATATGTGTGTATATGTACATATACACATATATCCTATATGTGTGTATATGTACATATACACACATATATTCTATATGTGTGTATATGTACATATACACACATATATTCTATATGTGTGTATATGTACATATACACACATATATTCTATATGTGTATATATATTCTATATGTGTATATATATTCTATATGTGTATATATATTCTATATGTGTATATATATGTATACATATGTATAATGCCAGTATATATATATGTGTGTGTATATATGTATAATGCCAGTATTTTATTGAGGATTTTTGCATCGATGTTCATCAGGGATATTGGTCTAAAATTCTCTTTTTTTGTTGTATCTCTGCCAGGCTTTGGTGTCAGGATGATGCTGGCCTCATAAAATGAGTTAGGGAGGATTCCCTCTTTTCCTATTGATTGGAAGAAATGGTATCAGCTCCTGTTTGTACCTCTGGTAGAATTCAGCTGCGAATCCATCTGGTCCTGGACTTTTTTTAGTTGGTAGGCTATTAATTATTGCCCCAATTTCAGAGCCTGTTATTGGTCTATTCAGGGATTCAACTTCTTCCTGGTTTAGTCTTGGGAGGGCGTATGTGTCCAGGAATGTATCCATTTCTTCTAGATTTTCTAGTTTATTTGCTTAGAGGTGTTTATAGTGTTCTCTGATGGTAGTTTGTATTTCCGTGGGATCAGTGGTGATATCCCCTTTATCATTTTTTATCGCATCTATTTGATTCTTCTCTCTTTTCTTCTTTATTAGTCTTGCTAGTGGTCTATCAATTTTGTTGATCTTTTCAAAAAACCAGCTCCTGGATTCATTGATTTTTTGAAGGGATTTTGTGTCTCTATCTCCTTCAGTTCTGCTCTGATCTTAATTATTTCCTGCCTTCTGCTAGCTTTTGAATGTGTTTGCTCTTGCTTCTCTAGTTCTTTTAATTGTGATGTTAGGGTGTCAATTTTGGATCTTTCCTGCTTTCTCTTGTGTACATTTAGTGCTATAAATTTCCCTCTACCAACTGCTTTAAATGTGTCCCAGAGATTCTGATATGTTGTGTCTTTGTTTTCATTGGTTTCAAAGAACATCTTTATTTCTGCCTTCAATTCATTATTTACCCAGTAGTCATTCAGGAGCAGGTTGTTCAGTTTCCAGGTAGTTGAGCTGTTTTGAGTGAGTTTCTTAATCCTGAGTTCTAATTTGATTGCACTATGGGCTGAGACACAGTTTGTTACAATTTCTGTTCTTTTACATTTGGTGAGGAGTGCTTTACTTCCAACAATGTGGACAATTTTGGAATAAGTGCAATGTGGTGCTGAGAAGAATGCATATTCTGTTGATTTGGAGTGAAGAGTTCTGTAGATGTCTATTAGGTCCACTTGGTGCAGAGCTGAGTCAAGTCCTGGAAATCCTTGTTAACTATCTGTCTCGTTGATCTGTCTAATGTTGACAGTGGGATGTTAAAGTCTACCATTATTATTGTGTGGGAGGCTGAGTCTCTTTGTAGGTCTCTAAGGACTTGCTTTATGAATCTGGGTGCTCCTGTATTGGGTGCATATATATTTAGGATAGTTAGCTCTTCTTATTGAATTGATCCCTTTACCATTATGTAATGGCCTTCTTTGTCTCTTTTGATCTTTTTGGTTTAAAGCCTGTTTTATCAGAGACTAGGATTGCAACCCTTGCTTTTTTTTGTTTTCCATTTGCTTGGTAGGTCTTCCTCCATCCCTTTATTTTGAGCCTATGTGTGTCTCTGCACATGAGATGGATCTCCTGAATACAGCACACTGATGGGTCTTGACCCTTTATCCAATTTGCCAGTCTGTGTCTTTTAATTGGGTTATTTAGCCCATTTACATTTAAGGTTAATATTGTTATGTGTGAATTAGATCCTGTCATTATGATGTTAGCTAGTTATTTTGTTTGTTAGTTGATGCAGTTTCTTCCTAGCCTCGATGGTCTTTACATTTTGGCATGTTTTTGCAGTGGCTGGTACCGGTTGTTCCTTTCCATGTTTAGTGCTTCCTTCAGGATCTCTTGTAAGGCAGGCCTGGTGGTGACAAAATCTCTCAGCATTTGCTTGTCTATAAAGGATTTTATTTCTCCTTCACTTATGAAGCTTAGTTTGACTGGATATGAAATTCTGGGTTGAAATTTCTTTTCTTTAAGAATGTTGAATATTGGCCCCTACTCTCTTCTGGCTTGTAGAGTTTCTGCTGAGAGATCTGCTGTTAGTCTGATGGGCTTCCCTTTGTGGGTAACTCGACCTTTCTCTCTGGCTGCCTTTAACATTTTTTCCTTCATTTCAACCTTGGTGAATCTGACAATTATGTGTCTTGGGGTTGCTCTTCTTGAGGAGTATCTTTGTGGCGTTCTCTATTTTTCCTGAATTTGAATGTTGACCTGCCTTGCTAGGTTGGGGAAGTTCTCCCGGGTAATATCCTGCAGAGTGTTTTCCAACTTGGTTCCATTCTTCCTGTCACTTTCAGGTACACCAATCAAACATGGATTTGGTCTTTTCACATGGTCCCATATTTCTTGGAGGCTTTGTTCATTTCTTTTTATTCTTTTTTCTCTAAACTTCTCTTCTCACTTCATTTCATTCATTTGATCTTCAATCACTGATAGCCTTTCTTCCACTTGATCCAATCAGTTACTGACACTTGTGCATGCATCACATAGTTCTCGTGACATGGTTTTCAGCTCCATCAGGTCATTTAAGGTCTTCTCTATGCTGTTTATTCTAGTTAGCCATTCATCTAATCTTTTTTCAAGGTTTTTAGCTTCTTTGTAATGAGTTCCAACATCCTATTTTAGCTCAGAGAAGTTTGTTATTACCAATCTTCTGAAGCCCACTTCTGTCAACTCATCAAAGTCATTCTCTATCCAGCTGTGCTCAGTTGCTGGTGAGGAGGTGCGATCCTTTGGAGGAGAAGAGGTGCTCTGATTTTTAGAATTTTCAGCTTTTCCGCTCTGGTTTCTCCCCATCTTTGTGGTTTTTATCTACCTTTCGTATTTGATGATGGTGACCTACAGATGAGGTTTTGGTGTGGGTGTCCTTTTTGTTGATGTTGATGCAATTCCTTTCTGTTTGTTAGTTTTCCTTCTAACAGTTAGGACCCTCAGCTGCAGGTCTGTTGGAGTTTGCTGAAGGTCCACTCCAGACCCAGTTTGCCTGGGTATCTGGCTGCAGAACAGCAAATATTGCACAACAGCAAAGGTTGCTGCCTGATCCTTCCTCTGGAAGCTTCATCTCAGAGGGGCACCTGGCTGTATGAGTTGTCAGTTGGCCCCTACTGGGAGGTGTCTCCCAGTTAGGCTACTCATGGGTCAGGGACCCACGAGGAGGCAGTCTGTCCGTTCTCAGATCTCAAACTCCGTGCTGGGAGAACCACTCCTCTCTTCAAAGCTCAGTTGGAAATGCAGAAATCACCCATCTTCTGCGTCACTCATGTTGGGAACTGTAGACTGGAGCTGTTCCTATTCGGCCATCTTCACCCACCCCATATCTTTAAATTAAAGGCAATAAATTTGGGTCAGCTTCACTTTAATCCAAATCCTCTAATGAATATATTTAATACCCATTTTAAAAGGTGTTTTGAAAAGGTAAATTTTTCTTCTAAATTGGCACAGGCCATCGATGAAAACATTATTGTGAGTTTCTGCCTCATATCCTAAAATAAGCAAAACCTAAATAAAAAGGCATACAGGATCTAATTAACATAATACAATGTTTTCAAAGAATTTTTGAAAAAATATATAAATAGAAAAACAAGAGAGGCTAATATTTTTCTGAAATTCTTTCTCTCACACTGTCATTTAGTGTCATTTAGTGAGCATTTTTTCTCCCAACTTACTCAATTGTTATTTCCAGTAACTAGATCCAGGTTTACATTACTGATAAACAATGAGATCTATGCTTCTGGAAATTTTGATGCTCAAAAGAATCAATTTCAGTCTAGAGTGGGTCTATAAATTCCATGTATATATATATATATATATATATATATATATATATATATATATTCCTGTTGTTTTTCATGTTTTGCTTTGTCATATGTAGAAGAAATCCATTAAAACGCAAAGATCATTTTATGGAAATATATGGAGACAGAATATTTCACACTAACAGAGACTAAAAATCACCTGCACAAATCCATCATTTTACAGATGAAGAAATTGAGCCACAGGGATAAAAAGGACATTAAACTTTCTTGGGCATCTACTTACATGTCCTTGTGCTTTGCATATGCTTTTCTCATTAAATTAATTCTCCGTAATAAGTTTATCAGATTGGTACAGTATTACAATAGCAATTTATAGGTGAAGAAACTGGCACTAGAATGATTAAGTAACACTCAAGTGTTGTAACTAGGATTTGGGTGTTATTTACCTAAATAGTTTTGTCGCTTTTTTGCATTGCCAATGTTTCTGATTGCACTTCAATGGAAGAGTCTCTCCGTGTTTGGTGGAAGAGTCCACAGGAAGATGGTCTGTTTGGAGAGCTGCAGGGAGATGTGCAGTGGAAGCTGAAAGAATAACAGTAGAAAGTGGGCCCGGTGGAAATAAAATACGTTTAAAGGACTGTTGTCCACAATTTGGAAATTATAGTCTATAATCTTTTCTTGAGGGTCAGAAACTGACCTATCCTGAAAATATGATGATTGCCTCAAGACTGTCATCATATTTTCGACATGAATTCCGTAAGACTGTTAGAGAGCCATTGAGCTATTCTGGAGCCTCTGTGTATTTTAGTGTTTATCCACACCAGCCACTGTGCTACTGCTTTCTATATTATGATATCACAGGATCTTCAAAATAGTGCTGTTTTGTTTTACTTTATTTTTTTAAATTTTATTTTGAGTTGAAAAATAAACATTGTATATGTTTATCATGTATTACATGTTGATTTGAAATATATATTCATTGTGGAATGCCTATATAGAACAATAGCACTATTCTAGATATCATGATTGCTATTATTATTGTAATTATCATTACTGCTCTCCAAGTGAAGAAACCAAGGGTCAGTAGGATTAAGCAACTTCTGCAGGGTCATGCAACAAAATTGACAGAAGCAAGATTCAGATCGTGTTCTCTGACTCCATCACCTACACAGTGACTTTGCCCCTCACTCAGAAAGACTGCCTGTGACTTACTCTAGTTTGATTTTTATCATTCTTCTTTGAAACTTTAAAAACACATCGAAAAAATCTTATGCCTTTCTTTTTCTTTGGCATATCTTTAACAGACATCAACATATCTGCGGCAATGAATGTAGATGTCACCAAGTGACAGGCTTTCAGCTGGGTCATTTTCCTTTTTTTTCTTCTTTTTTTAAATGTATTTATTTATTTATTTATTTTTGAGACGGAGTCTTTCTCCCTTGCCAGGCTGGAGTGCAGTGGCATGATCTCTGCTCACTGCAACCTCCGCCTCCTGAATTCAAGCGATTCCCCTGCCTCAGCCTCCTGAGTAACTGGGACTATAGGCGTGCACCCACGTGCCAGGGTAATTTGTTGTTGTTGTTGTTGTTTTGTATTTTAGTAGAGATGGGGTTTCACCATGTTGGACAGGATGGTCTCAATCTCCTGACCTCGTGATCCACCCGCCTCGGCCTCCTAGAGGGCTGGATTACAGGTGTGAGCCACCGCGCCTGCCTCAGTTGAGTCATTTTCTAACACATTATTTTATAACCCTCTTATGATAATAAGGTCTTTGTTTTCCCTTTAGCAACATCAAAAATCATTTGAGTCAGGAGATCGAGACCATCCTGGCTAACACGGTAAAACCCCGTCTCTACTAAAAATAAAAATAAAAAAAAATTAGCCGGGCTTAGTGGCGGGCGCCTATAGTCCCAGCTACTCCGGAGGCTGAGGCAGAAGAATGGCGTGAACCCGGGAGGCGGAGCTTGCAGTGAGCTGAGATAGCGCCCAGCCTGGGCGATAGAGTGAGACTCTGTCTCAAAAAAAAAAAAAAAAAAAAAAAAATTAATAGATAGCAGTAAACCTAATTGAAAACATTAAATAATATTTTGTAATACTTAAAGCTATCAAGTAGCCAAAAAAGTTATTAATTTTTTAAATTGATTTTAAAATTATGTATTTCTAGAAAAGTTCAGATGTGAAATAGAGCACCTCATATCTCCATCAGTTGTCAAATCAGATTAAAAATTTTAAAGACGTTTTTAAATATATTTCTGGGTTTTGTTCTTGCAGATGCTATCGTTTGGAAATAAATCTAAGAAAACAGAGCCTAACAGTTTGAGCCAAATTCCTCCCATGCTCCGTTCCCACCTATGTTGTCACCCTTTTTATGTTCTTCATGGAAATGTCTCCTTTCTACTCTGAAATTACAGAGCCACCTCTCTCTAGATGTTTCTGTTTTTATTCATAAACCTGAAAATTCTCTTGTGATATGAACACCCCAATGCTAACTGAAGAGGGGAATGGTTGCAATAGCAAACTTAAACATAATTGCTGCCACTGCTGTTTTTTGTCCAAATATGTGTTTCTTTTTCAAAATAAAGAAATGAAAACAAAGTGGTTTATTATTCTCAGTAGTAAATTGGCAGTGGACAGTAAGGTTGCATTTTCTCTTGTGTTGGCAATTGATCTTATGTGCACTGATTTATATATGAAAATGTTCTTGCTACCTAAGGAAAATGAGCTCTCATTATATAAATGAGTTTATTAAAACCCTACTGCCTTAGGCAAGTTGGCAGTTTTTTATCAATCTCCAAATTTAAACATCTCTAAAATAAGAAATGACAAAACATCTACAAGAGATGCTCCGGCTTATCCTGGCCCCAGATTAATTGACCCTCTCTTCCATGCTTTGGGGGATTATGAATAAAGCAGCATATCTAACTTGTTGACACTCAGATCATGTCTCTCTTTTACCAGCCTATGAGGGAGAGAAAATATAATATGACTTCTGGGTAGTGTCCTACTGGTTACTCACACAGATTGATTTCCTCCTTGAATCTGAGATTAGTTTTACCATGAGACTTGAATATTTTACTGAGGTTAGGGGTTAGGAAAAAAGGGGGTCAATCATTCTTACTATCTTGTGTTGGGTGACATAAAATCATCCAACAGGTGAGACATGGGAGATACTTCTATTATATCTCACTGCAGTGAGTAATTATCATTGATGAATAACAGACACTGATTTGAAAAGCACTCACCTTTCCACAGCCAGTAGGGCCTTAACAATTAAGAAAATGTTTTCTTAATATATCAGCGAAGGAGACAGCTTTTACTATGAAAAATATGATTAGCTTCCAAGCCACGTAAATGTGACTTTGGTCTGAGCCTTTGAGTATCAGGAACTTGAAGCTGAAACACTTCTAGATATCATCCAGAATTCCTAATGTTATATATGAATCTTCTCTAGGGTACTCCAGTCAATCATTATTAAAAATACACTTGAGTACCTCTAGAGACAGGTAGCCACACCCAGGATAGCTCATTTCATATTGGATAACTCTTAAAATTATATTGATCAAAATATTTATATAATATACTTTAGGATTCAATGTTTCAGATTACTTCCTATAATTTAAAAATAGTAATCACTGATTGTGTTCTTTCTTCTTCTGGCTGAACATCCCAAGCTGCATCAACCATTGCGTGTGTGTGTGTGTGTGTGTGTGTGTGAATTTCTTTTTACCCTCCAGTATATCTGTGTTTCTTTTTTTTATCCCTTTTTTGTCTTGTTGATATTTATGAGGATCATTTTAAATTTCACTTTATTAGTGAGCATTTCTGTCAGTATCACAAATAACCAGTGAGTGTCGCTGTTCTAACACAGACAAACACTTGTGGGCCTGTCATACAATGATCAACAACATTCTTGCATAAGCCATAAGCACTTGTAATTATGCGGAACACAGGCAGTGGGCTGAATGAATCAAGGGTCCTCTTAATCCACCCACATTAGCTAATGTAGACATTTCAGACAGATTTACTGGTGCCCTTTTATTGACATTAGTTTCCTTTAGTTTTCCAAGATGATAATTCATTTTGTTCTCCCTTCAAAATAAAAGACTGGTCATTTTCCCCAAAATGCTCTTCCTACAACTCAACTTGTATAGTTTGTAAACAACTTTTTCTCTTGATTTCAATCATTCATTCAGAGGGTTACTACTACAAAGGGAAAGGCAATAATTCTGAGTACCCATCTGTACCAAGTTTCCTTCCAAGAACTCCATGTGTATCATTTCTTTTAACACCACAACAATGCAATGAGGCAGTCATTATTCATGCCGTTGTTTATATCAGGGAAAGGAGGCTGAGGAAGTTAAATAACTCGACTCTGGGTGACATAATCAGTAAGTAACAAATCTGATGTGAGAAGCCAAGACCACCTGACACCACAGCCCCATTCTTTCCACTATACCCTCCTTCCTAACTGCAGGTGGTGCCTGCAAAAATGAGGAGCATAGAAACTAGTATCTCAATCCTTGAACATGTTGGGATTTCAGCAGAATCAGTAGATAACATTTTTCTCTTCTCTGCCTGGATTCTCAGAAAATATTTGAGAAATAGAATACTAGAGACTACAAGACAGAGATCAAAATGTCAATTGTGAATTGATGTAAGCTGGAAAATAGGACTTAGATATGTAGCCAAAGGAGCTTGCCCAAATTCCTTCCCTCATTCTCAATCTAATAGCTACCCACCCAGTAACTGGCACAACTAGCAGATCCCAGGGCACCCACAAAGGGATGGACCACATACCAGGTGATAGGAGAGAGAAAACAGGCCAAAATGGAAAGGAAAAAAGAAATTGCTGAACCAATTTTTCCTGTATATTTTAAGCTAACAAATCATATATAAACTAGATTTTTTTCCACAACAGAAGTCCCTACACATGGAAATATGAGGGGTATGGAATAACTGTTCACTGAAAGACTTGTGTTTTCAATATTTGCAATGCCAAGCAAGGTTATTTCAGGCCTTGTAGAGCTCGTTTTCAAATAATTATTCTGAGTAATTAACCTTTTACTCTGAGTAAAGTGGGGCTTCATTGAATGAAAGGTTTTAAACAAAGGAGTTGTATTAGCTGAATTTCACTTTAATATCACCTAGCTCATGTCTACTCGTTTCCAAACCTAAATCTACTATCATTTTGGGCAATGGAGACGGTGGCAAGACCAAAATCATTTAGGAGATGTACAATAGATGGTGGCAGTGGAGATGGGGAGAAGTCATGGTTAGATTTCGGACATACTTGAAAGTAGAATGAATGAGTGTTGTGAGATAGAAGAGTCAAGATTTTTGGCCCCAAGCTTTTCTCCATCGACTGAAATGACAAAATAATGACTGAATACAGTCTGGGAGCCAAGATCAGAGAGATCATTTGGGAATGTCGAGTTTGGACTTGATTCTTTCAGACCAATGGAAATGTGAAGAAGACATACATGTGGTCTAAAAACCTGGAGTTAGAAAAAGAGATCTGGACTGGAGATGTACGTTTAGGAAGTATCGTTCTACAGAAGATGTATAAAACCATGAGACAGGATGAAATTACCAGGCATAAGAAATAAAGAGAAGAGTCTAAGGTTTGAGGTTTCTGGGGTTTTGCAAAGTTAAAAGGTTAAGAAAAAGAGGAATGACAAAGGAGGCTGAAAAGGAGAGTTAGTGAGGCTGGAGAAGAATCAAGACACTGTGGTATTCTGAAAGCTAAGTGGGGGAAGTTTATCAAGGAGGAAAGTGTGATTAATTATATAGCATGCCCCTAATATATCAAAGAAGCTGAAGGTTAAGAATTCACTTTGGTGAAGAAGAGGTCATTGGTAACTTTGACAGTCTTAGTGAAGTGATAAGAGGAAAATAAATAAATACTGTAGAGGATTTTTGAAAAATGAATTAGAAATAGTAAGTTTTGGTTCTAACTTTATCTGCTTTTGTGGACTAGTGGAGCAAAAGGCAACAAATAAGTTGAGAAGAAGCCACCAGGAAAACTAGAGTCAAGAGAGATTGCCTTTTTTTTTTCCTATTCTTTTTAGGGATTAGAAGACCTATTTGTATAGTGATGATAAATGTCAACTAGAGTGGGGAGGCGGAGACTGGCATGCTTGTATGGTGATGATAATTATCAACTAGAATGGCAGGGGGTGCAGGGACTGGACTTGACTCTGTAGGGAGAGAGCATGTATGGGAAATTATTGGGCTGCTGTCCTGAAGTAGGAGTGAGGGATAGAAACTACTCCATATGTGGAAGAGATGGCCTTTGTTGGAATACAGTTCGTTTATCTAGACTATCAGTCAGGAAGGCAGAATATATGAGTATACAATTGCCAATAAGTGGGTGGGAGCTGTGGAAGTTTTCTTCACATTGCTTCAGTCTTCTCAGTGAAATAGGAAGCAAAATTATCAGCTAAGAGTGAGATATAGGGAGGAGGTGTTGGAAGACAGGGTTTGAAATGAGGGAATAAAGTATGAAGTAGTCTTCTAGGAGAGTGGGAGAATAGCTGGACCTGGGAAAAATATTTTGACTGCTGGGCACCATTAAGCCCTCATGTGGGGTTATTATCAGGAATTTGAGGAAGACCAGTCTGTATGCTGGCATGTTTTTTCCTTCATTTATGGTTTAATTGCATAGGTATGAGTATGGAGGAAGTGCGATGCCCATGCAAGCACGCACGCACACACACACAGACACACACACACAGACACACGCATACACAGAGACACCAAACAGACACACACACACATACACACCTTACTTTTAAAAGCAAGTTGTTTTACATCTTTCCTATGCAATTTTTGTTTTCCTTTTGGCTCCATCTCTCTCTCTCATTTGCTCTCCCTCTCTCTCTCTCTCGACATTTGCCCCCCATTTTATAGCATTTGCAAAGTTAAAAGGTTAAGAAAAAGAGGAATGACAAAGGAGGCTGAAAAGGAGAGTTAGTGAGGCTGGAGAAGAATCGAGACACACCAACTAAATAACCAAGTATGTAAGAATTGAAAATTATTTTAGAGATCAGTTTCATTCTCCTCATTATAGATGGGGAGACTAAGGACCAGATAAAAAGGATTGGCCCAGATTTTGGCAGTCACATAGGAACAAACTTCTAGAAGTTTCCCTTATAGATATGTGTCTGTGGAACAGGTGTATAGAAAAATTATATGCTAATGTTTAGCAGATGCTCAACATAAATTATCTTATATATTCAGTAACTCAGTTGAAGCAAAATAACATAACCTTGCATAATATCGCTCATATTCTTGTTAGGATAATGTCACTACTGTTGCCTGGGTACTTCTTTACTTTATTTATTTCTTTCTTTTTTTTCTTTTTTTTTTTTTTTTGAGGTGGAGTCTCACTCTGTTGCCCAGGCTGAAGTGCAGTGGTGCAATTTCCACTCACTGCCACCTCTGCCTCCTGGGCTCAAGCGATTCTCCTGCCTCAGCCTCCCAAGTAGTTGGGATTACAGGTGCCCACCACCACTCCCAGCTAATTTTTGTATTTTTAGTAGAGATGGGGTTTCACCATGTTGGCCAGGTTGGTCTTGAACTCCTGACCTCGAGATCCACCTGCCTCGGCCTCCCAAAGTGCTGGGATTACAAGTGTGAGCCACCACGCCCAGCCTCTTTACTTTCTTAATTGCCTCTTCATAATGTATTTAATAAACTATGGCAATCCCAGAATGACAGATTGTTACCACTGTCATTGGATTTCTAATTTCAATTTGGAATTTAAAAACCAAATACCTGAATTGTTGTCCTAATTCTGACATTGCCTATTTATAGCCTTGGTTAGGTAATTGAGCTTTCTGAGTCTGTAGTTTCTTAGCTTATTAAATGAGAAAAAATAGACTAGATATGCAGTTAAAATAATTTTAAAATAGCAGCATAAATGAAACTGAAGTACTTTTATTTAAACAAGGGCTGGTGCATCCAGTTGGCCACTCACTGAACACCTTTGTACTGTTTTAGGTTTCTTTGATGCAGCTACACATAATTCAAGTGCTCCAAGGATTACAATTCCTAAAAGTAGAATGGAAGATCTAGTATTTCTTCCACTTCTGTCATTCTATAAACACATTATGTTATGTAGGGGAGTGGAGGGATTGAGAGATAGGGAAGGAAGAAGAGAGACAGAGAATGAAAAATGAATGTTAAGTTCAGGTAAAAGATTCTTACATACCTACAGTTGCAAAAACCCTTAAATGCCTTCTATGATAAAATGTTTTATTTCTTCCATCCCTATTGTTACAAAAACCTTCAATTACCTTATAGAACAGACTGTTTTATCCCTGCCCCCATTGATGTCATCTCAAAAGACAAGGAGGCTCAAAGTGAGAGTGAGATAGACCTTTACATTATCAACTCATTTCTAAGCCCCATCACATAGATAGGCCTGCATGTTTTAGAAGAGCATTTATGGTAAAAATGATAGAAAGTTATTAATATCCCAAATCGAAAAGTAGGGGAGAGACTGGTGATTCAGCCCTGCTAAGCTACAAGGTACTAGGCAGAGACTGTGAAGGTAACTGCCAAGATTCAGCCAGTCTTCCAGTCATCATGTGCTGTCTGTCTCATATAATTTCTTATACATAAACTGAATTTTATCTGGTTCTTTGGAGAAGTGAGGAGAATAGCTAATTCATAAAAAGTGGTTAGTGTATGAGAGTTTATTTAAGAAAAATGATGGCCAGGTGCGGTGGCTCACGACTGTAATCCCAGCACTTTGGGAGGCCGAGGCAGGTGGATCACGAGGTCAAGAGATTGAGAATATTCTGGCCAACACGGTGAAACCCCGTCTTTACTAAAAATACAAAAAATAGCTGGGCATGGTGACGCACGCCTGTAATGCCAGTTACTCAGGAGGCTGAGGCAGGAGAATCGCTTGAACCTGGGAGGCAGTGGTTGCAGTGAGGTGAGATGGCGCCACTGCACTTCAGCCTGGCAACAGAGTGAGACTCTGTCTCAAAATAATAATGATAATAAAAAGGAAAAATGACAGAAGTCAAAAGAATGCCTCCGATTATTTCAGTGAATAAACTAACGGCCTTAAACAAATATTACTTTCAAACTATTTATATATTTACCATTATAGAAAAAATATAAATAACAAAGTACAAATGCATAAATACTGGGATGTGTTGAAAGTACACAGAGAAAGAAATAACATGCCTTATATCTTATTATTTGAAAATCAGCACTTTTAATATTCTGTAATATATTTTCAGCTTTTGTATGGACATATATATGTGTTTAGAAATTATGATGCTATCACGCAAAAACTATTAGCACCAGTAATATATAAAATTTCCTAGTAACTTAAACCAACAAGCAAAAAACAAATAACCCTATTAATAATGGGCAAAGGAAATGAATAGACATTTTTTAAAAGTAGCCAACAAACATATGAAAAAATCCTCAACATCACTAATCATCAGAGAAATGCAAATCAAAACCACAATGAAATGCCATCTTGCATCAATCAGAATGGTTATAATTAAAAAGTAAAACAATAACAAATGCTAGTGAGGCTTCAGATAAAAGGGAACACTTATACACTGTTGGTGGAAATGTCAATTAGTTCAGCCACTGTGGAAAACAGTTTGGAGATTTCTCGAAGAACTGAAAACAGAACCACCATTTGACCCAGCTATCCCATTACTGGGCATATAGCCAAAGGAAAATAAATCGTTCTGCCAAAAAGATGCATGCAGTTGTATGTTCATCACAGCGCTATTGACAATGGAAATGACATGAGATCAACCTAGGTGTCTTTCAATGGTGGACTGATTTAAAAAAAAAATGTGGTATATATACACCATACAATACTACACAGCCATAAAATGAATGAAATTATGCCCTTCGCAGCAACAAAGATGCAACTGGAGGCCATTATCCTGAGCGAACTAATGCAGGAACAGAAAACCAAGTACTTTGTGTTCTCATTTATGAATGGGAGCTAAGTATCAAGTACATATGGACACAAAGATGGAAACAATAGACACTGGGGACTATTAAGAGGGAGACGGAGGAAGGAACGCATGGACTGAAAAACTGCCTATTGAGTACTATGCTCACTACCTAGCTGATGGGATCATCCATATCCCAAACCTCAGCATCATGCAATATACCCATGTAACAAACCTACAAATGTACCACTTGAATCTAAAATAAAAGTTGAAATTATTATTGTTATTATTTTATTTATTTTTAGATGGAGTCTAGCACTGTCACCCAGGCTGGAGTGCAGTGGCATGATCTCGGCTCACTGCAAACTCTGCCTCCCAGGTTCAAGTGATTCTCCTGCCTCAGCCTCCCAAGTAGCTGAGACTACAGGTGCCTGCCACCATACCTGGCTAATTTTTGTATTTTTAGTAGAGTAGGGGTTTCACCACTTTGGCGGGTCTCGATCTCTTGACCTCGTGATCCACCTGCCTCAGCCTCCCAAAGTGCTAGGATTACAGGCGTGAGCCATCGTGCACGGCCAAAATTATTTTTTTAAGTTTCTTGTGATCAAATCTTAAGTAATATCAAATAATATTCACTTTGGCTTTTATAATATGTTGATTGAATGGTATTATATTCTTGTTTTGATTCATTTTCTTCGATTACTACTAAGGATTAATATTTTTCATATGTACATAATTTAATATTTTCATATTTACAATTTTCATTTGAAATAGAGGAAGCTTTTTATTTAGGCTTTTTTCAGTGACTTCAACTTATTACTCTTTAAATAGTATGTTGAGTACCTATAGCAATGGCAAATGTAGATTGTCCTCTACATAATGCTTTAAAAGCATTAAGGATTTATATGTAATATAACTAGGACCTAGTGAGGAGTACTAATTGCCTTTTTACCCACTAAATTCATGTTATTTATTATTTAAAGGCCATTTTCTCAAATTGCAAACACTTATTTAACTTTTTTTAAAAATTACCTCCCAAAGACACTGTACACAGGTAACCACAGTTACAGTTTAATGTATGTATCCCTTCTTATTCTTTCCCATTTATCTAATATAGATAAATAAATACAATAGGGGAGATTGCAAATAAGTCATAGTACAGCCATTTGATAACTTATTTTTTCACTTAAGGATATATAATAATATTTCACCATATCAGTACATATAGAACCACCTCATTTTTTACTAGCTCCATAAGATTGTAAAATTATGTTATACAAGTTTTCTTAGGATTTGTGTTCAATTTTTCAATGTTACACATAGTATGGCAACAAACATCAGTTAATCCATCTTTCTGGCTTTGTGCATGTATACCGAAAAGAGAGATTCCCAGAAGTGAGATTACTGAGTTAGAGTGAATATGTATTTTAAGTTTTTAAATTTCTACCAAATTGCTCTCCAACCAAGACTGGTCACTCATGTTATTATCTGCATTATGACTTTGTGAAAGGTCAGGTTGAAGAAGATTTGATAATAAACATATTATTATCCCAATTAAAGGACTTGAAAACTGCTTTTTTTTAAAAAAAAGAAAAGGGTCCAGTTCGATCTTCTCATTTTACAGAGATAGAAATTAAGAAAAAGTGAACTCTTCACAGTTATCCAATTAGATGTTTATGAATTACTTTTATTCCAAACCGATTCATTAGCTCCCTACAAGGCAAAAAAAAAAAAAAAGTAATATTCCACATAAACAACTTTGGTTCTAATAAAGACATTTTATTGTAGGTTGTCTTTCAGCATTGATAATGCATGATTCAATCTGGTTTAGATGTCTTTATTTATTGAGTCAGCGTATGATTAAAGGCAACTTTGAAAAGTCTCAGCTTTTCATTCAAACAACTTCTGACATTGGCTGGCCTTCCTTCCCAAAACTCATTCAAGATGACATGTAGCTCCTTTGATGATATTGGCACCCAGATCTGTTAACTTATTTAAGGAACTTTAATCGGATTAGCATGGGGTTTTTCCACCGAGACAGAAGAGAGACCTAATGTTTGTCTTATTCATAAATCCTGATAAAAGAGGGTTTTCAGAGGAATAGCAAATTTGATAAGTGATATTCAACAAGTAGTCTGCAGAGACTTTTTCTCAGAAACCAATATTTTAATGAAATATTTCAATTCACTTTTATGTTTCTAAAGATGAACTAATCTTACATAACTACTTTCAGAGTTCTTCATTAAATTATATTTATTTTTTCATACAAGAGTTGAATCATTTGGCCAGATATAAATCCTGATATGGAAACTAGCATTTTGAAATTGATATAGTTATACCCAGTAAACATGCTCCTCAACTGCATTTAGTATGTAGGGCTCGCTCATTATGGAGTTGAAAATATATTTTGTTTCAAATACTCCATTGATAGCTCTTCACTGGTTTATTGGTTTCTCTTTTATATTCTGCCAACCAGCTGTAGGTGTGGGCTAAGAATTTGTCTTCCTCCCTGCACTTTATTCTTCCTATTCTTCTTAAGACAGAGTCTCGCTTCTCGCTGTCGCCCAGGCTGGAGTGCAGTGGCGCGATCTCGGCTCACTGCAAGCTCCGCCTCCCAGGTTCACGCCATTCTCCTGCCTCAGCCTCCAGAGTAGCTGGGACTACAGGCGCCCGCCACCAAGCCCGGATAATTTTTTTTTTTTTTTTTTTTTTGTATTTTTGGTAGAGACGGGGTTTCACCGTGTTAGCCAGGATGGTCTCGATCTCCTGACCTCGTGATCAGCCCGCCTCGGCCTCCCAAAGTGCTGGGATTATAGGCGTGAGCCACCGCTCCCGGCCTATTCTTCCTATTCTTGTCTTTCAAGAACTTAATCCTTATATAGATTCAGCCTTCACCTTTGCATAATATCCCAATCTGTATCTCCTAACCTTACCTCTCTCCAAGGCTCCCGAATGCATGGATAGAATTGTCCCAAACTCAAGGACAGGTATGGTGGTTCACACTTATAATCTCAGCACTTTGGGAGGCTGACCAGCCTGGGCAATATAGGGAGACCTCGTCTCTACAAAAAATAAAAAATTAGCCAGGTGCAGTGGTGTGCACCTGTGGTCCCAGCTACTTGGGAGGCTGAGGTGGGAGGATCACTGAAGCCTTGGAGGTCAAGGCTGCAGTGAGCCCTGATTGTGCCACCACACTCCAGCCTGGATGACAGAGTGAGATCCTGTCTCTAAAAAAAAAGAAAACATATTTTTTAAAAACCGGAATTGCCCCCAAAATCAGTAGTCTGGAATGGGGCTATCACATCTCATACCAGCATGACCTTCTTCCCTGCATTCCTAACTTTGTCAATGGAAAACATGTGTGAGGTCTCCTAAGTATGAAATATTATGAAATATGATCTCCTTCTATCTCTGTCTCTATTCTTTACTTTCTAGCCAACTGGGTAATTTGAGGTTTCTTTTGTAATGTTACCCATATATTCTATTTACAATGCCACAACCTTTATTGAAGCTTCAGTCTACTTTTTAAAATTCCCATATAATCTATGGGGCCTTAAACTATGACTTTTTTTTTTACAATCTTCTACACATAAATGTTAGATTAATTTTCCCAAAATGTACTTTTAATAAATAGGGTTGGCTGGGTATGGTGACTCATGCCTGTAATCCCAGCACTTTGGGAGGCCGAGGCAGGCGGATCACGAGGTCAGGAGTTTGAGACCAGCCTAGCCAACATAGTAAAACCCCGCCTCTACTAAAAATACAAAAATTAGCCAGTCGTGGTGGCACATATCTCTAGTCCCAGCTACTTGGGAAGATGAGGCAGGAGAATCGCTTCAACCCAGGAGACGGAGGTTGCAGTAAGCTAAGATTGCGTCATTGCACTCCAGCCTGGGCAACAAGAGCAAAACTCTGTCTCAAAATAAATAAGTAAAGGGTCTCTTTTTTAATGTCCTCCAGATGTAGTTAATAATTTAATGAGGGGCTGGGTGCCGTGGCTCACGCCTGTAATCCCAGCACTTTGGGAGGCTGAGGCAGGCCGATCACCTAAGGTCAGGAGTTCGAGACCAGCCTGGCCAATATGGTGAAATGTCTCTACTAAAAATTTAAATGTCTCTACTAAAACTGCAAAAATTAGCCAGACATGGTGGCACATGCCTGTAGTCCCAGCTACTCAGGAGGCTGAGGCAGGAGAATCACTTGAATCCAGGAGGTGGAGGTCGCAGTGAGCAGAGATGTCATCACTGCACTGTAGCCTGGGCAACAAGAGCGAAACTCCGTCTCTAAATAATAATAATAATAATAATAATAATAATAATAATAACAATTTAATGAAAAAGACAAAATTATTTAGTTTTGTTCACCATCACATGATTGAATTGCACTACGTGTTTTCAGCTTTCTTATAATTATGCCTTTTCTGCATCTGCCTAGGGTTCTGTGAACAGGCTTCTCTAACCCCATTTTCCTCTCCTTCATCTCACAAAGTCTTTGTCTATTCTGATTTTACACTTCACTCATTATTTCTCACACCTGAAGTTACCTTGTAATTTCCTTGGTCTACCCAAATCCTTCTACTTTTGGAGTTCAGCTTGCTTTCCATCTTTAACTGAAGATATTTAGTTCAAATTTATTATGGCTTTTCTGAACATCTGGTCTTAGTCTCCTCAAAATCATTTTATCTGTTTTATCATGTTGATGGCACAATTGGCAAATCTAAATATCTTTCTGCAAAGACACAAAAGTGTTAGACAAGAAAAAACAATGAAGAGACCTGGATTCAAGTTTTCTCTCTGTGACTTCCAAGATGCACATCTCCTAATAATTCCCTTACACATACTGGGTCTCAGTTTGCTTATCTGTGAAATAAGGATTGGATTAGATCGTCCTCAAGGTTCCTTTCAGTTTACATTCCATAAACTTATATTTAAGGGGATTTCATACAATTTAGTACAGAATTCACTCAACCATTATAAAATACACTCTACTATTATAAATGAAGTAGACTGCACATCATTATTCATTTATCTGGCAAGCAAGTTTATACTCTTATAAAAGTATTTAAGCAGATATTTTACAGAATTTTTTTTCTGTTATTACATAAAACTAATTTTATTCAATTGGCAGGCTACTTAAAAAGTGAGGTTAAATATATCATGTATCAATTGAATAAGCTTAGGCAACTTATATTAAAATGAAAACAAAACCTTGTTAAATACAAGGTACTTTGTCAAACATTTGGGAACAGGGAAAAGAATACAGAAATGAATTCAAAGATATGGTATCCACCGTTAAGGAACTGATTGTCTAATGAGGGAGGCAGAGAAATAAAGGAATTACTATAATTATGGGCAGAAAAAGTTGTTGATTGCTACCACTTGCTGAATACTTACTATGAACCAGGATCTATCCCAGGGATTTAGCATGCACAAAAGCTAAACAGCCTATGCACATTTTTATTTTTACAGCATTTCAAGGTAGTTCTTATTATTATTTCTATTTTGCAGGAGAAAGAAAAACTGAGGTCAGAGTTTTTAATCTCCCTAAGTTCATATAGTTAGAGTGATGGGAATGTAGTCTCCACTGCATTTTACTAGGTAACATTTCAGGATTGCACACATTTCCATAGAAAAGCTTTTTTAATAGGAATGATTGTTCCTAAGTGGAGGTGTCACTTAAAAAGTTGTCTTTCTAAGAGTTGAATCATAAGAGTAGACTTTCCATTGACTTGTTAGATAAAGAAGGCATTCTAGACACAGACAACAGGCTGAGCAGAGGTTAGAAAGGATAGGTTATGCTCAATAATTCCGGTGATTTAGCATGCCTATGAAAAAGATCAGAGTGAGCAAAGGAAAAGGTACAGCCTCCGAGTTTGGGGGTGCAGAATATTAGAAGAGTGTGTTACCCACCCTAGGAAAATGTAATTGGAAAATCTGTCCATTCTAAGCTGTTTCAAAGATGACAGCTAAATCAGCTTGCATAACAGTGAATAGAACCTACCCACCTGCTTAGTTTCTAATGCAATTTACTGAAAATTGTATCTTCCTACACACTTCTTCAGAACTAATTTGGCCTATATCAGATAGTAGTTATACTGCAGCTATAGTCAACATGAAAAGCTCTTCTTTTCCATGATAATTTTCTACTCTCTTTCTGGTCTACTGAGTTTCTGAGCAATTTTTATTTTTCTCTTTTGTTCTCTCTCACAGGTCTGCAAAAGTTGTGCTTTTCTCATCGTGAGCTTGAGAAGAGTGTGTGGGCTGCCAAAGGCAAATATAATGAAGGTGAGTCTTGGGGATGGTGTTTCAAGAGCTCCCACCAACTCTGTTCTTCAATATAATGTGGTAGCAACTCCAGAGTCTTTACAGGGGGGGTGAAAATTTAACGCAAATTTAGTCTCATGTTAATAATTACCATATGTGACATTTAGCTCATCATGCACTTTGCAAAGCATATTCACATATGTAATTTATTTTTATCCTAAGCTTCTAATAAAAACGCATTTACTTATAAATGTCTCATACAAGAGCTCACATACAAAAACATTTGCACCATTTAAGAAAGT